>NC_000020.11:56314719-56931599 GCF_000001405.40 Homo sapiens
CTAAAACAAACAAACAAACAAACAAACAAATGAGCTTAGAATAAGATTGTAGCCCAGAGCCTCTGGAGAAAGAGAAATCCTGGCTAACGCTTTGCATTCAGCCTGTGTATTCAGGCCCCAGTCACACTGGGCCAGATTTCTGAACTATAAAACTATGAACTAATAAATGAGGGTTGTTTTAAGCCACTAAGCTTGTGGTAATTTGTTACACAGCAATAGAAAACTAATACATGTGCCCTTGAGCTGCAGGAGAGATTTCCAGATGTTTCTGTGAATCTATGAGTTCCCAGTTTGCAGAGGAGGAGGGACTGCCAATTGATGGGATTTGCCTGGGAGGAAGACAGCCTCCCTCAAATTACTGAGCTCAACAATAATGAGACATAGGCAGGAAGGCAGCCACCACAACCAGGCTGAAAATTGAAACCACGGAGCCACACAGCTGGGCCGATGGCACAAGGAAAATTACAAACTCGGTCCGTCTTTCTCATACACTGTCCCTGCACTTTGTTTCTTTCCTTCATAGGACTCATGAGAATTTACACACAGATCATGTATTTTCTTCTTCCTTTATTCACCTCTCTCCATCACTAAAATGTAAACACCAGTGGTGGACAGGTCATGTCTACCTTATTCAATATCTACTTTCCCAGCTCCCCAGAGACTGGGGAGGGGAGGGGAGAAGTAAGGAGGAGAGAGGTTGGTCAACAGGTACAAAGTTATAATTACATAGGAGGGATAATTTCTGGTGTGCTATTGCGCAGTGGGTTGAACAGCAAGGTACAGTATATTACAAAACAGCTAGAAGAGAGGCTTTCTAATGTCCTTGCCACAAAGAAATAAGTGCATGGGTGACCATTACACTAAGTACTCTCATTTGGTCATTACACAACTATATGTGTATTGAAGCATCAAATTGTACACTTACCCAAAAATTACATTAAAAGTATATAAATAAGAAAAACAGATCGTGGCGGATGGGAGACAGGACTAGATTGCAGCTCCAGACAGAGCAGCTTGCGGAGGCTTGCATTGTGAATTTGAGCTCCAGATTGACTGCAAGAACAAACCAGCAATTCTGAGAGGACCTACAGACCCTCTGAAGGAAGAGGACTTCCTGCAGGACCCAGGAGACACCCCAAATACTGTGAGTCCCCCAGCTGTGGAAGTGGAAAAGAGAGACCCTCCTCTCCCGAACACACAACCTCACTGGAATAAGCTGAAGATCTGCTTGCAGCAGAAGTTTCTGACTTTACCTGGAACTGAGGTCAATTTAGAGAGCCGAGAAAAATACAGGGGTGGAAGAAGCAGCGGAAAGGCCCTGGGAGGTCATTGCATCTCCTAGCAGGTCGTTACTGCCTGGCACCACAAGGATCCATCAGGAGGGTGACCAGAGGAGCAGCAGGTAAAATTCTACAGGGAGAAGGACTTCTCTAGCTGAACTTTGTAACAATTTGAACAGGGCGAGAAGCCTCCCGGCCAGAACTTGTGGGAGGATGCAAATCCGGTGTGCAGACACCACAGGTGGGGGAAGAACCAAGCCCTTCTCTTTCGCAGCTGGGAGGCGAGTAGCCTGGGGAAAGTTTTCAAGTCCTTCAGGCCCTCCACCTGGAAGTGGACTCAGGACTGTTGGGGGCAGGGGGATGGGCATGGCAGGAGTGAGACCGTTCCTTCGGTTTGCATGGGAGCTGGGTGAGGCCTGTAACTGCTGACTTTCCCCCACTTCCCTGACAACCTGCAACTCAGCAGAGGCAGCCATAATCCTGGGTACCCAACTCCAGTGATCTGGGAATCTCACCCCTACCCCCCACAGCAGCCACAGCAAGACCTGCTCAAGAAGAGTCTGAGTTCAGACACGCCTAGCCCCACCCCCACCTGATGGTCCTTCCCTGTACACCCTGGTAGCAGATGACAAAGAGCATATAATCTTGGGCGTTCTAGGGCCCCGCTCACTGCCAGTCCCTCTCTATATTACTACAGCTGATGCTTTCTGTAAAGCACCACCTCCTGGCAGGAGGCCAACCAGCACAAAAATAGAGCATTAAACCACCAAAGCTAAGAACCCTCATGGAGTCCATTGCACCCCACTGCCACCTCCACTGGAACAGGCCCAGGTATACACAGTGAGAGACCCACAGATGGTTCACATCACAGGACTCTGTGCAGACAACCCCCAACACCAGCCTGGAGCCTGGTAGACTCGCTGGGTGACTAGATCCAGAAGAGAGACAACAATCACTGCAGTTTGGCTCATAGGAAGCCATAGGAAAAGGGGGAGAGTACTTTCCTTTTCCATAGGAAAAGGGGGAGAGTACTACATTAAGGGAATACCCCATAGGACAGAAGAATCTGAACAACAGCCTTCTGCCCTAGACCTTCCCTCTGACAGAGCCTATCCAAATGAGAAGGAACCAGAAAACCAACCCTGGTAATATGACAAAACAAGGCTCTTTGACACCCCCAGAAAGTCACATGAGTTCACCAGCAATGGATCCAAACCAAAAAGAAATCCCTGATTTACCTGAAAAAGAATTCAGGAGGTTAGTTATTAAGCTAATCAGGGAGGGACCAGAGAAAGGTAAAGCCCAATGCAAGGAAATCCAAAAAATGATACAAGAAGTGAAGGGAGAAATATCCAAGGAAATAGATGCTTAAATAAAAAAACAACATAAATTCAGGAAACTTTGGACACACTTTTTAGAAATGTGAAATGCTCTGGAAAGTCTCAGTAATAGAATTGAACAAGTGGAAGAAAGAAATTCAGAGCTCAAAGACAAGGTCTTTGAATTAATCCAATCCAACAAAGACAAAGGAAAAAGAATAAGAAAATATGGACAAAGTCTCCAAGAAGTCTGGGATTATGTTAAACTACCAAACTTAAGAATAATTGATGTTCCTGAGAAAGAAGAGAATTCTAACAGCTTGGAAAGCATATTCTGGGGAATAATCAAGGAAAACTTCCCCAGCCTTTTTAGAGACCTGGACATCCAACTACAAGAAGCACAAAGAACACATGGAAAATTCATCACAGAAAGATCGTCACCTAGGCACATCGTCATCAGGTTATCCAAAGTTAAGACAAAGGAAAGAATCTTAAGAGCTATGAGACAGAAGCACCAGGTAACCTATAAAGGAAAACCTATCAGATTCACAGCAGATTTCTCAGCAGAAACCCTACAAGCTAGAAGGGATTGCGGCCCTATCTTCAGCCTTCGCAAACAAAACAATTATCAGCCAAGAATTTTGTAGCCCCCAAAACTAAGCATCATATATGAAGGAAAGATACAGTTGTTTTCAGACAAACAAATGCTGAGAGAATTTGCCATTACCAAGCCACCATTACAAGAACTGCTAAAAGGAGCTCTAAATCTTGAAACAAATCATGGAAACACATCAAAACAGAACCTCTTTAAAGCATAAATCACACAGGACCTATAAAACAAAAATATATGTTAAAAAGCTAAAACACAAAAACAAAAAACCACAGTACACAGGCAACGAAAAGCATGATGAATGCAACGGTACCTCACGTTTCAATACTAACATTGAATGTAAATGGCCTAAATGTTCCACTTAAAAGATACAGAACTGGCCTGGCATGGTGGCTCATGCCTGTAATCCCAGCACTTTGGGAGGCTGAGGTGGGTGGATCACGAGGTCAGGAGATTGAGATCATCCTGGCTAACACGGTGAAACCCCATCTCTACTAAAAATACAAAAAATTATTCGGGCATGATGGCAGGTGACTGTACTCCCAGCTACTCGGGAGTATAAGAGAATGGTGTGAACCTGGGAGGTGGAGCTTGTAGTGAGCGGAAATCGCGCCACTGCACTCCAGCCTGGGCGGCAGAGTGAGACTCCGTCTCAAAAAAAAAAAAAAAAAAAGATACAGAACCACAGAATGGCTAAGAACTCACCAACCATCAGCTGCCTTCAGGAGACTCACCTATCACATAAGGACTCACATAAACTAAAATAAAGGAGAGGAAACAGGCATTTCATACAAATTGGACACCAAAAGCAAGAGAAAAAACAAATTTTAAAGCAACAGCAGTTAAAAGAGACAAAGAGGGATGGTACATTATATAACGGTAAAAGGCCTTCTCCAACAGGAAAATATCACAATTCTAAACATATACGCACCTAACGCTGGAGCTCCCAAATTTATAAAATAATTACTAATAGACCTAAGAAATGAAGTAGACAGCAACGCAATAATAGTGGGGGACTTCAATACTCCACTGACAGGTCATCAAGACAGAAAGTCAACAAAGAAACAATGGATTTAAAGCATACCTTGGAACAAATAGACTTAACAAATATGTACAGACCATTTCATCCAATAACTGTAGAATATACATTGTATTCAACAGCACATGGAACTTTCTCCAAGATAGATCATATGATAGGCCATAAAACGAGCCTCAATAAAGTTAAGGAAATTGAAATTATATCAAGCACTCTCTCTGACCACAGTGGAATAAACCTGGAAATCAACTCCAAAAGGAACCTTCAGAACCGTGCAAATACATGGAAATTAAATAATCTGCTCCTGAATGAACATTAGGTCAAAAACAAAATCAAGATGGAAATTTTAAAAACCTTCGAACTGAATGACAATAATGACACAACCTATCAAAACCTCTGAGATACAGCAAAGGTAGTGTTAAGAGGAAAGTTCCTAGCCCTAAGTGCCTACATCAAAACGACTGAAAGAGCACAAACTGACATTCTAAGGTCACACCACAAGGAACTAGAGAAACAAGAACAAACCAAACCCAAACCCAGCAGAAGAAAGGAAATGACCAAGATCAGACCAGAACTAAATGAAATTGAAACAACAACAACAAACAGAATACGTAAGATAAATGAAACAAAAAGCTGGTTCTTTGAAAAGATAAATAAAATTGATAGACCATTAGCAAGATTAACCAATAAAAGAAGAGAGAAAATCCAAATAACCTCACTAAGAAATGAAACAGGAGATGTTACAACTGACACCATTGAAACTCAAAAGATCATTCAAGGCTACTATGAACACCTCTATGCAAATAAGCTAGAAAACCTAGAAGAGATGGATAAATTCCTGGAAAAATACAACCCTCCTAGCTTAAATCAGGAAGAATTAGATACCCTGAACAGACCCATAACAAGCAGTGAGATTGAAATGGCAATTTTAAAATTACCAACAAAAAAAATTCCAGGACCAGATGGTTCAGAACAGAATTCTACCAGACATTCAAAGAATTGGTACCAGTCCTTTTGACACTATTCCACAATATAGAGAAAGAAAGAATCCTCCCTAATTCATTTTATGAAGCCAGCACCACCCTAATACCAAAAACAGAGAATCAAATCAAGAACTCAACCTTTTTTACAATAGCTGCAAAAAATAAAATAAAATAAAATACTTAGAAACATACCTAACCAACCAGTCGAAAGACCTCTACAAGGAAAACTACAAAACACTGCTGAAAGAAATCATAGATGACACAAACAAGTGGAAACACATCCCATGCTTATGGATGGGTAGAATCAATATTGTGAAAATGACCACAATGCCAAAAGCAATCTACAAGTTCAACACAATCCCCATCAAAATACCACCATCATTCTTCACAGAATTAGAAAAAACAATTCTAAAATTTATATGGAACCAAAAAAAGAGCCCGCATAGCCAAAGCAAGACTAAGCAAAAAGAATAAATCTGGAGGCATCACACTATCTGATTTCAAACTATACTATGAGGCCATAGTCACCAAAATAGCGTGATACTGGTATAAAAATAGGCACATAGACCAATGGAACAGAATAGAGAACCCAGAAATAAACCCAAATACTTACAGCCAACTGATCTTCAACAAAGCAAACAAAAATATAAAGTGAGGAAAGGACACCCTTTTCAACAAACGGTGCTGGGATAATTGGCAAGCCACATGTAGGAGAATGAAACTGGACCCTCATCTCTCATCATATACAAAAATTAACTCAAGGTGGATTAAGGGCTTAAACCTAAGACCTGTAACTATAAAAATTCTAGAAGACAACATTGGAAAAACCCTTCTAGACATTGGCTTAGGCAAGGATTTCATGACCAGGAACCCAAAATCAAATGCAATAAAAACAAAGATAAATAGCTGGGACCTAATTAAACTAAAGAGCTTTTGCACAGCAAAAGGAACAGTCAGCAAAGTAAACAGACAACCCACACAGTAGAAGAAAATCTTCAGAATCTGTACATCTGACAAAGGACTAATATCCAGAATCTACAACAAACTCAAACAAATCAATAAAAAAAAACAAATAATCCCATCAAAAAGTGTGCTAAGGACGTGAATAGACAATTCTCAAAAGAAGATATACAAATGGCAAACAAACATATGAAAAAATGCTCAACATCACTAACTATCAGGGAAATTCAAATCAAAACCACAATGTGATATCACCTTACTCCTGCAAGAATGGCCATATTCAAAAAATCAAAAAACAGTAGATGTTGGCATGGATGCGGCGTACAGGGAACGCTTCTACACTGCTGGTGGGAATGTAAACTAGTACAGCCACTATGGGAAACAGTCTGGAGATTCTTGAAAGAACTAAAAGTAGAACTACCATTTGATCCAGCAACCCCACTACTGGGTATCTACCCAGAGGAAAAGAAGTCATTATTTGAAAAAGATACTAGCATATGCATGTTTATAGCAGCACAGTTCACAATAGCAAAATCGTGGAACCAACCCAAAGGCTCATCAATCAACAAGTGGATGAAGAAACTGTGGTATGTATATATATATAGAGAGAGAGATAGCTATATATAGATATATAGATATATCTATATACAGAGAGAAAGAGAATATATATATAGAATATATATAACAGTACAATGCTATGCAGCCATAAAAATGAATGAATTAACAGCATTTGCAGTGACCTGGATGAGATTGGAGACTATTATTCTAAGTGAAGTAACTCAGGAATGGAAAACCAAACATCATATGTCTTCACTGATATGTGGGAGCTAAGCTACGAGGATGCAATGGCATAAAAATGATACAATGGACTTTGGGAACTTATGGGGAAGAGTAGGAGTGGGGCAAGGGATAAAAGATCACAAATATTGTGCAGTGTATACATACTGCTCGGGTGAAGGGTGCACCAAAATCTCACAAATCACCACTAAAGAACTTACTTAAGTAATCAAATACCATCTGTACCCCAATAACTTATGGAAAAATAAATAAAAAATTAAAATACATATGAAAAGGCTTCTTAAGAAATCAAATATTCTCAGTTTTCACAGCATCTAGTCCATGCCCAGCCCAGGTAGAGAAGAGGGTCAGGGACATCTGGCTGATAGGAACCTGAGGCAGCTTGCAAGAGGGAGGCCCCACTAGACAAAAAGTGCTCCCCAGCAGACCATGGGCTCCGTGTGGACAGGGACCTTGTCTTGTTCACTGCTGTGTCTTCAGCACTAAGAATAGTGCCCAGTACACAATGGGCATTCAAGAAATATTTGCTGAAAGAACTAAATATTTAAACTAAAATACTAGGAGATTATAGGTATGGGCATAGCAAGGATCTCCCCTCGAGTGGAATTCCAACTTGCAAAAGCATGCTTGTCACACTGGCAGTCCTATTAGGGTGTCTCAACCTGGGCACTATTGACATCTGGGGCCGATCATCCCCTACAGTGGGGACTGTCCTGTGCGTCATGGGGTGTTAACAGCATCCCTGGCTTCTATTCTCTAGATGCCAGTACAACGACCTCTGCAAGTTGTACCAACTACATGGGTCTCCAGACTTTTCCAAAATGTCTACTGTGGGACAAAATCACCTTCTCTTCCTCTCCACGCTCACACAGTGAGAGCCACCGAGTCCCACACAGCAGTGCCTAATCCATGTTAAAACATGGTCTGAGAGCCTCAGAGACTTTTGCTGGAACAAGGAAGTGTGCACCAGGATGCTCTGCTTGCCTTCCTTTCCTGTATGAAATTGATCAGCTCCGTTTCAGGAGAAACGAGAAGGAGGCAGGAGGACTCTGCAGCTTACCACGAGGTGATTCTGGCTCCAGGCACCACTGGGGCTGGGAAAAGGCCTTGAAGTTCAAGCCATGTTGATTTCTGCAAAACTTGCCAAGTGCATTTTTCCAAGTGTATGGCTGTGGTAACATCTGGATTTGATCTGAAATGAGGGCTGTCTTCTCTCACCCTGGGATGCAAAACCAATTCCAGTCTAAACCACAGTATTTAACATTTTAAATGAAAGTTGCTGGAACAGGAGTAAGCCACACCATTTTTGTCGTTACAAAAGGCTGGAGAGGAAAGAATGCTTCTTTCATCAAAAATATTACTGAATTAAAGAAAAATAAAGATCATGGTTTCTCTTACTTTGTATGTGTGTGATATTAACAAGGAACAAGCAGTGAAGAGAGCCTACAGACATCAAAGAATTTTGTAAATGGCACAGTGAAGCAAGCCCCTGTACACTTAGAATCTCATTCCCCCAAGAGAGATTCTTCTCAGAATTTTCTCTTCAAATACACGTGTTCAGCAGAAACAAGTCCACCTTCCTAATGAACTACAAGGAACAGCACAGAAGTCAGTGAGGGCCTTGAGTTCAAAACAGCCTCTCACATTCACCCTTCCTCCCCTCTTTCAAACACAAAGAGGAACAAGGGTGTTTTGATCTTAAATGTCACATCTGCTCCGTGGCATTCCTCATCCTGCTCCTTGACAGAATATCAGAGGAAAGGTCAATCACAAGAGAATGTTCAATTCCAGATTGTGAAAGGAAAGTTCAGGTTGGTGTTCATGGAGCATTTTGCTTGAATGTGACCTATACCTTACAGGCAAGGGAGCATGCAGGGGTTAGAGAGTACTCTAGAAGGTCCTTTTTAAAATATATTTCCAAGGCACAGGACATTTTCTTCAGACAAAATGTTACATAGATACTCAGTAAAAAGAAGAAATAAAAGGAGCCTTTTTCAGAGAAATGGAATGTCTAGAATCCAATGCTCAGCCTGCCACTGTTCCAAAACCTCAGCACATGCACCAAAATAACCTGGAGCTCTCTGCTCTGGGATCTGAGGTTTTTCCTTTGGTGTTTGGTTGCTCCACGGACTTGCAAGTGACCCTCCCTGCATCTCGAGCTAGCAGCTGTCTACTCGCCCTCCCGCTCCCATCCCCTTCTCGCCTTCTCCACCCTGCTCTGTGCCCTAGGAGCTGACCTCTAAGAACTGTCTTACCCAAGCTCCCTTTAACCCTGGTTTCCAGCTGGGAGTGGCCAATGGGAGGCAGCAGCTGGAGGAAAGAGTGGCCACGGTATTTCTTCCCCACACATTGGTCTGCTCAAAGCACCATGGACCATGGGACTTCAACAACAGAAGTGTATTTTCTCATGATTCAAGAGGCTGGAAGTTCAGTATTAAGTTGCTGGCATGGTTTGTTTCCTCTGAGACCCCTCCCCTTGGCTTGCAGGTGGATGTCTCTTGCTGCCCCTTCACAGGGTCATCCTCTGTCTACGGTGCCTCTTTCGCTTCTTATAAGGATGCTAGGCAAATTGGATTAGAGTCCACCCTAACAGCCTTCTTTTAATTCTGTCACTTTGTTAAAGACCCTATCTCTAAATACAGTCACATTCTGAAGGACAGAGGGCTAGGACTTCAACATATAAATCTGAGGGGACACCGTTCATTCCATCACTCCCCTTTCCCACCTTCCTAGGCTCTGACCTGACAGTGGCCACACCCCCCACAGATACAGTATCTGCCAAGCAGGCCCTGCTCGTGGAGACGGTTCTCCATTTCTTCCTCCACCCCCGAGTGAAGCATTTTGAAAGTTTCCTATAAAGAGTCCCTGGGAGGGACATCCTATATTGGTTCCCTCAACCCAGCCCATAGCACTGTGCATAGGTCCTTCATTCATTCTTCTCAGTTAAGCCCTTTTCAGTGGGTCTTCCAAGGAATGGCTAAGGAATGGGCTTGACCCTTCCCTAAATTGTCGCTATAATTTTGCAGCAAGATGAAAGGACCCAGGGAAGCAAGTGGTAGGTATGTGGGGGCAGTGGAGGGATTCTCAACACATTGAAGGCCCTCTTTATAACCACATCACTAGGTGATGACTTCACCTCCAATTCCAAAGTTCTGTGAAAAAACTGTTTAGATGTGTACCTGGCTGTGTGTGTGAAAATTACAGATCACAAAGGTATTTGCAGTCATGTGCATTTGCAAGATAGTCATCTCTATAATTTGCCTAAGACAGGGAACCTGTTCCCAACCTTGGAACTATTGCACAATCAACATTTTGGCCCAGATATTTCTCTTTTGTGGGAGCTGTCTTGTGCATTATAGGATGTTCAGTAGCATCCAACTCCCAAGTTGTGGCAACTAAAAATTAAGGCTGGTGGCTGTGTGTCCTCCATTTAGGGAAGACTTGGGCAAAAGGAACCTCTGCCACAATCCCAGTGCTTTAGAAAGCCTGGCTCTCATCTTCCTCCACCCTCCCCATATTCCCCTTTCCACTAGAGGTGTCCATGCAACAAAAAGGATGTACCCACCCAGGGCCCAGAGCCCTCTTCAAGAATCCCCTCTAGTTACTTGGGTCCAGAATTGCCTGCCAAATGACCCACACCAACTTCCAAAGACTGACTGGGTCTCTTTCCTGGGTTTGATACATGCTAATGTGTAAGGTGACAAAGGGGTGGCTATTTTTATGGGGTATGGATGAAGCTTGGCTGTACCTGCTGATCCAGGTATTTACACGTGCATGTCCAAGCTTGCCCATGATGCAGAACAGAGCAGGAAGATAAACAGGGTGTGGCCAGGTGCAATGGCTCACGCCTGTAATCCCAGCACTTTGGGAGGCCGAGGCAGGCAGATCACGAGGTCTGGAGATCTAGACCATCCTGGCTAACACAGTGAAACCCTGTCTCTACTAAAAATACAAAAAAAATCCGGGCGTGGTGGCAGGCACCTGTAGTCCCAACTACTCGGGAGGCTGAGGCAGGAGAATGGCGCGAACCCAGGAGGCAGAACTTGCAGTGAGCCAAGATCGCACCACTGCACTCCAGCCTGGGCGACAGAGCGAGACTCCGTCTCAAAAAAAAAAAAAAAAAAGATAAACGGGGTGAGCCAAGAGTAGGGGCCAGCCCTCCTCACACTGCCAAGGTCTGAGGTGAAACTCTGAGGAGTCCAAGAACTCTAAATTTAAACTTTACGTACTAGGTCATTATGGAGGTGTATTCGTGAAAGTAGAAGGCCCAGATGGTGCTATTTAGCACTCTGTCAGATTGATGCATGACCATTAAACACGTAGATGTACAGAATGTGGATCTCCATTTATACTCTAGACAAATGTCTTACTCAAATGGCCACACAAATGTTAGGGGCAGGTGCCTGGCGCTCATATCTGAACAGCCTCAGAGAGCAGGGAAGGACTGGTTCCTGGGCCATCTGGGCATATGGGGTATCTGGAAGTGCAGCCATTTTGGTACCCCAAAGTGACACATAAACACCATATTGAGCACCAAACCTTCAAGGGTGGCATTGAGGTTAGAAGAGATTTCAAGAAGCCTGGCAGCCAGATGTGAGGAATAGCACAACAGTGACCTGTGTGCATCAGTGCCTGGAGACCAGAACAAGGGCAATGGGAGTCTCAGAGGGCACCCAAATGAACAATGGCATCAAGAGCCAGATAGCTGCAAAGTTTAATTGCTCAGTGCTGTGTAAGCCCCCAGAAACACAGACACAACATCAGAAGAGATCAATGTTCTACCACATTGGTACCAATGGGTCTTAAACTAGAAATTAAGTGGAATCAGAACAAAGTCAAGGTTTATCACCGGCACACCTGAGTCATGTTTGAAGGGGCACTCAGGCTACCCACAGGCTTTGTGCTCAGCCTCACGGCACTGTCCAGCATAAGGTACATGTTTAGCAATGGTTTTTGAACTGTGGTTACTAAACTCGGGTTTTTTAATCTATCTGCATTTCAAAGTGCTTGGTTTGGATTTGGGGGTAAAAAATGTGGTCCTTGATATGCCAGTGCATTAAGGTCAAGCCTTCCCTGAAGAACATTCACATTTTTTTCTACATAGAAGTGGAATCTAGCTTGTTGGTTGTCTGAGAGACAAAATGTATTGCTTTGTACCATTTAAATGTTAAGAGGGTTTTCATGTTTTTCTGCAAAAAGCCTATTTACCCTGCACTGAGTTTCCCCGGCCTCACAGTATCACAGGTTAGGGAGTTCCCTTTCATTAAATGGTTCTTTAGACCATGAAATTTTCTTGTTTTGCTTTCTACCAAATTCCAAATTAATTCCAGTCCAAGGTTTAATAGATCAGATCCATGAGGTCATTGTAACTTCATATTTTATATTAAGCATGACTACTATTAATTGAGGGCCAGCTTTGTGATATGCATGCTCTATACATTGTCTCTAATCCTCCTAGATCTCCCAAGGTAAGTAGCATTTTTCCTAACAACAGAACTGAGGCTAAGTGAAATCACATAGGAAAGCTAGAACCTGAACATAAGTCTCCATGGTCTCAAAGCCTGAACTCACCACTACAGCATATAGCAATTGTACCCTCATTATCTGAGGTTTCAATTTTGCAATGTCCATATTTTGAGTTTTACATCATTTTCCTGCTCCTAATTGCCCAGAGTCATAGTGGACTGCGTACAAGCTTCATTTCTCCCTCCAAGGTTTTGCAGAGAAAAATTCTATTGTTTGGCCCAGGAGCCCCAGGTATCATTTAGGGTGTGGGAACAAAGTGAAATAGGTACTTCCTTTACAATGATGCCAGGCACCTCTCCTCCTTCCAGGTACAACACATCTCTGTGTCTTAGATCTTAGCTGCACCTGGGACAAAGGCTGTTCTCTGCAGAAAGAAGCTAAGAGATCAGAGTAGTTGAAGGTATTGCAGGTGTGCCCACTCCAACACTGGGGCATGCCCAGCTCCTTTGGAAAACTCATGTGAATAAGAGCCTCAGCAATTCAGGAAAGTGAAGCATGCTGAAAAGCAAGGGTCAAAGTAAAAAAGGTAAGAAAGAGTACTTTTTTTATTAAATATAATTCATTTAGCATCGAATTCACCCTTTTAACATGTACGATTCATTGGTTTTTAGAATATTCACTAAGTTGTGCAACCATCAGCACTATCTAACTCTAGAACATTCTCCTCACAACAAAAAGAAACCTCATGGCTGGGGGCGGTGGCTTATGCCTGTAGTCCCAGCACTTTGGGAGGCTGAGGCAGGTGGATCACTTGAGGTCAGGAGATCAATACCAGCCTAGCCAACTTGGTAAAGCCCTGTCTCTGCTAAAGACACAAAAATTAGCCAGGCGTGGGGGTGTGGACCTGTAGTCCCAGCTACTCATGAGGCTGAGGTGGGAGAATCGCTTGAACCCGGGAGGTGGAGGTTTCAGTGAGCCAAGATCGTGCCACTGCACTCCAGCCTAGGTGACAGTGAGACTCTGTCAGAAAGGAAGAAAGGAAGAGAAAGAGAGAGAGAGAGAGAGAGAAAGAAAGAAAGAAAGAAAGAAAGAAAGAAAGAAAGAAAGAAAGAAAGAAAGAAAGAAAGAAAGAAAGAAAGAGAAAGAAAGGAAGGAAGGAAGGAAGGAAGGAAGGAAGGAAGGAAGGAAGGAAGGAAGGAAGGAAGGAAGAAAGAAGAAAAGAAAAAACAACCTCATGCTCATTCGTGGTGAGTCTCTATGTTCCTTTTCCCCCAACTCCTGTGAACCATTAATCTACTTTCAGTCTTTAATGGAGTTGCTTATTCTAAACTTTGTATGTAAATAGAATCATGAACTATTTAGCCTTTTATGTCTGGTCATTTTCACTTGCCATAATATTTTCAGTGTTTACCTGTCTTGTAATGTGTGTCCATACTTTAGTCCTTTTTTGGCTAAACAATTGTATGGATATAGCACATTTTTAATCCATTCACTAATTGCTAGACATGTAGGGATTTTTTCCACTTTTTTACTATTATGAAAAATGCTACTAGGAAAATTTGTGTACAGGTTGTTATGTGGACATATTTCTTCAGTTCTTTTGGGCATATATCTAGGTGTGGAACTTCTGGATCATATGATAACTCTACGTCTATAACTTTTTGAAGAAATCCCAAACTGTTTTTCAAAATGACTGCACCATTTTATATTCCCACCAGCAAGGCATGAGGGCTTCCATTTCTCCATATCCTTGCCAACACTTGTCATTGTTCATCTTTTATATTATAAACACTCTAGTGGGTATAAAGTGGGTTTGGTTTTTATTTGCATTCCCTGGAAGACTAAAGCCAACACGCCCAGTGCATGACTTCTTTTGCAGGGAACTGTCCGTCACAGAGGTGCTGAAATCATCTGGGTTGAGGAGATGTGGCATGAGGCATCACAGCCTCTGCCTTCAAATGTTATGCCAGAATAAGACATCAGAGGAGTCTTGAAGGTACAGAAAGAATTTGCCAAGTCAGCCAGGCATGGCGGCTCACGCCTGTAATCCCAGCACTTCAGTAGGCTGAGGCGGGCAGATCACTTGAAGTCAGGAGTTTGAGACCAGCCTGGCCAACGTTGTAAAATCCCATCTCTACTAAAAATACAAAAATTAGCCAGGCATGATGGCATGTGACTGTAATACCAGCTACTCAGGAGGCTGAGGGACAAGAATCACTTGAACTCAGGAGGCAGAGGTTGCAGTGGGCTGAGATCACACCACTGCACTCCAGGCTGGGAGACAGAGTGAGACTCTGTCTCAAAAAAAAAAAAAAAAAAAAAAGAATTTACCAAGTAGATGAGAGATGAAGAAGAGCATTTCAGGCAGTGCAAACGGTATATGCAGAAATGTAAAGGCAGAACACAGAATGGCACATTTGACATGTTACATTAGTTCTGAAGGCTCGGTGTAGAATATGCAAAAGGAGAATAATAAGTGAGGAGGTTGAAGAGGTACACCAAGGCCAGATCACAGAGTGCCATGTATGCTATACTAAAATATTAGAGCTTTATGCCATAGGCAATGGGAAGCTACTAGAGACTTTTTAATCAGTGACATAAATGACAAGGCAAAGAGTTTAAAAAAAGAACTTTCTGTGTGAGGAATAACAGGGAGGGAGATAAGGAGATCAGTAAGGCTGAGGTGGGTGTTCAGGAGAGAAATAACCAAGGTCAAAGCTGAAAGACAAAATAAGGGACCTTTTCTAGGACATATTCCTAACCTGCTACAAAGGTTGGTGTCCTGCATTTCAGCAGGACCTGGGAGTTTTGTTATCTGTATATTGGTATTAATGTGATCTCAGTTGTATCTTCAGGCTGGGGAGGTCTGGGAGAATACTTAATGAAATGCTGATTGTTTTCAATAGGAAAATACACTTCAACTGGACTACAGTAACCAAGAACCTTTCTTCTGTGTTATTAAGACACAAAAGGCAAGATTTCAGCTCATACTCTTTTAACCAAGCCAGAATTAACTTTTTGTTATAACTGAAGAAGCAATAAACCTCAAGGCTTGGATAGTCCCTATCTGTTTGCATTTACTCTTCAATTTCCTGCCTGAATCACACCTCCACCTTCCCTTAAAGGTGAAAGCCTATGGCCAGGCATGGTGGCTCACACCTGTAATCCCAGCACTTTGGGAGGTCAAGGCGGGTGGGTCAAAGGTCAGGAGTTCGAGACCAGCTGACCAACATGGTGAAACCCCATCTCTACTAAAAATACAAAATTAGCTGGGCGTGGTGGCATGCACCTGTAATCCCAGCTACTCAGGAGGCTGAGGCAGGAAAATCGGTTGATTCCAGAAGGTAGAGGCTGCAGTGAGCCGAGATTGTACCATTGCACTCCAGCCTGGGCGACAGAGTGAGACTCTGTCTCAAAAAAAAAAAAAAAAAAAAGCCTATTAGAGAACCTGCAAAGTAAAAACAGAGAGGCAATAAGGGAGAAGCAAGGCATGAAGGACCCTCAGGGGTAGGGATGTAATGAATATCTGTCTACTTTGACTGCCCAATATCTTGAGACTACTTCCTTACTGTGAAAGCAAGTCTCGAACCAAAAGCAGAGAAGAAAAATTAACTTGCAAATAAGTTGCAAAGGAATCTAAGATTTGGGAGTTCCAGCTCATCAAGTAAAAACACAGCAAGTATTTAAAATAAAAAACCGCACAAGATAATCAAGATTTTCAAGTTTACAATTAGTTTCTTTGTAGTAAAATAAAAAAATAGCACCTTTCTCAGGTGATTATTATACCTCTAAAGGTTGTGACATATCTTCCCATATCAGCCTTACAAAAATCAATGATAAAAATGTCTTGTTAGGGAGTCAATAACCTATGTAAAATCCTCAAAGTTCCATTTATTTTGAGTGCTAAAACTAAACAGGGTTACCTGGTATATTGGTTTGTTTTCTGGTGCAATATGTTTGCTTGTTGGCCATGGAATATGATTTGCACACATATTTGTAATGGTGGCAAGGCAAAATTTTAGTTTTCACCTTTTGGTGGTTTCAGGCTGCATCGATGAAACTGCCTTTAAAAATTATGACAATAAGAGAAACCTGACATAACTGACTCCATCTTGATTCTAACCTCTAAGCTGCCCTTGTTCATTCCTGGGCATAGGCCAACCTAACTTTGGGAGGAATTTAGTCCATAGTTTCATCTTAAAGCAAAGATGACAATAGCCTTTCCCAAAACTACCCCCAACCTTGTTCAAGACTAAAACTGCCTTTGTTAAAAAAAAAAAAAAACTAACTAAAGGCCACAAGAATAGGATTATGAGAGGGGCCTGAATTCTGTCAAGATGTAGGCATAAATGATAACCAGCCATTGTTCTGGAGGTCACAAGATTTGTAACTTCTCCAATCACTCCTATAGATAATATCACTATTGTAGAACCTAAGATTGGTATTTTGAGATTTTTTCAGACTTCTGCATTTCTCCAAACGAATGACCTCACCCCAGATCTAGGACTCCTGACTCAACTAGTCCTGTGGTCCCTACCTAGAGGCTGACTCAGGACAAAAGGACCGCCTTCCACACCCCTGTGATTTCATCCCGATCCAATCAGCTGCACCCATTCCCTAGTCCCCTGCCCACCAAATCATCCTTTAAAAGTCCGGTCTCTAAATTTTCAGAGAGACTGATTCAAGTAATAAACCCTTGTCCTTTCACGTGGCTAACTTTGCATTAATTAAACTCTTTCTTTACTGCAATACTTCTGTCAGCAAATCAGCTCTGCCTGTGCAGTGGGCGAGGGGAATCCATCAGGCAATTACACTGAAAGCCCTGCCTTCCCATGGTAGCATCCACCTACCCTGCTTCTGTTGCAGCTGGGGCAGGTTAACATACGTGAGATTCTGATTCAGAAGTCTGCAGTGTGAGGAAATAGGCTGCACATGGCCCAACTACTTTGCTAGTGCAGATGGTGGTAGCAGTGGCAGCGAGAGGCACTGCAGAAACATGAATTTTCTGGCAGCCTGGGTGTGGCTATGAGCAGTTTTTCTCTATCAAGGTAGTTCTCCAGAACTCCTGGAAGCCTAGCCCTACACCTGTTTCTTCAGATCCGTCATCTCCCAAAGGCTCTGGGTACCTCCTAACATCCTTTACAAAATGCCTTAATCTAAGCAGGCTGGAGTGGATTCTGTGGATTCCATCTCAGAGCCTGTGATCCTAAAATTTCCCTCCTCCCATATCTTATGTATGAGTTTTAAGCAGAATGGGTGGCCTTTGCCTTTTCGAAGTTTGTTCTGGCTGCTGTCAGAGAACAGACTGAGGGGCTGGGGTGGATAGGGGTGAGAATGGAAGCAGAAAGACTAGGTGAGAAGCTTTTGCTGAAACCCAGGTGCAAGGTGGTGATGGCTTGGATTAAGGTAGTAGCAGTGCTGATGGGAAGAAGAGATTAAAGATACTTGGAGGCAGTGTCAACAAGACGTGCAGTGGATTGGATGTTAGGGACAGGAAAAGGAAAGAATCAATAGAACTCCTGTCTTTGAACTGAGAAACCAGGTAATTGAAGGTGGTGTTTATAGAGATGGAGAAGACTAGATGATGTAGTTTGGGTATTTGTCCCCTCCAAATCTCATGTTGAAAATGTGATCCCCAATGTTGGAGGCGGGGCCTGGTGGGAGGTGTTTGGGTCATGGGGGGAACCCCTCATGAATGGCTTGGTGCCATACCCTTGGTGATGAGTGAGTTCTTACTCTGTTAGTTCATGCAAAAGCTGCTTGTTTAAAGGAGCCTGGCTCCTCCTCCTTTCTCTCTTGCTCCCTACCTCTCCATATGACACGCCTGCTCCCTCCTCACCTTCTGCCATGAGTGGAAGCTTCCTGAAGCCCTGACTAGAAGCACTGCTGCTGCCATGCTTGTACAACCTGCAGCCAAATAAACCTCTTTTCCTTATAAATTACCTAGTTTCAGGTATTCTCTTATACCAATGCAAAGTGGACTAACACAGTACAGGAAGGAGAGCTTAAAACTGGATTGGAAATCAAAAGGTCTTTCTAAAAATCAAGGGTGAGACAGGAGAGAAACAAGAGGCAACAACACATAGTGGTTAATTTTTTTTTTTTTTTTTTTTTTTGAGATGGAGTCCCGCTCTGTCACCCAGGCTGGAGTGCGGTCATGCAACCTTGGTTCACTGCAACCTCCGCCCCCTAGGTTCAAGCAATTCTCCTGCCTCAGCCTCCCAAGTAGCTGGGACCACAGGTGCACGCCGTCACACCTGGCTAATTTTTGTATTTTAGTAGAGACAGGGTTTCACCGTGTTGCCCAGGCTGGGCTCGAACTCCTGAGCTCAGGCAATCCACCCACCTCAGCCTCCCAAAGTGCTAGGATTACAGGCGTGAGCCACTACGCCCAGCCCATAGTGGTTAAATTGCATAAGCTTGTTTTCTTGTTTGCCAACTAATGTTGCCTTTGACCATATTGAATCTCCTTCTCCTGTGACATGCCTTTATTTGTTTTGCCTAAATGAATTCTTATTGTGGCAAAAAAAAACATAGTGGGCTATGTTTTTTATAGACCCATGGGCTCTGGAGCCAGATGACCTGGTTTCAAACCCAAATTCCACATCCTACGAACTCTGAGGCCAGTTCCTCCTCATGAAGAGATAGATAATTATTGTCCCTACCTTAAAGAGTTGTAATGAATATTAAGTACATAAATATTTCACTACCTGGGGAATTACTGTTAATGAGTATGAGATTTTTTTAGAGCGATAAAAATGTTCTGAAATTAGATAGCAGTGATGGTTGCACAAGTTTCTGTATACTAAAATCACTAAACTGTACATTTTAAAAGGGTGATTTTTATGGTATATGAATTAGATCTTTAAACATTTTTTTGAAGAGCACTTAGGGCATGCCTGTTTAAATGCTAAGAGAGTGTTCATTAAAAGAAATTCAAATGAATTGCAAAAACAATAAACTACCTTAGATTCTAAAGTTGCTATTCTTCAGGCCGGGCTATTACAGGTGGTGGCTCATGTCTGTAATCCCAGCACTTTCGAAGGCTGAGGTGGGTGGATCACTTGAGGTCAGGAGTTCGAGACCAGCCTGGCCAACATGGTGAAACCCCATCTCTACTAAAAATACAAAAATTAGCCAGGCAAGGTGGCATGCACCTGTAGTCCCACCTACTCAGTAGACTGAGGCAGGAGAATCGTTTGAACCCAGGAGGCAGAGGTTGCAGTGAGCCGAGATCGCGCCACGCCACACCACTGCACTCCAGCCAGGGCAACGAGGGAGACGCTGTCCCAAAAAAAATAAAATAAAATAAAGTTGCTATTCTTCAAATCCTGTCAGAGTTGGCCTCATTCTTGCAGAGCCTTCAACCTCTTCCCCCATCCTTCCCATATTTTCTCCTATCCCCTTCCCCTCAGGTGGTTCCCATCCCACCCCAAGTCTTTCTTTGTGATTACCTTAGAATTCGAGATGATACTTTCTACCTTCTATTTCTTGTTCCATCAACTTTCCACAGCATCTCTGGACTCTCAGTCTTGGTAAGGTGCCTTCTAACTCTCATTCCTTTCTCTCCACTTCTCTACTCACTTCACAACTTCTATTGAAATAAGTCCTTTGCTTTTATGTTTCTAAACAGTATTTTTTTTGAGATAGGGTCTTGTTCTATTGCCCAGGCTAGAGTGCTGTGGCATGATCACAGCTCACTGCAGCTTCCACCTGCTGGGATCAAGTAAGCTGACCCACCATATAAATGAAGCCACCTTGGAAGTGAGTCATCCACCCCCAGTCAAAGCTTCTGGCAACTGTAGCCCTAGTCCACAGGTTGACTGCAACCTCATGAAAAATCTGGAAGCAGAACCACCCAGTTAAGCTGTTTCTGAATTCCTGACCCACAGAAATATGTAAATTATGATAAATGTTTCGAATTTTTTTTTTTTTGAGATGGAGTCTCACTCTGTCACCCAGACTGGAGTGCAGTGGTGCTATCTCAGCTCAATGTAAGCTCTGCCTCCCGGGTTCATGCCATTCTTCTGCCTCAGCCTCCCGAGTAGCTGGGACTCCGGGCACCCGCCACCACACCCGGCTAATTTTTTGTATTTTTAGTAGAGACGGGGTTTCACTATGATCTCAATCTCCTGACCTCGTGATCCGCCCGCCTCGGCCTCCCAAAGTGCTGGGATTACAGGCATGAACCACTGCACCTGGCCAGGATTATTTTAAGTCATGGTAAGGTAAGGTAATTTGTTACACAGAAATCAATAACTATGGCAGTTTACTGGAACCACCTAACATGTTCATCTCGCCTACTGCTTGGATACAGCCAAAGACAGGGGAATTGTAAGAGAGAGAGAGTTTAATACATGTAGAGTTGGCTAAATAGGAGACCAGGGTTTAATTATTACTCAAGTCAGCCTCCCCAAAAATTTAGAAGCCAGGGTTTTTTTAAAGATAGTTTGGTGCTCAGGGGGCTAGAGAATGGGTGCTGTTGATTGGTTGTGGAATCACAGAAGTCATCTGGTTGTCAGAAATGCAGAAGTCTGAAAAGACATCTTAAAAGGCCAATCTTAGGTTCTACAATAGTGATGATAGGAAGTTACAAATCTTGTGACCTCTGGAACAATGGCTGGTTATCCTTTAACTACACCTACATCTTACCAGAATTCAGGCCCCTCTCAAAATCCTAACTTTGTGGCCTTCTAATGGTTTTATAAAGGCAGTTTAGTTTTGGGAAGGACCATTATCATTTAAATTATAAACAAATTTCTCCCAAAATTAGCTTGGCCCACACCCAGGGATGACCAAGGGCAGTTTGGAGCTTAAAGACAAGATAGACTTGGTTAGATCAGATGTCTTTCATGCTCATAATTTTCTCACTGTTACAATTTTTGCAAAGGCAGTTTTATTACTGTGGAGTCAGCCACCCTGGGGAAGGGCTGTATTTCATAGTGCATGGATAGTTCCAAATAGTAGTATCCTAAGCGAGATAAAGAGATGGGTTTCTCTTGGCCAGGCATGGTGGCTCATTCTTATCATTTCAGCACTTTAAAAGGCCAAGGTGGGTGGATCACTTGGGCTCAGGAGTTCAAGACCAGCCTTGGCAACATGGCAAGACCTCATCTCTACAAAAAAAAAATACAAAAATTAGCTGGGCATGGTGGCACACACCTGCAGACCCAGCTACTCAAGAGGCTGAGGCAGGAGGATTGCTTGAGCCTGGGAGGTTGAGGATGCAGTGAGCTATGATTGCACTCCAGCGTGAGCAACAGAGTGAGACCATATCTCAAAAAAAAAAAAAAAAAAAAAAAAACAGAGAAAGTGGCCAAATAGGAACAGCTCTGGTCTGCAGCTCCCAGCATGATCGATGCAGAATATGGGTGATTTCTGCATTTCCAACACAGGTACCTGGTTCATCTCACTGGGCCTGGTTGGACAGTGAGTGCAGCCCACAGATGGTGAGTCAAAGCAGGGCAGGGCATCGCCTCACCTGGGAAGTGCAAGGGGTCAGGGGATTTCCCGTTCCTAGCCAAGGGAAGCCGTGACAGACTGTACGTGGAAAAACAAGACACTCTGCCCAAATACTGCACCTTTCCCAAGGTCTTAGCAATCGGCAGACAAGGAGATTCTCTCCTGTGCCTGGCTTGGCAGGTCCCATGCCCATGGAGCCTTGCTCACTGCTAGCGCAGCAGTCTGAGATCAAACTGCGAGGTGGCAGCCTGGCTGGGGGAGGGGCATCCGCCATTGCTGAGGCTTGAGTAGGTAAACAAAGCAGCCCGGAAGCTTGAACTGGACGGAGCCCACCACAGCTTTGTAAGGCCTACTGCCTCTATAGACTCCACCTCTGTGGGCAGGGCATAGATGGACAAAAGGCAGCAGACAGCTTCTGCAGACTTAAACGTCCCTGTCTGACAGCTCTGAAGAGAGCAGTGGTACTCTCAGCATGGCATTTGAGCTCTGAGAACAGACAGACTGCCTCCTCAAGTGGGTCCCTGACCCCCGTGTAGCCTAACTGGGAGATACCTGCCAGTAGGGGCTGACAGACACCTCATATAGGCGGCTGCCCCTCTGAGACGAAGCTTCCAGAGGAAGGATCAGGCAGGAATCTTTGCTGTTCTGCAATATTTGCTGTTCTGCAGCCTCCACTGGTGATACCCAGGCAAACAGGGTCTGGAGTGGACCTCCAGCAAACTCCAACAGACCTGCAGCTGAGGGACCTGACTATTAGAAGGAAAACTAACAAACAGAAAGGAATAGCACCAACATCAACAAAAAGGACATCTATACCAAAACCCTATCTGTAGGTCACCAACATCAAAGACCAAAGGTAGATAAAACCACAAAGATGGGGAGAAACCAGAACAGAAAAGTTGAAAATTCTAAAAACCAGAGGGCCTCTTCTCCTCCAAAGGATTGCAGCTCCTTGCCAGCCCAGAGAATGACTTTGGCAAGCTGACAGAAGTAGGCTTCAGAAGATCGGTAATAACAAACTTCTCCAAGCTAAAGGAGCATGTTCAAACCCATCGCACACAGGCTAAAAACCTTGAAAAAAGGTTAGATGAATGGCTAACTACAATAAACAGTGTAGAAAAGACCTTAAGTGACCTGACAGAGCTGAAAACCATGGCATGAGAATTTCATGATGCATGCACAAGCTTCAATAGCCGATTCAATCAAGTAGAAGAACAGGTATCAGTGATTGAAGATCAAATTAATGAAATAAGGCAAGCAGACAAGGTTAGAGGAAAAAGAGGAAAAAGAAAAGAACAAAGCCTCCAGAAAATATGGGACTATGTGAAAAGACCAAATCTATGTTTGACAGGTGTACCTGAGAGTGGTGGGGAGAACAGAACCAAGCTGGAAAGCACTATTCAGGATATTATCCAGGAGAACTTCCCCAACCTAGCAAGGCAGGCCAACGTTCAAATTCAGGAAATACAGAGAACACCACAAAGATACTCCTTGAGAAGAGCAACCCCAAGACACAAAATTATCAGATTCACCAAGGTTGAAATGAAGGAAAAAATGTTAATGGCAGCCAGAGAGAAAGGTTGGGTTACCCACAAAGGGAAGCCCATCAGACTAACAGCGGATCTCTTGGCAGAAGCCCTACAAGCCAGAAGAGAGTGGTGGCCAATATTCAACATTCTTAAAGGAAAGAATTTTCAACCCAGAATTTAATATCCAGCCAAACTAAGCTTCATAAGTGAAGGAAAAATAAAATCCTTTACAGGCAAGCAAATGCTGAGAGATTGTGTCACCACCAGACCTGCCTTACAAGAGCTCCTGAAGGAAGCACTAAACATGGAAAGAAACAACCGGTACCCACCACTGCAAAAACATGCCAAATTGTAAAGACCATTGATGTTATGAAGAAACTGCATAAATTAATGGGCAAAAAAACCAGCTAACCTCATAATGACAGGAATAAATTCACACATAACAATATATTTTTTTTTTGAGACGGAGTCTCACTCTGTCACCCAGGCTGGATTGCAGTGGTGCAATCTCGGCTCACTGCAAGCTCTGCCTCCCAGGTTCACACCATTCTCCTGCCTCAGCCTCCCGAGTAGCTGGGACTACAGGTGCCCACCACCACACCTGGCTAATTTTTTGTAGTTTTAGTAGAGACAGGGTTTCACCGTGTTAGGCAGGATGGTCTCGATCTCCTGACCTCGTGATCCACCCACCTCAGCCTTCCAAAGTGCTGGGATTACAGGTGTGAGCCACTGTGCCCAGCCACACATAACAATATCAACCTTTAATGTAAATGGACTAAATGCCCCCAATTAAAAGACACAGACTGGCAAATTGGATAAAGAGCCAAGACCCATTAGTGTGCTGTATTCAGGAGACCCATCTCACATGCAGAGACACACATAGGCTCAAAATAAAGTGATGGAGGAAGATCTACCAAGCAAATGGAAAGTAAAAAAAAACAGGGGTTGCAATCCTAGTCTCTGATAAAACAGACTTTAAACCAACAAGGATCAAAAGAGACAAAGAAGGCCATTACATAATGGTAAAGGGATCGATTCAACAAGAAGAACTAAATATCCTAAATATATATGCACCCAATACAGGAGCACCCAGATTCATAAAGCAAGTCCTTAGAGACCTACAAAGAGACTTAGACTCCCACACAAGAATAATGGGAGATGTTAACACCCCACTGTCAATATTCGACAGATTAATGAGACAGAAGGTTAACAAGGATATACCAGACTTGAACTCAGCTCTGCACCAAGCAGACCTACCAGACATCTACAGAACTCTCCACCCTGAATTAACAGAATATTCATTCTTCTCAGCACCACATTGCACTTATTCTAAAATTGACCACATAATTGGAAGTAAAGCACTCCTCAGCAAACGTAAAAGAACAGAAATCACAACAAACTGTCTCTCAGACCACAGTGCAATCAAATTAGAACCAGGATTAAGAAAGTCACTCAAAATAGCACAACTACATGGAAACTGAACAACCTGCTCCTGAATGACTACTGGGTAAATAACAAAATGAAGGCAGAAATAAAGATGTTCTTTGAAACCAGTGAGAACAAACACACAATGTACCAGAATCTCTGGGACACATTTAAAGCAGTGTGTGGAGGGAAACTCATAGCACTAAATGCCCACAAGAGAAAGCAGGAAAGATCTGAAATCAACGCCCTAACATCACAATTAAAAGAACCAGAGAAGCAAGAGCAAACAAATTCAAAAGCTAGCAGAAGACAAGAAATAACTAAGATCACAGCAGAACTGAAAGAGATAGAGACACAAAAAACCCTTCAAAAAATCAGTGAATCCAGGAGCTCGTTTTTTGAAACAATAAAATAGATAGACCGCTAGCCAGACTAATGAAGAAAAGAGAGAAGAATCAAATAGATGCAATAAAAAATGATAAAGGGGATATCACCACCAATCCCACAGAAATACAAACTACTATCAGAGAATACTATAAACATCTCCATGCAAATAAACTAGAAAATCTAAAAGAAATGCATAAATTCCCGGACACATACATCCACCCAAGACTAAACCAGGAAGAAGTTGAATCTCTGAATAGACCAACAACAGGCTCTGAAATTGAGTCAATAATTAATAGGCTACCAACCAAAAAAAGTCCAGGACCAGATGGATTCACAGCCGAATTCTACAAGAGGTACAAAGAGGAGGTGATACCACTCCTTCTGAAACTATTCCAATCAATAGAAAAAGAGGGAATCCTCTCTAACTCATTTTATGAGGCCAGCATCATCCTGATACCAAAGCCTGGCAGAGACACAACAAAAAAAGAGAATTTTAGACCAATATCCCTGGTGAACATCGATGTGAAAATCCTCAATAAAATACTGGCAAACCGAATCCAGCAGCACATCAAAAAGCTTATCCACCATGATCAAGTGGGCTTCATCCCTGGGATGCAAGGCTGGTTCAACGTACGCAAATCAATACACGTAATCCATCACATCAACAGAACCAATAACAAAAACCACATGATTATCTCAATAGATGCAGAAAAGGCCTTCGACAAAATTCAACAGCCCTTCATGCTAAAAATTCTAAATAAACTAGGTATTGATGGAACATACCTCAAAATAATAAAAGCTATTTATGACAAAACCACAGCCAATATCATACTGAATGGGCAAAAACTGGACGCATTCCATTTGAAAACCAGCACACGACAAGGATACCCTTTCTCACAACTCCTATTCAACATGGTATTGGAAGTTCTGGCTGGGGCAATCAGGCAAGAGAAAGAAATAAAGAGTATTCAATTAGGAAGAGAGGAAGTCAAACTGTCCCTGTTTGCAGATGACATGATTGTATATTTAGAAAACCCCATTGTGTCAGCCCAAAATCTCCTTAAGCTGATAAGCAACTTCAGCAAACTCTCAGGATAAAAATCAGAAGCATTCCTTTACACCAATAACAGACAAACAGAGAGCCAAATCATGAGTGAACTCCCATTCACAATTGCTACAAAGAGAATAAAATACCTAGGAATCCAACTTACAAGGGACGTGAAGTATGTCTTCAAAGAGAACTACAAACCACTGCTCAATGAAATAAAAGAGAACACAAACAAATGGAAGAACATTCCATGCTCAAGGATAGGAAGAATCGATATCGTGAAAATGGCCATACTGCCCAAGGTGATTTATAGATTCAATGCCATCCTCAGCAAGCTATCAATGACTTTCTTCACAGAATTGGAAAAAACTACTTTAAAGTTCATATGGAACCAAAAAAGAGCCCGCATTGCCAAGACAATCCTAAGCAGAAAGAACAAAGCTGGAGGCATCACACTACCTGACTTCAAACTACACTACAAGGCTACAGTAACCAAAACAGCATAGTACTGGTACCAAAACAGATATATAGACCAATCGAACAGAACAGAGGCCTCAGAAATAACACCACACATCTACAACCATCTGATCTTTGACAAACCTGACAAAAACAAGAAATGGGGAAAAGATTCCCTATTTAATAAATGGTGCTGGGAAAACTGGCTAGCCATATGCAGAAAGCTGAAACTGGATCCCTTCCTTACACCTTATACAAAAATTAATTCAAGATGGATTAAAGACTTAACTGTTAGACCTAAAACCGTAAAAACCCTAGAAGAAAACCTAGGCAATACCATTCAGGACATAGGCATGGGCAAGGACTTCATGACTAAAACACTAAAAGCAATGGCAACAAAAGCCAAAATAGACAAATGGGATCTAATTAAACTAAAGAGCTTCTGCACAGCAAAAGAAACTACTATCAGGTGAACAGGTAACCCACAGAATGGGAGATCTTGGTTCACTGCAACCTCTGCCTCTCCAGTTCAAGCAATGCTCCTGCCTCAGCCTCCTGAGTAGCTGGGATTACAGGTGCCTGCCACCATGCCTGACTAATTTTTGTATTTTTAGTAGAGACGGGGTTTCACCATGTTGCCCAGGCTGGTCTCGAACTTCTGACCTCAAGTGATCCACCTGCCTCAGCCTCCCAAATTGCTAGGATTACAGGCATGAGCTACCACACCTGGAGAAGATTCTATTTTTAAACAGGACCAGAGATCATCTTGAACAAAGGAACTCACCCACTGGTACATATCTCAAGAGGAAAGCATAAATACACTGATGCACTTTGGCATCTTGAATTAATTTTTGTATAAGGTGTAAGAAATCATTCCATACACTCACATTCTATTAGTATTTATTCATTTACTAAGACTTACATATGCCAAGATTGCTGCAAGCAGCCAAACGAGATTCATTCCATTCTATAGACTTTATAGCAAGCTTGTCCAACCCACAGCCTGAGGGCTGCATGGGCTTTGAATGCAGCCCAACACAAATTCATAAACTTTCTTAAAACATTATGAGTTTTCTTGTGATTATTTTTAACTCATCAGCTGTTGTTAGTGTTAGTGTATTTAATGTATGGCCCATGACAATTCTTCCAGCGTGGCCCAGAGAAGCCAAAAGATTGGACACCCCCGCTTTATAGCATTGTTTGCAAACTGGTGATTGCCAGGGCCCCATGCAGCATTCAGAAATATTTGGTTTGACCTGTGGATTTTCTTTTTAAACTCACTGCCAACATTTAAAAATCAGGAGATTTTACATTCTTAAAACCCAGATATTCAGCTTGGATCAGTTAGCATTTTCTGTGTAACAACCAACCATTTACTCTCTCTTGTTTTTGTCATTCAGCAATTTGGGCTGGGCTCAGCCAGATGGTTCTGCTGGCCAGGGCCAGCCTGGCTGATCTCAGCTGGGCTTGTCCATGGGTTTGTAGTCAGCTGCCAGATCAGATGAGGCAGGCTGGCCAAGGGTGTCCTCGGCTGAGATGCTGTACGTGGTCTCATCTTACAGTGGACTAGTTTCTAAAGACAAAAGCCAAAGGGTGCAAGACATTTTGAGGGCTGGGCTCAAACGCACATGCCATCATTTCTGCTGTATTCTATTAGCCAGAGCAAGTGTTAGGCCAGCCCAGACTCAAGGGGTGGAGAAAGAGACTCCACCCTGGATGGGAGGGAAAGAATTTGTGGCCATTTTTGCAATCTACCATACAGTTATCTTAAGAGATCAGTGGATGTGGCCACCTTAGGCCACATGGCCAGCGGTATCCATGTGCTAGAGCCCAGAAGCAGCTTCCTTCCTTAGACGGGTGTGTTTCTCCTGCACAAGCCTTGTCCTCGCTGCTTCACTCATTTATACGACCATCTGGCCCCGTGGGCAAGGGAGGGCTTGCCATTCCTGATCCCAGAATGATCTCCCTCCTCAATGTATCCCAAAGCCATGCCCAGCCATGAACGCAATTGTTGTGCCATACCCAGAAATCACTTTTCACTTCTCAGAAAATCTCTCCCTCTACTTCCCCTATTTCCTTCCCCTGCCAATAGCTGGTGGAAGAATCTGCGGGAGGAGTAGGGAGAGGTTATTCAATAACCTGAGGATTTAGAAAAAGGGCAGTTTGGGAGCCAAACAGCCTTGGGTTCCATGTTGGTTCCACTCCACTCATAATCTCTCAGTTTCCCCATCTGTAAAACTACCTGCTGTGTTGCCATATTCCTCTTTGAAGATATTGTGTCAAGTCGTACGTAGTGCATAAATGGGGACTCATTTTGATGTAATGGAAAAAATTAAGAAAAAAAGAAAATAGAAGAGTAGTTAATGTCAGTTGCCTGTTTAGCTCTGCAGCGCCCAAGCCTGATGAATTTACGACAAGCTTCCAAAAAAGGCAATTGCGGCTTGCGGAGGGTCTAGAGGCTCAGTTGCCCGAGGCTGTCTTGAGGAGCTGCCTTTGGGACTCCGCGAAACCTCGAAGTCTTGGGCTGCGCCTCCCCTTGCGCGGTCGGAGCCTTGGCAGAGCCTGCGGCGCCACCTCGTGGGCGAGGCCGCCTGGTGCAAGGTCATCCGGTGCCGGGACCCGCTCCTCGCCCCGCCAGGACCCCCGCTCACCTCCAAGCTGGACGCCCGCGGAGCCCTGATCCCCTAACGCCCGCTTCCGAGGCCGAGCTCTGCAGCCCCCTGCAACCATCAGATCCAGATTGCCTTCCTGCACGAGCGCGCAACTCTCAGCCTCGGAGCGTGCTGGAAATGCTGATGGGAACCGTTTGAATGACCGGGCACGGGTCTGCAAGAAACTCAGCTCCCAGGCCAGCCGTGGCTCAGGAAGCCTCCCACGTCGGGTAGAATCCCAGGAATCCACCCTTGCCCCCATCCTCCCTTAACTTCCCCAAGCCTCAGTTCCTTCATCTGCAAAATCGAAATGGTGATAATTCCAACACCAATAGGGGTGTGACCATCTGCACCAAGCACTCAGAGCCTGGCATAGAAAGTGCAGCTCTTCTTATTAATTAGGCCTGAAACTCCTCTGCATAATAGTAATGTAATAATAGTAATGTAATAACAATAATAACAAATAGTAGTCTTCACTGTCATCATAGTAAATGGTAGCAGGTACATGGGCTATGCACTTATTATCTCCCAAGCACTAAGACTCTTCCGTGTATGGAATGTTTTTTGTTTGTTTTGTTTTTTTGAGACGGAGTCTTGCCCTGTCACCCAGGCTGGAGTGCAGTGGCACAATCTCAGCTCACTGCAACTTCCGGCTTCCAGGTTCAAGCAGTCCTCCTGCCTCAGCCTCCCCAATAGGTGGGATTACAGGCATGCACCACCGCTCCTGGCTAATTTTTGTATTTGTAATAGAGATGGAGTTTCACCATGTTAGCCAGGCTGGTCTCAAACTCCTGACCTCAAGTGATCCGCCTGCCTCCCAAAGTGCTAGGATTACAGGCGTGAGCCACCGTGCCCGGCTGGAACGTTTTTAAATGTCAAGCATTCCCATAAATTCAAGAACAGTGTTACCTCCATTTCACTGATAAGAAAATAAACTCAGAGATATTAAGTAATTAATCCAAGGTCAACTAGCAAGCAAGCAGGAGGACCAGAACTCAAATGCCAGGTTTTCTTCTTGGATACATATTGGCAGACCAAATCTCTCCCCACTTCCTGCCATTTTTCTTGGTTATCTATTAAAAAGGAGAAACTAAACTAATCAAGTGGCTTTGTTTCTTCTCCACCTGTCCCACCACTCCCGCCAACACCCTTCCATGACGTTCCTCATTGCCACGCTGGCAGGGTGGCCCTGGGTATTTGTCCCCATCTTATAGAGAGAACATGGAGAAGCTGAGTGGGGCTAAGGAGTTCAGATCACTCACTTGCCACACCCAGAAATCAGTAAGTTGTTGGGGAGTGGTGGGGGTCGAGCTGGAATCCAGAGCTCCAAGCCATCTCTCTCCCCAACACAGACCTGGGTCACAACCCTTGTGATCAAACCTGATGCTTTCCAAGGTATTGCCCTTTGCAACCTTGTGAGGCTGACTGAGGGAGGTTGCTGAGCAATGCTTCCAAATTGCTGAAGGATAAATGGGAGACAGGGCATACACACACACACACATGCACACACACACAGATATACACCACTCCCTGGTCATCTGAGAATCAACATCACCTTACAATGTCCCTGTGTCTGAGCATTGGCCCACAGTGTTGAGGAGCTGACTAGGATGTGATTTTAGAGAAGATTGGAGCCCTGGGTTCTCACCTGTTAGCTGCCTCCTGACACGTCCGCTGATGTCTCACACCAACCCTGGAATACAACTTGTCCAAAGGGACAATCTTGATTTACTTCCATATGGCAGCAATTCCCATAAATGCCTGACCATCCAGCTGGGTGCTCGGACGTGAAGTCTCTAGGGCCTCCGTGGGTCCTCCTTTCCTCGTCCCACCTCCAGGCCATCAACATTGTCACCACTAGAGCCCAAGTCACATCCTCTCTCACCCAGAATTCTGCACAACCCTCTCAATGGGTCTCCCATTTCCTGTGTTGCCTCCTCCAACTCATTCTCTACCCAGCAAGCGTCATTGGATTGTGTCATTCCCCTGATTAAAACCCCTCAACAGTTACCCCCTGCAGCTAGGCTGAAATCCACATGGCCATGAGGCCCTGCAGATCAGGCTTCTGGCAGTTTTTCCAAGCTGTCTCATGCTTCTTGCATCATTGCCACGCTGGTCTTCCCAGAGTGCTGCCCCCACCTCCCAATACGCCAAGTTCTCTTCTTCCTTTGGAAATGCGCCATGCCATCCCCATTCTTGGCAGCCTCTTCCCACTGCAACCCCTGTGCGCTCCTTCTCCCGCTGCACACAGCAAGTGCATCCTTCTGGATGAGGCCTTTCTGATCACCCAATGCCACCACAATTCATGATGCTTTCCTCACTTGGCTGTTAGTTTGTTGTGCATCACCCACACCCAACTCTAAGCTCCATAAGAGCAAGGGCCAAGCTGTCCACCCCATCACCCAGCGCCTGGCATAGCGCTGGGCAAATTAACAGACTCTATAAATACTTGAGGAGCGAACTAATGATACAACAGCTACAAGCCCTTATAGGAGAATCATACGTGCTGACAATCAATAATTCTTAATATATTTTATAATAATAATAGCCAACACCAATGTAGGCCTGCTCTGAGCCAGGCACTACCCTAAGCACTTTACATGTGTAAATGCATTTAACCCTCCCAATAACCCCATCATGTACCCAGTATTACTATACCCACCTTGGATATGGGGTGCTGGGTACATGATGGGGTTATTGGGGGGATTAAAGGCGTTCACACATGTAAGGAAATTGAGGCACAGGTTAAGTAACAGGCCCAGTGTCACACAGCAAGCAGGTGGTGCAACTTGAGTTTCAGCCCGAGCTTCACTCCAGTGTTCATGCCCTCAGCCTCTAGGCAACAGTGCCTAAATGTTCATCCACTAACGAAAGGGGTGAACCAACTCTAGCACAATGCAGTGCAGCCATGTAAAGAAAGATTAAGCTGCCGGGCACAGTGGCTCACGCCTGTAATCCCAGCACTTTGGGAGGCCGAGGCGGGTGGACCACTTGAGGTCAGGAGTTCAAGACCAGCCTGGCCAACATGGTGAAACCCCATTTCTACTGAAAATACTACATATATATATATATATATATATATATACACACACACACATATATATGTGTATATATACACACACACACACATACACACGTATATATGTATATATGTGTATATAAGTATATATACGTATATACATATATACGTATATGTGTGTATATATATACGTGTGTGTGTGTATATATATGTGTGTGTATATATATATATACACGTATATATACGTGTATATATATATACGTGTGTGTGTGTATATATATATATAGCCAGCCATGGTGGTGCGCGCCTGTAACCCCAGCTACTCGGGAGGCTGAGGCAGCAGAATCTCTTAAACCCAGGAGGTGGAGGTTGCAGTGAGCCAAGATCGCGCCCCTGCACTCCAGCCTGGGCGACAGAGCAAGGCTCCATCTCAAAAAAAAAAAGAAAGGAAGAAAGATTAAGCCCCTCTGCCTTTACCAGCATGGACAGATATCCCGATAGGACAGTGGGTGAATAAGCGAATAGAGATCAACATGTTTTAATCCCATTTGGGGGAAAAATCAAACAAAGCAACAACCAGGTATGATTGTTCATACGTAGCAACATGGCTGGAAACACACACCGCAAGCGGCTGACTGGCCACTGCTGCGGCCTCCCCTGGACCCTCCCTCCAGGCTCTGGGCAAGTGGTGCTCGCTCTTCAGTGAGACCCCGACTGCCCTTCAGAACATCTCCTGTCACGCTCCGGGCCTTTGCTCAGCTTCCTCATTATAGCACATATTTATTTGTTTAATTCCTGTCTCTGTAAGGGTGAATACAAATTGCGAAAGAAAAATAAAATTTTCTCTGATGTAAAAAGAGAAAAAGACCCCCTCTTTCTGTTAGAGCATTTCCTTGAGAAAACATGTAATTATCCATTCTTCCTCTGGCCTTTTGAGATGTAAATCTCTTTAAAGGCTAGATAAGCCTCTTGCAGGTTTTACAACCCAGGAATGTTTTTCTTACGGGTCTAAGAGCCTTCACTTTGAAATGTGAACATCAAGGAAGGTCGTCCTCCTATCTTCCAGTCTAGATGAGAATTAAATTTAGGTGACTAGCTGCAAGTTATAACTATGTCCTTGTCACAGAGATATAAGAAGTTTGTTATTCCTTTGAATAACGACAATTAAGAAGCACAAATCAGCCACCCCAATTACCAAGTGAATGTAAGATAAACTATGTGTGATAAATGTGCTGTCAAATCCCCTTGCTTGAGGGTTGCATATTGTTGATCTCGGGAACACGGATGTAATGGGTCGTATCTGCTTGGCTACATGAAAGGGTGAGATTTCTTGCTGTCTTTGCAGCTTTTGAGCAGATTGCCAGTGACGTGCATTGCATTCTGGCTTAATATTTACTCACTGATAACACTGTGTTCTTTCTTTTCTACTTTTGTGGAATGGCTTCCTGGCTTGGCAGGGGATTTTGTCTTTCATTATATTTCCTCAACATCTCTTCCTTAGTACAGCATAAGATCCATAGGCTTTTTGTCCTTCTTGTTCACAGCCGTCCCCAGCATTGTGCCTGGCATTGAGTAGGCATTCAAAACATGTTTATGGAATAAATAAATAAACCAACTCCCAATGTCGTTTGAATTTTTTCTTTAACAATGAGCAAGTCTCACTTATTATAATAAAAAAAATTGAGCTTTTAAAAACTCTACAATTGCTAATAGAACAGGAACTGGTTTGCTTTACAGATCAGGATTTCATTTCCTGTTAATCCCCATGCTTCTCAGACACGAGTCAGTATGCTTCAGATCGTTATTAGTAACTACTTCAGACATTGTCATTAGCAGCCTCTGCAGACATCATGCAAAATAAAGAATACCTTCAGAACTCACACTCCCAGTTACCTAGGTCCTTTCTAAGTACTGAGAATTTATCCCTTTCTATCTCAAAAGCACTGCAGAGAAGATTCTCAGAATGTTCAGTATCAGCACCTCAATCCTCCAATAAGCTACCAATTTTCAATTTTCACAGTGATGGGTTGTTTTTTTGTTTTTGTTTGTTTGTTTGTTTGTTTTGTTTTTGTTTTTTTTGTTTTTGGGATTCTTTGTGTTTTTTTTGTTTTTTTTTTTTGTTGTTGTTTTTTTTTTTTTGAGATGGAGCCTCGCTCTGTCACCCCAGGGCTGGAGCAAAGTGGAGCGAAGTGGCCAGTAGCGCTGCCCCGGCTCACTGAAGCCTCTGCCTCTCAGGCTTAAGTGATGCTCCCATCTCAGCCTCCCAAGTAGTGAATAGCTGGGGATTATAGGCGCCTGCCACCACGCCAGACTAATTTTTTGTATATTTGGTAGAGACGGGGTCCCGTCATGTTGTCCAGGCTGGTTTCAAACTCCTGAGCTCAAGCGATCTGCCCACCTCAGTCTCCCAAAGTGCTGGGATAACAGGCATGAGGCACTGCGCCTGGGCCACAGTGGTGTTTTTATAAGTAGCATCTCTCCCTGAGTGGTCTCATCAGATTGGACAGCTCAGGTCCTGTGCACTGCACCCCTGCACCCATCCCAAAGCCTTCCACACTCTTCTCAGAATGAGTGGATGAAGAAAACCAAAAATGGTCATAGCACATTCTATGGTTAGTTTCCAGAAGGCAGTGTGCACACCAGGCCCTGTACCAAGCACCTTAGGTGCATTAACTCGCTTAATTCTCACAACCACCCCATGAGTTGGGTACTATTAATATCCCCAGTTTACAGATGAGAAAACGGAGGCTCCAAGATGTTGAGTGACTTGCCTAGTCACATAGTTATTGGAGGCTAAAGTGGGGACACACTCTAGATGGCCTTGACCCCAAAGTCTCAGCTCTTAATCCAAAGCCATAAAATGCCCTTAGCCCCAAAGCAAGGAAACAAAAAAGAAAAAACTCAACCAGGCAGGAACCTGGCCAAGAGGAATCAGAATTTGTCTAAGTCACATTTTCTGAGTTCCTACCAAGTGCCAAGCATTAGCCTACACACACTAAAGATGTCACCCAATGCGAGCCACGCAACAGCACTGAGAGGTGTGTACTATAACCATCGTCATTGCAGAGAGGGGGCTACGAAGCTGAGCAAGGGAAAGGGATCTACTAGGGCATCACAGTGAGTTAGTGGCTAAGGCAGAATCCAATTCAGGTCTGTCCCTGTGGCCAATGTTCTTAGCCGCAACTCTCCCAAAGCAATGAAGGAAAACACAAATGACCATCCAAATCGGTCCAAGTTCAAACAGGGACAGAGCTCCCCCAAGGCAGGCTGCGAGGAGAAAGGGGTTGTCCTGAAGTGGGCGGTGGTAGTTATCACTGGTGATGTTCTCCACACCAGCTTAAGGGGCAGAGTGAGTCCTCTGTCCTGGCAATGGAGAAGCTCAAGGGTTCTTTTTGTATGCCATCTCGCGGACAAGGGCCACCGGCCTGTGTTCCTGCTCTGTCTTCTTTTGTGCCCAGCGCCTTGCAGATGCTCAATTAATAGTTGCTGAATTGCACACTGACCACAAGGAGGTGAAAAAAAATTTTTAAAATAGTTGCCGAACAAAGGAATAAATGTACATGTTCCCTTCTACAAGAGACCTATAGCTGGTGCTTCCACAGTGGCCAACTGAGAAGTGGTCTGAAGGGGCCTGGAATCCAGGTGTCCTCCTCTGCCCTCCTCCTTTCCATGTGGCCTACAAGGTCATTTGTGTGGAGAAGGATGAAGTGGGTCAAGGAGGAAAGCCTTGTGAGTGCTGATATCCTGCCTGTCCTGCACACATATGGTTGCTTTTAATCCTTGCAGGAAGCCACTGAGGCATTTGTCATTATTTGTATATTACAGAGTAAGAAATCTGAGGTTCAAGGAGTTTACATCATTTCCCTCTGGCCACTCAGCCAGTAGTTATGCCCTCTGGAAGGCAACTCTGACCCGTTTGCCTCCAAAGACCCTGCCAGTTAACCACAGAGGGAGAAGAATGAGTAGGTACTGCGTGATGGACACAAACCACACACATGATCAGCACACAGCAAGTATGTGGTGAATGAATGAATAAATGAGTGAACAAGAATATTTCAAGAAGAGGATTACTAACAGGATTTGTTATTACAAAACGTCATGAAAAATGGAGACTGGACAAAGTCTAGTAGATTTGACAGTTAATTTCAACTTACAGTAGCAAAAAAAAAAAAAAACCTGAGGAAATCACCTATATATCCATCTCCAGGAGATTAGATTAATCATGGTGTATCCATATGACAAAATGCTCTACAGATTTTAAAATAATGTTCCACAATTACGGTTTTGACAGGAAACACATTCGTGATCTTTAAAATGAAAACAGTGGCCGGACGCGGTGGCTCACACCTGTAATCCCAGCACTTTGGGAGGCCCAGGCGGATGGATCACTTGAGGTCAGGAGTTGGAGACCAGCCTGCCCAACATGGGGAAACCCCATCTCTGCTAAAAACACAAAAATTAGGCAGGCGTGGTGGCATGTGCCTGTAGTCCCAGCTACGCTCAGGAGGCTGAGGCAGGAGAATCGCTTGAACCTGGGAGGCAGAGGTTGCAGTGAGCCAACATCGCACCATTGCACTCCAGCCTGGGCAACAGAGCAAGACTCTGTCCTCTCTCCCAACTTAGCAGCTTGAAATGACATTTATAATCTCAGCTTCTGGGAGTCAGGAATCCAGGCATGGCTTAGCTGGGTGCCTGTGGCCCAGGGTCTCTCACAGGGTTGCAATCAAGGTGTTGGCTAGGACTGTGGTTATCTCAAGGCTCACATGGTTGAGGGGAGGGTTAATCTGATTAGCAGCTCACCTGAAGCGGCTAGCAGGCCTCCGGTCCTTGCGGGCTATTGCCCGGAAGCTGCTCTCTGTTCCTTGCCACATGGGGCTCTCCATGGGGCAGATCATGGACAAGAGAACCAAAGGGGGTGCCCAAGACTGGAGGAGCCACAATCTTTTGTAACCTCATCACAGTAGTGGCATTCCATCACTTTTCTGTATTTTATTTATCAGATGCAAAGATCTAGGCCCAACCTTGACCCAAGAGAAGGAGATTACACAGGTACATGAACACCAGGAGCTGAGAGTCACCAGCTTTAGGTTGCCTGCCAGAGAGCTCTGCCGGGCCCTGGATTTGGCATTAGCCTTGAGTGGGTGAGAGTCAATGGTCCCCCTTTGAATACCACTGAGAGTCCATCTGAGAGTTCAAGCCAAGCCAGACTCCCTGACTTCCTGGTGCTGATTGTCTGACTTGGGAAAATGATTTTCTCTAATGAAGTTTTCATGTTGCTTCTGTAAGAAAGAAAGTTGATTACCACTCTCAGCCATTGCTCAATTGCATTTGTGACATGGAGCTAATTTTCTTTGATGACACATTATTCTCTCACTGCCACGCAAGTGTGCTTCTCATTTGTAAAATGCTGTCACCTCATTACTTGGCCATTAGAGGGTTTTAAAAGTGGCTTTCTAGAAATTATATTTCAGTTTCCATTTCAAGTAAAAACGAGCTTAAGCATGAGACTTTAGTGATGCTATTTTCATATGCTTCTTTTGCCTTTCACCTCTAAAAGTCTTCCCAAGCGAGCTACATGTACTGCCTACACCTCAGTTTGGGTCAGTAGTTCTTTATTTCCTCCTTACTTCACCTTCCTCTCTGAGTCTATGTTGGACCAGATGCTGGGCAGCTGCAGAAATCTCATAGTATTTTCCTACATTTTTTCCAGGATGACACATAAAAGCCCAAGAGCCACGTGGATAACACACTTCCAGATACAGACAAAATAAGACACACACAAAATTACGGGATATAGTTCTTAACCACCACAGCAATAGTTCTTAACCACCACAGGCATTGATCACACATCAATTACAGATCAATTACAGATGCCCACTACAGGGTGCAGAGAGATGAAATGGCACATGTGGGTGTTATGGGCATGAAGTCTAATTGACCAGCTTCGTGGTGTATGAGCAGTCAGGATTTTTTTTTTTTTTGAAACTAAATTAAATCACAGTCATCTAATCTGTAATGGCCAAAAATTCCATCCCTGTACCATGCACCACCCTCCATGGGTCAAGCAAAGATGTTGGGGTTTCATGCTGGACAGAAGATTCTAGAATGATTCTGTCTGGACTCTACACCAGTAATGGTGGCACCAAGGGGTGATTTGAGATATGGGGGAGCTAATAGGTGTCTATTTTGTTATTACGTATATCTTAAGTATACACATATGCTATACATTATTTGTTTTTTTAAAACTGCATCATAAAATGTTAAAATTTTAAGATCAGTTACTATTTCAAAACCTATTATCCCATCTAGGTCCTCAGAGTCCCACCACTGTGCCCCTCAGCAGGTGCCCGCACACATGCATGCACACACCCACGCACACACACGTGCCCCTGCACACCCCCGGAGATTCAGCTCTAAGAAGTGAATAAGCCACTTCCCACCACTGTCCCTGCCTTAAACTGGAGGAACCCACCCCCTCCTGCTGCTCCTGCTTCTCATTCCCCAAAGGCACTGCCCTCTCTGGCTTTCTCCTTCCAAGACATCTGGAGTATTCTCCTCAATTTGCTTAAACTGCTGCAAAAGATAGCAAGAGGGACCATCTGTAAGCAACTTCTGCTTTTAGCTCCAGAACACAAAGAAGCTCAAAACTGAAAACTTAGACAATATAAAAGACTAGGCTGGGCAAGGTGGCTCACCCCTGTAATCCCAGCACTTTGGGAGGCTAAGGCGGGAAGATCGCTTGAGGCCAGGAGTTTGAGACCAGCCTGGCCAACATGGTGAAACCCCGTCTCTACTAAAAATACAAAAATTAGCTGGACATGGTGGCACGTGCCTGTAATTCCAGCTACTTGGGAGGCTGAGGCATGAGAATCGCTTGAATCTGGGAGGCAGAGGTTGCAGTGAGCCAAGATTGTACCACTGCACCCCAGCATGGGTGACAGAACAAGACCCTGTCTCAAAAACAAGAGACTAAATGACTACCTAACAAATAAGGCTTTTTCATGGCATGTGTCAGTATAAGTCTTAGAACTGACAAGAAAAAACCTTTACAAATGCACGAAGTATTTCAGCAGAAATTTCACAGAAAAATAAATCCAAATGGCCAAGAAATATACAAAAAGATTCAAGTACATAAGTAATCAAGTATGGTAGACAGAATAACTTTCCCCTAACAAAAGATGTGCACGTCCCAATCCACAGAAACTGCGAATGTGTCATGTTACAAGGCAAAGGAATGAAGGTTGCAGATGGAACCCTGTGACCTTCAAAAAGTTCCTTTTGGCCTGGCACAGTGGCTTACTCCTGTAATTCCAACACTTTAGGAAGTCAAGTCAGAAGGATCGCTTGAGGCTAAGAGTTCAAGACCAGCCTGGGCAACATAGCACCCATCTCTATAAAAACTAAAAAAATTAGCAGGATATGGTGGCATGCGCCTGTAATTCCAGCTATTCAGGAGGCTGAGGCAGGAGGATTGCTTGAGCCTTGGTGGTTGAGGTTGCAGTGAGCCATGATCATGCCACTGCACTCTAGCCTGGACAACAAAGAAAGACTCTGTCTCAGAAAAAAAAAAAATAGAAGGACACTGTTAAATAGGCAGTAAAAATCACCATGACAACTCAAGGGAGAGAGATTACGAAAAGAAGAAAACAGCTTCATATTTTAATACCTTGAAAGGCACTTCTTGCCTGCTTTTTTAATTATTATTTTTTATTTTACTATTTTATTTTATTTTGAGACTGGGTCTCACTGTCGCCCAGGCTGGAGTGCAGGGGTGTGATCATAGTTCACTGCAATCTCTGCCTCCTGGGCTCAAGCAATCCTTCCACTTCAGCCTCCGGAGTAGCTGTCACTATAGGCGCTGTCACCCCTGAGACAGCAAGAACAACCTTTCCTCTTCCTTTTCCTCCTCAGCCAGCTCAATGCAAAGATGACAAGGATGAAGACCTTTTTTTTTTTTCTTAAGATGGAGTTTCACTCTTGTTGCCCAGGCTGGAGTGCAGTGGCACGATCTCGGCTCACCACAACCTCCGCCTCTTGGGTTCAAGGGGCCTCAACCTCCTCCTCAACCTCCTGCCTCAACCTCCTGAGTAGCTGGGATTACAGGCATGTACCACCACACCCGGCTAATTTTTTGTATTTTTAGTAGAGACTGAGATTCACCATGTTGGCCAGGCGGGCCTCGAACTTCTGACCTCAGGTGATCAGCCTGCCTTGGCCTTCCAAAGTGCTGAGATTACAGGCGTGAGCCACCGCGCCTGGCCTTATATGGCTGCCTTTAATGTCAGATTCTCAAGTTAAGATCATAAAAGTCAGTCCTACATTTCTCTGCTAAAGACACCATTTAGAGTCGGGGTAAATAGACACTCTTGGCCAGGCGCAGTGGCTCATGCCTGTAAGTCCAGCACTTTGGGAGGCCGAGGCGGGCGGATCACCTGAGGCCAGGAGTTTGAGACCAGCCTGGCCAACATGGTGAAACCCCGTCTCTACTAAAAATACAAAAATTAGCCAGGCGTGGTGGTGCACTCCTGAGGTCCCAGCTACTCAGGAGGCTGAGGCAGGAGGATCACTTGAGCTTGGGAGACAGAGGCTGCAGTGAGCTGAGATCACACCACTGCACTCCAGCCTGGGTGACAGAGCAAGATTCCATCTCAAAACAAACAAACAAACAAAAAACTCTCATTTGCTGTACTCTGCAACCTTTATGGAGTGAAATTTTGCCATTTATTCAAATTTACAAATACACATATCTTCTCACTAAGCAATTTCACTTTGAGGAATTTATTACACAGGCATACTTAAACACGGCAAGTGACAGAAATACCCGCTGGTTCATCACAGCATGGTTTATGATCACAAGGACTGGAAAATACCCTAAATACCCTAATGGTCCACCCACAAGGGATTGGTTAAAGCATTACAGCACCCTGGAATACACTGGAATGCTAAGCAGATTTTAAGAATAAGGAAGATTTTTGTGTACATATTCAGAAAACTCTAAAATATAATGGAAGCAAAAAAAGTCCAGGTGAAGAACACTGTGTATACTATGCCCCACTTGGGTAAAAACAGCAATGAAAACCGTTCATAGGAATTTGCCTGCACACATGTAAAATTTTCTAGAAGGATATGCACAAGCAACGGGTAACAGTGTTTGTCTCTAGGGAGAAAAAAATGAGGAGAACTGGTCACTGGGATAGGAAGGAAGCTTGTCATTGTGTAGACTTTTTGTACCTTTAAAAATCTGAACCGTGAGAACACATTATCTATTCATGAAAATGAAGAAATTAAAATAAATATAGTTCATGCATGAGCTGCTGCTCTAGAGAGACAAAGAGAGCTGACACAATAAGAAAAAAACAAAACTGTCACAAGTTCAGGCAGGCAGCAGCTCCAATACATTTTGTTAAAAGCAAAAGTTTCTTCACTTTTAGAAGAAGAAAAAAAGAACCTAAAGTCTATAATTACAGTATTATATTTACTGTCAAATTTAAAGGGAAAAACAAAATTACCTTTTTCTCTTCTCTAATAAGCATATAGCATGAATCACAAACTCAACTGCCCATGAAGCCTGGGCAGGAAACTTAAATGAATGAAGAAGGCCTGGTGACAAGAAAATCACGGGCGCTTTGGGAGGCCGAGGCAGGAGGATCACGAGGTCAGGAGATCGAGACCATCCTGGCTAACATAGTGAAACCCCGTCTCTACTAAAAATACAAAAAATTAGCCAGGCGTGGTGGCGGGCGCCTGTAGTCCCAGCTACTTGGGAGGCTGAGGCAGGAGAATGGCATGAACCCGGGAGGCTGAGGTTGCAGTGAGCTGAGACCGCGCCACTGCACTCCAGCCTGGGCGACAAAGCGAGACTCCATCTCCAAAAAAAAAAAAAAAAGAAAGAAAATCATGGGAACCATGAGGAAGTCGAGATCAGATGCCATCTGGAGGTGGCACTGTCACCGGGTGACAGAGGGGCTTCAGGCAAGGCATCTCTACAACATCCCAGCTAACGTGTGTGCCCTCTCTGTGCACCAGGCACTGAGTGAAGCCCTTTCCAAGAACTGTGTCAAAGAATTATCTCAACAATCTCATGGGGGAAACTATTATTATCTTCATTTTACACATGAAAAGACCAAGGCTCAGAGAAGTTGAGTCACTACTTCCAAATCACACAGCTGGACTTCTAGGGCCAACCTGACAGACAATCTGCACCCTTAAGCACTCTTCCCCAGCTTCTTGCAGACACTTAAATGGAAGGATTCCCATCCAGGGGCACTTTAGGACCTCCCTCCAACAGACCCTGTTACTTTCACAGCTATAACTCCATCTTATGTAATAAATATTTTTTAATGCATATGTGTTTAATATCATTTCTGTGCCTGTGTAAGAGCTTGGTTGAGTTGAATTGCAGTTGACTAATAGAATATTACATCTTTTGTAAAATATATTTCTTTTTCTTTTTCTAGAGAGACAGGGTCTCGCTCTGTCACCCAGGCTGGAGTGCAGTAGCACCATCGTGGCTCCCTGAAACCTGGACCTCCTGAGCTCAAGCAATTCTGCGTCAGCCTCCCGAGTAGTTGGGACTACAGGTGCATGCCACCACACCAGGCTAATTTATTTTTATTTTTGTAGTGACAGGGTTTCGCTATGTTGCTCAGGCTGGTCTTGAACTCCTGAGCTCAAGTAATCCTCCCACCTCAGCCTCCCAACGTGCTTGGATTATAGGCATGAGCCATTCCACCCAGCCAGAACATCTTTATTGAAGTATAATTTACACAGCATAAAATTCATCCATGTTAAGTGTACAGTCCCACGAGTTTTAGTTACACAGCTGTCACCATCCCTACAATCTGGGTTTAGGATCCTTCCCTCACCCCAAGACGTTCCTCCCACTCCTTGGCAGTCAATCTCATTTCCCACTCCCAGCCCTAGGCCACCACGGATCTGTTTTAGGTCTCTGTGATTTTGCCTATTCTGGGCACTTCATGTAGCTGGAATCCTCCAGTGTGTGACTTTTGTGCCTAGATTTTTTCAATTGGCATAAGAGCTTTGAGATTCATTTATGTTGTGCATGTATCAGTAGTCTGTTCCCTTTAATTGTTGCATTGCGTCCCATTGAAGACTTGTGCCACAGTACGTCCCAGTTTATGGGCATTCCTAATTGTTGACTAATATTTATAAGATCTCTACAAACATTGGTGTCTTCACATTTTAGTCTTTGAGTGTCGAGCCTTTGTTTCTCTTGAGAAGCTACCGAGGAGTGGAGTTGCTGGGTTGTATGGTTAGTGTATGTCTAACTTTTCAAGAAACTGCCACACCATCTTTCGCTTTACATTCACGCCAACAATCTATGAGGGTCAGAGGACTTTTTATTAAACATGTACTAATATCAATTCTCATATTTATTTTCTTCTTTGGAGCTAACACGTAAACATATCTATAATTTTTTTTCAGATTTCACCCATTTCTGCAGGGAGAAAAGCTCATAAGCCACGGCCCTACGCCCACCTTTGTGCCCGCAGAATAAGGAAACCCGCCAACTACACACCACAGTTAGAAAGCCCAAGACCCTGAAAAGACCTGCACCCACCCCCAAAGGGGCGGGGCTGGTGGGCGGAGAGGAGGCGGGGCGCGCTCCTTCAGCCCCGCCCACCAGCCCTGGACTCCGGCTCCCGAGGAGCGGAGCTAGCGGGTGAGCCAAGGGGATGTGCACAGGCCTCCTCAGTCCCGCCCAGCGCGCGCGCGCGGCGGCGAAGCCGGCGGGCGGGGCCGGGGAGGGCCCTCGCCGGGTCAGCTCCGCCCACCCTCCCCGGCCTCCGCCCGCCTCCCGGGTCAGCGGCGCGGGTGCTGCGCCTAGCTGCGCACCATGGCCGGGTTGCTGGCGTTGCTGGGTCCGGCAGGCAGGGTGGGCGCCCGGGTCCGGCCTCGCGCCACCTGGCTCCTGGGCGCCACCGCCCCCTGCGCCCCGCCGCCCCTGGCCCTGGCCCTGCTCCCGCCCAGGCTAGACGCCCGGCTGCTCCGCACGGCGCGCGGGGACTGCCGCGGCCACCAGGTAAGCACCCCACCCCGACCCTGATCCCGGGCGGTGTCCAGGTCCCCAGACGTCCGCAGGGCCGCGCCGGGGTCCGGCCGCCTCCGCCAAGGACGCCTTTGCACTTGTAGCTGCCCGGGACCGAGCTCTTCCAGGGTCCCCGAAACCCCAAATCCCTGCAAGCCAAGGAAGCGATCCTCCTAGTTGACAGCCAGAGAAACTGAGGCTCGGGAAGGTGTGGCGCTCTGCCCAAGGTCGCGCAGTCTTCGGCCGAGCCCCGGGTCTGCAGAGCCTCAGCCAGGCTGGGGCGCAGCCGACTGACTTGGTCTGAACTTCCACACGTTGCCTGCGGAGTTGTTGTCCAGGCCTTCTGGCTGGGTCTCGCTGTGTTTTGAACACCTCCCGACGCTCGCTGCTCCTCCCTTTTCTTCTGAGTGGAAGAGCAGGCGTCCTCAGGGAAGCCGCGGGCAAGAAACCCACAGTGCTGTTTGTTATGTTTCATTTCCGTCACTTTCCATTGGTGCTAAGTGAAAACTGGTTTTCCTTCAGAGCAGTCATACCAGCTTTCCTTTCAAGAAATCTATCACTTTCTTCCAAGTGAGTCTTTTTAAATAAAAATAGTAGTAAATGAAGTCTGGCGGTCCAGGAATGGCAAGCCCAGACACGCGGAGCCGGCGTCCAGCCCGGAGCGCATCCGGCCTGGCAGTCTGGAGCCTCTTTGTTTGCCTGGGTGCAGACAGGGCCCCTCCATTCATCGCCCGGTGACCTCAGACCGAGTCCTGAAGGCTTTTGAGCTTGTTTTCTGACCTTTAGAGGGCCAAAAATAGCACCTTCCCAGCAAGAGTTTGGGAGACAACTCCATGAGCTGGTGCAGGCCTCAGCGGAGTGCCGCCGGCCCAGCGAACATCTCCTGACCGTTTCCTAGCTTTTCAGTAAGGAGCGGATGGGGATTGGACCCAGGCTTTCATCATGCCTCCTGCCCAGATCAACTTCCTTCCTTGCCTTCTCCAGTCCGACAGGTGGCACACAGGTCTTGGGGATCCTCTCCAGAGTGGCACCTTCTGCACACACCGTGCCGCCTCCTGATGATTCTTCAGGGCCCAGCCCAGCTGTTCCTTCCTCCGGGAAGCCCTCTCTAACGACCTGTGAGGTCTCGGATGCCTCCACTGGGCCTGCTTCCACCCCATGGCTGTGGGTCTTCTCTGCACTCATCTGGAATGGCCTCTTGTCCTGCCTGTCAGCCACATTGACCTTGTCCCCAGCTCAGGCCCTGGCACTGGAGCGGTGTGTGTGTATACAGTGGCAAAGAGTTGGCCTCAGACTCCCTGGATTCCTCTCTCTACTCACTTGTTGTTGACTTTGATCAAATTCCCTTCTCTCTATCTCAGGCCCCTCATCTGTAAAATGGGACGTTAATAATTCAGACTTCATAGAATATGAATGTAAAATGAGATATGTTCATACCTGGCATCTGGTGTGTCCTAAATTAAGGTTAGAAATGACTATAATTGCAGTAAATATATACAGTCACAAGGCCCCAGGGCCCCGTGAGCTGTCCTTGTTTCTTCTGCACCGTGGTAAAATCGGCAGAAACCCAAGTGGGATCAGAACCTCAAAGGAGATTAGGACAAAAGATAACTCATCTGCCTGAGAAAACGCGTCCCCAGCAGGGCCTGGGAGCAGTGCAGGGAGGGTCTGGGCTTGGCCAGAGCCCAGAACCTCCCCTGTCGTCTGTTCTGGCCGCCCACCCTCGTCGGGAGGTAGGAGTGTGCTGCCCAGCTGGGCTCTCCAAATTTGCCAGGTGTTTAATTAAGAGCCAAAGAGGCCCACCCACGCTGCCTTGGCAGGGGGTCTCTGTAAGAGGGGTAGGGAAAGCCACAGAAGAGACCTGCCTTTTTGTCTTAACATGATTCCATGTCCTGTAAACCGCCTAGCAGCCCCGCCTGCCTGTGCCACTTATTCCTTCCAGGGACGTAGGGGGAGTTCAGGCAGATGACTTGCTCTCCCAGAGCCCCAGTGTCCTTTTGTCTCCGTCAGTTCTGGTTCCAGTGGCACCTTTTCAGGGAGACCTTCCCTGATGGCCTTATTTAACATTCCTCCTACTCCCTGTCTCCCGCCCCATTGGTGTTTCTCTATGGCACTTGTCACAGGTAGCAGCCCTGGTATTTTACTCTTCTGTTTATTGTCCCTGCCTTCCCATAAGACCATAAGCTCATCGAGGGTGGGGTTTTGTCAGTTTTTTCCATTGCTCTGTCCCCTACACTGAGAACAGTGCCTGGCACAGAGGAGACACTCATGAATACACGAGGAGTAACATAGCATGGTTGTTCAGAGCAAAGGCCCTGGACCCAGACTCAGCGAGTTTGGATCCCAGCTCTGACAGTAATCCCTGTGTGATCCTTGGTAAATTACTCAACCTCTCTGGGCTTCTCAGATCCTCTTCTGTTAAGTGGGGTTGACAGTAGTCAAGGTTGTTGTGAGGATTATATGCATTAATATTTCCTTTTTTTAAAATTAGAGATGAGGCCGGGCGCGGTGGCTCACGCCTGTAATCCCAGCACTTTGGGAGGCCAAGGTGGGTGGATCACCTGACGTCAGAAGCTCGAGACCAGCCTGGCTAACATAATGAAGCCCCGTCTCTACTAAAAATACAAATATTAGCCGGGCATAGTGGCACGTGCCTGTAGTCCCAGCTTCTCGGGAGGCTGAGGCAGGAGAATCGCTTGAACCCGGGAGGCGGAGGTTGCAGTGAGCCAAGGTCGTATCACTCCACTCCAGCCTGGACGACAGAGCACGAATCTGTCTCAAAAATATAAAATAATAAAATAAAAGATATGTTGGCCAGCTTGGTCTTGAACTTCTGGCCTCAAGCAATCCTCCTACACCTCAGCTTCCCAAAGTGTTAGGATTACAAGCATGAGTCACCGTGCCCAGCCAATATTTTCAAAGTACTCAGAACAGTGCCTAGTACAGAATATACACAATATAGTGTTTATTATTAATATGATTTCTCAAGTGGAAGAAAACAGGTGTCACTCCAAACACTGCGATCGGCTTGGCAAGGTCCTTGGCTCATTCTTTAAACCTTCCTACCCCCTCTCTATTACAGGTTTTTGTACTTTAAAAAATGTTGGGGAGAGGCAGAAGGGGCATCTCACACACACACTGTCTCACACACACTCTCACACACATGTGCATGCATGCTGAGTACAGACAGAAGATGTGTCACGCCGTCCTGTGCATTCAGGACAGTGCCTAACACATCCCGGGTACTTACGGCAATGTTTCACGAAGAAATGAATGTCTAAAAATTTTCCATTGCCTGCAAGTCACGCCCTCATAAATTCTTTTATTTCAGCTTCTTTAGTCTCCCCAAAGGTTAGGAAGAAAAATGCGTGGCTCACAGTGCTTATAGATGGGTGTTTTTATCAAAACAAAAGGAATAAAATTGTCCAGTAACTGGGTGTTCTCTAGAATGTCAGAAGCCAACCGTGGTGCCAGCTAACCCGAGATTGTCCCTGTGTCTGAATGTCTTGGCCCTACCACAGTCTTGCAGTAGATTCTGCTCAGTTCTATAGCTGGAATCCTGGCTGCCTTTTTATTTTTATTTTTTGGCCAAAAGTCCTTTTGCCAAAATAAAGACTATAAAGAAGAGGGCCCTCGCAGAGACAGCTGCAGTCGGTCCAGTGATTGGACAGAATGGGGCCAGGTGTCAAGGGCATGGGTGTTTGGCCCTGCGAGGGGCTGTAGGTGGCCTCCTATCAGTCCCCACCACCTGGCTGCTGTCCCCTCTGCAGCCTCCCTCAGCAGCTGGAGGTGGGTGGGGCTTGTTTATCAGGAAGAACCGATGCCCTCCACAGCCATCCTGGCCGGGGGTGGCAGGACTAGTCAGAAGGCTTCAAGGAAACGGGAGGTCACATGTGCTGGCCAAAGAAAGGGGGGCTGATGACATCTTCCCTCCTCCCCTCCAGAGCCTGGACATTCTGGAAAAGTGTCTTCCTTTAAGAATGGTCATTCTGGCAGGACAGGAAAGGGGAGCCTGCTGAGTACCACAGAGGCTGAGGCCTGGTGGTCACCAGCCCAGTCACCAGTCCATGCTGCCAGTTAGCCGTCCCTCCCTCCTGAGCCTCAGTCATCCATCTGTCAAAACAGGAGCGACAAAGGTTCCTGGGTCATGAGGCAGTGAGGGATTTATGAAATGACGCCTTTGAAGTGGAAGCTCAACTCCTGGCTCAGCAGAAGGGACCTGTCATCGGGACACTGAGGGTTTTCCTCAAATGTTCTAAAAAATCTTATGCCTCTAAAAATAACAGGGTAAAAGTGGGCCAGCTGCAGAGCCCATAACAAGAGCTGACCTCCAGCCAGGTGCGCATCACCTGCCGGGACAAGCCCCAGGACTGTCCTTAGAGAAGTCTTTTGATTAAAGTGCTCTGTTATTGAGAAGTGGTTTTTTTCCCTCCCCTAATGTGGGTGAGGTTGGTATTTTTGTTTCTCCCACACATTCCAGGCTTGGTAGGTGCTCAGTAACTGTTAGCAGATGTCCCATGCAATCCATGATTTCTGTACAAGTCCTGGTAGGGCACTGTGCAAAAATCGCCCCCACTTTGTGTGTTTCAGATGTCAGGTGTAAATCTTGATTCTAGGAGTAAATCTGCCATCGCTTTTGCTGCATTAATTTTGTGCGCACCGTCCTTTTTTGATGGCATATAACATGGTTGTCACATGCTCAGGCTGTGGCCTTGGAGGGCCTGGGTTCTAATCTTGGTGACATCAGGCCAATGACCTCACCTCAGCAAGCCTGTGTTGCTCCTTTGCAAAGTGGGAAAAGCAGTAGTATCTACCTCTGAAGGTTGGCATGAGGATGGAAGGAGAAAGGGTTGGAGGACCACCTGGCTCAGAGAAAATGCTTGATAAAGGATCATTGTCCCCAAGCTTGTGAGCCCTGGTGTTTTAGTTACTATTGCTGCTGTAACAGATGAGCACATAACCTGGTGGTTTAAAACAATCCACATTTATTATCTTACACTTCTAGAGGTCAGAAGTCCAAAATGGGTCTTAATGCACTAAAGTCAAGGTCTCAGCAGAGATGGGTCCTTCTAGGGGCTCGAATCCATGTCCTGCCTTTTCCAGCTTAAAGCCGCTTGCATTCCTTGGCTCATGGCCCTTGCCTCCATAAGCCAGTAGCACCGCATCTTCAGCTCTCTCACTCTGCTTCTGTCCTCACAACCCCCTCCCCGACACTGAGTTTCCTGCCTCCCTCTCTTCACTTATAAGGACCCTTGTGATGACGTTGGTAATAATGTAGCCCAGGTAATCCGGGATCATCTCCCTATCTCAAGACCCTTAATCACATCTGCAAAGTTCTTCTGCCATGTAAGGTGACATATTCACAGATCCTGGGATTGGGACATCTTTGGAGTCATCATTCTGCCAGCCATACCTAGTTCCAGGCTTGCATTGCACTTAGTGACTAAGTTGGCTCAAACTCGGCTCACTGAGTAGGAAAGGGGTAACTGATCCACGCCTGTAATCCTAGCACTTTGGGAGGCCAAGGCGGGTGGATCACCAGGTCAGGAGATCAAGACCAACCTGGCTAACACAGTGAAACCCCATCTCTACTAAAAATACAAAAAATTAGCTGGGTGTGGTGGCACACACCTGTAATCCCAGCTACTTGAGAGGCTGAGGCAAAAGAATCCTTTGAACCAGGGAGGTGGAGGTTGCAATGAGCCACAATCATGCCACTGCACTCCAGCCTGGATGACAGAGTGAGACTCTGTCTCAAAAGAAAAAGGAAAGGGGTAACTGATCTCTCATCCAGCAGGAAAGAGTATAACATTGCATGCGTGTATAAAAGCCGGTAATGACTGCCCGTGCCTGCCCTAAAGCACCTCCTCTTCTCTGATTTGTACACAGGACCCCAGCCAGGCCACGGGGACAACAGGCAGCAGCGTCAGCTGCACAGAGGAGAAAAAGCAAAGCAAGTCACAGCAACTGAAAAAGATTTTTCAAGAGTATGGCACTGTTGGCGTGTCATTGCACATTGGAATCTCATTAATTTCCTTGGGCATATTTTACATGGTTGTGTCAAGGTAAGATTTTTGACAGTAATTAATATTTGTTTTTTACTGTCATGTAAGATTCTATGTGAATAAGAACGTGTTTGCTAAGACTTTTTTTTTAAGACAGGGTCTCACTCCACTGCCCAGGCTGGAGTGCAGTGGCATGATCACAGCTCACTGCAGTCTCGACCTCCCTGGGCTCAAGTGATCCTCCCACCTCAGCCTCCCAAGTAGCTGACACTACAGGCATGCACCACTGCACCCAGCTGATTTGTTTGTTTGTTTGTTTTGGGGGACGGACTCTCGCTCTGTTGCCAGACTGGAGTGCAGTGGCGTGATCTCGGCTCACTGCAAGCTCTGCCTCCCGGGTTCAAGTGGTTCTCCTGCCTCAGCCTCCCGAGTAGCTGGGACTACAGTCGCATGCCACCAAGCCTGGCTAATTTTTGTCTTTTTAGTAGAGCCAGGGTTTCACCCTGTTGGCCAGGATGGTCTCAATCTCTTGACCTAGTGATCCGCCCCCTCGGCCTCCCAAAGTGCTGAGATTACAGGTGTGAGCCCCCGCGTCAGGCCGATTGTATGTTTTTTTGTTGTGTTGAGACAAGAGTCTTGCTATGCTGCCCAGGCTGGTCTTGAACTCCTGAGCTCAAGCGATCCTCCCACCTCGGCCTCCCAAAGTGCTAGGATTACAGGCGTGAGCCACTGCACCTGGCCACTAAGACTTTTATTCATTCAGCTACTTCATTACATTTTTTAAAATACTGTAAATCTTATAGCCAAATCAATTTCTTCATTTAATCCCTTGCTGTAATAATTGTTTTCTTTGCTTCTTCCCCCCTAGTGGTGTGGACATGCCTGCAATCCTGCTGAAACTCGGATTTAAAGAGTCCCTGGTACAGTCAAAAATGGCAGCAGGCACAAGTACCTTCGTGGTGGCCTATGCAATCCACAAGCTGTTTGCGCCAGTGAGAATCAGCATTACGCTAGTCTCTGTGCCCTTGATTGTCAGATATTTTCGAAAAGTGGGATTTTTTAAACCTCCAGCTGCAAAACCTTAATGAACTCTTCAGTCGTACACACTGAAAACCTATTTCTTCTAAATTACATGATTTGGATTGGTTTTAGGGTTTTAGGGTTGTAGGGTTTCTTTTGGAGAGGTAGGGGGCTAATTGCTATGTTCTCATGGATAAACTTTGCCAGCAAAAATCAGGCTTTTGAACAATTTTAATTTTTTGCCTCATAAATTTTGTGAATGCTATTCATTATAGGGCTTGTATATATAATCTAAAATGTCAGCAAGGCATCGGAGATGGGTTAACATCTCAAAACAAAATAGCCTACAAATGTTCCTTGTGGGAGACTTTGGCGAGGGTCTGTGGGTAAAAGCACCAGGGGGTTAATCTTGGCTCAGTTTCCTAAAAAGCATTGATTAATTTAACTGGCTTTTAAATATCCCCTTCCGCTGATATTTGTTGTCAGCTGCCTACAGTTTAATATGCAGCGTTCACAAAACAGCTGCCAGTGCTACAATTAATGAAGCAAAACTTAATATGTAATCACAATCTAAATTAGCATCAATACTTTGACATTCATTACATTGGTTTGGGGGAAGAAAAGTAGTTCTGGTATGTTTCATTGATCCCCAGATACCTTCCAATCTGGACATGATGGGGCTGATTCCAGATGGTTTTTCTGAAATTTCATTAAGGTAGGTCAGCGTCATTTGTCTCTGTTTAGGTAAAATATAAAAACCCTGCCCAGTAGCAGTGGCATCGCTTGGTTCCTGATGCCCATGTTCCAGAGGAATTCGGATACCACAAACAGCTAAGACAATCTCAGCTTTTCTTAGACAATCTTCTATCTCAAACTTCAGACATTCCAGAATTGTCATGATGTTTACACTGTCTGAGTTAAAAATCCTGTTCAAGAAAAAAAAAGATTTTGTATCACTTCTTAAAAAGGAATATTCATAGCACTTGTCACAAATAGAAGGCAACCATGAGATAATACAAGCCAGGGAGAGGCTTGTATTACATGACAGGTGTAATTAGTCTGCTGAGCCAGCTTTACCCAATGAAGGGCATATGTGTTAGAGAGATTAGCTAAGAGTAGAAATTCGAGCATAGAGGCCAGGTGCGGTGGCTCACGCCTGTAATCCCAGCACTTTGGGAGGTTGAGGCAGGCGTGTCACTTGAGGCCAGGAGTTCGAGACCAGCCTGGCCAACATGATGAAACCCCGTCTCTACTACAAATACAAAAATTAGCCGGGTGTGGTGGCACACGCCTGTAGTCCCAGCTACTGGGGAGGCTGAGGCAGCATTGCTTGAACCCAGGAGGTGGAGGTTGCAGTGAGCCAAGATCACACCACTGCACTCCAGCCTGGGCGACAGAGGGAGACACTGTCTCCAAAAGAAAGAAATCCCAGCGTAGATCCAAACTGAGACACTGAGGCTTCGTCCTTATAGTAGTCAGGAGCAGGCGATTGAAGTAATTCTGTCCTGCGGGGTTCAGCATCATGCACGTTCCCCCTGGGCCATTCTCTGATGCAGGGCACTTGCTCCACACTCTGGGAACCCAGATTCACCAGTCTGCCCTGTCACGTAGTTGAAGGAGTTGCATTTATCTTTCTGGCTCCTAATTCCTTTAAAATTACATTTGTTGCAGAACCTCCACAAGGCTAAATAAAATTACATTTGTGACCATCAGAGAACTGAATAAACCATTAACTGGCCATCCTGGTTTTGCAGAGATCAGGTTGTTGACAGTTCCTGGTTGACCCACAGCTACCCATGTCAGTTATCTCCACTAACATATCCAAGAATCTTTGTAGGACAATTTCTCCACCTGCAAGGTCTTTCAGGTAGAACTCTTCTTTTAAGGCAATTAGCCCATTGCCAAAAGGTTTTACTGTCTTAAAGCTGTCTTTCTGAGATCTAATTCCAAGGACTTCTCCACAGCTAAGTGAGATGCCTCACACCATTAGGTGATGCTTTGGACAGAACAGAGTATTTTCATCTTGTGTTTAAAGCAATTCCTTGGCTTCGGCTCCTCACCACTTTCTATGCCAGTCTCCCATTTATGTCCCTAGTAATGCCTATGCAAAAAAAAAAAAAGAAAAAAAAGAAAAACTGATGGTGAAACCTACAGGTTTAAGGGCTTAAATCTCAAACTTTGTTAGGAGTAACAGGAGCGTGCTGAGCGGGCAAGCAATAAAACAAATCATACCAAAAAGCCACATTGCTCTCTCCTAAGCCCCAACCCCACTCCACTCCTGTGGCCAGGGGTCCAAACAGAAAATAACCGGAGAAGACAAGGAGGTCAAAGGATCAGGGAACTAAGCATTATGTGAATTCACCAGCAAGATGTACAGAACGCCTGTGTTTACATTGTTTTTATGGAACTAGCAGAATAAAACATCTATTTTAAAAATGAAAGCCATTGTTTCTCTAATTTATCTGACAAAGTGAGCAGCTTAAATTCTGTGAAACATCTTTATAGTTTATGAACTTTTTTATATTCCTTCTGGTAAGCCATGGTTGTTGCTGATGATGAAGTGGCACTGTGACCAGTGTATTAATGTGCTACTACAATGAGCTTTTTCTTTGCTTGTGTGGGATTGTCTGGGGAAACGTCCCAAGTCTCACTGGTGTCACTGGGAAAGTCAGTCACGTGATAATAACTATAGCTTGGGAGGGTGGCACATGAACTATTTGGGAAGGTCAAAGTCAGTTCAGCTCAAGACTATGAGAACCAGAAGCCCCTTTGTCCCAAGGGGGCTGGCAGCTGCAGTTTTACTGAGTCATGTTTTTAAGTTTCTCTATATTGGCCACTTTGTTATGACATATCCTGACATACCTGCTGTCCAGTTTCTTGCACTGAGCATTGGCCATGCAAGCAGATTTCTCTACTAGCTCTAAGTTCAACACTTCTACTTTTCCTTCATCACAGTCACTTTCACCGTATCTTTAGTCGATGGACAGATGACAAAGATATGACAAATATATAAACAATATATATAATGAAGTATTAGGAGTACACCCAACAGGAGAGACCAGAAGAGGCAGGACTAGATGAGGGCGAGACCTGCTCCTCTCAGCCCCTGCTCATTTCCAGGCCAACAATGAACAGATGGTGGAAAGAATTACACAGCACTCCACACAGACATAGATACTTATTTATTTGCATATTTAAAGTTTACACACATGCTATGACTCCAATGTTTTAAAAAAATAAGCCCTTAACAGCTCTGAGACACATGGCCTCTTCTGTATCCCAAGCAAATCCCTAAATGGAGGTAGAGCACGTGTTCCTATTTTTCACACTCTCATATGGGAGATAAGTGGTTAAGGAGGACTAGAAACCCAATCAGGCCTACCGGGGTGCCGGACAGACACACAGCATTCCTAAAGGAATGCCACCAGAGAAAAAATACAAGTCTGTACATATATCTTTATTTTCATACTTAAAAAGAATCACATACTCATTCCAACAGCTTTACCAGGCTTCGCCAACCCAATAAGTTACACACTCACTCAGGTACTAGGAAGGTTATTGCACAGCTCCTTAACTGATCGGGGTCAGGGCAGAGTGGTCACTTTCCCCACAGCCAGGCTCTGGATTTGCCTCCTGTGAAGACACCATGCCTAGCACAGGCTGACGGGGCGGCTGCAGTCGAACCTTGCCTCCAGATTATGAACCAGTATAAGTAGCACAATTCTCGTGGCTACTTTCACTTCAGAGTGTCATGTTTATTGATGTGGAGCTTTCTGAATAGGGAGGTTAAGGCACACCTGCTGAGTAAAACAAATATTTCTTGTGTAGCGTTCTAGATTGAGGGCAGCAGTCAATGGTAAAATAAACTTCAGTAGCATGTTCCTGTCAGGTTATATGGCAGCCCTGGCTCAAGGATTTCTCCCCCTGCACGATTCCTAAGACTGTTTGCTAGCTGATTCTTTGTTTTGGCAATTTGATGGTTTTGATGAATTTGCTGTGATCCAGGGGTGTTCAAGTACTTCTCTGAGCATTGGCCTCTGGCTGGGATTATGCTTCAACAGTCTTGAAATGAGGTCCCTGGCTCCCTCTGTTACAAAGTCAGGGAATGTGAATTCAACCTGGAGTACAACAAATGATAAAATATCACAAAACACAGGTTAGAGAGATCAAATAGTATAGATGTTCGGATCTTGGCCTGCAGTTCAGGCTGATAAGGAAAGAATTCCAGCAGATGTGCTGGGTCCTTTTCAGTTGCGTCTTACCCGTGATATTCTTTTGTAGGTCTCTTGGTATGTGTTTGCCTCAAAAGGAGGCTTCCCAACTAAAAATTCATAGCAAAGAACTCCAAGGCTCCAGAGATCCACCTTCTCATCATGCATCCGACCTTCAATCATTTCAGGGGGCAGGTAGTCCAGGGTGCCACAGAGAGTGGTCCTCCTGAAAACGGAGGGAGGCTCAGGTTGATGTGCTTCTCGTTTTATGATCACAACAGCTGCTAACAATCATTAAAGAGTCCACTAACACTGAGGTCTTCCCCTGGGCCAGATCCTGTGCCCTAGGAAGTAGCTACTATTATAAATTCCCATAGGAAACAGATGAAGCGAGGTGTGTAAGGTCACACAGCTAGCCATCAGGCTTAACCCCAAATCTGTCCAACTCCAGAACCTCCCTGAATAATCTAGAATGTAAGAAACTGAATGTATCACTACCATATAAAAGCTGCCATGCAAAGTTCTCTGTAAATACGATTTGGATTCTACATCTGCATGTGGATATTACAGATATGCTAAGAATCTTAAAAGCCTGGTCGCAATGACAATACACTAGAAACTGTCCCACTGTAACAGCACTGGGGTGGAGATGTAGACACATGCTGCCTTGTGATAGATACTTGGTACGAGTGATGCTGAAATTTTGAGGGTGGCCTATGAAGTACTCTTGCCAAAAATATTTAACCTGGCTGGGTGCAGTGGCTCATGCCTGTAATGCCAGCACTTTGGGAGGCCGAGGGAGGCGGATCACGAGGTCAGGAGATCGAGACCATCCTGGCTAACATGGTGAAACGCCGTATCTACTAAAAATACAAAAAATTAGCCGGGTGTGGTGGTGTGCGCCTGTAGTCCTAGCTACTCAGGAGGCTGAGGCAGAAGAATGGCGTGAACCCGGGAGGCGAGCTTGTAGTGAGCCAAGATCGCACCACTGCACTCCAGCCTGGGTGACAGAGCGAGACTCTGTCTCAAAAAAAAAAAAAAATTTTCTTAACCTGAATCTCTTCAGGACCTGAGACCTACATTCCAGTTTTCAGCAAATACGGGGAATAAAGGTCCAAGTTAAGTGGCAACACAATCAGAAAAGTCCTCTTTAAAGTGGGAGACTGGTCTGGCTTTAGACCACAGAGACAATCCAACCACAGAGACAGTCCAACCACAGAGACAGTCCAACCACAGAGACAATCCAACCACATAGACAGTCCAATACAAAGCATGGGCTTTGGTTGAGTTCTGATTTTACAAACCAGCTATAAGATGTCATGGACAATAGGAGAAATCTGAATGTGGACTAAATATTAGATACTGACAATGCTGTTAATTTTCTTAGGAGTGATCATGGTTCTAGTTATATAGGAGAATATCCTTATTTAGGAAATGCATTCTATTATAGTGCTTAAGGTTGAAGCATCATGATGTTTGCAACGTATTTTCAAGTGTTCACTAAAAAAGCAGATGCAGCCCTTCTGACTAAATGGGAAAAACTGCTGAACGTAGGCACTGTATAGACAGGTATGCCATCAACTACCAATTCCGCATTTTTATCGGTTTAGGTTTTTTTAACGAAGGTTGGAAAAAAGCTGGGAACAGCAGACAGCAAGCCAGAACAGTCTGTGTGGGTTCGTGTTGCTTTGTTATCAGCTGCTCTTCACCATGGAGGCTTACGTGGTCACAGCCCTGGTGCTGTGTTCAGCCAGGCCTGGCACCCACTGAGCACACAAACAGTCACTCACCACTGAATTGTGACGTAGGATTAAGAAGCTACCACTCTGGTCATCTAACCCCTCCATCAGCACCGACGGACTGAATCGGGGGTTCTCAAACTGAGGCAATAACCAGGAAATGATGATGATTAACATCTGGGATTTGGAGTGAAGTGACTATCGGTTATGTAAGTAATCTTTTCAAAAAGCAAGAAGCCATCTTTTCTATCACAATTCAACCGGTTAAGATACAGTTTAACTCTGCGATTCCATGAAGCCTGTAAGTCTTTATTCTGGTTTGTCTCACCAGATAACAGCTCCCACTAATGACAACCAGTTTAAAAAAAAAAAAAAAAAAAAAGACTGCAATAGCAGATTCAGTGCATTGCTGGAACAATTAGAAGTGCTCTGTAACAAAAGCAAAGGTTTTCTCCCTCATATTCTATTTTAGGCTATACTTTTTTTTTAACTAGCTTGATTTTTAAGTCATTTGGCTATAATTTGAGTCCTCCTCCAAAGTTGACAAAACTTCATCGGTAGATATATGTTTTAAAATGCCCCACTTCATGTGAAGTTTCAAAGCTTATTTAAACTCAAATTTAAAACAGTAAAGATATTGTAGTTCACTTGGAAAGCTAAGATTTGAATTGTTTTGAGACTGACATCTCTGCTTCAGCTGTGACAGGGGATAAGAAAGGACTATCCCTACTATTGACAGAGGCAGACTGAAGAGAATCTCTCACCACTGCCCTCAAAGCACCACCAAACTAATTTAGTGTTTCAAGTTCCCTGATATGGCCTGCACTCTGAGCTCTAGATCTTTGTCAGTGCTGTCCTCTGAACCATCTCCCCATCTCCTCATCCAGGAAGCAGCAGAGGTGAAGAGTTCCTCCCACTCAACATGTGGGCACTTCACCTCTGTCATATACGTGTCCTATCTGTTGACTCATTCATCCCTTCATTAGCCTCTAAGGACATTAAGCATCTTCAACCCTAGGCCTAGAACACTGCTAATAGCCCCAAATCTCCACAGAATAACACTTTCTTGCAAACCCTAGTTTATTATTAAGCCTAAATTACTCCAAAGTACTTCTGGGTTAGCCACCTACCCCTCTTACAGCACAAAATCTACACTGAAATATTTTACATTTAGCTCACGGTTAGCTCCCAGGGCTTTGGTAAACCAAACAACTTCCACCTCTAAAGTTACATACCTGGAAGATGGAGCATGTACTGACCACCCAAAATCTGCAATTTTAAGCTCTCCAGCTGATCCAAGAAGTAAGTTCTCTGGCTTAATGTCTCTATGAATAACTCTCTTCGAATGACAGTAAGACAGGGCATTTGCCAATTCTGTTATATACTGTTAAAACAATATTGAAAGCCTATGTTTTAGATTTTATATAACACAAGTTAATATTAGACATCTCTTCCGAAAGGAACACAACATAGATTTAACATGGTTTGCAGGTTTTGGCCAGGCACAGTGGCTCACACCTATAATCCCAACACTTTGGGGGACTGAGGTGGGAGGATCACTTGAGCCCAGGGGTTCAAGACCAGCCTGGGAAACATAGCAAGACTCCATCTCTACAAAAATTTAAAAATTAGCTGAGCGTGATGGTGCATGCCTGTAGTCCCAGCTACTTGGGAGGCTGAGGCAGGAGGATTGCTTGAGACCAGGAGGTCAAAGCTGCAGTGAGCCATGATCACACTTCAGCCTGGGTGACAGAAGGAGACCCTGTCTCAAAAAGGAAAAGACAAAACAAAAAATACATTTTGCAGGTTTTAAAGCAAGGATTGTAGAAATTATATAGGAGTCTACACACACACACACACACACACACACACACACACATCAACTGAACCAATTTATAGTGGTTAGCATGAAGTGAAATTACCCAATGCTTAGTCATCTCTGCTAATACAGCTGGTGTGATGTTGAAAGTCAGAAAAGACATTCAGCCAGTTAGAGCTAGCTCTTAGGCTGGTGCCATGTCAATGCAAAACACAGTTACTTTTGCACCAACCTAAAGTTACAACACCATACGGCAACAAATGGCCCTGCAGCCAGGAAGTAAGACAGTGCTGAAGAACTGGTACAAATTAAGGATTCAGATGTGTAAATACTGCCTTTTTCTTTTTTAGAAAAAAAAAATGAACTTTGCAAGTATAGTCAATTCCCTTTTTTAAAACCAAGGTCATTCTGTGACAGAAGAATTTGTTTAAAGCTAAAAATTTACTTCAAGAATATCAGGAGAAAAAATTATCCTGAACAATAAACAGAAACTAAAAAGCAGTTGCACTGACATATTAAATAGCATGTTAAATTTTGGGTTACACTAAGTCAGCATAGAAGTACATAAGAAATCAGTCCTTTTGTTAATTTTATTTCCTTAAGTTACTATCTTTTTTTTTTTTAATAGAGATGGGGGTCTCACTATGTTGACCAGGCTGGTCTCAAACTCCTGGCCTCAAGTGATCCTCCCATCTCAGCCTCACAACGTGCTAGGATTACAGACATGAGCCACTGCACCCGACCGAATTACCATCTTGTAAGAAAAGTTTTCCTGGCCAGGTGCAGTGGTTCATACCTGTAATCCCAGCACTTTGGGAGGCCAAGACAGGTGGATCACCTGAAGTCAGGAGTTCGAGACCGGCCTGACCAACATGGTGAAACCCTGTCTTTACTAAAAATACAAAAATTAGCCAAGTGTAGTGGTGCATGCCTATAATCGCAGCTACTCGGGAGGCTGAGGCAGGAGAATTGGTTGAACCCAGGAGGTAGAGGTTGCAGTGAGCCGAGATCATGCCATTGCACTCCAGCCTGGGCAACAAGAGTAAAATTCCGTCTCAAAAAAAAGCAAGAAAAAGAAAAGTTTTACAGTCCCTATCGCTAAGATTTAGCAAACAAGTCCAGTATGTATGTATTTACTTATTTATTTTTAAGAGACAGGGTCTCACTCTGTCACCCAGCCTGGATTGCTATGGCATGATCATACCTCACTGCAGCCTTGAACTCCTGGCCGTAAGCAATCCTCCCACCTCAGCCTCCTTCCGAGTAGCTGGGACTACAGGTGTGTGCCACCATGCCCAGCTAATTTTTAATCTTTCTTTTTTTTTTTTTTTTTTTTGTAGAGACAGTCTCCCCATGTTGCCTACGCTGGTCGCTAATTCCTGACCTCAAGTGATCCTCCCACCTTGGCCTCTCCAAGTGCTGAGATTACAAGCGTGAGCTACCATGCCTGGCCCAGAATTTATTTTAACATACAGATAACTGTTTGAATATTGAAAAAATATATTTAGCTCTGCCTAAAGTTTGAGAAGAGTTTGCTTTCTACAGCAATTTCTAGACAGGATTGAACATTATTTTACATCAAAAAGGTTTACTAAACAGATGAGTAAAAACCAAATGTCACTGTCAGAATAAACACTTTTCATTCTTTCAGCCCAAAACCGGAGATCAAAATTCAGACCACAATAAACTGAAGGCAAATACAAAGAAAGCTGCTCTTCTGACCACCAACTTTGAGTTGCTGATGCTTTAATTGCACACATTAAAGTTTGAGAGGGCAATGGATTTCACTCCTCAAATCACTTCCAGACAAGAAGCTATTAGTTTCATGATAGCCCTCTGGCACTGCCACTTCCTCCACACCTCACATGTTGTTAGATTGCAGATATGGATAGGTCACTGACATGTCACTACAATTAGTTTTATTTGAATTCATCTGAAAAGGAAAACAGGTACATGTGTATTCATTCTAACTGCTAAGGAATCTAGACAGAAATGATCTTTCATTTTCTTTCAAACAGCTATCTGCTTACACCAAAACTCCATCTAGATTGAAGCCTTGGGTGTAAGGAGAGAAAACAGAGAAGTAGTATAATGTGTAATTTTGTAGTGTTGGTATAAGGTGAATCTTTTAAAGTAGGATATCAATATCAGAAACTGAAGAAAAAGATTAACTGACCTGAAACAACAAACTACAACCCACCATAAGCAAGATTACCAGGAAAAAAACCAAGGGTAAAATGTGAGTACCTGAGGTAGAGTCACTACCATTAATGAGCATAGATTTACTTATTGATCTGTAAGAGAAAGTTGGCCCAAAAGATGAACTCAAAGAAATATTAATTGCCAATTAAATAAGAAGCTGATTTGTTTAGCTAATATTTAAAAAAGCAAATTAGAGATCTATTTCTACTTAGGAGAAGCACAAACATTTAAGATTAAGTCTTTAAAACAGCATGTCATTGTTGCAGAGACAAGACCAAAGAGCCATTTGTCCATAGTAGCATGATTTCATCAGATACTGAAAGTAAAATTACTTGAATTTAAATGCCATTTACATCAATGCCAAAAAGAGAACTAATGTCCACACTACCCGGAGATCTCCACCAAGAAACAGAAAAAAATCAAAGTAACCACCATTCAACATGCTTTATCAAGCTGCCAATCCAATAAGAAACGGCCCAAACTAAGACTCTTCAACTTCTTAAAACAAGTAATTTTAATCACATAAAAAAGGAGAAGCAAAAAAGCACAATCATGAAAGAAAAAACTGACACATTTGGACTTTTATTAAAAATACAGCCTGGGAGGCCGGGTACAGTGGCTCATGCCTGCAATCCCAACACTCTGGGAGGCCGAGGTGGGCAAATCACCTGAGGTCAGGAGTTCAAGACCAGACTGGCCAACATGATGAAACCCTGTCTCTACTAAAAATACAAAAATTAGCTGGGCGTGGTGGCTCATGCCTGTAATCCCAGCTACTCAGGAGGCTGAGGCAGGAGAACTGCTTGAACACAGGAGGTAGAAGTTGCAGTGAGCTGAGAACCAAGATCACGTCACTGCCCTCCAGCCTGGGTGACAAAGCAAGAATGCCTCAAAAAAAACAACCTGGGCAACATGATGAGACCGTGTCTATACAAAAAATACAAAAATTAGCTGGGCGTGGTGGTACCCACCTGTAGTCTCACCTACTCAGGAGGATCACTTGAGCTCAACAGGCAGAGGCTGCAGTGAGCAGAGATCGCACCACTGCACCCCAGCCTGGCTGACAGAGTGAAACCCTTTCTCAAAAAAATAAATAAAAAACAGCCTTGTGAAAGACACAGATAAGAGAACAAAAATACAAGGCACGGATTGGGAGAAAATATTTGCAAAACATGTGTGACAGATGACCTGCATCCAAAATATACAAAGAACTCTTAAAACTCAAAACTCAAAAAAAAAAAGAGCAAAAGATTTCAACAGGTGCCTCAAAGACGATACACAGATGGCAAATAAACACATAAAAAGATGTTCAAGGCCGGGCGCAGTGGCTCACGCCTATAATCCCAGCACTTTGGGAGGCCGAGGCAGGTGGATCACAAGGTCAAGAGATCAAGACCATCCTGGCCAACATGGCGAAACCCCATCTCTACTAAAAGTACAAAAATTAGCTGGGCATGGTGGCACGTGCCTGTAGTCCCAGCTACTCAGGAGTCTGAGGCAGGAGAATCGCTTGAACCCAAGAGGCGGAGGTTGCAGTGAGCCAAAATCGCACCACTACACTCTAGCCTGGTGACAGAGCGAGACTCCGTCTCAAAAAAAAAAAGAGACGTTCAACATCAAATGTCATTAGGAAACTAGAAATCAAAACAATGAGATACCACCACATGCCGATTAGAATAACTAAAATGCAAAACAAGAGGCCAGGTATAGTGGCTCACTCCTGTAATCCCAATATTTTGGGAGGCATGAATTACTTGAGACCAGGATTTCGAAACCGACCTGGGCAACAAGGCAAAACCTTGTCTCTACAAAAAAATACAAAAATTAGCCAGGCACGAGAGCACATGCCTGTAGTCCTAGCTACTTGGGAGGCTGAGATGGGAGGATTGCTTGAGCCAGGGAGTTTGAGGTGGGTGATCATGCCATTGCACTCCAGTCTGGGCGACAGTGAGACCTTGTCTCAAAACAAACAAACAAAAATCCAAAACACTGACATCAAATGTTGGCAACTATGAGAAGCAAGAGGACCTCAATTCATTGGTTCCGATACCACATTACCGTTGTATAATGGTATCAGAATTGTTAACCAGCTGCCCCACGGAAACCAACTTTATCAATTAGAGTGCTTATGTGCACTTCCTTTGGCCTTTGTCTTATAGACTCCACTCATCTCCAAAGCTGCTTGGATCAACACTTTACCCTCATGCCCTTTAGTAAGGTGATTTCCTACATTTGTAATGCAATGTAAAATATAATGTAAAAATCACTTTGGAAGACTGACAGTTCCTCACAAAGCAAAATATAGTCTTACCGTATGAGCTGGCAATAGCACTCCTATATATGTGCCCAACTAATTTGAAGACTTGTTTCGCAAAAACCTGCATGCAAATGTTGACAGCCAAAACATGATAACTGCCAAAAACCAGAAGCAGCCAAGATACCCTTCAGTAGACGAATAAACTGAGGTACTTCCATATAATGAAATAATGGAATATGATTTTGTGATAAACAGAAATGAACAAGCTCTCATGCCTCCAAAAATACACAGATGAATCTTCAATGCATATTGCTAAGTGGAAGAAGCCCACCTAAAAAAGCTACATACTGTTATGATTCCAATTACATGATATTCTGGAAAAGGCAATAGAGACAGTAAACAGATCAGTGGTTGCCAGAGATGGAAGGGTTGGAAGGGATGAGTAGTTGAGACACAGGATTTTTTTTTTCTTAAGAGCAGCGAAACTATTCTCTATATCATAATGGTGGATACATGGCATTGTGTATTTGTCGAAATTCATAGAACTTTACAGCAAACACACAAAAATCAATCTCAGGATATGAAAATGTAAATGATTCCATCCTGGGCATGCAGATTGTGACAAAAAAATCTCATTGCATTACAAATGTAGGAAACCACCTTACTAAAGGGCATGAGGGTAAAGTGTTGATCCAAGCAGCTTTGGAAATGAGTGGAATCTATAAGACAAAGGCCAAAGGAAGTGCACATAAGCACTCTAATTGATAAAGTTGGTTCCCACGTGGCAGCTGGTTAACAATTCTGATACCATTATACATGTATATTGGAATTGAATAAGTAAAAGGATGGTGGGCGGTGAAATCCAGGTTTCACACTTTTGGAGTGGGAGTTTACAGGTAAACAGGAGGAAGTTAGAATGAAACGTGGTAATGGATTCAAGTTGAAGACATCAGTATGAATTCATGGTATGCTTAATGAAGAGATAGATGGATAAATCTATACACAGATTACTATCCACATATATTCCCTTGCTGTGTCAGCTGAAAGCCTAAAAGTAGTGACACCATAGTAGCAATGAGTACACCAAGTGCCCAGAGCTTGGTTTCTAATAACATTCTCCAAGAAAAGGAAACAGGGCTCCTTGGAGAAGTGGTTCGATTCTAGGACTGGAGCAGGAAATATACACGATGAGGCCTGAGCATCTTGTATCAGAAAGTAAGGAAGTACAAGGCCAGGCGTGGTGGCTCACACCTGTAATCCTAGCACTTTGGGAGGCTGAGGCGGGCAGATTACCTGAGGTCAGGGGTTAGAGACCAGCCTGGCCAACATGGCAAAACCCCATCTCTACTAAAAATACAAAAATGAGCCGGGTGTGGTGGTGCATGCCTGTTAATCCTAGCTACTCAGGAGGCTGAGGCAGGAGAATCGCTTGAACCCAGGAGGTGAAGGCTGCAGTGAGCCAAGATTATGCCACTGCACTCCAGCCTGGGCGACAGAGTGAGATTCCATCTCAAAAAAAGAAAAAAAAAAAAAGGAAGTGTAAAAACAAACCAAAAAAAAACCACACACACGCAAGACAAAACTGCAATGATTTTCCCAGGAACCTGGTAAAACAAAAAGAGCAGGCCGGGCACGGTGGCTCATGCCTGTAATCCCAGCACTTTGGGAGGCTGAGGTGGGTGGATCACAAGGTCAGGAGTTCAAGACCAGCCTGGCCAATATGGTGAAACCCCGTCTCTACTAAAAATACAAAAATTAGCCAGGTGTGGTGGTGGGTGCCTGTACTTCCAGCTACTTGGGAGGCTGAGGCAGAAGAATCGCTTCAACCTGGGAGGCTGAGGTTGCAGTGAGCCAAGATAGCGCCACTGCACTCCAGCCTGGGCGACAGAGTGAGACTCCGTCTCAAAAAGAAAAAAAAAAAAAAAGAAAGAAAAAAAGTTCCCAGTGGCCAAAGTTGCAATGATCTGAACCACAAAATAAAGTATTGCATTATAGCTCAAGAGATAAAATAAATACCCAGGAGTCTACATCTTTAAATAAATAAATGATTAAATAAATAAGGGAGAACAGCCTTATCTCTGGCACAGAATTCCAGATAATTTATGGCAATACTCCATCCACTCTCTACTCCTTAAGTGTGGGCTATTCATAGTAACTTCCTTTGAAGAAATACAGCACGGAAAGGGGAAAAAATAGTAACTTTACAGTGGAGAAACCAGACAAACACTCTCTGAGTCAGAAGATCAAGCTGACATCCACAGTTAAAAGTCATAAGAGTTTACATCCCTGGTATGTGATAAGAATGCACTTTACCTCTGATCTCCCTCTCAAAAACCCATAAGCCCAATTTAATCATGAGAAAAACTAAGAAAATCTGAATAAAATGTGGACTTGAGTTAATAGTTATATATCAATATTGGTTCATTGAATGTGACAAATGTGCCATATTAATGCAAGATGTTAGTAGGAGAATTAGTAGGAAATTCAGTGTGGGGTATATGGGAACTCTCTGTACTGCCTTCACAATTTCTGTAAATCTAAAACTATCCTAGCCAGGTACAATGGTGTGCACCTGTAGTCCCAGCTACTCGGGAGGCTGAGGTGGAGAATCACTTGAGTCCAGCCTGGGCAACATAACAAGACCCTGTCCCTTTAAAAAAAATAAAATAAAATAAAAATTATTCTAAAATAAAACATCTATTAAAGAAAATGAGGGTGACTATCTATATACATTATATACATTTCCATAGAAAACAGCTGTGCAAACTAGGCACAAAAGCAGATACAACATTCTACCTGGTTCTAGACTTTATCTGTACATATGGTACAACTAAGCTATTTTGATTTTTCCACTTCAAATATTTGATATTAAGCTATCCTTACGTCAAGACAAAACCCACTCTACTATGATGAAAGGTACATTGCTATGGAGGACAGGTATAAAGGAAACACAATTAGCCTGGACAATAAATGAACACTTACAGTAGCAGTTCTCTGCTCATCAAACTTTGAAAGTTTCTGAAGTTCTCTATAAACTGTTCCAAGTGGTGCATATTCCAGAATTAGGTAGACTCTGGTAGCATCATGGAAATAACCATACAGTCTAAGAATATTAGGATGCCTGCAACAAAGGATAAACATTCTAACACTTGGTTTGGAGCTCACAGAAGACTATGTACAAAATGTCAAACAAACTCTTCATGTAAAACCAGTGGTGTTTCACATGAAACCACACTCCAAACCCCACTTTAGAATCTGAAACTATAAACCCACTCCAAGAAAAATACATACACCCACATATCATTTTAAAAGCACTTCACAGTATTAATGGACCTCTGGTTTAGTTAAGACTATTTCCTTCCTTTAGGCACCTTTATTCTTAGGAGGAAAATTCAGCTGAATATTAATTATCTACATATTAAAAAAAGGACATGGCCGGGCACAGTGGCTCACGCCTGTAATCCCAGCACTTTGGGAGGCCGAGGCGGGAGGATCGCGAGGTCAGGAGTTCAAGACCAGCCTGGCCAACATGGTGAAACCTCGTCTCTACTAAAAATACAAAAATTAGCTAGGCTTGTTGGTGCATGCCTGCAATCCTAGCTACTCAGGAGGCTGAGGCAGGAGAATCGCTTTAACCTGGGAGGCAGAGGTTGCAGTGAGCTGAGATTGCGCCACTGCACTCCAGTCTGGGCAACAGAGCGAGACTCCATCTCAAAAAAAAAAAGGAAAAAAAAAAAGGACATGGCATTGCCACAGTAGTTTGACACCCAGACACTGTGACAGATAAAAGCAGTGATCAGTAATGGCAGTAGATGGGTGCTGAGCAGACTGGGCAGGTGCAGACTGTGGCCAGCGGGAAGCAGGCAATGGGAAGCACAGCCCATGTGAGATGCCTGCCCCTCCCAGCCCCAGCCAGGTGTTGCCAGGCAGAGACACACCAGGCCTGATGTGGCCAGACTTGAAGTATTAGCATCTGATTCAAATTTGAAAAACACTGAAAGAAAAAAAGGAAAAACAAAAACCCACCAGCCGTAGTCAACCTGCAGGTAGCTGCTCGCAATTCCTGCATACCTCAGAATAAGGGGTGCCATTCCCCTTCACTGTCCACCAGAAAGACTTGCCCATATAAACTATTCTATTAACAAAACATTAAATCCTCAAGTGATTTTTCCAGGATCAGAGCACTTAAGTGCTCTTTGAAAGATGACAAATTTAATCATTTTTTGTGGTACTATGAAAAGCAGGCCCTCTAAAAAATAAATTTATACTTAAAAAAAAAAAAAGGAATACAATTTTATTTTAACATGCAGAGCATGGGAGAATCACAGGAGAATGCTTATAACCCAGTGCAGTACAGAAGCTTATCTAATCTTTTTCATAGGGGAGGGGGAGGTGAGGAACGGGGCCATGCATTTGAAGGCAGTGCCTCGTAAGAGGGAGTGAAGGGACCTGGGCAGTGGGAGGCTGACATTACAGGAGGGGGAGGGGTGCAGCATTGGTGAACATTCTTTTGAACATGAACCTGAAAACTCACCGAAGGTGGGACTGTATTTCTACTTCTCTTCTGAGCTGATGCTCCACTCCGGCTTTCTCCAGCTGAGCTTTAAATAACACTTTAAGAGCCAGAATAAACTTGCTTTGCTTTTCTCTTGCCAAATAAACATTACCAAACTTTCCTTTACCCAGAGGGCGACCAATTTCAAAGTCTTCCAAAGCCCACTGCCTCCTAGGAGGAATTTGAACACTTTAGAATGTGAAGAAAACAAAGCTTTTCTAACAAATTTTCAATGAGTAGCAGACACATTCTACAAATAATTTCGTATTCCAACTTCACTCAATATGCATCCTCAGCAAGAACCAAGGCAATAACCACTATCAAAGAGCTGCCACGACATGAAACCCTGACGTCCCTAGCTGCCGTCAGGTGTGAGAGTCAGTGACAAGGAGCAGTCTCGGGTTTTAGACCTGAAGCACTCTATGGGAAATGTCCCAAGCCCGTACTATGCTCAGAGGAACAGGGCCATGACAACGCTGAAGACCACAAAAAGGATAAGTGACCAGAGAGGGAGGAATGCTTCCAGACCATCTGGGGGCATGTTTCAAACTAACCCCAGCTGCTCCCTCCAGTCCCAGAGGTGCTAATTCTCTCTGGGTGGAGAACCACTCTGGTGGTGGAGACAGAGCCACTGTTACTAATGGAAGCGGGATGGAGCCCACAGGCTAGCTGGGGCATGAGAACCAGTGGATTTAGACTCTTAGCCTCTGTTAGACCGCTAAAAGCAAAAGAGTCTGTGGGTTCATTCCTCGCTCCTCCCGGTACATTCTAGAGTCCAGATAGTTCAGAGACTGAGAGGAGGCTTTTAGAAAAGCCCTGGGGAAGACATTACAGCCAACCTTTACAATAAAGAACTAAAACTATAATACTGTCAAAACCCTCAGTCATATATGAGTATATAGTTCTGCAACATATTCTATTTTTTAAAAACTTGCACTTTTGTACAATAAAAAAGTACAGACGCATAAACCATATGTAGTGGTTATTTCTAAGGACAGAGAGGAACTTCCACACATTTCTATAAAAGATTCATACAAGCTTTTTCTAAATTTGAAAGCCATTTTTTAAAGCACTTGAGTTCCTAGTAAAATACCTCATTACACAAAATTCCATTTTTTTTAAGATTGGAAATCTGGAAACATTTATATCCTCTAAATGCAAATAAAGGCCTCATTTTTTTCCCCAGAGTTCCCACAACGAAATTTGCAACGAAATAATATATTCTAGTAGAACAGTACAGAACTTTGTAAATAAGAAAGCTTACTTTTTTGATTCTTCATTTTTCTGTTTTGATGCCAGTTCCTCCTCAGGATTATTTTCTATATGGAATAAGTTAAAAACCTGTTTTTAGAATAACTATATAGGATAAGCTAAGCTGTGAATAGAGGTGAATCAAAGAATTGGTCACCAAAATATTAATGGTATGTCAAGAATGATAAATCTGTTTTTTTTTTTTAAAGTTTTCCTTATAGAAAAAAAGGACTACTACACCCTGACTTCCATCATGTGAAGCCTTTATAGAATTTCTAAAGATGAGCAGACGTATATATAGACAGGCCCTTCTCTGATAAATTAAAGGCAGACTATGCAGGCTCTTCTGAAGCCTCAGTTTCCAAAGAAGAGCTTTTGTGGCAGAAGTACCAATCTTCCCATGCATGACGAGCTGCCAACTCGTCACCTTTTTCCCCTTACTAGGTGGGCCAGCCAACAGTCCATACCCTACATACGAATTATCACCAACATGTAGCAAAACATAAGCCAGCCACCCTCCATTTATATTAGCTGCCAAGGGGAAATATAAAAATAAAAGCCACCAATTCAGCAAAATGCACAATGAACAGTTGTGCAGCAGAGGACTGGGGTAACTATTTCATCAGCCACAAGGACATATGAAACATTTCCACTGGTCTGTCTCCAACATAGCAAACTCGAACAGCACACAATGCTCTGCTCAGATATCTGGATGCTGGTCCAAACTCTTCCTCCAGATGCCCCTGTCACATGTGCACCCCTCAACCCCCAGGACACTCACTCAATTAATATCAATCTAATCACCATCCCTAACTCCTCTTTATTCATCTTTCAGGTACAATTTATTGCCCAGTTCTAATGAGTCTGCATCGTAAATGAGCTCTCAAATTTGTGTGCACCTCTCCATCCTGGCTTGTCTTTGGATAAGTTAACTGCTTCTGAGTCTTAGCTTCCTCCTCTGTAAAACTGAGTTAATAACTGGCTACCTTCATGAAGTGGTTACGAAGATTGAAAGAGATGACGTGGATGAAGCACGCACTTATCTCAGAGCCTGCAGGGAATGAGCACTCAACAGTTGGTAAATAATTGCATCCACTCTGCTCCACACAGAGCAGGTTATTGCCATCTCTGACCTCAACCTCCTTCCTGTCTGGTACTCCTAAATCCAGCGTTCTACTCCAATTTATTCAGTACTTCCACAGTAAATTTTTTTTTTTTTTTTGAGATAGAATTTTGCTCTTGTTGCCCAGGCTAGAATGCAATGGCACAATCTCGGCTCACCACAACCTCCACCTCCTGGGTTCAAGCCATTCTCCTGCCTCAGCCTCCTGAGTAGCTGGGATTACAGGCGTGCACCACCACGCCTGGCTAATTTTGTATTTTTAGTAGAGACAGGGTTTCTCCATGTTGGTCAGACTGGTCTCCAACTCCTGACCTCAGGTGATCCACCTGCCTCGGTCTCCCAAAGCGCTGGGATTACAGGCGTGAGCCACTGCGCCTGGCCTTCCACAGTAAACTTTCTAAAAGGCAGAGTTCCCTTCTGAGTTCAAAAAAGCTTCAGTAGCTTCCAAATGCCCTAGAGATGAGGCCCCATTCCTTAACATGGCCAGCAATGCCCATGGTGACCTCACCGCAGCCTGCCTCAGTTCACCCACTTCTCTGGATTTCCCCCACACTTTAGATCTCAGTCCCTTCAAGTCACTTACTGCAAGCACCCTACATCCAGACTCAGTAACAAGCAATCAAAAGGACACCAATTTATGCTGTGTCCTCCCTGGGTGCCCAACTCTTCCAAGAGGGTGAGAATCAGGTCTGTATTTTTAGCATAGGTCTGGCCCATGGGCAGACACTGTTACTTCAACCCAGACACCATATTTTCTCCCCATCCTCAACAGATATAAAAGCTAAGGCTCCAAACAATAAGTGCAAGTATATACACTGGCTTTTTTAGCAACGACGACAAAGAAGGACTATCCAATGAGTCTCAAAAGCTAGTTTACCAGGTGCCGATGGCAGGGGCTGCTTGCTCTTTTGGGTGTTATTCAGTGGCCTGGAGACAGGATGAGGTACACTGGTTGCCTGCAATTGCTTCTGCTTCTGATTCTGAACCGGCTTGTGACTGGAGACAAGCTTTTGTGCTTGCAAAGGAATGCGCTGGGAAGAATTTGAAGGACACAAGACCCGCTGAGCCTGGCCACTATTTACAGGTAATGGATTCTGACAAGGAAATTGCTGAGTCACGAGAACACGTTTTGGACCTCCAACTGGAGCTGTAGCCTAGAATGGAAGAGAAAATAAACTTTCTGGCATTCATGAAAGCAAAAGATGAATATATTGAGAATTTCACAAAGTTTGTTCTCTAGTATAGCAAAATAATGAATGTCACTGATAAGAGATGGAAGGTGAAAAGGTATTTTAATCAGTACCTCCAGAGGATAGTTAGTATGTGGCTAAGAATACCTGAATGATACCTTCTATCCCCTCCAATTCCTCACCCCTAAAAATCATGCTTTATTAACAAATATCCATTAATGAAGGAGACACTTTCTAAAATTTCTCAATAATTTGGAAATAGACACTACATTGCTATTTGGCAAAAAGCTATGATACAAAAACTTTATGCCAAAATCTCAGTTCCATTGAAATTTCTTTGATAATATACGTTTAAGAAAAAGACCAAAAAAAAATACGTCAAAACGTTCAACAGTGGTATTATCTTCATGAAGTTTTAGAAGAGTCTAAGTTTTCATATATCGAAGATTTTCCACAATAAGCTTATTACTGTACTATTGATTAACCAATGTTTCATTTTCCAAGTATTGACAAAATGGAATTGAGCAAAAAACTGACAAAGAGGAAACAAATGTAGACACTTCACAAAGTTACTACTAAAATGTATTATTATTATTATTTTTGAGATGGAGTCTTGCTCTGTCACCCAGACTGGAGTGCAGTGGCATGATCTCGGCTCACTGCAACCTCTGCCTCCCAGGTTCAAGCAATTCTCTGCCTCAGCCTCCCAAGCAGCTGGGACGACAGGCGCCTGCCACCACGCCTGGCTAATTTTTTGTATTTTTAGTAGAAACAGGGTTTCACCATCTTGGCCAGGCCGGTCTTGAACTCCTGACCTTGTGATCCACTCTCCTTGGTCTCCCAAAGTGCTGGGATTACAGGCGTGAGCCACCGCGCCCAGCCTTGAAATGTATTATTTATACGCCTGTAAGTACTGTATTACAACCTTAAATTGTTAAGTTAACTCTAACACCCTCAGCTAATCAAACTAAAAGGGGTAGGAGGGATGAGATTTCCTTCAGCTTCAACAGCTCATTGTAAGTGAGGGACAAGTGCTAGAAATGAAAGCCTCAAAGTCCATCCCCAGCTCAACGGTATGAGTGCTCTACAAAGAGAGGGTGTTAAGACTTCCAAATACAAAGTCAGTTACTCCTGAAATTAGCACACTGTCCACAACGCAGCAGGCATTCAGACAAAGACAAATAAAAAGAAACATTTTAAATATAGAGCAATTTTTTAAATGGCCGTTATCATAGGAACTTAGAATCAAATACAGTAATTCAAGGTAGCCTTTTTCTAATTATTTTATATTTATGGCCAATTTTAAAAGTTTTGAACTCCTGCCAGATGCATTATTACTATTATCCTGCATACAGTGGAGGGATATAGAAACTTAAGCAGCCGATTATAAGACAAAGCAGAACAAAAAAGCTACTCTAAGAAGCAGCAAAATGTTACTGAACACGAGAAAAGTGACTAATTCATATCCAGGATCACAGTAAGGGATCTAAATTTAAATCCAAAGTAAAGGCGGAAAGAATTCCCGACAAGACCAACCTCCATGTGGGTTTATAAATGTGAATGAGATTACAGATTATTCAATTTACCTTAACAGGTCCTGAAATGCAGTTTTCTTTAGATCGGTCCATGATGCCTGAAAAGAAAAAGAAGAACCTTTAATTTGAACAAAGCCACCTGCTTAAAGTGCTGTTGCTCGATAGGCAGCGTTACAGTTCCCCAATCAAAAGGCCTCCACAACACACCGGATTTTACATGTTTTGTCCAAATGAAGCTAATGAGGGAGGGACAGGCATGTGCTTTCCCTGCAAGGCCAACCTCCCCTTGGGCACTGCGTCCCATCCTCTGTCACGGAGTCTTCACTCCTGATGGTCTTGCTGCTCCATCATCTCTCCTCTAATGGATCACTTCCATCCCTGTGCAGCCTACTGGCATACCTGCTACCTTAAAAAAGTCCTCTTTAGGCCGGGCATGGTGGCTTACACCTGTAATCCCAGCATTTTGGGAGGCCGAGGTGGGCGGATCACCTGAGGTCAAGAGTTCGAGACCAGCCTGGCCAACATGGTGAAACCCCGTCTCTACTAAAAATACAAAACTTAGCTGAGCGTGGTGGCAGTCACCTGTAATCCCAGCTACTCGGGAGGCTGAGGCAGGAGAATCACTTAAACCCAGGAAGCAGAGGTTGCAGTGAGCTGAGATCACACCATTGCACTCCAGCCTATGGGAAAAGAGCGAGACTTCGTCTCAAAACAATAAAATAAAATAAAAGTCCTCTTTATTCTATTATCGTTGCTAACAATGACCCCCTCCTCTCCAACAGCAAAGCTCCAGAAGAACCGTCCACACTTGCCACCTCTACTGCTCCTCTCCCCTCCCCTGAGCCCATCCCCACCTGGCTTTTTTGTCTCCACCACATTGTCAGGCTCATGGCTGACACCTACTGCTGCCAAACCCAAGGGTCAATTCCACCTTCCCCGTACTTGCATCCTCAGCAGAATCTGACAAGGTTGATCACATCTTACACTTTTTTCTTCACTTCACTTCCAGGTTTATCTACCACCTAGTCGTCCTGTCTTTCCCTCCTTGCTGGGTCAGTCTCATTTTTGCCAGATCAAGGGTCTGGGGTGACTCAAGAACGAGTCCCTGGACCCTCCACTTCTCCATCTACACCTTCACCAGGGATCCATATCACCCAGTGCCTCAGCTCTAAATGCCTTCATGAGGACCACTCAAAGTGCGTCTTCTGCCCTAGTCTCTCCTTGGACTGTCAGACTTGGATATCCAAGGATTTGCCCAGGATCTCCCAAAAATGTCTGCCAGGCACCTCAATCCTAACATATCCAAAACTGAACCTCTTCCCTTCTCCACTTCTCACCTCCCTGTTCATGGGTGTGCCCTGAGCTCAGGCCTAGAATGACTTCTCCATCTCCAATTACTCCCTAGCCGAGTACATCCAGTCTCTTTGCTTTCAGTACCATCTACAGGCTGAGGACTCCCAAATATTCATTCTTCAGCCCAGACCTCTCCCCTGAACTCTTGATCTACATTTTCTACTTTCTATGCAACATCTGCACCTGATTATCTGAGCGGCATCTCCATTCTAACATGTCCCAAACAGAAGTCCTAATCTCTCCCCACTCTCACCTCCCCAAATCTAGTCTCTAGACATCCTCATCTCAGTGCATGGCAAACCCATCCTGTCAGTTGCTCAGGCCAAAAGCCTTGGCATAATAACCCTTTACGAGGTTCTCTCTCGCAAACCCTTCATTTAATCCACCAGCATATTCTGTAGGCTCTGCCTTCAAGATCACTGCTCACCACCTCTACTACTACCACCTGGTCAAACCATTATTCTCTCTCCCTTGAGTTTTTTCCAACAGCCTCCCAATGGCCTCCCCACTTCCACCCTTACCCTGTCATGGTCCATTCTTAACACTGAGGCCGGCAATCTCATTAACAAATCAGATGTGTTGATCCTCAGTTCAGAAGACCCCCATGGCTCCCAACTCAATCAAAACAATGCAAACTCCTAACCTGCATAGACAGGCCTATTGAAGTCTCACAGAACATGGACCCTAACTACCTCTCTGACTTCATCTCCTCTTCTTGTCAACCGTGTACCAGCCACACAAGGCTTTCTTTCTGCAAATAAGTCCCCTGCCATAAGCATTTGCACTTCTTGCTCCCTTTATTACGCTTTTCCCCCAGGTGTGTAGTTCAGTCTTTCATTTCACTGAGGTTTCTTTTTTTTTTTTTTTGAGATAGAGTTTGCTCTTGTTGCCCAGGCTGGAGTGCAATGGCGCAATCTCGGCTCACCCGCAACCTCCACCTCCTGGGTTCAAGCAATTCTCCTGCCTCAGCCTCCAGAGTAGCTGGGATTACAGACATGCACCACCACGCCCAGCTGATTTTGTATTTTTAGTAGAGACAGGGTTTCTCTATGTTGGTAGGGCTGGTCTGGAACTCCCGACCTCAGGTGATCCACCCACCTCGGCCTCCGAAAATGCTGGGATTACGGGCATGAGCCACCGCGCCCGGCCTTCACTGAAGTTTCTTATCAAATATCCCCGCACTCTGGCCTGGGCAATGGAGTGAGACCCTGTCTCAAAAAAAAAAATTAAGATTACCATTTTACAATTAAGCAAATAATTCCATGATGAAGCCAGGCCCAGACTACAGGCTGCAGCCCTTATAAAAAAACAGTGGGTAAGTAAAAGTTGATAAACAGCAACAAGGAAATGCACACTTGTGTTAATCAAATATTTAATTTCACACATGCTCTAATGCTTTACTTCCCTTACAATTCTAAGTAGCAGTCTAATGAGATCACATAGGCCTAACAACATTTATTCAACATTCTTCTGACAGAAGCTACAGGCATTTGCTCCAATTTATTCTACCTTTCTTTCTAGGGAAATTGAATAACAAGCAGAATGGAATAAGATTCTAATCCAGAATTCTGGAGACAACGCCAAGGAGACTGCCCTTCAGGTGACTCTAATCTGCAACCAGATTGAAGAACCAGATGACTTTCACAGGATCCATTCAGTTCAAACCAGAAGTCCTACTATTTTGAATAGAAAAGCTGTTAGGCTAATAGCGCAGGAGGTTTATACGGTTTATTCCTTCCTCCCTCAGACCTGTGCATGTCTGCAGAGATGAAGGGAAGGACGAACTGAGTAGGTTGCTGAAAAACGTTTAATTCAAGGGACAAGGAAGGTTACGGAAGAGGAAGAGACATTACGAGAGTTAAGGACAGTGGCTACGTCTACCTCAGCCGGATGGTTCTTAGAAATGGAGACTCTGAGGCCTAACCCCAGGTCTAAAAAAACAGATTCTGCATTTTAACGTCCCCAGACGATTTGTATGCACCGGTCTGCATCCCTAGTTCTCAATGAAACCTAAGAATCATCTGGAGAGTTTGTTAATAACTAGACACCTGGGTCCTACCCCTCAGAGATTCTGATTTACCGGGCTCTCGGTGGAGCTATATGTTTAACAAGCACTGCAAGTTATCCCGGTACAACTGCTCCAAGGTCTACGGTCTGAGAAGTACGGACCGGGAAGGCCTCTGCAAGGAGGTTCTCATTCATCAATTCACCCACTCATCCAGCCAGGACAAGGGCCTTCTTAGGCTATTCTATCTAAAGCGGCCCCCGTTAAACCGCACTCCTGCTTTTCCTCTGTAACACCCACCCCAGCTGCAAGTTCTCCGTACGCTTACCGTCTGTCTCCCCACCCACTAGAACGTGAACTCCAACACAGCAGAGACCTTCTGTGCTTTTCTTACCCAGGTGATCTCGGAGGACAAAATCCAATCTGAAGCCCACCCACCCCTCCCGCGCATGTCAACACCACTCAACAAACCCCTTGTACCTCTAGCTGTAATAAGTAACAAGCAGTATCCTACAGGGCGCCTCGGTGCCCAGGAGCGGATGCAAAGGCGCTGGGCGGGCACAAGGCAGCGCCAAGGACACTCAGGGACGGAGGAACCGACAGGGGACTTGACGCTCCGCCACTCCGACCAGCCGCCCCTTGTCCCCGCCGTCCTCGTCCGCCACTGAGATATCCCCCACGGTCTACCCACCCGTCGGCTCCCACCTGCGACCCAAGGACCCAAGTCTTCCAAGAGCTCAGCCGTTAGAATTCAAAGGTTCTTCTTTTTAAATAGGAGTTAAACCCTCTAGCTAGAAAGCCGATTGGCCTGCGCTCGAGCGAGGCTGCCTTGTGATTGGTTGACAACAAACCCGACGCCTTGAGTCGCGTTTAAGGGCGCACACCGCGCGCAGGCGCACTTGCTCCCTAAGAACCCGGAAGTGGTGGAGCCAACGGCCAGCCAGACCTGTGGCAGTCCCAGCCCCAGGGTGCTCTCCGCGGTCGGCCATTTATCGGTGAAGCAACAGCCCCTTGACGTCAAGCTTGACGCATTGGAGATAAAGTCCAAGGAGGTGAACTAACCTTTGAACGTGCCAGTAAGTAAGATGGCGAGAAAAGCAAGAGAGAGTGGGACCGATCGATAGCGCAGCGGTCGGCTTGGCGCCCTTTCAGCGTGCGCAGTGAACGTGCGCTCGGAGCGGTAGATTGGGCAGGATTCGCGCCTCCATTTTTCCAGGAGAGAGCGGGATACCAAGAGAACCGGACCAGCTGGTACTGGGACACGGGGAGAGTAGCTGGTGCGGTCGGCTGGGGCATTTAGAGAAAACCACAGAAACGACTGGGGCGAGACTGGAAGAGTCGAGAGTTAGCAAGGTGGCATGCGCCTCTACTTTGCGTTTCCTAAGTTGCCCGGCTTGGCCTGCACCCCTTCCTCTTCTCGAAGGGCCTCGCTTCCATTCCCACCCAGTCCTTAGTTCGCCTCTGCATCCAGATGGTCGCGGCGCATATAGTGAGGGGGCATCTGTGTTCTAGCCTTTCCAACTGCGATGTATCCGGTCCTGGATCGGGTTCTTGTCCTCGTGTGCTCACCTGCAAATTGGGGATAATTAGGCTTCTGTTTACCTGGCGAGTGAACGTTCTGTGGGAGTTGAGAAGTTAGGGGTGGGCCACTTAAAATATATATATATATACACACACACACACATATACATATATATACACACACATATGTGTGTGTGTGTGTGTGTATGTACACCCGGGATGTGCTCAGCAGAAGTGAAGAGACCGGATAGAACAGTGGTGTAGGGGAACCAAAAATGGCTTCCCTCCATCCTTCCAGGTACCTTATTAGGACTAAGAGTTAAATTCACATAAGACGAATTAACAGATTACTGCAGGGTAAACAGGATGTGCATGTAAAGCATTGAGCTAGCATACGGAAATTATTCGAGTCATATTAACCCAACGTTAACAGTAGAATCTCTCATCAACTTTTCTTTGCCAGACTACCCACTTGTGATTTTCATTCTTTATTGGTACTTAAGAATCTCCCATTTTTTTCGGGTAACTGAACATTGTCCATGGGAGAAAAACGATATTTAATTACGTACAGGAGTCCCACAAAATACGAGACTAAAAGTTGAAGTCAGATGATTAAAGCCTACATGGCATCCTGAGCTACTGAAAGGAATGAATAGAGAATTGGGGGCGGGGGGCGGGAAGCAGCTCTAACACAAGTTATGGGACGGTGAACGGAGGAAATGTATGGTGAATCAAGTTTGTTATGCAGACAGAATAGGTGATCTTCTGGGTGGTGTCAGCCTCTAATCTCTCATGTGATCCGAGTTAATCTTCCCTGGTTTATAAGGATTCGTGACAATTGAGGTATTTTTGGAGGGTCAGACTTTAGGCAGGTAAGGAAAGCACAGGGAAAGCCTCTTCCCGCCTGCTGTTCTCCAGGTGCCCTCAGTTCAAGGTAATCAGCCCGCCAAAGCATCTTGTTTTGGGCTGGCATTTCCTGAACTCCTTCAGTGGTTAAGCTCAGGGATCTGGAGTTGGCAATTCTGGTGTGCTTTAACCTTGGACAAGTAACTCAGCCACTTTTTACGTTGAGTAGGTGTCCTGACCTCCTTGAACCCATTTCATCATCTTTATTTGTGTCCCAGGATTTTCTACTCAAGCATAGACCTACTATGTTCATGTACTACTTCATATACTTGAATACATTGAATGATTTTATTCAGTGAACTGATGCTTACAAAGTACTTAGCATGACGGTATCTGGCATGCAGGAAGTGCTTAATGTTATTGGTTATTATTAACACCATCAGTGTCATACAGTGTGTAAGAAATCAGGCTCTGGGCCAGGCGCAGTGGCTCGCGCCCGTAATCCCAGCACTTTGGGAGGCGGAGGCAGGCAGATCACCTGAGGTCAGGAGTTTCGAGACCAGCCTGGCCAATATGGTGAAACCCCGTCTCTACTAAAAATACAAAAATTAGCCTGGTGTGGTGGCGGGCGCCTGTAGTCTTAGCTACTCGGGAGGCTGAGACAGGAGAATAGCTTGAACCCAGGAGGCGGAGGTTGCAGTGAGCCGAGATCGCGCCACTGCCCTCAAGCCTGGGCGACAGAGCGAGACTCCGTCTCAAAAAGAAAAAAGAAATCAGGCTCTGAGGTCACTTTTATTCTTTATTGCTGTCCCCAGACACCTGTAGCCTTTTAATCTTGGTCCAAACATACACATACATAAAGGCATTGATTTTTGGTAAGCAAATTATCATGTTGAACAGTTGGAGTTCTTTTTTGAATAAGCCAGAAACCATTTACAGTTTTTTGTCTCTTAAGACTGAAGGAAAACTTAGACACTTGTAAGTCAGTGCATGCACAATCCTTCCCGATTATTACTGTTTTTTTTTTCATTTTTATTGTTTTGACCTTGATTGGCAATATTTTATTGGGCAGCTCACCTTTGAGCCTTTCTAACGCATTTAACTCGGTTGGAGTTTTTGTAGTACAGTTGCTTTTTTTTGCTTCATATTTTGATTTACTGTCTAATTAGATTATATAATTACAGTAACAAGCTCAGTTGCCTTAAAACAGGTTTTGAGAATGAGCATAAAAGATTAGTAAACATACAGCTCAGCTAGTGGAACCAGCAGTCTAGATCTTGACAAAATAGCAGCTATCTTGCATATTGCAGGTACCAGTCAATGTTTAATTAACAGAAGTAATGGAAGATTCTGGGATAACAATAAAGAACAAAAATCATAGGTAGCTAGTTTGGTGGAGAAGAAAAGTTGGTGAGAGATTGTACCGTAAACACTGGCTAACATGACTTGAACAATTTCTGTATGCCAGGCACTGTGCTCAGGGCTTTATATGCACCACCGTGTTTAACTTCCAGTAACTTAACAGCTGAAGAACCTCAGGCTTAGAGAAATGAGGTCACTGACCAAAGATAATGCAGCTAGTAGAGATGGGATTTGAGTCCTGCAAGATTAAGTCTGACCAAAGAGTCCTATGTTGCTTCTGTGATTTACTAGAGCCTGTACCCTTCACCGTCCATTTTCCGTTTTTGCAGCTGGCAGGGAAACTGTCTTCCTTTTCTCCAAGATGTACAGAACCAAAGTGGGCTTGAAGGACCGCCAGCAGCTCTACAAGCTGATCATTAGCCAGCTGCTATATGACGGCTACATCAGCATCGCCAATGGCCTCATCAATGAAATCAAGCCTCAGTCTGTGTGTGCACCCTCGGAGCAGCTCCTGCATCTCATCAAACTCGGTAGATTGTGAACACAAATCCATACGTCCCATGGCAAGGTTTTAGATATTTTCATATGGCAGAATTTTTCAAGATTATTCTTGTTTTGTTTCAGTACCTAGTATGAGCCGGGTACTTCAGTAAGTAAGTAGTTCAGCATGAGTTCAGGAAGTAGCTCAGTAAGTAAGGGGTAAAGCAAAGTTCAGATTATGAAGACCTTAAGCTGGTTCTGGCCTGAGGGTCTTTGTACACATTATCTGGAACACTCTGTCAGACATATTACTGACTTCCTTCAGATTTTACATCAAATGTCATCTGAGTTCTCTTAACTCCTCCTAAAATAATCCGACCCTTTCGTGCATTTTCCCGGTTACCCTGCCATAGCGATCCCATTTGTTTTATAACAGTTGTTTTGAAATTTCCTTTATCATTTGGGCTGTTTCCCATGGGATCCTTACCTCCACACTTCCCACCTACTGCTGCCCCCTTGTCAAAAAAGACTACAAGTTGAGTAAGGATCAGGACCTTGTATTATTCAGCAGTATATCCTGGAGCCTACCTGGCTAATAATAGAAAGCACTCAATAAAATATTGAATTACCAAACATGTTAATACCCTTTGACTTGGCAGTGCCAATTGTGAGCATTTCTCCTGGGGAAATAAAATGGACAAACTGCAATGCCAACAACATGGAATTAGCTGTAAATTTTTAAATATCCATAAAAGTGAATACTATAACATAATTATATAGATGAATATTTATTAGCCAAGATACACTTTTGTTCTGCTTGATTAAGTGAACAAGTGAGTCACAACATGTTACACAGCATTGCTCTATTACTGTTTTGAAAAATAAAACAGCCGTGCACGGGGAAGGATCCCTAAGAATTTATACCGATACGTTAACAGTTATTATCTCTGGGTGGTAAAATTCAAGGTCATTTTTATTTTCTTGTTCATCCATAGTGTTAATTTTTCCTCTACTAATCAACATATTATTTGATTTGTCAAGTTATTTATAAATTTTAAATGCATATTCTTGATAAACCAGTTTTTTTTAAATAACTTTATTTCAAAAACATTTCACTAGCATTCATGTTAACAATGTAGCTAACTTAACGAGCATCAGAGCTGCTAATATATCTCAACCCTAAAAATATTAAAATTTGGAATGGAAAAAAATGGATAATTTAACTACAGAACTGCTATTTTTTGAGTTTCTGTAGTTGTAGATAAAGTAGTAAACTCTGGAGGCAAGAACCTGGGGAAATGACTTTGTCTATTGGAGCCTAACCTTCCAGCAACCCATGTGGCCTCACAGCGTGGTGAACTTTGAATAGCATGGGCAAAATACACAGTTTTGTAAAGTGTTAGGTGTCACGCGGCTCCAAGAAATAGGAGGTTGACACTGGTGAGCATCTTTCCAGTTTGGATCTAGAATTTTATCTTGGCCTTTTTAAGAAAAAACACTTGTTTTGTTACGCCCTTAATTTTGATTTCTTTCAGGAATGGAAAACGATGACACCGCAGTTCAGTATGCAATTGGTCGTTCAGATACTGTTGCCCCTGGCACAGGGATTGACCTGGAATTTGATGCAGATGTTCAGACTATGTCCCCAGAGGCTTCTGAGTACGAAACATGCTATGTCACATCACATAAAGGACCATGCCGTGTAGCTACCTATAGTAGAGATGGACAGTTAATAGCTACTGGGTCTGCTGATGCTTCGATAAAGATACTTGACACAGAGAGGATGTTGGCCAAAAGTGCCATGCCAATAGAGGTAAAAATTCCAGTCACATACTTATTGATTGCCTTCTGTTTTTCATTTTTGGAAAAATGAGAGTATGGTTGAAACCAGCTTTAGTTTGCTACAGTTGTGGATTGTGCACTTGGATTCAGACACATTCTGTGCCTTGAGCATCTCTTCTTGTTGGTCTAGGTCATGATGAATGAGACCGCACAACAAAATATGGAAAACCACCCAGTGATTCGAACTCTTTATGACCATGTGGATGAAGTCACGTGCCTTGCTTTCCACCCAACAGAACAGATCCTGGCTTCTGGTTCAAGGGATTATACTCTTAAATTATTTGATTATTCCAAACCATCAGCAAAAAGAGCCTTCAAATACATTCAGGTAGGAATCTTTAGAAAGGAGCTTTACATTTTTTCTTAAATACAATGAGCTATTGTACAACTATTCTCTTTTTAAAAGTAGTCTCAGTGATCATCCTGTAAGATGCGTACAGACCAGGATGCATGCCCGATGGCACATGGATCAGATTTTGTTGGCACATAGATCACATGCTATCATGTACCTGCTCCCTCTGGCTGGTCAGAGTTTATAATCTGACCCTTTGGAGGGTTTGGAATCCATATCACTCTCTAAAGGTTGTAGATCCCTGTTATAAACAAAACACGACCAGCTTCACTAATATATAACTTAGAGGAATAAAAAAAAAGTTCATTTGAAAGTATTAAGTATTTCCTGGCAAGGTGACATTCGGTACCCTATTTTGAATATGCATTGCAGAAATACTAATGTTTTAGTTGTGGCTTCTGTCTGTTTGATAATTAAACTAGGCTGGTTGCAGTGGCTCATGTCTGTAATCCCAGCACTTTGAGAAGCCAAAGTGGGAGGATCACTTGAGCCCAGAAGTTTATGGTCAGCCTGAGCAATGTAGTGAGACCTCATCTCTACAAAAAATTCTTTTAATCAGCTGGGCATGGTGGCACGCGCCGATAGTCCCAGCTACTCAGGAGGCGGAGGCAAGGATGATCATTTGAGCCCAAGAGGTTGAGCCTGCAGTGAGCTGTGACCATGCCGCTGCACTCCAGCCTGGGCGACAGAGCAAGACCCTGTCTGAAAAAAATAATAATAAACTTAATTTTTCACTCAATATTTGCAGCCCTAGAGCAAATTAAAGAAGCTCTTAGGTACAAGTTGTACTTCAGTTAACCATGCATGAATGTGTCATTGTCTGATAATACTCCATCCTTAGTTTACTCAGTGTTCATTTGTAAATAATGAAGCTCACTTCTGTAGTTTTTGGAATAATATAACCAGTAAATATTTAGTTTTGGAAATCTATTCAAAAAATACTTTCATATGTTCCAGAAAGCACTTTTTTTCTTATGATACCTGTGTAATATCTAATAATTGTTTTATAGATTCTTTTCATCAGCCAGATATTTTCCACATTTCCTCTGGATTTAATTGTTCACCAGTTGGTCACTTGTATTAATGTCTCTGTCCCAACAGGAAGCTGAAATGTTACGTTCCATCTCTTTTCATCCTTCTGGAGACTTTATACTTGTCGGAACTCAGCATCCTACTCTTCGCCTTTATGATATCAACACCTTTCAATGTTTTGTCTCTTGCAATCCTCAAGATCAACACACCGATGCTATATGTTCCGTTAATTACAATTCTAGTGCCAATATGTACGTAACTGGAAGCAAGGACGGCTGCATCAAATTATGGGATGGTGTTTCAAATCGATGCATCACAACTTTTGAGAAAGCACATGACGGTGCTGAAGTTTGTTCTGCCATTTTTTCCAAAAATTCTAAATACATTCTCTCAAGTGGAAAAGACTCTGTAGCTAAACTTTGGGAAATATCAACGGGACGAACACTGGTCAGATACACGGGTATGTGAGACGTTGATGTTACTTAACATTTCTGTAGTGTTTACACTTTCCAGAACTCTCTTTTAAGACCTCACAATAGAGCAACACAATATCTATGCATTGAGCAAGGCAGATGTTACCCTTTCTTAGATAAGAGGAAACCAAGACTTACAGGTTAAGTCATTTAGCCAAGGCTACACGACTTGGAAATAGAACGGTGCTTTCTTTGCTCTTCTGAGCACCTCACACCGTGGACTAGGGCTGGATTCCATGCAAGTAACATTTGAGAACCTGGTGATCCATTTGTAGACTGGCATGCCCTCTTCCCACAGAAATGTGAAAGCAATCCAGAGAAAAGTTTCCAATAGTAGATCTCAGTATTATTAATATATGTATTCATGAAAGAATGGCTGAGAGGGAAGATCTTATCCCATTCCTAAGAGAGCAGACCTAGCCCGCAAAGGAAACCACGTTAATTCTGAATGCAGATATAAAGTAGGCTCAGCAGACAGAAAAAAATTGCATCCACTGAATTCTCATTTATGTATGTTGGTCTCATTGGTAACAGTAGTGCCTGTGGAGTCTTTTTATAATGAAATCCATTTAAATTTATCCTATCACTAGTAGGGCCCAAGTCTGGTTATTTGATAATGAATGTTAAAACACTGTCTTCTGTTCCTTGTAGCAGCAAAGACTGTTGTTTGGTAGAAAACCTCCAGAAAATTTCTGATTGTTTCTTCCATTGTGAGATATGTTTGTATCATACACTAAAATTGGCATGAGCATAACTCAAAAAAAATCACAAGAAAACAGTATTGGAAGGGACTGGATTGTGTTTAAGTTTGCATTGAAGAGTCAGTGACATCTGACCCACTAGGGGGCAGCATAACTTGCCTTAGATTTGTCTCATTGTAACCAAAGTTCCCTTCCCCAGCCATCTTTCTGGCTTCTGGTACCACTAGCAAATCTTAGGAAGAGCCATTTTTATCATAATTCTTGGTGACTTCATTGAAACACTTGTATAAAGTTGTTCTGAAAAGTATTTATTATAAAGAACTACTTTATAATAGTTGTGTTTGTTGCAAAAAGAAGATAAAAAAGTGATCAGGGTAAATGTGAAAGTACTCCCCCTATAGAAGTTATAACTGTTTTAAGGAGTGTGCTGTATCTGGACAGATACACACCAGCCTACTGACAATAGCTTATATATTTGCTCTAGGAATGTTTTGGGTGTTTTATAATAGTATGAGGTTGATTGGCTTGTTTTAGTGGGGAATAGCAGTGTGGTTTTTCAAAAATGTGATTATGCTGAATTTATGCACAGATTCCCCTTTTCCTTTTTTCTCATTTCACAGGTCAAGCGCCTGTCATGTCAGCATGTTAAGATTTCTGTTCCCAGTTTTAATAATTAGTTAGAATTTGGGCCAGGCGCGGTGGCTCACACCTGTAATCCCAGCACTTTGGGAGGCCGAGGTGGGCAGATCACAAGGTCAGGAGTTTGAGACCAGCCTGGCCAATATGGTGAAACCCCGTCTCTATGAAAAATACAAAAATTAGCTGGGCTTGGTGGCGGGCGCCTGTAGTCCCAGCTACTTGGGAGGCTGAGGCAGGAGAATAGCTTGAACCTGGGAGGTGGAGGTTGCAGTGAGCCGAGATTGCGCTGCTGTACTCCAGCCTGGGCGACAGAGTAAGACTCCGTCTCAAAAAATGATAATAATAATAATTAGTTAGAATTCAGAGGGTTTTTGAAATGATGAAAAAGGAAAAACTATCAAAACTTTAGAAATTGGGATGCAAAAAATTAAAAACAATATAAATAACATACAGGACTGGGAGAAAATGGTTATAGCATATATACAGATGTTAGACATTGAGTTAACATCCTTAATCTATAAAGAGAACTCATATGGGAAAAAGATGAGTCCAAACTCGAGAAAAAAGGAGCCAAAGGACAGGGGGCTGCAGAAGAGAAAAATGGTCAGGAAATGTAAGAAAAGGTGGCCAGCCTTGCTGCAGACCCAAGAAATGAATATGGGGACCTGGTTTTGTTAATCAGATTTCAGGAGTCTTAAAGATTTATATTATCTACTATTGATAGAGATTTCGGGAAATCATATTTTGTTGGTCAGAGTCAGCTGGTAAAATATTTCAGCACAGTTTGGTGTCATATCAAAATTTTAAATACACGCTTTTTGACCCACTATATCTACTCTTAGAAATTCAACCTAAAGAGGTAATTGGACAGACATGCACATGCCCATAAAAGGATGTGTGTCCCAACATCATTTGGAGTGGCTGAAAGTTAGAAACAGCATAAATGTCCAATAAGAAGCACTGAGGAAATCTGTTACGCATCCATGGACAACATACACCTTTAAAAATAAGTATGCATGCTAACATGGGCTGAGCACTCGCACTCCAGAGCCTCCTTTGCATTCTCTTATTCTTAATCCTCACAGCCTTATGGGGTAGGTTCTGTAACTACTCCATGGAACAGATGAGAAAATTAAGGCTGAGGAATGTTAAGTAATTTGCCCAGGGTCACATTAGTGTTGAACCCACATCTGACCACACAGACTTTGTGTTTTTATCCACTAAGCTGTATTCTGTCTTTACAGATCTGCACTACATATGCTTGAATATTAATAGTATATGACAAATGCTCTGACTTAAAGAAGTTACAAATGAAGCCAGGGACTGTGGCTCACACCTATTATCCCAGCACTTTGGGAGGCCAAGGTGGGCAGATCATCTGAGGTCAGGAGTTTGAGACCAGCCTGGCCAACATGGTGAAACCCCATCTCTACTAAAAATACAAAAATTAGTTGAGTGTGGTGGCACATGCCTGTAATCCCAGCTACTCAGGAGGCTGAGGCAGGAGAATCTCTTGAACCCAGGAGGCAGAGGTTGCAGTGAGCCGAGATCACACCATTGCACTCCAGCCTGGGCAACAGAGTAAGACTCTATCTCAAAAAAAAAAAAAAAAGAGAGAATTTACAAGTGAGCACATAACACTTAGATATTTCGAAAGAGTATTCACCAAAGTATTGACTGTTACCTCTGATGGGTGCAATTATTAGGCAGTTTTTATTTTCCTTTTTATACTTTATTTGGTACTTTTAAACATAAAATATGTAATTTATAGTCATAAAAAGGCTTCCTTTTGGAAAGTAGATATTCATATACTTTGTCTCAGTAATTCTGTCTCTAGGAATTTACTCCTAAGGAAATAAAGCTTTCTGTACAAAGGATGTTCATTACAACATTACTTATAATTGATATAAACTAAATGTCAGGAAGTAAAAGAATTGTTAAACAGGCCGGGCATGGTGGCTCACACCTGTAATCCCAGCACTTTGGGAGGCCGAAGCAGGTGGATCACAAGGTCAGGAGATAAAGACCATCCTGGCCAACCTGGTGAAACCCTGTCTTTACTAAAAATACAAAAATTGGCTGGGTGTGGTGGTGTCCACCTGTAGTCCCAGCTACTTGGGAGGCTGAGGCGGGAGAATCACTCGAACCCAGGAGGCGGAGGTTGCAGTGAGCCGAGATCACGCCACTGCACTCCAGCCTGGCGACAGAGTGAGACTCTGTCTAAAAAAAAAAAAAAAAGATCACACACAAAAGAATTGTTAAATAAGTAATGGGGCTTCTAAACATGAGGCACTTTGCATCTAGTAAAAAACATGGAAAAATGTACTCAGCATAAAGTTGGTTAAAACTATAATAGAAAAATATAGTGGCAACAATTTTATATGTATTTTTAAAATGTGTTTTTTTATGCCTCAAAGTACATTAGGACAGTAACAGTATTGCTTCAGGTGATCTGGTGATCTCCTTTTTTTTTTTCCTGATGCAGTCTTGCTCTTGCTCTGTTGCCTGTTGCCCAGACTGGTCTTGAACTCCTGGGCTCAAGCAGCCCTCCTTCCTCAGCCTCCCAAAGTACTGGGATTACAGACGTGAGCCACTGTGCCTGGTTTGATTTTCTTTTTTGTACTTTTTTAGAGTTTCTGAAAGTGTACAAGGTGTATCACTGCAACAGGTTTAAAATGCTTTTACATTGAATGCTAGAACGTTCTGAGGGTCTAAGATGTGGACTTAGAAAGCTATCCCTCTTGCTCTCTGTGGCAGGCGCGGGTTTAAGTGGACGCCAGGTGCACCGGACACAGGCTGTGTTTAACCACACCGAGGACTATGTGTTGCTGCCCGACGAGAGGACGATCAGTCTTTGCTGCTGGGACTCGAGGACAGCCGAGCGGAGAAACCTGCTGTCGTTGGGGCACAACAATATTGTACGCTGCATAGTGCACTCCCCCACCAACCCCGGGTTCATGACGTGCAGCGATGACTTCAGAGCGCGGTTTTGGTACCGGAGATCGACCACTGACTGAGCCACCCTCTCCGTAGGGTTCTTTCTCGAGGACTCTACCCTCCTCCCCCACGTCCTGTCTCAGCTGCAGTCGTAAGTCCGTGCACCATCCTTGACGTTTTGCTGCCACCTCTGTCCACATTCTTCTTGGATTTGTATAAAAGAATCTTTTTTTACCTTGATGTAGAATCATGGTGGAAAAAGTTGGAAACACAGATCTGTGCAGTTCTACATTCACTGATTATTACAGTGTGATTTTCATCGGTTTTGTAAGTACAGGACTTGCCGTTTCTTTTGATCTCTTGATTGAAGGAGGATAGGGCATTAAAGTGCTTTTGACATGAGGAATTTTCATTTGGTTCTTCTGTCAACTTTCTTGCTTATTCTGCTGAACCCTCTGTGTATTTCCCTTCCAGGTATATTTGAACAGATAAGCAGGCATGCAGCTCTGAGACTCCTGAGTTTTATGCCATTATCAAAAGCATTTTCAAGAATCCCTCAATTCTATCCTGAAATGATGTTATTCTGATAATAAAGCTCAGATCTGCAACTTTATTGTTATATATTTTTCACTTCTGTAAAATTAATGGCCAGTTTTTCCTGACAATTTATAGGAACAGTATCTTTCAACATACTCCCTACATTATCCTTCAATATCTGCAATACTTGTCTTTAGTAACTGTATTTCTGGTAAGATTATGATTTCATGAGAAACAATTGAAAATATATCCGATCTAATTAAATTAGGTCAGCCTGCTATTGCTCTCAGGTGTTGCCTGTCTTCACGAATGATTAGTATCGATTGACCTCTTTCTTAGGTGGTTTTAAGTCTTCAGTTCTCGTCAGCATGAACTAACTTCTCATCATGGAGGCACATAGTAACTGCATTCTCAGAAGATTTATGCAGTTAACCAATTGATACAAGTTTTCTTTTTCTTGAATTTTTTTTTTTTTAATTGAGGCACAGTCTTGCTCTGTCACCCAGGTTGGAGTGCAGTGGCGTGATCTCAGCTCACTGCAAGCTCCGCCTCCTGGTTTCACACCATTTTCCTGCCTCAGCCTCCCAAGTAGCTGGGACTACAGGCACCCACCACCACGCCCGGCTAATTTTTTTTTTTTTTTTTTTTTTTTTTGTATTTTTAGTAGAGCCAGGGTTTCACCATGTTAGCCAGGATGGTCTCTATCTCCTGACCTCGTGATCCGCCTGCCTCAGCCTCCCAAAGTTTTGGGATTACAGGCGTGAGCCACCGCGCCCAGCCTTCCTGAAGCTTTTTAGAACATGACAGTACTTCTCTGGATTCAGCACTAGCAGAGTCAGAGAACTCTGAACTCCCCTTGTACAAACATAAACTTTGCTTTATATTTATCCCAAAAAACAAATACCTTATGATCTGCATAGGAGTACCTAGAAATATAATCTGGGATCATTTGATAAAAATAGTAAATAGATTGAAGTAAAAGTCATTGCTTTATATTATAGGAAGTTTTGTTTTGTTTTGTTTTGTTTGTTTTGTTTTTGAGACGGAGTTTCGCTCTTGTCCCCCAGGCTTTAGTGCAATGGCGCGATCTCGGCTCACCGCAGCCTCCGCCACCTGGGTTCAAACGATTCTCCTGCCTCAGGCTCCCGAGTAACTAGGATTACAGGCGTGCGCCACCATGCCCGGCTAATTTTGTATTTTTTTTAGTAGAGACGGGGTTTCTCCATGTTGGTCAGGCTGGTCTCGAACTCCCAACCTCAGGTAATCCGCCCGCCTCAGCCTCCCAAAGTGCTAGGATTACAGGCGTGAGCCACCACGCGCGGCCCCATCATACGAAGTTACTGAAGTTATTGCGTAAACATTCTGTTTTAGTCATCCTTGAGGATCGTTTTAACTCCTTGATCTGTAAAACTGTCTTAAGCATCTTAACATGTTACATCACAGGGTTTTAGCTCAGATTTCCAAAGAGCCATATTTTTTGATGCATATTTCCAGTTGAATTCCAGTGTGAATTTCCAGTTGTACTTTGCATTCTGATTCTTTGATATTTGAACTTGGCCATCTGTGGGTGCTACTCTCGTAAGACTAAAAGGCACCTACTAAATACGAACAAGGATAACCAGTTCTACCAAAAACATTACCAACCAAACCTCCCCTGTTCTTTTTTCAGACTTTCCTTTTGCTTTCAACCTCTTAAACTGTAAAGGAGAGATTTAATGTTTCCCTATTATTCTGCTTTGACTCACATACTAAAATGACCACATGGCACTCCATTGAATCTTTTCAGTTGTTCACGAATTAAAATAATGCCCATGTTTTACAGTTTTTCGAGTAGTCTCAGCAATGGATCTGTAGTTTCAGGACCTGTTTTTAAAAGATCAAGATACTTTTATGTGTTTCAGAAGTAGCTGTTTTTTCATTTTTTGTGGGTTTGTTTTTTTTGTGTTTGTTTGGTTGGTTGGTTTTTGGTTTTTTTGCTTTTTAAAGGTCACAGTGTTGTGAGCCTGGTGTAAATGCCAGGAATATTATATGGACTTAGTATCTGCATCTCGTTAATTGTACCACACAACACTCTGCCATTCAAATAATGAATATCTGGTCAGGATACGAACTTATACCCTCTGTGTGTTTTTTTTTTTTAAGATACGTGATTTCTGAAATAAACTTTATATACAATGATAAGCTAGTTTATTTTTTTTGGAACTTACTTTGAACATTTCCCACATTTGAACATCTGTTCTCAAACAGCAGTTATGACTTTGGTACTGTTCACCCTTTCTTTAGTGCTTTGTTCCAGAAGTCAGGTTTTTATAGCTGGATCACCTTTAGCTCTTTATCTTTGCTCCTCTGCTCTCTATGAATTTTTCTTTTTTTGAAACGAATTCTCACCCTGCCGCCCAGGCTGGAGTGCAATGGCGCGATCTCGGTTCACCGCAACCTCCGCCTCCCAGGTTCAAGCGATTCTCCTGCCTTAGCCCCCTGAGTAGCTGAGATTACAGGCGCGTGCCACCATGCCTGGCTAATTTTTTCTATCTTTAGGAGAGACAGGGTTTCGCCATGTTGGCCAGGCTGGTCTTGAACTCCTGACCTTCTGATCTGCCCACCTTGGCCTCCCAAAGTGCTGGGATTACAGACGTGAGCCACCGTGCCCGGCCGCTCTCTGTGAAGTTAAAGAACTTGAGTATAATTCAGTTTTTTGGCTTATTCAGAGAACGCTATCTTTGCTTACACTTTGGTTTTCCTTAGGAAGAGCAATGTGAGAGAGTCCAGTCTCAGCTCTGTTACTGACTTGGTAAGTAATAGGGCAAGTCATTTTTCTGGGATACAGCTTCCTTTTCTGCGATTAAAGGGCTTAATGAAAAAAATCTCCAGCATGCACTTCAACCTGTAAAGCTCTTTGTTTTCATGCCTGATGATACAAACAGACTTCAGGGAGGGAGGAAGCCATTGTTCCTAAGCGGGAGACATCTGTTTCTAAAAAGGTAACAAACCAGATATTTCCAGAGCCCTTTCAATTCAAACCTGGATAGAACTTTTTTTAAATCTCTAATAGTTAGCTGAGACAGCAAGAAAGAAGGAATTCCTGAGGGGCAGAACAAAGCACAAATCCAGAGGATTCGCAGTGCTGGAGCACTGAGTAGGTCAGTTCCTGTAACCTACTCATCTCTGAGCAGAAGTCAAAGCTCTGAGTCTTCATGGAGGAGGAACTTTGGTCAAGACCCAGAAAGCCTGGAACCCCAAAGGTGCCCCTTCAGTAAAAGGATGAACTTGACAAAAACCTGCCTCAGAGAAAGACGAGAAATCTGCCTGCTTGGTGCTGGCTCAGGGGTTTTCGGAGAGAGGGTGTCTGGTGTTGGCACAAGGGAGGGTCTCCTGAGAATTCGGTCCACGCACTGTTCCTCATGCAGGTTTGGAACAATTTACGCTACCTGTACTGCTCAGAGAAAATCAAATGGGGATCTTAAAGCAGTCTCCAACTGATGGTGGCCACAAGTATCTGGCAGAGGCCAGCACGAATTTTCTGTGCAAGAACACGTCTTAACCCCAGTCCTCCCTCTATCCCAGATAAACCTCTGAGGATCATGAACTCACAGTCAGGTACGTGAGGAAACAAGCCACCCTGATAAGAATCAGCAAAAATAACATAATCAGACTTGCAAGGACCTAGTGGAATTACCAGACACAGATTAAATTCAGAGAACTAAAACAGTAACTAAAATGGGACCAAGGGGCGGGCGTGGTGGCTCACGCCTGGAATTCCACACTTTGGAAGGCCGAGGCTGTGAGATGGCTTGAGGTCAGGAGTTCGAGACCAGCCTGGGCAATAGGGCAAAACCTCATCTCTACCAAAAATACAAAAATATTAGCCGGGTGTAGTGGCGCACACTTGTAGTCCCAGCTACTCAGGAAGCTGAGGCATGAGAATCGCTTGAGCCAGGGAGATGGAGGTTGCAGTGAGCCAGGATCAAGCCACTGCACTGCAGCTTGGGCAACAGAGCGAGCCTCTGTATCAAAATAAAAATGGGACCAAGGATTAAAAAACTTGCACAAGGCCAGGCGCCGTGGCTCACACCTGTAATCTCAGAACTTTGGGAGGCTGAGACCGGCGGATCACCTGAGGCCAGGAGTTCAAGACCAGCCTGACCAACATGGAGAAACCCCATCTCTACTAAAAATACAAAAACATTAGCCGGGTGTGGTGGCACATGCCTGTAATCCCAGCTACTCAGGAGGCTGAGGCAGGAGCATCGCTTGAACCCGGGAGGCAGAGGTTGCGATGAGCCGAGATCGCACCATTGCACTTCAGCCTGGGCAACAAGAGCGAGACTCCATCTAAAAAAAAAAAAAAAAAAACTTGCACAAGGGACTGGGCAGGTTTGAATTAAAGAATAAGACTTGTGGAAAACCTCCTATTGGAATGTTTCTCTAGTTTTCATCGTGAATTGCTTTGGCCTTTCCCTGGAGCTCTTAACTGTTGGCCTTCCTGCTCCCTGACTGGATATTTGACTCTATGAAGCCTCTTTCACAGGCGTCTTTTGGCCAAGCAACTCCTCGCCACTCTGTCTGCTCCCCAGTAACGACCGCTTGCCTGGGGCATCATTTTCTCTCTGGCTTTTTCTTGCTCTCCTGCCGGCATTCAGCCTTTCCCTCCAGCTTCCTGTCCCCACTCTGTCCCCAGAGCATTTCCTTTGCATCCTTGTTTTCAATTCTTGCCCTAATTCCTTTTCCCTCCCAACCTGGGGGTCAAAACTTGGGTGATAAAACTAATCACTAATAACTAGAGTGGCTGCAGATTCCCCAGCCCTCCCAGTATTATCCCTGCAGCAGAATATTTGGTGAATTTGTGGGCAATTCATGAAATTCTTTTTTTTCTTTTTTCTTTAAGACAGTCTCACTCTCGCCCAGGCTGGAGTGCAGCGGTGCGATCTCCACTCTACTGCAGCCTCCACCTCCCGGGTTCAAATGATTCTTGTGCCTCAGCCTCCCAAGTAGCTGGGATTATAGGCATGCACCACCACGCTCGGCCAATTTTTGTATTTTTTGTAGAGATGGGGCTTCGCCATGTTAGCCAGGCCTGGCCTCAAATGATCTGCCTGCCTCAGCCTCCCAAAGTTCTGGGATTACAGACCTGAGCTGTCTTGCCCAGCCAATTCATGAAATTCTGCTTTGGTCAAAAGAGCTATTTTTATGAGTAATCTTCATGAGATTACAGCCTGAAACTTCCCGCCAAGCCTTTAATGTTTTGAACATTGTAAGTCTGGTGTTCAGCTGTCCTTTATAATTCAAATATCGAGTGCCCAGTGTTTCACTACTACCAGTCAGGGAGCTTGATATTCACATGAAAACAACATAAAAGCATACAGAAAAACATGCAAAAGCAATTTTCCTCCCTACGCATGTATAAGGCACTATAGAAGTGAATTGGTCAGACTCACTTGTCTCAGAAAAGAAAATTCGGTCCAAACTACTGTTCTTGATAGCACATTTGCCAAGAGCATTAAGATTACCTCACTAGAGTCCTTCTGACGTAGTTCCCTTGAACTCCAGCTGTTTCAGCCTTCAGACAACCGGATATTATGCAAGCACCCAGTTTCCTAGACTAATAGTTCTTGCAATGTTTGTCCACATTAAAGGCTCATTTGCCTTAAAATACTAATGGATTGCAGCAAAATGTCTAAGGCAGTTTCTCACACCTTTCATTCAGAAAAACCATAGAGGGCTCAAATAACAGACCGAGAGGTCAAGTTCCTTATTCACAAAATATCAAACTAGGTATCTATGTAGGAGCTAGTTGATATAATTTCAGGGCCAAAGCCTATTACTTTTGTGTCTTACTTTTCTAGTTGAGGTTGTTTTCCCTAGAAAAAACAACTTGTGAATTATAGCATTCTGATCTGTATTATGAGCTTAAGGGCAGGCTCTTCAGTATAGGGAAGAATCACTGCCGGGAGTCTGCCAAGTTGATGGAAACCATCTGAACTTGAGTTACTGTGGAGTCTTTTCTAAGAGACTTGAATTCAGTTTCTGGGTCTGTTACTTTACTCTGTGACCTTGGGCAAGTTTATCCATCCTTCCTTTTCATTACAGAGAATTTCAGACATAAAAGTCAACAATACAGCAGAAACAGTGGTTTCCAGGGGCTGGGGGAAGAACAAGTAACTGCTAATGGGGTAAATGTCCAGGAATTGAAAGAGGATTACTTTTTGAAATGGTGGTTGCACAACTCTGAATGTACTAAAAACCACTGAATTGTATACTTCAAAAAGGTGCATTGGCCAGGTGCGGTGGCTCACACCTATAATCCCAGCACTTTGGGAGGCTAAGGCAGGTGAATGACGAGGTCAGGAGATCAAGACCATCCTGGCCAACATGGTGAAACCCTGTCTCTACTAAAATACAAAAAAATTAGCCGGGCATGGTGGCACGCACCTATAATCCCAGCTACTTGGGAGGCTGAGGCAGGAGAATCTCTTGAAACCTGGAGGTGGAGGTTGCAGTGAGCCGAGATTACACCACTGCACTCCAGCCTGGTGACAGAGCAAGACTCCGTCTCAAAAAAAATAAATAAATAAAGGTGAATTTTATGGTACCTGAATTATATCTTAATATAATATTAATATATTATTATTAATATAATTTATATCTTAATATCTCTATGGATCTCCTCCTTGAACCAAACTGTTCATTGCGTGGGGTCATTGTTCCCTCCCTGTTATCTGCTATCGCCTGCAGCATGCCAATTACTTGGCCCTGAAGTTAATTTCTAACAATGATAACATTTAAAAATGTGGACTGTCTCAGCCAGAAATCAGTCAGCTACTTCAATGGGTAAATACATCCTGGTGCCCAGACTTGTGGGGACGACACATGGGACAACCAGAGGACAAGACGCTAAGTGCTATCTGTTGAACTTGCCTCAGAGGTGTGGTAAAAGAAAAGAAAATTTAAAAATAAAAAATTAAAAAATGCTGTCTGACAAGAAGATAGCGGTAAGCTATCCCCCACAGCTGGTTGGGGATAGAACTTGAGCCTGGCTTGGAAGAATGGGCACCATTTTGTCTAAATAAAAATGCAGGCCGGGGCCAGGCGTTGTGGCTCACGCCTGTAATCCCAGCATTTTGAGAGGCTGAGGTGGGTGGATCACTTGAGGTCAGGAGTTTGAGACCAGCCTGGCCAACATGGTGAAGTCCTGTCTCTACTGAAAATACAAAAATTAGCCAGGCGTGGTGGCGGGTGCCTGTAATCCCAGCTGCTCTGGAGGCTGAGGCAGGAGAATCACTTGAACCCGGGAGGTGGAGGTTGCAGTGAGCCGAGATTGCGCCACTGCGCTCCCACCTGAGTGACAGAGAAAGACTCCGTCTCAAAAAAAAAAAAAAATGCAGACTTATTTTGCTCAGTGTCTGCTATGCTGTAGGTCCTCTCTAGAGATTGGATCTGAATTTAGGAAAAGTAAAAAGAGTTGGCAAGTGATGATAAACTGCATGAGCTAGCAGGGGTTTCAAGTACAACACACACGATAAGTTTATTTGATTTAAGAGAGAGAATACAGGTGCGGGGCTCAGCATAGCCCTCAGTGCAGAGCCAGTACCCAGAAGATGTTATTCATTAGGTACCATGAGCAAAGACCAGGAGATGAGCATGGGGTTCCGAGCAGGGTGAATGCACAACTGACAGGGTGGGTAGAGTGGAGACTGTGTCCTTTAAGGCAGCCTGTTTGACTGCTTTTATCCTGGCTGTCATAAGGCAAGTTTTAGGGAGCAGGAAGGAAGAAATGCTGACCGCTATCAGAAATTTGGCCTAGTGGCCTCTCATCAGGGAAATGAGCTTGGTCTGTTCGGTTGGAGTTGTTCCACAGAGTTCAAAGGACAAGAATGCTGTGTGTTCATACACTGAGCTCTTCGAAGTAGGAACTTCGCCCTATAAAGCAGAAGAGTGGTGTTTTTTTCTTCTTCTTCTTCTTTTGTGGTTTCACATAGCAAATGAGTGACAGTCTCTACTTACAGACAAAGTGAGACGTCAGGCATTGAGACGTGAGTGTGGCTTGTATTTCTGGTCCTCCCCTGCTTCACTGCTTTCATTTTACTCTTATCGTGCTTTCCAGAAAGTTTGCCTGCTGGGAGAGTCTTTTTGATCGTTTCCCATGTGTTGTCAGATAGCTCCATAGAATTCAGTTTCTGAGAACCAGCCAGAAGCATGCAGTGACATTGCACAATCTGCCTCTGAAGCTGGAGATACTAGCTGCAGAGCTCAGGGGAGCTGCTCCACATCACCGACATGAAGGGAACAGGCATCATGGACTGTGCGCCCAAGGTGAGTGATGTGGGGCTGTTTGAATGGGCTCTGGCGGGGAGCAAGCTGTGATGATTAAGGGTGTTGACCAGCTTTAGTTGTGACTTTCTAATAAAGGTTGAATACCAGTGACGTGTGAGTTGGAGATGGGAAAGTTTAACATAAGTTTAAGTGTGGGAAATAGATGTGTTGTAAAGCTCCTTACCAGTTTGCATCCAAGATGGGTGAAAATGACTTTGTAGTAGAAATCAGCTTACTTGGTTGACAGCGCCGTCCATCATTTTGCGTCCAGCAAACTCCTGAAGCAAGATGCGAGTCTGCCTCAGCCCCCGCTAATTCCTTCTTTCTCTGGACCCCAAAGACACTCAGTGCCACTCTAACTGTCCTATTTGGTTTCTGTGCTCACCTCCCAACAGCAGAGCCCAGACCCTTGCCTGCAGCCTCCCGTGCTGAGCCCACAGTGGGCACTTACATGTTATTTTCATGTTAACTTGTGCATTATGTGAGCAAAGCTGGAGCTTTCAGACAGACTTCATGCCTGTCATGAATCAAAAAAGATTCACTATTTAGAAAGGTGAAAGAAGCCAGGCACGGTGGTACATACCTGTACTCCAGCTACCGGAGAGGCTGAGGTGAGAAGATTAATTCAGCCCAGAAGTTTGAGTCCAGCCTGGGCAACATAGCGAGACCCCATCTTAAAAAAAAAAAAAAGAAAAGAAAAGTTAAAATGGCTACCATATTAAAAAAAAATTTACCCAGACATAAAGAAAGTGAAGCTCAAGGTTGTGTTTTCATCTTGCTATGCCCTTTTTAAATTTTAAGTAGAACAGGAAAAAAGAAATGAAACAAGCAGTAAATGGGGAGCTTGCTTATAAAAATCAATGCTTATTTTTCATTATAATAAAAGTGACTAGTGTGGCTGTCTGCGGTGGCTCACACCTGTAATCCCAGCACTTTGGGAGGCCAAGGCAGGTGGATCACTTGAGGCCAGGAGTTTGAGACCAGCCTGATCAACATGAAAAAACCCCATATCTACCAAAAATACAACAATTAGCTGAGCGTGGTGGCGCATGCCCGTGATCCCAGCTACTCGGGAGGCTGAGGCACAAGAATCGCTTGAGCCTGGGAGGCAGAGGTTGCAGTGAGCTGAGATTATACCACTGCATTCCGGCCTGGGTGACAGAGCAAGACTCTGTCTCAAAAAAAAAAAAAAAAAAAAAAAAAAAGTCACTAGTGGAATTTGTGACTGAGTAACCCATGACAGTCTCTCTTGTATAGATTATATGTAAATATCTTAGCTACCCTAGAATTTTGTCCCCAACTACTTACTTTGAAAAATTTCAAACCATTGGAAAAATATGGGAAGCGTGGGGGTTATTCAGTAAATCCCTGCATATCCTTCACCTAGATCATTGGTTTCTGGTACTTTGTCATATTTGTGTGCATTTATTTGTGTATATTTAGACACTGGAACACACTTCATTTTTATTGTTGTTGTTAAACTCTTTGAAAATAAATGGCCAATACAATGACGCTCCACCCCTAAACTTCATTATGTGTCTCCTAAGAACAAGGACATTCATCTACAGAACGTAGAAGAATATCTACATATCATCATACCCAAGAACATTTCACATTTATTTAATAATGCCTTTCTACTATTCAGTCTAATTCACGTTGATTTAATAATGCCATTCTACTATTCAGTCCACATTCACATTTTCCAAAATTATCCTTTTTAGCTTTTCTGGCTGTTGTTGTTTGTGTGTGTGTTTGTCTTTCTGATCCAGGTGGTGTTTGTCAATTCTCAGTTCTTAATCTAGAACAATCTACTACCTTTTTCTCTTTCATAACATTGACCTTTTTTCTAAACAGCCTAGATTTTTTATGATTTAGACTTCTTTTTATGTACTGCTTATTCTGCCTAAATAATTTATGTAGCGCTTTACAATTGGGTGGGGTTTTGTTATTTAAAAAAAATATTTTTAGCAATGGGGGTATCACTCTGTTGTCCAAGCTGGACTCAAATTCCTGAACTCAGGTGATTCTTCTGCCTCAGCCTCCCAAGTACAGGATTACAGGTGCACACCACCGAGCCCCACTGCAATTTGTAAATAACATGCATGTTTGCATAGAACATATAATTGATATTCCCAGCATCCCCATGAAATTCTGCTATTAATATTATACAGATAGGCCGGGAGCGGTGGCTCATGCCTGTAATCCCACCACTTTCAGAGGCTGAAGCGTGTGGATCACCTGAGGTCAGGGGATTAGCCTGGCCAAAATGGTGAAACCCCATCTCTAGTAAAAATACAAAAAAATTAGCTGGGCATAGTGGTGCACGTCTGTATTCCCAGCTACTCGGGAGGCTGAGGCAGGAGAATTGCTTTATATATATATATAAATAGTAGCCAACCCTTACCGATTGTCTACATGTGAGGCCCTGTGCTGAGTGCTCTACTTGCATTTTCTCACTATTACATCCTCACAACATCCTCATGAAGCAGAGGTATTATTCCCCTGTCACAGACGAGGAAACGAGGCCTCGCTGACTTGCCCAAGGCCATACAGCTAGTAGGTGGCAATGCCAGGAATCAACCCCAGGCAGACTAAGCTCAGAGCTCCATTCTTAGCTCATTATATTCTCTCCCTTGTACCAGGGGTTGGCAAACTCTTCATAAAGAGTCAGATAGTATTTTATGCTTTGCAGGCCAAATACAATCTCTGTTGCATATGGTTGTTTGTTTATGCAGTCCTTAAGATATGTACAGTCATTCTTCACTTATGGGTCATCCATCTAGATTTGGTCCACAGGCCCTTGTGTAGCAGCCTATGTCATCTCAGTTTACGTAGGCCACCCCCACCCACCCACGCAGTACCAGGAAACACCCAAGTTGTCGACACCTAGTTCAGAGGCATCCTCAGTTAACTGTTTCTTGGGTGTCCCTACAGAAACTATCAATGCATCTATAAGATACATGTTTTAAGGTTTTACACAAATAGGAGCTGTAAGTAAAGATCTGTTGAGCTTCTTGCCTTTAGCAACTACCAATACGTACTGGTGTTCAGTTCATATTAGTGCAGTTGATCCATCTCATTAATCTTAATGCCTACATTGTTGCTCAATTGCTTTATAAATGGTAGCACAATGCTTCAAGGGGTCATGTCATGTCAGTGGTCCTTAGCTTTGGGGCATTCGCCTTTAAAACAACCCTGCCTTTCATTCAGGGCCACCGCAGATAGCCTTTCAGACCCTGAAGTTCGCCTTTGTACATCGTATGGTAAACAGGGACTGTTCTCGCAAGCTGTTCCTAATTCTACCTGCTGGCCAGTAGCTCCGTTGCCAGTAGAGCTGCTTTCACCTTTGTGCATGGCAGATTTTGTGTAATATCCAGACTGATTTATTCTATTTTTTAAAAATTGTTTTATAGAACAAGGCGAAATTTTTTTAAAACACGTGATATTAGTGATAGGAAACACTGGCCTCAAAGGTGGTAAATTTAACACCTCATTCATTGGTTTGTGGAACTCTAGCCAACTAGTCAACTCCATTCAAGAAATACTAGAAATTTAGTTTTCGTGGGTTTTTTTGAGGTGGAGTTTCACTCTGTCGTCCAGGCTGGAGTGCAGTGGCATGATCTTGGCTCACTGCAACCTCCACCTCCCAGGTTAAAGCAATTCTCCTGCCTCAGCCTCCCAAGTAGCTGGGATTACAGGCATGTGCCACCATGCTCAGCTAATTTCTGTATTTTTAGTAGAGACGGGTTTTCACCATATTGGCCAGGCTGGTCTCGAACTCCTGACCTCAAGTTATCTGCCTGTCTCAGCCTCCCAAAGTGCTGGGATTACAGGCGTGAGCCACTGCGCCCAGCCAGAAATTTAGTTCTAAAAGAACTAAAATTGTCTAAAAGACAAGGAGGATAAGTGGGCTTATTATACGTAAGTTCTTATTTTGGATTTTTGGTAGTTTCAAGATGCCTTAGTTACGAAAATAGAGTCTGCAATGTACTTTAGTGATTCAGTCCTGTTTGCTATAAATTCTGTTTACTTCCGTGTGTGTGTGTGTGTGTGTGTGTGTGTGTATGCACACATGCCATTACAGGTAATATTGAAATTAGCATCTTCATACACAGCCCTTTTTTCCCCAATAACATGATTTTCTCACTGGAGTAAATGTCCAGGAATTGAAAGAGGATTTTACTGAATGAAATAAGCTTTGGCACTTATTTTCCATCATTTTCTGAGAATTTCTGATATTTGATTCTATTTTAAACCTACTTTCCCCAGTATTTTCTCTACAATCTGTACTTTCTTTTATAAAGACAGCTATGTGCTCATTCAGTTTTCTGAAGGCATTTTTCAAGCAAGCATCTTTACTATGTTACTGAAGAGTGGATGGTCCAATATTTATACTGTAAGAACATTTAAATGTGATTATCTTTCACATTTTAAATTCAGCCTCAATTAAAGAGCAAATCTTTTTTGTCTCTCTCCCATCTCAACTCTGAGTGGCATGGTTTTGGACCCACTCAAGAAGGATCAAGGTAAAAATGTAGAATTTTTTAAAAAATCTTCCACATCTCAAGGTTGGTTTAAACACGACAAAATGTGTTGGCTTGGAAGTGTGTACCACTTGCTGGGACTTGGCTTGCTTCAGTGCTTCTGGGCAAGAAAGCCTGGTGAGGCTTCGTTTGTGAGTGGAGAGCAGTTTTAGGTTCTCTTTGTACCTTTAGCAGCTCTGAGGTGGTGAGCAAGACATTTCAAACTCAGTCTTTGTTGAAGGGCAAATGGGATTGTGTGCAGAAAGCTGACCTGGCCCTTCAGGGCCCATTAGATCCCACTCCGAGCAGCTCTCCTGCCTCAGTTCCTTCCCCTTCTCCCCTGCTGTTCCCCGCCTTGGATTCTTCTCTCTCTAGCAAGCATCGCCTCACCCAGAGGCCTCTCTGGACCACGCTGTGCAAATCACTTCCCCCCTACACAGGCCCACCGCCAACACTCTCATCTATCTTACCTTCACTTATTAAGATCTGAAATTATCTCACTTTGTTTGTTCCTCTGTCTTCCTCTCTGGGAACGAAACTCCATGAGGGACAGACCTGGGCTTTCTTACTCAGTGCTGCATCTCCGGTGCCTACAACAGTGCCTGCACAAAGTAGTTGCTCAATACATGCTTTGTGGTAGTGTGTGAACGAATGGGAGCTTACAGGGAGTGCAGGTGGAGCCCTGGCTGCAGCCCCGCTGTGAGGATAGGAACAGCACTACTTTCTAGTCAGCAGGTGTTTGGCAACGGAGGTCATTCCTGACTCTCAGCTCTCTAACCCCTACCTGGCGTCAGCCTAAGCTGCCACTCAGCCTGTTCTCTTGACAATTGTCCCCCTCCTTGTCCATGGTCAGATGTTGCCTTAGATGCAAGCTGTTGCTATTGAAATCAAGGTCACAAAGACCTGTAGCCTCCCTCCAGCATTTCCCAGCAACTTCCTCCCTTCATCTATTCCACGAGGCAAAACAGCCCAGACACAACACCCAACTCGAAAACACAGCTCACCATCCATGCCTCAGCCATTCACCCAATGCATAGTTATTGGGCTCCGGGGGTTCAGGGTGATCAAGACAGAGCTGACATTCCAATGGAGTGAGCATGACAGTGAGTAAATAGACCCATGGTTTCAGGTGGTGAGAACTGCCAGAAAGAGGAGAAAACAGGGGGATCTGATGGAGGCGATGGATGGAAAAGGCCACTCTGAACACCCAAGAGATGGGAAAAGCTTTCCAGGAAGAGGGAACAGCAGATGCCAAGGGCCTGCAGTGGGAAGGTATTCAGCATAGTACAGGGCCCCTGTAAAGACCCATGGGGTCAAAGAAGAGTAAACCAAGAGAGAGAGGGGTCAGAAGTGAGATCTGAGGTGTAAGCAGGATAACATAGGGCCTGGTCGGCCGTGTAAGAGCTTTGAAGCCATTCTAATTGCAAAGGAAACCACCAGCCCACTTAAAGCAGGAGATGACATGATCTAATTTATGTTTTCTAGATCACTCAGGCTGCTGTGCAACAGATGGGCTGTAAGTAGGAAAGAGCAAAAGCTGGTAAACGTGGAGACTTCAGTGTAGGTGGCTTCATTTTCCACTGGGGTGGTACCCTGCTCTTCTCCATGGACACGAAGGAGAATCGTGTACTCTGTCTTTAAAAAAGTAGAACTTTTGATGTTTGAGACCGCTGGTCGCCGTGTCGGGTGGGGAGTGGTTGTGAGCAGAAAAAATAGTAAATCAAGGAGTAGATAGCTTCTATTTATGTGTGTTACGTTTGATTCAGGAACACAATGTACCTTTCATTCCGTCAACAAATATTGAATGCCTGCTGCACACCAGGCACTGTTCTAAATGCTTCCAAGTCCAAGTGCCTGGTCCCCTTTCTCCATATGTAGTAAATAATTATTATGACTAATAAAAAATCCATCACATACTCATTATTGGTTCCCCTGTTTAATCACCTGTAGTCTTTGAACATTTTATTTCCTATAGAGCACACTTGGGGGGAAAAAAAGCTAAGGAGAATGCCACCATCACCCCAAAACTTAAAAGGTCTGAGAATAGACAGGCATTGGCCGACACGATAATGGAATGGGGAAGCAACTGTAGAATCAAAACAGGGCCGTTTTGGAATTGCGATGACTAAGGGAGGAAATGACAGGGGCCTGAAGGGGAAATAGCTTAAAAGGAGGAAGGTGGGAGGCTGGTAAGAGAGCTGCCACGGAGGGGGAGATTAGAACACTCCAACTTGAGTTGCAAAAAAAGGAAATACATTTTTTAGGAACCATTTCCAAACATAACGCCTATGAAGTGTTTGTTCAGGGGAAGAGCAGCCTTGTACACACACCTACGAAAAGCATAGTCGACACTGAGAAGACTGAGAAGAATATGCGTGGCCTCTTGTTCCTGGGAAAGCATCCCCAGCTCTCAGTGTGGGAGATCCTGCACTTCCCCCACACCACCCCCGCTCAGGCTGGAGTACAGTGGCACAATCTCAGCTCAGTGCAACCTCAGCCTCCTGGCTTAAGTGATCCTCCCACCTCAGCCTCCCAAGTAGCTGGGGCTTCAGGCATGCACCACTGTGCCCGGCTAATTTTTGTATTTTTAGTAGAGGTGGGTTTTTTTTCACCATGTTGCCCAGGCTGGTCTCGAACTCCTGTTTTTAAGTGATTGGCCCACCTCAGCTTCCCAAAGTGCTGGGATTACAGGCGTGAGCCACCGTGCCCGGCTAGGCTCTGCACTCTTAAAACTCCTCTAGGAGGCCAGGCACAGTGGCTCATGCCTGTAATCCCAGCACTTTGGGAGGCCAAGGCAGGTGGATCATCTGAGGTCGGGAGTTCAATACCAGCCTGACCAACATGGAGAAACCCCATCTCTACTAAAAACACAAAAATTAGCTGGGCTTGGTGGTGCACGCCTGTAATCCCAAATACTCAGGAGACTGAGGCAGGAGAATCGCTTGAACCCAGGAGGCGGAGGTTGTGGTGAGCCGAAATCACGCCATTGCACTCCAGCCTGGGCAACAAGAGCGAAAACTCCATCTCAAAAACAAACAAACAAAAGAAAGCTCCTCTAGGAGATGAGTGTGGACTGTGAAAAAGTTATTCACAGGCAATTTGAGGCCACCTACCTGGCCACTCAGAGAGTTTCTCCACGAGTTTATGTTAGTGAATGTATTGTTCTTTTCCTTTGAACAACTGCTTCACCTTATCATCAAGAGCAGCTTTTGTTTGCTCTACATGTTCTGGACAGCCCAGGCAGTCTGTCTTTTGTGGGGTTAGGGAGGGACAGGGGGCAAAAGAGCAGTAGGGTCATCCCTGTGTCTTGGAGGTGTTTGCCATCTGGTTAACAGTAAGTGAAAAGTGCTTTGTGGAATGTTCACTTTGGGTTCAGAAATTTTCTTTTAGAGACAGGGTCTCACTTTGTCACCCAGACTGGAGTGCAGTGGCGTTATCATAGTTCACTACAACCTCAAACTCCTGGGCTCAAGCAATCCTCCTGCCTCAGCCTCCCAAGTAGCTGAGACTACTGGTGCACGCCACCATGCCCATCTAATTTTTTTTTTTTTTTTTGTAGAGATGAGGGGCTCTCCCTATATTGCCCAGGCTTGTCTCGAACTCCTGACCTCAAGCAGTCCTCCTGCCTCAGCCTCCTAAAGCACTGAGATTACAGGAGTGAGCCACCACACCCGGCCCAGGTTCAAAAGTGAGAGTCTCCCCACGGTTGAAAGGGGAATAGAAGCACAAGAGTCAGTAATCAATAACAAACAACTCAAGGTGCTCCTTCCTTACACTGGTGTTCCCCAAAGTGAGGTGAATTGCCAGCCACTGGGAGTCAGGGCCAGTTACATAAGACATTCTCGGTAAGCCCCCTTTGGGTATCCCAAATAAGGACTGGGGTGGGTTTATGTGTAGTCCATTATTAACAACTAAACGAACAAACCTAGTGAATTGCAATAAATTCACACCAACAGAACAAAAGAAGAAAAGCTTAAACAAAAGAGTGGCTCCTTGCTTTCCTGAAGCACCTCTAAAAATGACCATAGAAAGATGGAAAAGTTTGGTGAACAAGCCTGAACCTTCACTCATTTCTCTGTCATGCATTAAACAGCTTGAGCCAGCTTTGAATTCTTCCGGGTCAATCAAATGGAAGTGCCCTGACTGCAGGCATGCCAGAGGATTTCAAGTGTGGTGCACAGAACAGTTTTTGTACAATACTGGTGTATCTTGATTTGCATTCAAACAAACTAAAACTAGCTCATCAAACCTGTAATTTCATGGGTAACATCGCTGAGGGACAGTTGTTTTTTAATTGACTCAATTTGTTATTTTACCTAAAAAATTGTAGTGGCACGTGGATATGACAGGAAGCAGGCAGTTGCTAGACACAAAACCCTTTAGAAACACAGGCTGGGGGCTGGGTGTGGTAGTCCACGCCTGTAATCCCAGCACTTTGGGAGGCTGCAGTGGGAGGATCGCTTGAGCCCAGCTGTTGGAGACCAGCCTGGGCAACATAGCGAGACTATCTCTACAAAAAATTTTTAAAAGTAGCTGGGTTTGGTGGCTCATGCCTGTAGTCCTAGCTACTTGAAAGGCTGAGGTGGGAGGATCGTTCGAGCCCAGGAGTTCGAGGCTGCAGTGAGCTGTGATCGCGTCACTGCAGTCCAGCCTGGGTGACAAAGTGAGACCCTGTCTCTAGAAAAGAAAAGAGAAAAAGAAACACAGGCTTAGACAAAGTTTTCTTCTAATTGGTGTCGGCATAATTGCTTACGACCCATCAAATAACACAAAACTCCTTCTTTCTTTATGCCTTTCCTCACTTTTTTCCTTAAAAAAAGAAAAAAGGAAAGAGGGAAGGAAAGGAAAGGAAGTTAGAGAGAAAAGCACCTGCATGTTATTTTCTCTGTAATCCCTCAGATGGCTTTCATGAACTAAGAGGTAAGAGTAAGAGAAGAATTCATGGGAAATGTAGATTTTGCAGCTGGATGGGAACTTTGGCGATTGCCCTGGGAAGCTATCTCACTTTCAGGTGAAGAAACTGAAACCCAGAGAAGTTCTGTTACTTGCCTCCTCCTTCGGTGGGTTTTTCATGAGCAAGGGTGAAATTGTCAGCCCCTTGACTTGATCCAACAGTTCCCCAAACCAAATATCTTAAGCAATAACTCAGGGACTTAGCTGGCAAGGAATAGACTTGGCGGTGGCAGGCAGTGGCAAGGCTGTGAATGAACACACTACGATCTCTGGAGCACTTTGAGTTGGAGAATGCAGTCTGGTATGACATGGGCCCATCTTGGGCCACATCCATGATAATCAATTATGTGAAGGCCTGAGAGACCTTTATTGTTGCATCATTTCAATCCTGAGCTTAGATCAAGGAAACCAGTCACCTGTTCCCCCGGTGTATATTGTCAGACATACAGTAGGTGCTTGATAAATAATTGCCAATTCAATGAAGCCTTAAGTGCAGCTTAGCAAGGTTTCCATGAGTAGAGGAAGTATATTAAAGCATGTCGATCTGGGTAACACCCAAACCTGCTGGAAAAGCACAGTATTCAGGTATCAGGGAAGCAAATGTTTCATTTCCACTGGGTGGCTTTGGAATTTTTTTCTGGCCACAACCTCCTCCTCAAAGCCCCGTTAGTAGGCAGTGCCTCCTACAGCTGCGGAAGTTCCTTTAATGTGTGGCTTTTTCATCTGAATCATCAGGAAGAATTCAAAGCTGGCTGGGTCAGAGTTCAATGTTATCATGGAGAACCAGTTAAAGTTTGCGTTTATTCACAGCATGTGCCATTCTCCACGATTATTTTTAGAGGTCTTAAGAAAATAAGGAACTCTCTTTTCATTAAAGTTTTTCTTTTTCTCTCATATCCCTCCTCATATCCAAGTTCACCCGGTTCATTCACTTCTTTGTCCCTGGTTTCTCTGGATAAACCGGCCACAAAGGCTATTTGCATCCATTTGGATGGGAGGGAACCAATGGGAGTGTGGGAGAGAATGCGTTATGTAACCAGCCCATCCTTCCCCATGGCTGGGGTGGCAGGAAGGGCAGTGAGCCTCCCCCAGGAGCTTAGAGACCCACTGGCCAGATCCACAGGCAAGGACAGCTGCAGAGAAAGTTTAGACCCAGACCTCACAGCATTCCTGCACAAACTCCTACAGAAAGATTTCCCTTCCCAAGCGACTTCTGCTGGTGTTTTCCAGGATATGGATAGTACTTTTTAAAATAGTTTCTTTAAAGGATCAAGATGAAGGTGAATGTGAGTATCTGAGTTTCTGTCTTCTGACATCCATTTCCTACAACTCTTTGATTGTGTGGGACTCTGAGTTGACTATATAAAGGGGTCCAGAGCTTGTTATTTCCAATGCTCCCCACTATATTAAGGAAGTAGGTAATGATGGTTTCCAAATGACTGTCACACCATGGGAAACAATTGAAAGTTGCATCAGGTTTTGAAACCAAAAAGGGAGACCTTATATTTTTGTTTAGAAAGTTATATTCTATTCTATTAAGTTTTGTTTTAAAGCTTAAACATTACTTTATTTTATTTATTTATTTATTTATTGAGATGGAGTGTTGCTCTGTTGCCCAGGCTGGAATGCAGTGGCGCAATCTCAGCTCACTGCAACCTCCACCTCCCAAGTTCAAGCAATTATCCTGTCTCAGCCTCCCCAGTAGTTGGGACTACAGGCATGCACCACCATGCCCGGCTAATTTTTGTATTTTTAGTAGAGTCGGGGTTTCACCATGTTGGCCAGGCTGGTCTTGAACTCCTGACCTCAAGTGATCCGCACACCTCGGCGTCCCAAAGTGTTGGGATTACAGACATGAGCCACTGCGCCTGGCCTTAAATGTTACTTAAATATAAGAGTAGTTGGAAAAAGGGAGTTTCAATTCACACTTCCAGTTAAGTAACTTTCAGATCATTTTCTGCACATTCTGGAGCTTTTCATTCAATAATTTTCACCTTTTTCAAAAACGGGGCTGAAGCAGAAACTCAGTTCTTTTCCTAGCCTATTTGGCAAATTAATATTAATCACAAAAAAAGGCAGCAGTTTCCCTTCAGCATCTCTCACTTAACTACTTTGCTAAGTTTTTTTTAAACAGCTCCAAGAGAAACAACTGTCCTTTATGTGAGATGATGCAAGAAACTACTTAGCTATCACCTCATTAAAAGAATTCAAAATATTTCTGATAATGAGATGCAGATTATTGAAGCAAAGCTGTCTCAAGTTTAACAACCTCATAAACTAATTCTCTCACACATTAGGCATGACAAATTAAAGAGATAGTTTAATCTACCTGCAAATTCTTAAAGCAAGTTCTGGTTATGAAATATACCATTTTGCTATTTTAAGTGACAATTCCTCATAACTTAAGGAATTTTACTTTTAAATGTAAATATTGATATGGAAAGCCACTGCAATTCATGGGGGAAAAGAAAAGTTAAGATACAGCTTCGGCCAGGCATGGTGGCTCACGCCTGTAATCCTAGCACTTTGGGAGGTCAAGGCGGGTGGATCATCTGAGGTCAGGAGTTCGAGACCAGCCTGGCCAACATGGGGAAACCCCGTCTCTACTAAAAATACAAAAATTTGCCGGGTGTGGTGGCATGCACCTGTAGTCCCAGCTACTCGGGAAGCTGAGGCAGGAGAATTGCTTGATCCCAGGTGGCAGAGGTTGCAGTGAGCAGAGATCGCACCACTGCATTCCAGCCTGGATGACAGAGCGAGACTCTGTCTCAAAAAAAAAAAAAAAAAAAAAAATCACAGGTTCTTTCTTGGGTAACTATGTCAAAGGGGAAGGAGGCACAAGGGACAAAGAGAAGACAGGAATGAGCTGGCAAAAATGGAGGGAGGAAGGGAGAGAGAAATGAATGTTAGATGAGGGAGGAGGTGGCTGGTTGCCTGGTGCTCCCTTCTCAACTGCAGACCTCACAGCACAACTTCAGGAGTTGTAGGAGGTTTTCCAGGAGGAAAGTAGGGACATGGTTATTCTGAATGTTTTCCCCAACATCACACACATGCAACATGCAGCTACTGTGTCCTGATACTGCATATCCTAACTTTGGCCTTGGGGAACATGTCCCATCATGGGAGGCCCTCCTCTCTGGCCTGGGTCTTTGTACACAGTACTCAGATCATTCTGCAGCTGGCCAAAGGAGAGTTCAAGGATCACTGGGATAGCAGGAAGGGCAGCGAGCCTCCCCCAGGAGCTTTGAGATCCTCTCAGTGCCTCCTCAACTTGCCTGGACCAGGCCAGACAAATCTTTAAAACACTTTGAGTCTAAACTTCTGTGACTCTTAATGCACCTGCAGTTAGATCCCATTTAACAGTCATTCGTTGCCCTCTCTGTGTGGTTCCACTCTGTGGCCCTACTCTCAAGGAAGAGGTAAATGCTCACAAAATCAGCTAGTTCTCAGAAACCACTCAAGCACCTTTCAGCATCCTCCATGCTGTACACGGTCCAGGCCCTTTGAGGGATGGCCAGTGAGAAGTAGTTGACGATGTTTGGCATCCTGGAAGTTCAGGGAGGTAAGAAGTCTTCCTGCATGTGGCAAACTGCTTTTGGCCAAGATTAAGATGGACTCAAAGTCAAAATTCCTTTCTATCTAATCTAGGAGTAGAAAGGGCTTGCGTGGTAACGACAAGCAGCTGCTTAAATTCACCAGCGCAGGAGTCCTCTTCTTCCAATAGAACAGAATCCTTTGTAAATTAGATTTTTATATTGAAAAAGAATATTTACACATGGTTTTAGGAATTCCAACTGTACAAATGAACATGGACTCAAAGTGTTTTTATCTAATCCCAAACCTCTAACTCCCCAGACCCCTGTTTCCTACCCAGAAGGGACCCTCAGTGAGTGACATAATCTTCCAGAAAGATGCTATACTTATAAAAGCATCAATGCAGACCTATGCTCATCTTGCTCTTTTTAAAAAATTTAATACTACATTTTGGAGATTGTCCCGTTTCCATTGACATAAGCTCTACCTCATTCTTGTAATGGCTACATTGTACTCCATTATACAAATGTCTCCGTTTCTCAGCTTCATCTCCCTCTCCCAGGAGGCACTTTGCCATCTTGTATCTGCTAAGATGTCCACACCGTCTTGTGATAGAGTCTGTGCTAAGCAGAGTGGTTTGTAGGCTAAAAGAGCACACTCCAGACCCAAAACTGCCTGCATTCCAGTCCTGGCGTTGGCCCTTGATCGCTGAACTACCTTAAGCTACTTTCTCACCCTCTCTGTGCCTTGGCTTACTCATCTCCTAAATGAGATGTTAGTTATAGTACCTGCTTCATAAGGTTTTTGAATATCAAATGCGGTCATCAGTGCTGACTGCTTATCCCAGTGCCTGACACAGAGTTGAGAACCCGCGAGCTATCCTGATTCCCGAGGCGTTGGCTAAACAGTGGACAAGACTGACACAGTTCCTGCGTAGTTAGAGTGCGACAGACACTCCTTTCAGGGCGAACAGAATGGTTTTGTGAGGGGCTACATTGAATCTAAAAGATTAAAGAGGATTTTTCCCTCTTCTTCTTCTTCTTTTTTTTCCCCCTTCTTCTTCTTCTTTCCGCCTCCCCCTCCCCCGCCAAGACAAGGTCTCACTCTGTCTTCCAGGCTGGAGAGCAGTGGCACAATCCCGGCTCATTGCAATCTCCACCTAGCCCATGTTCAAGCCATCCTCCAGCCTCAGCCTCCCAAGTAGCTGGGATTACAGGCATGTGCCACCATGCCCAGATAATTTTTATATTTTTGGTAGAGATGAGGTTTCACCATGTTTCCCAGGCTGGTCTCAAACTCCTGAGTTCAAAGTGATCTGCTCACCTCAGCCTCCCAAAGTGCTGGGATTACAGGCATGAGCCACCGCACCCAGCCAGCTTCTCCCCCTTATTTGGTTAGTTATAGGAAAATAATACTAGCTGACACACACAGTGTGTGAGAAGTCTGTATTGTTATGTGGGGTTTGCAAAGTGAGGACACTTTCCAGATCATCTTTGCTGTAACTCCCTAAGCTAGGCATGGTGATGTGTGCCTGTAGTCCCAGCTACCTGTGAGGCTGAGGCAGGAGGATTGCTTAAGACCAGGAGTTTAAGGCTGTAGTGCACCATGATCATGCCTGTGAATAGCCACTGCATTCCAGCCTGGGCAACATAGCAAGACCCTGTCTCTTAAAAAAAAAAAAAAAAAAACCCTCTGTCACCCTTCTGGAGGTGACTTCACAGAATGTTGTTACCCACCAGAAATCCCTCCCAGAAGAAGTGTCTGTAGATACTTTGATTTTTCCTCAGGTTGTCCTTCCTCCTTCTCTGTCTTCCCTTTTTGGAGAATGTAGGTGGGAAAAATGTAGGTGGTGAGGGGATTTTTCTTACGCTCTTGGAAACTTTTTTTTAACATAATATCCTTTTAAAATGATGGAAAGTAAACATTCACAAGCCAACAGATAATACCCTTCTCTCTGCATTAATCTTTCCTAGCCTGTATTTGAATTTACATGAAATGAAATACTTCCAAGTACATTTGAAGGGAGACTATTTACTTGAAAGATGATCAAAGAGCCCTTTCTCCATTCTGCACTCTCTCGATGTTGAGTCTGGGCACAGCTACCTCATAAAAATGTATAACAGAATATGTCACTGATCTCAACATAAAAGCTCCTACATCCATGGAAATCCTTCATGAACTTCAGGGATTCACATTTCCCATGTATCAAAAGATCTGTGATATTTATAGTATATGCAGTTTTTAAAATGTGGTTTCTCTATAACTAACTATCCTTTCCTGGCCCTCAAAGGGGAAGTAGGAAGCATTCCATCACCTCGCCTGAATAGTAACTAAGAATTCTTGGAAGTAAGACATGGAATCAGTGAGAAGGAAGCCGAAATGCGAAACATGGACATTTTTCAAAGAAGGATCTTAGTAGAAGAAAAATGTCCTTCTTGGCCTTGGAGATCTACATCTTTGTACAGAGCAGGGGCCTAGACATCACTTACAGCTCTGGCTTCTTGCACAGTTACCATCTCCACCACTAGTTTGGGGAACTTCCTTATTTACCACCTCCCACTATGGACTGGTGACCTCACTGTATGATTTACCTTCCCAAAGAAAGAATGATATTCTAGGTTACTTGGATGGAAACGGTCTCATGATCTCTACTTTACTATCCCATAGTTACTACTGTTTTAATTTTAGGAGCATAAGTGTTTGGTGTCAGGCGGGCTGTGAAAGATAAAACAAGGAGGAAGCAGGATGGGGCCATGATGCTGCCCTGACCCCTGTGACAGGAAAGAGAGAAGGAGCTGGACAGAGTAGAGACAGCCTCAAACTGTGGGGCAGCTTAGACATAGTCTTGACAACTCAACAGGGGCTTTGGGGTAAAGATTGCCCATTCAGTGAGTCCTGCATTGGGCAGGAACACCCAGGCCCCCTGACTATTAACGTTGAGTTTGCAAAGGAAATCTGGATGGGGTCTCTAAGACCTCAGCTGCGGGCTGGACTCAGCAGCAGAATGCTTCACTGGGCCCAAGGAGTGATATTTTAAGATCTGCCTGAGCATGCCACAGCCTCCACCACACCCAAATGTCTTACGCCTGGCCTGTCTCACTCATGTATATTTCTTGCCCAGCTCCTATAATCCTTTGAGTTTGCTGCTTCTCCTTACAGCTGTCTTTAAACCAGCTCTTTCTGGATTTGCACACATTTGGATGTAAGAGTTAGCAGATTAGAGTAGGAAACAGACTTGGACTTGGAAAGGCCGTGCAGAGTATTGGCAATAGCAGGCTTCAGTCAGATGGATGCGAGTTTGAATCCCTGCTCTGCTACCTGCTGCTGCATGACCAGAGGCAGGTCATTAATCTCTCCTAGTCTTAGGTGCCACAAAGCACTAAAATGAGGCCAACAGAGCAATCAGTGTACCCCCCGACCTGCCCCCCAGCCCTGACATTCTTGAGTTTCTGCAGCTTTGCTCTTTTGAGTAAACTAAAGAGAAAGAAAATTGAAGGTAAAGCAGAGAAGCAAGCTGTGCATGTGGGCGAGTGCACGTGGGTGCAGTCACCCGGGCAGTGTGTCCACCCCGGCCTAGAGAGGGGATTTCCATCCCAGGAACAGGGACAATGAGGCAGCATAACTGAGGCTGCAGGAGCTGCTTCTCTCCCGGCTCATCTAAGCTGCTCCTGCCTAGAGCTGCCATGCCTGCGGATGTCTCTTATACCACCATGGATGATGAAAGTGTGCGGGCCAGTTCCCTCTCTTCTTCTTACTTTCCCTGGCCCATTCAGCAGTGCGTCCCTCCCTTCTCTGCAGTTATGCTCCTGCTCTTCTTCCAAGCATCACCTCAAGTTGCATCCAGTCCTTCACCAGCTCCTCCCCAAAACTAACAAAATCCAGCCTCTGCCCTCAGCCAAGCCACAGGCATCTCCCAGCTGGACCAGACAATTGACTTTGAATCGCCTCTCTGGCTTCCACTTGCTCCATGCACCCCATTTTCCACCCAGTAACCACCTATAAACAGCATCCGCTATGGAAATTAGGAGCCAGGGCCTTTGTTGATCTCTCTCCAGGCAACCTGGTCATTTTTCAGTTCCTCCAACTTTCCATGCGCCCCCAACACATACATACACACTCACTCATACTCACACACGCCCCCTCACCCACGCACTCCGGCCTCCACACATTCCTCTTCCTCTGCCTGAATGCTCTTTATCTGACTAACACTTTATCTGACTAACTCCTTATCTAACTCCTCCTTACCCCCAGATGGAAGCTTCCATGGCTGCTTTCTCAGGTAAACGTCCCTAAGCCCTCACCCATCACTACTTCCCAACTGCACTTATAATTTTTCATAACTTCCTGTATTTTTTCATAACTTCCTGTATTTTTTATAACTTCCTGTATTTTATTTCTCATAACTTCTTGTATTTTCTTTCCATCTCACTTACAAGAGATGGAAACCCTGTATTTATTTCTGTGATGATTTGATTAGAATTTGTCTCCTCCACTAACATGTACATGGCATGAGATCAGAAACAGTTTTGTTCACCACGATGCCTCCAGCAGAGCCCCTGGAATACACGTGATGCTCAATACAATCTTGGTGAATGAATGAATGAATGAATTGCTCCCCAGATTTCTCCAAGTGCAGCTAAGACCACTGTATCCTTGGCTGCTCGGGTTTAGATGAGCACATTGCACCTGCCAGCTGTGGAAAGGTCTCTGCACTGAGGTTATCATCAGCATGAAGGCAGTGAGTCTCTTATTCTTCACGTTTGTTTCCCTATCCTCCTCCTGTTCTTCCTTCCAAATGCATATTCATTTTCCTTTTCCCTCTCCCAGCTGTTGTATGAAGATGGGCATTTGGGGGAAATGTCCTTTTTGGAAATCGTTTAAGAACATTTCTTCCATTGTACCCAGAATCTAACTGCTTGTGTACCCACAAGGAACAAAAATGTGAACATACATCCTCCTTCACCTCTGAAATTTCTACACAAATATTTCCAAATTAACACTCTATTTAAGAATACCTTGTGAGTGGCCTCAGCAACCATTGCAATGGTTACTGGATGCCTTTGGAGTGGCCTGTCAACTGCTTCCATCTGTTATTCACAAAGAGCTCAGTGCAGCGCCAGGAACATGGGTGCAGGATGAGTGCTGGCTGCTGCTATTGCAATGTCCAGTGCTCCCTGCACGCCCAGCCTGACCATAACAGCCTGAGCCCAGCCAAAAGTGGGGTGGTCAGGGGCAGCCTCTGCAAAGGGGTGACTCGAGCTGAGACCCAGAGGAGGAGGATCTGGCGGAAGAGAGTTCTGGGCAGAAGGAACAGCAAAGAAAAGGTCTGAGGTGGAAGCAACCTCAGGGCATTTGAGAAAAGTAAGAAAACAATGTGACTGGAGGGAAATGAATGAGGGTAGAGCTGCAAACTGGGAGGCTGATCCTGCCTCGAAGCCACACTAGGAAGGTGACCTTTTGTTCTGAATGCAGTTCTAAGCAATTAGAGGTTTTTAAAATAAGAGACCAACAGGATCCAATTTTATGTGTATAAAATAAAATATTCTGGCTAGTGTCTGGAGAGTGGATTATAAGGTGAAAGAATGGATGTGAGGAACCAATTAGAATTTAAGTGACCTTGGACAAGTCATTTGATCTCTCTGACCCTCAGTTCTCTCATCTGTAAAATGGGGATAAGAAAGTCTGCCTCTGAGATTTCATAGAAATAGGTAATATTATGACTTCAGTGCATCCAACACAAAATAGGTTCTCATTCAGTATAATTCCCTGTTTTCCCTCCATTCCAGGTAAGGAACTCCCCAAGACTTTGCACATGCATTTCATTCGTCTTTTGTAACATTAATATTGATGGTCTTTGCTACTGAAACGCTGAGGCATAATTAATTGATTGCATGAGCTGTCCAGAGACACCCCTGTCAATTGTAATGAAACGCCATACAGTGTTTCATTCATATTGAGGGGAATCGTGTTATGGCAACATATTTAGAGTTTTCCTTTGCTGGGAGTTTACATCCTTTGAAGATGTGGTCTGCTGTCCTGAAGACAGCAGGTCAAAATTACAAAATAAATCATATATCAAGAATAAGACTGCTGCTATTCATCTTGGACAGCTGTGAGTGCCCAGTGGGGTGGATGATCATAAAAACCCCATTGTTCTCTGGGAAAAAGTCCTTACTTTTACAATAGGCAAATCCGCCAGCTAAGCTGCATTCAATCTGGACCCTTCAGGGCAGCTGCCATATTGCAACAACTGCTCTGTCTAAAGATATGCACTATCTTATTTCTAGACAAATGCAAGCACATTTCAGATGATCGGTTTTTAAAGATTGCTTTAAATGTATTTCATGGGAATTACGATGAAATATACCATAATTATTTCATTATAGCCTCTGCAAAGGCTTTTATTTTCCCTTTTGTTCCCAATGTAGATGGTTAAAGTACAGTTTTCAAAAAGGCAAAATTATGACTCTCATGCAAATATAAAATGAACTCATGTCAAAGATTTTAATCAATTTTGATCAATTAATAGGGAATCAATGAAATGTTAAAACTAGGTCAAAGATCGTTGAGGATACTTGTCCAACTTGAATGAATTTATTTTTAAAAAGAGATCATTGAGGGGCTAGGTAGGTATAGGCAATTTAATTAAGGCATATTAGAGTGTGATTGCAAGGCTAAGTATGAAACTGGTTAAAGTCCTACAAGATAATAAACCTTTCAGATTATTGTTTCAGATAATAAACCTTTCAGATAATAAAGCTTTCAGATTATTGTTTTTTACTGAACGGCAATTATTTGTCTATTTAACTGGAAAAAAAATCTGCAAAGTAGCATGTAAGTTTCATAAGTCCTTTTTTTTTTTTTTTTTTTTTTTTTTTTGAGAGACAGGGTCTCACTTCCTCACCCAGGCTGTAGTGCAGTGGCGCGATCTTGGCTCACTGCAACCTCCACCTCCTGGGCTCAAGCCATCCACTCACCTCAGCCTCCCCAGTAGCTGGGACTATAGGCGTGCACCACCACGCTGGACAATTTTTGTATTTTTTGGTAGAGACGGGGTTTCACCATGTTGGCCAGGCTGGTCTGGAACTCCTGGCTTCAAGTCATCCACACGCTTTGGCCTCCCAAAATGCTGGGATTCCAGGCATGCACCATCACACCCAGCCTAAGTCTTGACCTTTAATCAATACTCTTTATAAGACTCTAAAACTCTAGTCCCTTAAATACTTCATCACTGCTGGATTCTCCAAGCTCAGCACCCACATTCTTGTGAAACCCACTCCCAACACATTCAAGGGATAATGATTCCGTGTGCAGACTAGTTACGCCTTGAGGTTTATCTTCTGGACATGGCTGGTGGTCATTCTTACCGAAGGTCATCCAAAAGTGTGGGCAGGGGCGTCACAGAAATCTTCCCTCTTACCCTACTCCAGACAGAAATAGGAGCGCTCATCCTGGTGTTTGTGATTTCTTACCTCTTAAAGACTTGAAAATGGGGGCGTTATGTCACGCCTCTCTTTCATTCATTAATTCAACAAGTAGCTAAAGATCCCCTACTCTGTCCTGGATCATGGGACGCAGTCCAGAACAAGAGGGTGTGGCCCTCGCTCTCCTGGAGCTTACGTTCTTATGGGGAGACAGACCCTGGATGAGTTGAACCCTAATGTGACACGTACTGATGTGCAAAGGTGTTGGGCAGAAGTATGGGGAGAACTAGTTTGGTCAAGAGGGTGTCAGGGACCCTTTTTCTAAGGAAGTGACATTTAAGATAAGCCTGAAAGGATGTGTGGAATTTCACTGGGTGGAAAGCTGCTGACTGCTTTGGGGTAGAGAGAACAGCATGATGGAGGGACTCAAGCCCTCAGAAAGGGTGACACCCTGGAGGCCAGTGAGGAAGTGATACCTATGAGTCTGGAAGTGTGGGAAGAGGCAAAATCACACAGGGCCTTGATGGTTTGGGCACAGTTTGGGCTTTGTCCAAAGGGTAATAGGGAGCCACTGAAGGGTGGTAGAGAGGGGAGTGGCATGATCAAAATTTGTGTCCCTGAAAAACTCGAGGACGACAACAGTGCCATATGTAATAAACATTCCATAAATGTTTGCTGAATCTGTGAAGGAACAATTGGCTGACCCAGAAAGACACCCCATGGGATGCCTGACACCAGGAAGTACAGTCATTGTCCATCGGCTGTAGCTCAGCTCTCTGCTTTTCAATGTCATCTCATACACTCACTGGGCTCAGACAAGTGATAGCTTCATATCTTCCCTCTCACTTGAGGATTTCTGCTTCACCATGGAGAAGAGAGGAAATCTCTACAGGCAGGAATGCCCCTCACAATACACATGCCCCTAACTCCTTTGGGGACCTTTTTTCTATGGAAAAATGAGTTAAAAGTGGGTACAGCAGGGAGGTGACACATCCCCCGGGTTGCCTGCAAGTTATTCCCTCAGCGGCATGAGGGCTGCAGCTGATTCTGTAGTTTTGAGTAGTCTGGGTGTTGCTAAGAATGTGCTGGGAAACATTTCAAGTTTCCTTGACAAAGATTTCTAAACAAATACATCATCCAACAAAGAGGTAATGCACAGGGTAGATTAGGGTACAAGGAACTGTGCAGTCTCATTCACCGTGGGTGGAGGTGTGAATTGATTGAACTTTGCTGGAGGGCAACGTGACAGCATCCGGAGCCCTGATGGTTTCCACCCACCGACTTCCCACTGAAGAATTTATCCATGGAAATAAATAAGGGGAGTTGCAAATATTAGCTATAAAGATGATCATTTCAGCATTGTTTGTAATAGCTAAAACCTGCAATTAGCTAAAATGTCCAAAACCAAGAAGAAAAATTATGTTTCATCTGTACAATGGAAAACCAAGCCACTGTTTTAAAGAATATTGAAAAATGTTTATTGACACGGAAAGATGCTCACAATTTACTTATTTATTTATTTATTTGAGATGGAGTCTCACTCTGTTGCCCAGGCTGGAATGCAGTGGCACCATTTCAGCTCACTGCAACCTCTGCCTCCCAGGTTCAGGTGATTCTTCTGCCTCAGCCTCCCAAGTAGCTGGGTCTACAGGTGCACGCCACCACTCCCAGCTAATTTTTTTTTTTTTTTGTATTTTTAGTAGAGATGGGGTTTCACCATATTTGCCAGGATGGTCTCAAACTCCTGACCTCATCATCTGCCCCCTCGGCCTACCAAAGTGCTGGGATTACAGACATGAGCCACTGTGCCCGGTCCCACAATTTATTTTTAAGTGGGAAAAAAAAGCAGATTATAAAATTGTGTGTTTCATATTATGCCATTAGATTTTAAAACTTTAATGATGACTCTAGGTGTGTATGTGAACAACTATGCAAAAGAAAAGATCTGGAAACACAAAAACCGAAGGATTAACAGCAGTTACCTGTGGTGGCAGCACTGCAGGCATTTTAATTTTCTTCTGTTTGCTTATTATTATTTTTACTTTTTCTTTAATGAACTTTTATTACTTTTGTAGAAAGAACAAAATGTTTTATTTTCAAAAATTGTTCATGATCTCCTGGGATCTCAGCTGTATTAGATTTTGTGGGGGATGTTCAATGTCTTTCTGGGTGCGTGAAGGATCTGATTCTTCTTACGCTTTTTAGATAGACTTGTAGTAGTGTTTCCCCTAATCCACACAGACCTGCTTGTCTGGTTAAGATGGTATTTTTCAGCATTGGTCTTCCAATTCCATTTTTGTAACAGAATAGAGATATTAGGCAAGAAGCACAATAATTTTCAACAAACATAATGGAAGAGTTGGTCACTTTTGCTTTATTTATGAAAGTATGAACAAAGGTTAATGAGTTTAAAAGGTGTAATTAAATTTATTTAGAAAAATAAAAAACAACTGGAAGGATAAATACCAAAAATGGTGTGAATTGGTATCTTTTAGTGGTGGGATTATGGGTAATTTTCACTTCCTTCTTTTATTTCTCTCTTTTTCTGTAATGAACATGTATTGATATAAAAAGATTGGGAAAGGTGATTACTTTAAAACCTAAAGAAACAAGTTGCCTTCATGTAATTACAGTGGAAAGTTCAAATAAGAAGGGGGCTCGGCCATCACTGCCGTGGTAACAAGGCGACTTTTTTTAGAACTGTGTGGCTAACTGAAAGAGCATGGGTTGGAGAATTAGGAGACTGGGTTTGATCCTGGCTTTGTGACCGCAGGCAAGTCACTAACCCCCTAAGTCTTTTGTCATTCACTAGTTTTTCTTTTTTCTTTTGTTTTGTTTTTGAGACAGAGTCTCCCTCTGTTGCCCAGGCTGGAGTGCAGTGGCATGATCTCGGCTCATTGCAACCTCCGCCTCCAGGGTTCAAGCGACTTTCCTGACTCAGTCTCCCGAGTAGCTGGGACTACAGGCATGCGCTACTCTGCCCAGCTAATTTTTTTTATTTTTATTAGAGACAGGGTTTCACCATGTTGGCCAGGCTGGTCTTGAACTCCCGGCCTCAAGTGATCTGCCCTCCTCGGCCCCCCAAAGTGCTGGGATTACAGGCGTGAAACACTGCGCCCAGCCTCTTGTCATTCACTTATTAATGAACATTTACTGAGCATACTCTATGTACCTGGGTCTGGGCCTGACACTGGGGACAGAATAGCCAAGTGAGGTGTGGGCCCAGCAGTCACAGAACTGCCAATCCAATTCAGAAGGAAAATAGCAAAAACCAGACAAAAAGCAATCTAATAGTAATAACAGTCACAGCTGCCTGTACCAAGTACTTACTAAATGTCAGGCACCTGTACATGACAGAGAGAGAGATACCCATATGTATACACAATATATAATGGATTGCTATATATATGTGTGTGTGTGTGTGTGTGTGTGTATATATATATATGTATATATATATATATAGGATATATGTTGGGTACATATATATATCAACCCGTCATATATAGTGTGTGTGTGTATATATACATATATATAAATATCTCAACCCATTTAATTCTCACAATAACCCCATGAGGTAGGTATTACTATTATTACCATTTTACAGATGAGGAAACTGAGGCTCTAATAGGGTAGCTAATTTGCTTAAAGGTACACAGGTACGAATTTCTACCCCACTATGTGCGCTATGCTGCACTGAACTACATAACTACAAGGGTCATAATTTCCACAAATTAAAACAGGGCCATGACCCAGGAGTTGGAAACCAGCCTGGGCAATGGCAAAACCCCTTCTCTACAAAAATACAAAATTTAGCCCGGGGTGGCGGCACGCATGTGTAGTCCCAGCTACTTGGGAGGCTGGGGTGGGAGGACTGCCTGAGCCCGGGAGGTCGAGGCTGCAGTGAGCCAAGATTTCACCGCTGCACTCCAGCCTGGGCAACAGAGTGAGACCCTGTCTCAAAACCAAAAACAAACAGGGCCATGAAAGCATATTAGGACCATCCGACCTCGTCTCAGGATACAGGTAAGTCTGCCCTGAGGATGTGACATTTCACTTAGACCCCAAGGATGTGAAGGAACAAATCAAAGAGCAGGGACAAGAGCCTCTGGGGTGGAAGAAATGAAATGAAAGGGCATGATGAATTTGTATGAAGCTTTCTAAGAGAGTGGGATTGGAGTAGCAGTCACTGGCCACGGTGCTAACTGCAAATTCTCTTCTCCCCTCTCCACCCACAGGCACTCCTGGCCAGGGCACTTTATGACAACTGCCCTGACTGCTCTGACGAGCTGGCTTTCAGCAGAGGGGACATCCTGACCATTCTGGAGCAACACGTGCCAGAAAGCGAGGGTTGGTGGAAGTGTTTGCTCCATGGGAGGCAAGGCCTGGCCCCTGCCAACCGCCTCCAAATCCTCACGGAGGTCGCTGCAGACAGGCCGTGCCCCCCATTCCTGAGAGGCCTGGAAGAAGCTCCTGCCAGCTCAGAGGAGACCTATCAGGTGCCCACTCTACCCCGCCCTCCCACTCCAGGCCCCGTTTATGAGCAGATGAGGAGTTGGGCGGAGGGGCCCCAGCCCCCTACTGCCCAAGTCTATGAATTCCCCGACCCTCCCACCAGTGCCAGAATCATCTGTGAAAAGACTCTCAGCTTTCCAAAACAGGTACGCATACTTCCACCTACTAGACATGGGTTGAGGGGTATGGAAACACCCAGAGGCCTAACTACCTCTTGAGGCATGGGTGTCCTTCAGATCAAACACGCAAAACGGGAGCCCAGATTGCTGGCAATCACGCTCGGGGAGCTTGTGTGCCAGGTTGGGATGGAGAACTCAGCGGCCTCCACCCCCTTGTCGTTGACACCCTTGGCGCCACTGTGATTCCCCAGCTCTCCAAGGCTGGGCACACTCTGTGGGAAATGGAATGCTTAGCTGAGCTGTGTGGGAAGGCACTGAGGATGTTCGTGGCACCCTTTTCACAGGATGAAGGATCACCAGGACTGCCAGTGACAAATGGGAGGGTGGGGTTTCCATGGGTTCAGAGGCAAGAAGTTACACATCGCATTTAAAATGTATATTCCAGGCTGGGCATGGTGGCTTACACCTATCTATATTCCCAGTACTCTGGGGGGACGAGACAGGAGGATCATTTGAACTCAGAGTTCGGGACCAGCCTGGGCAACATAGTGAGACCCTGTCTCTACCAAAATTTAAAAATTAGCCAGCATAGTAGCACACATGTGTAGTCCCAACTACTTAGTGGGAGGCTGAGGCAGGAGGATCGGTTGAGCCCAGGAAGTCGAGGCTGCAGTGACCTATGATTGTGCCACTGCACTCCAGCCTCGGTGGCAGTGAGAACCTGTTTTCAAAAAAAAAAAAAAGTATATCCCCTTCAATGCAGAAATTTTATTTCTAGAACTGCTATGGAAATATACAAGCAGGCAAATATATGTCTGGATGAGGAGGCTGTAGCCATTATGGCATAGAAAACTCAAAGAGGCCTAAATGTTTATTAACAGTGGATTGGTTATACATATCTTGGCATATCACCACAACAAGCTGCTGTGCAGTTGTTTAAAAAAAGAATGAGGCATTTATAAGAGGGAAGAAAGATCTATTTAAACAAAAACCAAACAGATATAAACTCAAAAAAGAGGCAGGGCGCAATGGCTCATTCCTGTAATCCCAGCACTTTGGGAGGCGGAGGCGGGCAGATCACAAGGTCAGGAGTTCGAGACCAGCCTGGCCAACATAGTGAAACTCCGTCTCTATTAAAATACAAAAAATTAGCTGGGCATGGTGGCAGGCACCTGTAATTCCAGCTACTCGGGAGACTGAGGCAGGAGAATCACTTGAACCTGGGAGGGGAAGGTTGCAGTGAGCTGAGATCGCACCATTGCTCCCCAGCCTGGACGCCAAGAGTGAAACTCCATCTCAAAAATAAACAAACAAACAAAAAACTCTAAAAAGGAATTCTGTATGTGAGTGTGTATGTGCATGTGTGCTCTCACACTGAGACTGAGAAGAACATGCTCCAGGCATAGTTACCCCAAGGAAGGGGAACTGGTTAAAGAGAAAGGGAGCAGTAAGCTGGGGCCTTTATTTTATTCATTCCTGTGTCCTCAGCACGTGGGACCAGGCCTGGCCTGGGGTAGGTGCTCAATACATATCTGACAAACAAACAAATTAGGAAGTTGATTTTTATGTCATATTGAACATGTATGACATCTGTAACTTTTTAAAATATCAATTATTTTGTTTTTTTGAGACTGGGTCTCGCTCTGTCTCCCAGGCTGGAATGCAGTGGTGCAATCACTGTTCACTGCAGCCTCAAACTCATGGCCTCCAGCAATCCTCCTGCTTCAGCCTCCCAAAGTGCTGGGATTACAGGTGTGAGCCACCATGCCTGGCCTAAAGTATCAATTTTTAAAAACAGAGGAAAAAGAGCATTCATTAAATGTAGAATGGGCTAGGCTTGGTGGCTCATTCCTGTAATCCCAGCAGTTTGGGAGGCCAAGGCAGGAGGATTGCTTGAGCCCAGGAGTTTGAGACTAGCCTGGGCAACATAGTGAGACCTCATCTTTACTAATAATAATAAAAAATAATTAGGCAGGCGTGGTGGCAGGCACCTATAGTCCCAGCTACTCAGGAGGCTGTGGAAGGAGGACCCTTTGAGCCCAGGAGATTGAAGCTGCAGAGAGCTATTATTACTACGGCGCCCCTGCACTCCAGCCTGGGTGACTGACCGGGACCCTGTCTTAAAAAATAATAAAACAAATGCAGAATGAAAACTTTTTTTAATAAGGAAAAGAATTAAAGTAAGGAAGGAGAAAAAGAATGCGCTATTTCCCTCAAAGCCCTGGCCTTCATGAGGTGTTGAGATGTAGAGCAGATGTGCACAGGCCTCAGTCACTGCAGGCATTTCCTGCCATCAGATGCTTTGCTTTCAGCTCCCATGACACATCCCACCCGGCCACAGCTCTGGCAGAGGGTCTTGGCAAGGTCTGTGTGCAGGGAAAGGCCAAGCTCCCTGAGGCATGTGCTGTGGGGGCCCCAGGAATGTGCTACTCACCATTCAGGCCTTCTCCACACCAGCTTCCAAGGTTGTCTTCAAACAGGAAAGTGTTGATTCCTTAGAAGATTTTGAATACTTTACATTTTCTAACTCCCTGGGCTACAAGACATAGAACCAGACAGTTGTTACATAGAACAGCTGCCAGCACAGGCACTCGCTACAAACACCAGGAGGAAGCTGGTGGCGCCTTCTGAAGCAGTCAATGAGGTGGACACTAACTCTCTTTTCTGGAACAACTGGCCCCGATCTAGGCCTGGCATGCTCAGCTGCTGTCTGAGCAGCTGACTCGGAGCAGAGCTTTGCTGAGGTTTCTTCTAAGAACAACAAGTGACATTAACTGAAGTTAACTTGAATTTCTTCCAAAGCCATGAAAAGAAAAAACAAAAAATCAATAGCAATTCCTTCCTCTCCCTGAAAGGAAAACAGATGCGCTGTCCTCTGTTGGTTGACCAGAGGACCCTCGAAGACCACTTCACAATCAGTTAAGTTTTCTGATCCACAGAAAAGGCTGGCAAGGCTGGCACCTCCTCCCTGCTCATGCCACTCAATACAATGACAGGCTCCTACAAGGTACTTAGTAAATACCTGTTGCATGAATGAAATTGACCAAACACAACACAAGGTTTCAAAAACATGGAGTCCACTATCAACTGCTAGACTGACATCCGTGTGAAAGGAAAGATGAGTTTACTATTGAAACTTAACTTTGAAAAATGATCAGGGCATTAGCAATGAGATTTGTCCTTGATGTTAAGTGCATCAACCATTTGAGGCCTTGCTTGTGCAGGCTGTGGCAAACAACAGAAACCGCAAGGAAATTCAGGGGGGGTCCCTTTAACCACTGAGCAGAGTTCTTGAGGTGGCCACAGTAAAACCCCCCAGGGGAATTTCCTGCCTTGTTTTCCTTCCTTAAGTTCCCTCCATGTCTGCCCTACCTACAAGTTTGCTCCCTTCCTTCCCTCCCTTCCTATTTATTTACTTAAAAAAAAAAATTTTTTTTTTTTTTTTTGGAGGCAGAATCTCGCTCTGTCACCCAGGCTGGAGTGCAGTGGCGTGATCTCGGCTCACTGCAACCTCTGCCTCCTGGGTTCAAGAGATTCTCCTGCCTCAGCCTCCCAAGTAGCTGGGAACACAGGCTCCCACCACCACGCCTGGCTAAATTTTTTTTGTATTTTTTAGTAGTGACAGGGTTTCGCCATGTTGGCCAGGCTGGTCTCGAACTCCTGACCTCAGGTGATCTGCCCACCTCAGCCTCCCAAAGTGCTGGGATTACAGGCGTGAGCTACTGTGCCCAGCCTATTTACTTAAACATTGTTTTAATTTATTGGCTGGGTGCGGTGGCTCACACCTGTAATCCCAGCAATTTGGGAGGCCAAGGCGGGTGGATCACCTGAGGTCAGGAGTTTGAGACCAGCCTGGCCAACATAGTGAAACCCTGTCTCTACTAAAAACACAAAAATTAGCCATGTGTGGTGGTATGCATCTGTAGTCCCAACTACTCAGAAGGCTGAGGCAGGAGAATCGCTTGAACCCGGGAAGTGGAAGTTGCAGTGAGCCGAGATCACGCCACTGCACTCCAGCTTGGGTGACAAGAGGAAAACTCCGTCTCAAAAAAATAATAATAATTTTTAATTTCTTGCCTTCTCTGTGCTTGGAGTCTCTTAGCAAGAGATGTGGTCTGTGGCTTACAACTCAGGAGTGCCATCTCATTTGGCTTCTGGGGCAGCCAATGTTGCACTGGGTGATTGGGGACCTCCCAACACCCTTTGTGTTTCTCCTTCCTCCTCTGTATAGGGAGAAGGTTGGACCCCATCTTTTCTAAAGTCACCTTCAGATGTACCTTTTGGTTTTTCTAAATACTTTCTTCTTCCTCTACTCTGAGAAGGAAGGAGCTAGAAGAACTTGAAGACCAGTTAACAATCAGTTACACATTTTCTGATCCACAGAAAAGGCAGGCGTCTCCTCCCTGCTCATGTCATCTAGCCATTAACCCTGAGGCTAAACCCGCCCAGAAAATACATTCCAAATGGAAGCGGCTGTTGGTAGACGGGGCAACTCTGAGCCACGGGTTTTGAACTGTTTTCCCATGGCAAATTCACAGGCTTGGAACACAGCCTTTGTGAGGCACTTCACGGACTCCTTTCTATATCTGTGTTGACAGTCTGCAGACTAAGAGTGGCCCCAAATTAACATCCGAGAAGGTGGAAACATGTCATTTTTCTCAAGTTGTCCTAAGAGAGGCGTCTATGTGTCAGAATCAGACATCTCTATAGCTGGGTGCGATCTCTGCATATCTTTAGATTAGAACAACTCTTCATTTTACAGATGAGGACATTAATTCCCAGGGAGGTGAAACTGCTCGTGCAGCCACACAGCTGATGAAGTACGACTTCCATCACCCCCCAAAACACAGCCCTTATTCCTTGATCTTCTTTCACCTGACTCTGTGGCTGACGCTATTCTTTCTGATGAACACTTTACTGAAATTTCACCTACAGATGCTACGTTACAGCTCTGTAACTTATATCCAGACCACGAAACAACAAAACTACCACCCCAGAAGCCTCCAGTGCCTTCTCTCTGTCACTTCCCCACTAGGGTAACCACTATCTTGAGCTTTGTTTTACTTTTTATCCCAACTTCCTTAATATAATGTGCTGGCCTAATTTAAAAAAAAAACCCACCACATCAAGAGCATATTTGATTTCAGTTTAAATTCAGAAGGGACTCTTGTATTTCAAGAGAAAAGGGTCAGATTTCCTGGTGAAACTGCTTTTGGATCCACTAGTTCCTGAACTGGAGTTTCCTTCTGTCTCCCTAAACCTTTCGAAACTGTGTTTCTCAAACATGTTCCTTAACTGATTGCCATACTGGGCCTACGTTTTCCAAGAAGCACTGGGCATTTTTGAGCTGGCTTCCTTCCATCTGAAATGTCATACACAGGAAAGTCCCTTTGCTCTGTGGAGGTGCCCTTATAGGCAAAGGGGATCCCACAGTCAGCCATCAAAATAAAATGGGCCTGAAGTCATGGGGAGGAATGGGCCTTGGGACAGCATTTGGAAAGGGTCTGCGGGGGGAGAAAGCTTGGTGTGTTTCTGGGAGGTACCACTGGCGGTACAGCCAGTGGTCCGGGACACTCACTCAAGGTCCCTGGGTGTGGCGGGTGCATAGCTTGTCAGACCGGGTAAGCAGCTTGGATTTCTGGCCTGGCGCGGTGGCTCACGCCTGTAATCCTTCCACTTTGGGAGGCTGAGGCAGGTGGATCACTTGAGGTCAGGAGTTCAAAACCAGCCTGGCCAACGTGGTACTAAAAATACAAAAAAGTAGCGGGGTGTGGTGGCGGGCACCTGTAATCCCAGCTACTCGGGAGGCTGAGGCAGGAGAATCGCTTGAACCCGGGAGGTGGAGGTTGCAGTAAGCCGAAATGGCACCACTGCACTCTAGCCTGGGTGACAGAGCGAGACTCCGTCTCCAAAAAAAAAAAGAAGCTTGGATTTCATTCAAAATGCAATGGGAAACCACTGATGGGCTTGTCCACCTAGACCAATCAGCCTGAGACCATCAGGAACAAAGTCAGGTTTACTGAGTGTAAAGAGGGAGATCACAGAGCAGAGGAACCATGAGGCAGCTCACAAACAGGAAAAGGTAGCATCGTGATGGGATGGGGAAAGGCGGGGTTTAGGTGAAGTCTAAGCGAAGCTGTGTCTTGATAGGCTCTGTGCACAACACGGCAGCGTGCAGGCTGGACGAGGGCCGCTCTCCCCTTGGGAACCACGAAGCGGAGATAGAGGGGGAGTCCTGGACCCGGAAACCCCTTGTCTGAAGCGCTACATGAGGGCCTGGGAATCAAGGCTGCTTCTCTGTCAATGACTCAGATCCCCCAGGCGAGAGTGGGATGCTTCATTCTTACTGAGAGCGCTTTGGAAAGCTGGGCTTCGAGAGCCTAGGATTTCAGGGAACCAAGTTTCTCAGGGAGTAAGAAAGCAGTCGTCACTCAACGAAGGGGGCTGTTTTGACATGTGACAGCTGCAGCGTGTCCTTGGAAGAAATGTTCATCCTGTTCGCATTGCGGCTGCTTTGTCTGCATCCGTGAGTCTAGCCAGATGAATGGCGGGGTGGATTTTTACACTGTGTGCTAATGTTTACCATCCAAGCCGTACACATCCACTCACCAAAAACAAACAGATAAATCTAGCATGTACATTCCCAGTGCTGCATCCCGGGGACACCATGATGAATAGAGGGACCCTGACCCAGTCCTCAGAAACTGCTCCTCTGCCTGCGTTCCCCTCCCTCAGCTCTGCATATTGAAACCCTAACATCCCCTGAGCCAACTTGGAAAGCCCCCTACTGAGCAACAGCTCCTTGGGACGCCAGTGGGAAGTACACTCCCCCTGTCCTGGACTCCGGAGCTTCACCCTGTCCTCTCCTCCAGGCCCTGTCTTGCTTACCAGCCTGTGCCCAGCCTATATTCAGACCTCATTTCCCTCTTAGACTTTAAGCCCGTGGTAGACAGCATCTTCTACTCTAGAAAAATGTGCGCATTCCTAGTCCCCTCCTAGAGACGTTCTAGTTCAGGAGGTCTGGGTGGGAGACTTGGCAGCTGTATTATTTTAAAGTTCCCCAGGGGACTCGGATCCCTGGCTGGGTTTGGAAGCTGCTCTGTGGCACCCAGTGTGGTACCCACCATTGAGCCAACATCATTGAGCTCTGGAGGATTAACTTGAATCTGAAGTTCCCATTCACAGACCCAGGTTCCATGGCTGAGACCATGTTTCCCAAAGTGCCTTGAGCAATAACTGGCCAGGTGCTCTCAATAAAATATAAATCGGGGCCAGGCGCGGTGGCTCACGCCTGTAATCCCAGCACTTTGGGAGGCCAATGTGGGCAGATCACCTAAGGTCGGGAGTTCAAGACCAGCCCGACCAATATGGTGAAACCCTGTCTCTACTGAAAACACAAAATTAGCCTGGCATGGAGGCATGTGCCTGTAGTCCCAGCTACTCAGGAGGCTGAGGCAGGAGAATCGCTTGAATCCAGGAGGCGGAGTTTGCAGTGAGCCGAGATCGCGCCATTGCACTCCAGCCTGGGCAACAGGAGCGAAGATCCATCTCAAAAAAAAAAAAGGTTTATATGTATATAAATTGGATGGTCAATCCCATCCTTTGTAGGACAAAATTCAAACTCCTTCACTGACCTGCTCCCTGTTAACCTTTCCCACTCCACCTCTCCCTCCTCCCCTCCCTCGCTCCTCTCCATCACTTTCACATTGCCAGGTTCTCTTCTGCCTCCCACTGCTGCCAGCAAAAGCTGCCAGCTGCAGCTCAACTGGTCACCTCCTGCTTCCCTGCCTCAGCCCAGGTGACAAGTCCTTAGACAGCTCTCAGACCTCAGTTTCCTCCCAGACCTTGTTGGTCCCTCCACCTTACATTCTTAAAGTCCCCTCTGCCTATTGCGTGCACTTCTCCAGCCTCAGCCTAGCTAGATGAATGTAGACGAATAGCTCAGTATCAGAGTCACAGCCTCCTGGTCCCTAGAGAACATCGGAATCACCTGGCAAGCTTGTTAACACTGCAGGTTCCCGGCCCCCCTCGACACCCAGAGACTCCGTCCAACTCGCGTGGGCCCAAGAATCTTCATGTTAACCTGCTTCAGGTGAACTTCCCAGGTGAGGCAGGTAAAGAACATCGTGGGCCACGTGCGAGGAAGGCTGCCTCCACCGGGGAGCCTCCCACCCGTGCCCTGCTGTCTTGAGAGTGAAGAGCCTGCCAGCGGGGGTGCCGGGCGACCCCTTCAGCAGTATCCACCCAGCTGTCTCTGCTTTTGGAGAGATGACTTTGAACCTGATTGTGATCATCAGAGTGACATTTCCTTTTCCTCTTTTCTCCTCCTTTCTCTCCAAGGCCATCCTCACGCTTCCCAGACCTGTCCGGGCCTCACTGCCGACTCTGCCTTCCCAGGTGTATGACGTGCCTACCCAGCACCGGGGCCCCGTGGTCCTGAAGGTGAGCCTTGTTCAGGGGCCCCTCATCACCCAGACCTCTGCGCCCAGAGTCTGGGGTTCTTGGGATCATGCCCACATTGCATTTCAGCATTACCATGGCGGCCAGGGGCTCAGCCTCCAGAATACACATCACCACTCAGAGGCCAACTTCATAACCTCCTTTTTACCCATGGAGCCCAGTCCTGCTCTAGAAAACATTATGACTACTTGAGTTCTGAATATTTTGAAATTTTTACTTTTCATTTATAATAGATTGTTTTTTCTTTTTCTTGTTGAGATGGGGTCTTGCTTTGTTGACCAGGCTGGTCTCGAACTCCTGGCCTCAAGCAATCCTCCCATCTCAGCCTCCCAAAGTGCTGGGATTATGGGCATAAGCCACCGTGCCCAGCCATTATTTATAATAGATATTTAATATATGTATGTGTGTACATACACACACATTTTTTTAAATGATATTTTGAAGGATATGCACCACAGTCTTAACACGGATTATCACTGATTATCTTAACATTGATTATCTCTGGGGGAAGAAATTTTAGTTGTTTTTTTTTAACTTGTTTGTATATAAGTGGAATATCACATTTGTAAGACATGCTTCATGTGATCAAAAAATAGCTTTGCTCCTTTCTTAGCCCATCCAAATGCTCTGCGGTGGCGTTCTCCCCACCCACCTACCATTGGGATCAGTAGCTCCCAACTTTCGTTGTATGCAAAAGCATCTGAGAGCTTTAGCCATCCTGGTGCCTGTGCCCCAACCCCAGAGACTGTTGAATCAGGTCTAGATGGGGCCCAAACATCAGGATTTTTAAAAGCCCTCAGGTGATTGTACTGAGCAGCCAGGATTGAGAACCACAGTTCCAGTCTAAATAAAATTTCAAGCAGGCTCTGTGACTTCCTGGTCACTCACAGGTAATAAGTCACTTTTGGCCAGGTGCGGCAGCTCACACCTATAATCCCAGCATTTTGGGAGGCCAAGGCAGGAGGATCACTTGACACTAGGAGTTCGAGACCAGCCCAGCCAACATGGTGAAACCCCGTCTCTCCTAAAAATACAAAAATTAGCTGGGCATGGTGGTTCACGCCTGTAGTCCCAGCTACTAGAGAGGGTGAGGTGGGAGAATCACTTGAACCTGGAAGGTGGAGGTTGCAATGAGCTGAGATCACACCACTGTACTCCAGCCTGGGTGACAGAGCAAGACTCTGTCTGAAAAAAAAAAAAATCAAAATCAAAAATTAAAAAAAAAAGAAGTCACTTTAGCCTTGCTAGGCTCAGTTGAGAAATTTAATTGTCCAGGCAATAATCAAACTTTCTAGTTCATTTAAAGCTAAAGCTCCTGCTGCCCAGCTTGGGCCTGCCTGCTGGGCTGGGCTCCAGGGACTGGCTAAGTTCTCTGCTGGTTCACCATCTCAGGTTTCTACCCTTTCTCACTCACTGGGTGGTCTCAGACTCCTGCAGGGCTGCAAGAGGCAGGCAGGGACAAAGGTCCTGCTCACCTGGTTCTGTTGGCAGATGTGCTAATAGCAGTGGCCAGTATGGCAAGCTGATTCTTTCTCTTCTGGGGTATTCCTGTAAGTGCCCCCCACCTCCTACCCCTCACCTCCTTGCTGAGCATCTCTTACCTGCAAGTCCCTCCAGGTGGACAAATGCATCTCCTCTGGCTGCTGGCTCCTCCCTTAGCTCTGGGGCAGGCAGGTCATTTCCAGCCACATCCTCGTGACATTCCCTGAGCCATTCCTCCCTGGCTCTTGCTCCAGCTCTTGTGTGAGCCATGCCTGGTCCATGACAAACACACAAGCTCCCTTTGCCATGATAGACTCCAGGAGCACAGGCGCTTGCCTTGGGTGTAAAAGTTATCAATGGGCCGGGCGCGGTGGCTCACGCCTGTAATCCCAGCACTTTGGGAGGCTGAGGCAGGTAGATCACGAGGTCAGGAGGTGGAGACCACCCTGGCTAACGCGGTGAAACCCCGTCTCTACTAAAAATACAAAAAGTTAGCCGGGCATGGTGGCAGGTGCCTGTAGTCCCAGCTACTCGGGAGGCTGAGGCAGGAGAGTGGCGTGAACCCGGGAGGCGGAGCTTGCAGTGAGCAGAGATCGCGCCACTGCACTCCAGCCTGGGAGACAGAGTGAGACTCTGTCTCAAAAAAAAAAAAAAAAATAGTTATCAATGAAGACACACTTGTATGACTCATTTCACTCATCTTGCCCTAATCCCAGCCCCACTAGACCCTGTCTTTATGTAAAACTGTGACATTTTGTTCACCATGATTTTTTTGCATTATGATTTTTAAAAATATTGCATTTTAAATAGTATTTACTATGATGATTGAGTTTTTTGGTGCCCTCTTAATGTTGTGCCCAAGGCAACTGCTTTGCTCTCCTCCCCCTGGTCCTGACCCTGAGAACAGGCCATCCACAGCACGGCTGCCACCCTCTCTCTTTTCAACTTTCCCAAGCCAGAGTCAGCGCCCAACCACTGTGACCCCAAGCTCAGGGGATACAACTCAAGTCATTGAATGGTCCCATGGGAACACTTGATGGTTTGCTTTTGGGGAGTGAAAGGCAACCCCCGCTACACCGCACCCCATTTCCCAGCTGAGGAGAGCCCTCAGGAGACTCACAGCCCAACTCCCTCTACAGAAACCCCTTCCAATATCCAACTCTTTCTCTCTTTCTTTGCAAAACCTATTTTGGTGCTCTCTTGCCTTGCTTTGGAATTTGTAACCTGTTTTTTGTATCCTAATATATATGTTTTTTAATTACTGTACACATTACATATATAATATGTTATGTCATATATATATCTCAAGCCACTGAAGGAGTTTGAGCAGGGGAGTGACAATCAGATTTTTAGGAAGCACACATCATCACTGGCCGTCAGAGAAATGCAAATCAAAACCACCATGAGCTACCATCTCACACCAGTTAGAATGGCAATCATTAAAAAGTCAGGAAACAACAGGTGCTGGAGAGGATGTGGAGAAATAGGAACACTTTTACACTGTTGGTGGGACTGTAAACTAGTTCAACCATTGTGGAAGACAGTGTGGTGATTCCTCAAGGATCTAGAACTAGAAATACCATTTGCCCCAGCCATCCCATTACTGAGTATATACCCAAAGGATTATAAATCATGCTGCTATAAAGATACATGCACACGTATGTTTATTGCGGCACTATTCACAATAGCAAAGACTTGGAACCAACCCAAATGTCCACCAGTGATAGACTGGATTAAGAAAATGTGGCACATATACACCATGGAATACTATGCAGCCATAAAAAACGATGAGTTCATGTCCTTTGTAGGAACATGGATGAAGCTGGAAACCATCATTCTGCACAAACTATTGCAAGGACAGAAAACCAAACAACGCATGTTCTCACTCACAGGTGGGAAATGAACAATGAGAACACTTGGACACAGGGTGGGGAACATCACACACCGGGGCCTGTCATGGGGTAGGGGGAGTAGGGGGAGGGATAGCATTAGGAGATATACCTAATGTAAATGACGAGTTAATGGGTGCAGCACACCAACATGGCAGATGTATACATATGTAACAAACCTCCACGTTGTGCACATGTACCTTAGAACTTAAAGTATAATAATAATCATAAATTATTAAACTAATTACACAGATAAAAATAATAAATAAATAAATAATAAAATAAAATAAAATAAAAAAGATTTTTAGGAAGCACAGTGCCTGGCACTTAGGTCATTGCTAAGATGCACATTTATCAAATGAGTCTCTCATACCCTGTTTTTATTGCTGTCGTGATGTGCACAGTGTCATCCAGCTTCGTGTCTGGTCATTAGTGGGCACTCGTTGAATATTTGCAGAATAAATATGAATGATAAAACAGGAAAATTTCTACTGAGAAAAAGAAAGAAGACATATTAGGTCTCAGTCTCATTTATCCTCTGGCTTAATTTTAAGATGAACTCAAGATAAATTACCATTTTTAATTTAGGCAACTGCAGTTAAGGCTCTCTTGTTTGCCCCCCAACCTTTGGTTGAGAGGTCTTTTTTTTTTTTTCTTTGAGATGGAGTTTCGCTCCCGTTGCCCAGGCTGGAGCACAATGGTGCGATCTTGGCTTACCGCAACCTCCACCTCCCAGGTTCAAGAGATTCTCCTGCCTCAGCCTCCCGAGTAGCTGGGATTACAGTCATGCGCCACCATACCAGGCTAATTTTGTATTTTTAATAGAGTTCTCCATGTTGGCCAGGCTGGTCTCGAACTCCCGACCTCAGGTGATCCTCCTGCCTCAGCCTCCCCAAGTGTTGGGATTACAGGCGTGAGCCACCACGCCCGGCTGAGAAGTCTCTTTTTAAAGCACAAAGTCCATTGTTGAATGTATACCCTGTTATGGGAAAAAGGACTGTGATGTCCCCTGCGTTGCCTCAGACAAGGAAGGCGGGAGACCTGTCACCCAGATTTCTACCATTACAGCATCATGACCAAAAGCACCGAAAAGTCTTCAGGAATTTGTGTCTTCCTTTGGAAAAAAACACTGGAATAGGGAGTGTTCGTGATGTGTAGCCATTAGGAAAGAAACATTCAAGTTGTCTGCCTTTGTGGTCTTTCCCCAGGAGCCAGAGAAGCAGCAGTTATATGACATACCAGCCAGCCCCAAGAAGGCAGGACTCCATCCCCCAGACAGCCAAGCAAGTGTAAGTATGAAGAGGTGCTAAGGTGCGGTGTTATGAACACACAAAATCCTCTCAGAAATGTTATTAGCTTGGGGCCAGGCACGGTGGCTGAAGCCTGTAATCCCAGCACTTTGAGAGGCCGAGGTGAGTGCATCACCTGAGGTTGGGAGTTCAAGACCAGCCTGGCCAACATGGCAAAACCCCATCTCTACTAAAAATACAAATATTGGCTGGGTGTGGTAGTGGGCGCCTGTAATCCCAGCACTTTGGGAGGCTGAGGTGGGCAGATCACTTGAGGTCAGGAGTTCAAGACCAGTCTGCCCAACATGGTGTAACCCTGTCTCTAATAAAATACAAAAATTAAAAAAAAAAAAAAAGAAAGAAAGAAATGTTATTAGCTTGGTCAAAAATTAGAATGCAAATTCCTCATAACAGAGACCTTGTTGCATTTGAGGTAAAACCTCTCATTGCACTTGTGTTCAGGAATAGGACTAATTACGTGGTTGGGATAAGTCGTTTAACTTCTCTGTTTTTATGGGCTGGGAGTATTAAGTGAGATAATCCTGCAAAGGACCCGGGACAGTGCCTGGCATGGTGTGAAATTATGTAATGGCTTCTTCTTACGACAGACCTCAGGGGCGTGCTGTGATACAGTACACTTTTATCTGTGTTGGGCAAAGGACTTTATCTGAAATCTGTGTAATCTATGTTTATAATTGGATTCTACCACATGTGTCCCACAGACACACTTACACCCAAGGTCATTAGGGAACATCTTACAAGAAGGCTGGCATTTCGCCGTGTCAGGGGGATGCATAGGGGTTTGGTGGATGGAAAAGAAAGGGTTGCCAAGGGCATTTAGAGCAGAGAAACCAGTTTGGGTAAAATTAAATACACTGGCATGAGTCAGTGTTCTGAGTTCAGGGGAAAGTAAACAGCTTGGGTGGCTGGACCTGTAAGCAGATGGTGGCAGACCAGGTGGGGTCAGCGTGGTGGAAGTCGAAAGAAATGAGGCTCAAAAGAATCCTGAAGGACCTTGAGTGGTAACAGAAATGGGGAGCCACTGAAGGAGCGGCGGAGTGACGATGAGATTTAAACAACGCACTCGCGCCCTCTTTGGAAAGCTACTAACCCGGCAACTATGTGTGGTTCTCCCACAGGGGCAGGGTGTTCCCCTGATATCAGTGACTACCTTAAGAAGAGGCGGTTACAGCACATTACCAAATCCTCAGAAATCGGAATGGATTTATGACACTCCAGTGTCTCCAGGAAAGGCCAGCGTCAGAAACACGCCTCTCACCAGCTTTGCGGAAGAATCAAGGCCCCACGCTCTCCCCAGTTCCAGCTCCACTTTCTACAATCCTCCAAGTGGCAGATCCAGGTCCCTCACTCCACAACTGAATAACAATGTGCCCATGCAGAAAAAACTCAGCCTTCCAGAAATTCCTTCTTATGGCTTTCTTGTACCCAGAGGCACATTTCCTTTGGATGAAGATGTCAGCTACAAGGTTCCTTCAAGCTTTCTGATTCCCCGAGTGGAACAGCAGAACACCAAGCCCAATATTTATGACATCCCTAAAGCAACGTCGAGTGTTTCTCAGGCTGGGAAGGAGCTGGAGAAAGCCAAGGAGGTGTCAGAGAATTCCGCGGGCCATAATTCCTCATGGTTCTCCAGACGGACAACTTCCCCATCTCCTGAACCGGACAGATTATCAGGTTCCAGTTCTGACAGCAGAGCTAGCATCGTTTCCTCGTGCTCCACCACATCCACCGACGACTCCTCCAGCTCTTCCTCGGAGGAGTCAGCAAAGGAGCTCTCCTTGGACCTGGATGTGGCCAAGGAGACAGTGATGGCTCTGCAGCACAAGGTGGTCAGCTCTGTCGCTGGCCTGATGCTCTTTGTCAGCAGGAAGTGGAGATTCCGAGACTATCTGGAGGCCAACATTGATGCAATCCACAGGTCCACTGATCACATAGAAGAATCTGTAAGAGAATTTCTGGATTTTGCCCGAGGAGTCCATGGGACTGCCTGTAACCTCACTGACAGTAACCTTCAGAACAGAATTCGGGACCAGATGCAGACCATCTCCAACTCCTACCGCATCCTGCTTGAAACAAAGGAAAGCTTGGATAATCGCAATTGGCCTCTGGAAGTTCTTGTGACTGACAGTGTCCAGAACAGCCCAGATGACCTTGAGAGGTTTGTCATGGTGGCACGGATGCTTCCAGAAGACATCAAGAGGTTTGCCTCCATTGTCATTGCCAATGGAAGGCTCCTTTTTAAGCGGAACTGTGAAAAGGAAGAGACTGTGCAGTTGACCCCAAATGCAGAATTTAAGTGTGAAAAATACATCCAGCCTCCCCAAAGAGAAACTGAATCACACCAAAAGAGTACCCCTTCCACTAAGCAAAGGGAAGATGAACACTCTTCTGAACTATTAAAGAAAAATAGGGCAAATATCTGTGGACAGGTGAGTTCAGAGTTCCAAGTGATCGAAAAAGGGGCTTCAATTGTTACCTGGAGTAGTGGCTACTAAGATGCTGAGACTCTTTCCATAGTGTATAGGCTTTGGGGAGACACTGGTTCCATTTTCTAGAAAATAAAATTTATGAAAGTAAAATTCTTGATGAAATCTTATTAACAAGTCAGATAAAGATAGGTCAGCATAGGCAGATAGGTCAGTTGATTTGGATTTCTTCCGAAAACTTTTGGCGTTCAAGTTTACCATATTAGAATTAAAAGGGATTTTTAAATTTCTTAAAAATTTATTATTTGAGTAGATTTTTAAAACCTCACCACCAAGTCTCCTTGCATTTTTGAAAGTTATAAATTTAGTCATTCTCAGTGTGTTTCTTAGCAACGAAAGAGGAAGTAGAAACATTCTTTCAAATTGCCCATGGTCTGATCAGCCCCCAGACTTCAGCTACTCTTAGAAATACTTTTCTGAGGCTGGGCCTGGTGGCTTATGCCTGTAATTCCAACGCTTTGGGAGGCCAACGCAGGAGGATCCCTTGAGGCAGGAGTTTGAGACCAGGCTGGGCAACATAGTGAGACCCCAGCTGTACAAAATTTATTTTTAAATATCCAGGTGTAGTGGCTCATGCACTTGGGAGTCTGAGTGGGGGTATCCCTTGAGACCAGGAGTTTGGGGTTGCAGAGAGCTATGATGGTGCCACTGCACTCCAGCCTTGGTGACAGAGCAAGAGCTAATCTCTAAAAAAAAGAAAAGAAAAAAAAGAGTTGGGATATAGTGGCTCACTCCTGTAAACCCAGCACTTTGGGAGGCCAAGGCGAGCAGATCACTTGAAGTCAGGAGTTTGAGACCAGCCTGGCCAACATGATGAAACCCCATCTCTACTAAAAATACAAAAATTAGCTGGGCATGGTGGTGTGCGCCTGTAATTCCAGCTACTCAGGAGGCTGAGGCAGGAGAATCACTTGAACCCAGGAGGCAGAGGTTGCAGTGAGCTGAGATTGCATCACTGCACTCCATCCTGGACCACAGAGCAAGACTCTGTCTCAAGAACAACAACAACAAAAAAACAAAAGACAGAAAGAAATACTTTTCTGGATGAGTTCAGACATTATAGAGCGAGATGCTTCAGTTCAGGGATTGTGAGCCTTAAGAGGCCCAGAAGTCACTTGGGGGCTGTGTCAAGGAGATAATTTGCTACTTTCAGCCCCGACCTTTGTGTTCTGCTGAAATGCCTGGTGGTGTAGGAGCTTTAACATGTTCTAGAAATTTGGATGTTTAAAATTTACATACACATATATATAACTTTAAACAAACCATGTGGGTCATTATATCAGGCCATGTTGATAGGCAAAATTCAGCCTTTGGGTGGCCAAAGTCTCCTTTGGTTGAGAAAAGGAATCAGTAGGCAGAACCATCAACAGAAAATATGAGAAAGAATGCTCAAGTCTAAAGTGAACTTAAACAGTTCCACTGTAGTGTAAAACACCACTCAATTTGGTAAGTTGAAGGGATTTTATTTTTCAGACATTGCCTAACTTAGAAGAGAAAGATAAACCTATCTTGGAATAAAGGTTAGATGAAAACAAAGACTTAGGAACCATGGTAAGCTATAGCACTCACTCTCTAAAGCTTCTGATTCATACGCTCTATTGCTAGATTCGTCTCATCATGCTACGGATAGCTCAACATTACAGCCATGACCCACATGGGCGAGAGTTCGTTTTTGTGATTCTTTGTCCTTTATTTTAGCAAGAGAGTCCTGGAGATCACTGAGTCTAATGAACGAACCCCAGGGAATGAAAGTGAAGCATTAACCATTACTGAAATGACTGTAGGGGCTCTGCAAGGTTGTTGTGGGTGGTACTGACAGGGCTAAATAGGACTGACTCCGTTCCTCTTTGACATTCTGATTTAATGTTTCTGATTACAACAGCAAATCTTGATTTGGGGCTTGTATATCTTCAACACCTCTTTTACACTTGATGTTCTTCCTTTTTTAAAAAAAAAAAAGTCAAAGATGTTATCGTTGTGCTTATTTTTATTGGTTTCCTTCTATTTGTGGTCAATGACAGTAGTTTTCCATTTACCATTTTTCACAGTTTCCTTTAAATTAATGTAAGTAAAAACAATGGGTCCATTTAAAGGAAAGGAATGAAGCCAGTAGAAGTTAAGAGGAAGGTGGAAAGAGTATAACTTGTAAAGGTTGTAAAGGTTGTCTCTGAATAACTGAGCTTGGGAAACTTACCTAGGTTATAGGGCAGATGGGGTAGAGGGTGGAAGAAAAGGATGTCCAATGATAGGATAAGGTCATGTACCTTCTCAGAGGCAAACTAGGACAAGAATTCAGGCCTCCTGATGCTCAGCTCCCTGAACCCCAAACACTAGTCTTTGGGCCTGCCATATTGCTGACAGTTATGCTATTTTGTTCAACATTAAGTAGGCCTTAGACTAGTGGTTCTCACATTTGAGTGTATCACAATCACCTATGATCTTTGTTAAAACTCACATGGCTGGCCGGGCATGGTGGCTCACGCCTGTAATCCCAGCACTTTGGGAGGCCGAGGCGGGTGGATCGCCTGAGGTCAGGAGTTTGAGACCAGCCTGACCAACATGGTGAAACCCCGTTTCTACTAAAAATACAAAAAATTAGCTGGGCATGATAGCGGGCACCTGTAATCCCAGCTACTCGGGAGGCTGAGGCAGGAGAATTGCTTGAACCCGGAAAGCAGAGGTTGCGGTGAGCTGAGATCGCACCACTGCACTCCAGCCTGGGCAACAAGAACAAGACTCTGTCTCAAGAAAACAAACAAACAAAAACAAACAAACTTGCATGGCTGGGCCCCGCTCTCAGAATTTTTGATCTAGTAGGTCTGGGGTGCAGCATAATAATGTGCATTTCTAGCAAGTTTGCAGGTGACGTTGATGCTTCTGGTCCAAGGACCTCACTTGGAAAGCCCCCGCTTTAGACTGACAGCACTTCTCAGTGGAGGCCCGGGGCACCGTTGGCCACCGGGTGGACAGTTCTCCATTGCGTGGTGAACCGTTCAGCATCCCAGAACCCCTGCCCGCTCACTGCCTATAGAAGTCCCTAGTCAATGCGATAACCAAAACTATCTCCACACATTTCCAGCACCCCATGTTAAGAATCTTAGTACATTTTTCACCTCCCTACGGTTAATATTTTCACTTAAGATGCTCATAATCTGATGCCTACCTCATTACTTCTCGTTATTTCTAAACTCTTCTTTTTTTTTTTGAGACGAAGTCTTGCTCTGTCACCCAGGTGGGAGTGCAGTGGCGTGATCTCAGCTCATTGCAATCTCCGCCTCACAGGTTCGGGCGATTCTCCTGCCTCAGCCTCCTGAGTAGCTGGGACTACAGGCGCCTGCCACCACACCCGGCTAATTTTTTGTATTTTTGGCAGAGACAGGGAGTCACCATGTTGGCAAGGCACATCTCAAATTCCTGACCTCAAGTGACCCTCCTGCCTCAGCCTCCCAAAGTGCTGGGATTACAGGTGTGAGTCACCGTGCCCAGCTCCCTTTTTTATTTTATTTTTTTGAGACAGTGTTTTGCTCTGTTGCTGAGGCTAGAGTGCAGTGGTGAGATCATGGCTCACTGCAGCCTCCACCACCCAGGTTCAATCGATTCTCCCACCTCAGCCTCCCAAGTAGCTGGGACTACAGGCCCGCACCGCCATACCTGGCTAATTTTTGTTTTGTTTTGTTTTTGGTAGAGACAGAGTTTCGTATGTTGCCAAGGCTAGTCTCAAACTCCTAGGGTTAAGCGATCCTCCTGCCTCGGCCTCCCAAAGTGCTGGGATTACAGGTGTGGGTCACTGCACTCAACCTGCTTCATTCTTATACTCCCTGCTTCCAAGAGTCCATGTGAACTGACATTTCAATCTTTCCTTCACTTTCTATGACAAAGACAATCATTGTTTTCATTTTCCAAATATGCAATTCTAATAATGAAGGTGCTTCTTCGAAGTATGCCTTCCTCTTCCTTGTCTAACTTCCCCTCCAACCCTACTAGGAGACATAACCCCCTTCTGAAAAAATCAGTTTTATGCCCTATCTGTCTGAATGCTTCCGGGCTATGAATTTTGAGATAATAGGTAAATGCGAGCGTGTGAAATTTAATGGAAAGAAAGCAAGTTTCAGACCTAGAGCTCCAGATCTCTCATGTGCTAATGGAATAGCCGGAGGCAGCCTTTTCTCTTCTCTGAGCTTCACCTTTCAATTGTTACCTGGAGTTGTGGCCACTAAGTTAGGTACTGAAAATCTTTGAGAGTATGTAGGATTTGGGAGAAGTTGGTTCCATTTTCCAGAAAATAAAATTCATGAATGTAAAATTTTGATGAAACCTTATTAGCAAATATGATAAATATTTTAATATTAAGGCAAAAAATAAAATAAATAATATTAAGGCAGATAGGTCAGGGTATTTAGTTGCTTCTGGAAATGTTGAGAGTTCTGATATATCTCTGATACTGAAATCAGAGGATTTTTGGCTTTTTAAATGTTTTTAAATCTGTTCTTTGAGAAAATTTTAAATCTCATCAAGTTTTTGTGCATTTTTAAAAGTTACAAATTTAGCTGGGTGCAGTGGCTCACCCCTGTAATCCCAGCACTTTAAGGAGGCTGAGGTGGGCAGATCATTTGAGATCAGGGGTTCAAAACCAATCTGGCCAACATGGTGAAACCCCATTTCTGCTAAAAATACAAAAATTAATTGGGCATGGTGGCAGGTGCCTGTAATCCCAGCTACTCAGGAGGCTGAGGCAAGAGAATTGCTTGAACCCAGAAGGTGGAGGTTGCAGTAAGCTGAGATTGCACCATTGCACTCCAGCCTGGAAGATAAAGGAAAACTCTGTCTCAAAAAAAAAAAAAAAAAAAAAAGTTATAAATATAGTCATTGCCAATGTGTTTCTTAAAATGGGTTTCTTGTAGTTGGTTTATTGAGATGATTGAATAAAATTATATATGTATGTATTACAATATAATATTGTATATATTATATATTACAGTGCTTTGAAAACATTAATTTGTTAGACAACTGTTGCAGTATTGGGCTTCCCAAACCAAACCATGCTTTTTTAAAAAAAATAAAAAGTCTTGCAAATCTAGCCAAAACAGGAAAGGGCAGACAGCCACAGCCCATTGATTGAATCTCCTATCTATTTTCTTCCTTCCCTTCTTTAGAATCCTGGCCCTCTTATACCTCAGCCTTCGAGTCAACAGACTCCTGAGAGGAAACCCCGCTTATCTGAACACTGCCGGCTCTACTTTGGGGCGCTCTTCAAAGCCATCAGCGCATTTCACGGCAGCCTCAGCAGCAGCCAGCCCGCGGAGATCATCACTCAGAGCAAGCTGGTCATCATGGTGGGACAGAAGCTGGTGGACACGCTGTGCATGGAGACCCAGGAGAGGGACGTGCGCAACGAGATCCTCCGTGGCAGCAGTCACCTCTGCAGCCTGCTCAAGGACGTAGCGCTGGCCACTAAGAATGCCGTGCTCACGTACCCCAGCCCTGCCGCGCTGGGGCACCTCCAGGCGGAGGCTGAGAAGCTGGAGCAACACACGCGGCAGTTCAGAGGGACACTGGGATGAGGACTGTCTACCTCCCTTCCTCCTCTGCTCACCTCTCAGCTTCACACCCACAACTTGTGCAACTCTGCCCTATGGGAAAAGCCAGCCGGGGCATACACCAATGAGCTGAAACAGACCTGGTGCCCAAAGCTGGTAGTACCAAGTGGCTAAGCAACCCCAGGGCATTGACTTACCCCGCAGGGGGTCAGGAAAGAGAGTCAGGTATGAGGTAAAGACCTTGTGAAGTTTAGCATATATGGAGTATGCAGTATCAGCTTGAAGTGACTTCGCAGAAATAATATTTTATATTGATTAAATGTGTGCATGTTTTGTTTGTTTTTTGAGACAAAGTCTCACTCTGTCACACAGGCTGGAGTGCAGTGGCGCGATCTCAGCTCACTGCAACCTCCGCCTTCTGGGTTGAAGCAATTCTCCCGCCTCAGCCTCCAGAGTAGCTGGTACTACAGGTGTGCGCCACCATGCCCAGCTAATTTTTGTATTTTTTTTTAATGAAAGGTCTCACATATTTATTACTGAACCCAGCCAACCAATGCATTCATAACAGATTCAGAAAGAAAAAATATATTCCCAATAAAACATGTACAATTCTCCAGAGAGCGGTGACATTTTCAGCTTGATGTGGTAACATGACTGTGACCTTCAGACAGCATAAATATGTGTGCCCTCTCATGTGCAATTCCTTATAGGGCTAGCTTGGTTCTTCTTCAATGTCTCCTTTTGGAGTTGTACCTGATTTTATTACCAGTTTTCATCTGAATCCACTGGGGAGTGGGGCGATTTTGTTTTAATTTCTCGGTCAGGAATCACTTAATCCTGGAAGTCTTATGAGAAGACATGGCAAGAAGCAGAGTCAAGCACACACCACAATGGCAGAGAAAGGAAGAGCTAATTTTTGTATTTTTAGTAGAGTCGGGGTTTCACCATATTAGCCAGGCTGGTCTGGAACTCCTGACCTCAGGCCATCCCCCGCCTCGGCCTCCCAAAGTGCTGGGATTACAGGCCTGAGCCACCATTCCTGGCATGTACGTGTTTTAAATTCACTCATTTAACACTTATGTATTGGATGCCTACTACATGCCAAGTTCTAGGTGCTGGAGACATAGCAGTGTTTCAGAGGGCTTGCCCTCTTGGAACTTATGATCTAGTAGGGGAGTCAGGCAGTAAAGCGGTGAAGAAATACATACACAGTATAGCAGGTGCCAGGAAAAACGTAAGTAGGGGAAGTGCAAGAGAACTTATCTTCAAATGGTTAATTTTTATTGCATCCATTAGATAATAGAGTAAGTTTTTTGTTGTTTTGAATTGAATTAGTTCTGTGAGATTGGTACAAATTATGTATGTGTCTTGCACCCATAAATATATATTTTTGCTATGTTACTTTAACCTAAAGATAGATGTTATATTTACAACATAACATGATCTGTTGGGTTCTCTATTAATTTATTTCATACATTATAGATTCTGGGTTGATAAATTCTGCTCAATTTGAAAAATTTTATATTTTGTCTCAAATCTGTTACAATTTATATTGGTTGGTGCAAAAGTAATTGCGGTTTTTGCCGTAGACAGTAATGGCAAAAACCACAATTGCTTTTGCACCACCCTAATAATATTAAATATAATCATGACTTTAAACATCATTTGCAGCATTCTTTTTTTGGAAAAGTCTTTGATCTGTGTCACCCAAGTGAAGCCTCCGATGTTTACTTTTGTCACTCCAGTGCTTCTCCCTGAAGTCTGCAGAGAGATGGAGTAGAGGCCCTGCTCTTAGGCACCGGATTGGTGCTGGAAAACAAAGCCATCACCTGTGGTGGTGCAGACAGGAAGGCGTGGTGTGGACAGGATGCCCATCATTGGGCACAGATATGAAAGTGGCACAGAGCTCCCCTCAACTCAAACCACCTCCTCTTCCTCTCCTTGTAGCTGAGTCCTCAGCTCACGTTGCCATGGTTACATCATCACTTCATTTTAAGTGATGGTCTGGGCCTCCTAAATGCATAAACACCTCTACAGCTTGGAAGAGCATCTCCAGGCTGTAAGTCACCTGAAATGATACCAAGTCCAACTCCTATCTGCTACTCTTTCCTTGGTAGGCACTTGTAAAATGTTGACTGCTGGAGGCTGGTTATTTTTATTAAGTTAGTCTCAGGGTCCTTAAAAAAAGGATCCCATCTTTGTGAGGCTTGGTTCTCTACAACTGGACAGAGGCCCTCCAGGGGGCCTATTCTTTGAACAGCCATGATCTGCATCAGTTAGGACTTCTCTTACAAGGGATAGAAAATCATACCCAATCTGTCTTAAGCAGTAAAGGAAATTTATTAACTCATATGTCTTAAAATCATCCAGAGGCAAACTAGCCGCAAGGCTGGCTGGTTTCAGGGGCTCCAACAGTGTGATCCAGGACCAGTTTCTCGGTCCCACTTGCTCTGGGTTAACCCCCATGATTGCAAGGTGGTTTTCCCAGGTTACACTCTTCTTGATTCTTGGCCAGAGGAGAAGAAAAGGACTTCATTCGGCTTGGACTGGCTTAGATCAGGTGCTGCTCCTGAAAGCTCCATGATAAGCAGGGCATGGAACACCCAAGTTAATTTAGATCTGGAATTCCTACCCACCCCACACTCACTCTCCCATGGGTCCTGAGAGGTAACGGGATTGCTCTTTCAAGCACTGTGATGGGCCTGAGGTTTCATCTTTGAAATTAACAAGTTAACCTGTCACCATTTCATGGATGCAGACAGAAGATCTAAGATTCTGGGATCAGAGACTATGTCAGTGGTCCCCAAGACCACCTCCAGGTCCAATGAGTCACTAGGAAAATTCACAGGACTCAGAATACAGTCATATTCACAGCTGTGACTTACTACATTGAACAGATGCAAAGTGAGATCAGCAAGGGGAAGAGGTACCCGGGGTGAAATCTAGGGGAGACCAGGCACAAGCTTCCAAGAGTTTTCCCCCAGTGGAATCACACAGGACACGCTTAATTCACCCCAGCAACACTTGTGCCAACATGTGTGAAATGTTGTCAACCAAGAAAGCTCATGAGAGCCTCAGCAGCCAGGGTTTTACTGGGGGCTGATCAGGTGGGAAGCCTCTGTCTGGCATGAACCAAATTTCCAGACTCCCAGAAGGAAAGCAGGTGTTCAGTATGAATCACGTTGTTTGTATAAACAGTTTAGGCACAATGAGCCATTCTTATAAATTCTGGCAATGGTGGGAACCCTCCCAAAATCCAAGTTTCCATGCACCAACCGAAGGTCAACCTTGCAGGCAGGCCTTCATAAGGATATTTGTCAGGCCTGCAGTGTTCATCCTTTTGTGCATGGAGACAGAGGACTCTTTCTCCTGGCATTGCAAGCAACTTGGCTTCACCTTCACATCATTTCCCATGTCCTCCAAGTCCCAGGGGGTGATGCAGTGGTGGGCTCAGGTGGATGCTGAACACATAGGTTTGTGTCAAAGACAAGGAACCTTAGCATAGGAATCCCCAATTTTTTATAACGGGCTCGGAGCAAATCTGACAAGGCTTGGCCTCAGAGGGAGACATCATCTTTACTATATATTTATATATGTAATATATGTTATAGCTATGCAATATAGATGTTAGATATGTAATATAGATGTTATATATGTGAGAGATATATATATATATATTCGGATAGGGTCTCGCTCTGTCACTCAGGCTGGAATACAGTGGTGCAAACATAGCTCACTGCAGCCTCAAACTCCTGGGCTCAAGTGATCCTCTTGCCTCAGCCTGCAAAACTGCTGAGGTTACAGGTGTGAGCCATCGTGCCTAGCCCTCATTTTTAATATACTGCATACCAAACAAACCTGCCCTCTGCTCTGGAGGGAGACACTATCTCTATATTCCAAGGCTGTTGGAAGATGGTTAAACAACATCCTTTAAAAGATGGTTCACAACAAAATGCCATTGGTGCCTCTGCTCTGAATATGTGCAGAAAGGCAAGAGACCTATGGAGAACTGTGTCCCGAGAGGATCCCCTAATAAAAGTCAGGAATATTCTTGGAAGAAGGAGGGATTAGGCCAGGCTTGGTGGCTCATGCCTGAAATCCCAGCACTTCGGGAGGCTAAGGCAGGAGGGTTGCATGAGCCCAGGAGTTTGAGAGCAGCCTGGGCAACAAAGCAAGATGCTGTCGCTACAAAAAATACAAAAAAATTAGCTGTGCCTGATAGTACACACCTGTAGTCTCAGCTACTCAGGAGGCTACAGTGGGAGGATCTCTTGAGCTCAGGAATTCGAGGCTGCAGTGAGTGAGCCATGATTACACCACTACACTCCAATCTGGATGACAGAGTACGACTTCATCTCAAAAAACAGAAAATTAAAAAGGGGAGGGATTATTGTGAGGAGGCCAACAATAAATTTGTATTGCAGTGGATAAAATTATGTTTTACGCTTAATAACAGTGGCATATATTTATTAAATTATTACTACATTGCTACTAAAGCACTGTTCTAATGCTTTATATTCTTTAACTTAGTCGTTCATAAGTGAGTCTTTCATGGTGTTCTAATAGGTAACGAAAAGTCCTTTTTTTTTTTTTTTTTTGAGATGAGTCCAAATTGAAGACCTTTGTCAACAAAGTACAAAACCACTGGGTGTAAAATAATGAAAAATGCTGCTGCTAGCTAAATGTGTTTCCTTCCTTTTTTTGAAACAGTGATTCCAGGGTGAATTTCCACTGATTAATAAGATGATTACCTCTGAAAAAAACTTTAAAATAAAATTAAACACAATTTTTTAGCTTTTGGTAACTTTGTGCTGAGTATTTTTGCTTAATGCCTAGAATTCTGTATGGTTTCCTCCCAAGGAAGGAAGAGGAAATGGTGCGTGGTGTGGTGGTAGCAACTTGACCTCAACTAAGTCAAATTTCATCAGGAGGCTGGAAGTGGTGAAGAGCCCATGTTAGCGATCCTCCAGTTTGACAAGTTGTGGGGAGTTGTGTTTGTGGTTTGGTGGCAACTATGTTTTTTATAAACATCTTTTTAAAAATGTTATGTTTTCCCTATGTATGCGCCCCAGTTCTCTGAAAGTTGCCCATTTGTATGTGCACTTATAAGGAGGTGAATCAAAGCCACTTGCTGATGCCCTTTTCCTTTCGTTCATTCATTTCTCAAATAGTCATTGAGCAGCTCCTACTTGTTCAGGCCTTTGCTGATCACTAGAGATGCTGCAGGAAACAGAACAGAAGCTCTGGAGCATGGCGCTTTCTTTCCAGTCGAGGGAGATGAAAAACCAGGCAGGAGGTGGGAGAGGAGCTCTTATGGAATGCTAACTATAAGGCGGTGCCCAAAACACTGTGTATCAAGATAAATAATATGTTGATGCAATTATTTTTAAGAAATAAAAATCAATGCAAAAAACTCCATGGTGAACAAAATGTCCAAATTTATATTTATAACATGATATTTGCGTGATAAATGCAAAGAAGAAAATAAAGCAAGATGGGGTAATGTGATGGCAGAGCAGTGCTATTTTGGATGGAGAGGTCAGGGAAGATGGCTCCAAGGAAGGGTCCCAGGAGCAGAGGGCTGGATCCCTTGAGGGGGCCAGCTGGGAACACATGAAGAGAAAGCGCGTCCCTGGAGAAGGATCAGCAAGACATGTGCACAGAGGTAGGAGAAGAGGGTGGCCAGTGTGGCTGGAACCTAATAAGGAAAGGAACAGTGGCCAACATTAGCTGGGAGGGGTGGCCAGGGGCCAGTTCATTCAAAGCTTTGTATATTGCCAGAATATTTTGAATATTTCCCTAAAACTGCAAATTAAAAGTAATTTTTGTCTTGAATTATCTCAGGACTTGCCTCAGTTTTCTACTTTGTTTTAACCTTCTTTGGGACACCTTCCTGTGTATGACCTTAAAGGATGGTTGCAAAGTTCTTCAAACATTTTTCATATCTACTGTCTTAGTCCATTTTTTGCAGCATTAACAGAATAAGAACAGATTTATTTCTTGCAGTTCTGGAGGCTGGGAACTCCAAGGTCAAGGGGCCTGCATCTGGCAAGGGCTTTTGTGCTGCATCATCCCAAGGTGGAAGGTGGAAGGACAAGAGAGCAAGAGAGGGCCGAACTCAATGTTATAACAAGTCCACTGTCTCGATCACTAACTCACTCCCAAGATAACAACATGAATCCAGTCATGAGAGCAGAGCCCTCATGACCTAATCACCTCTTATTAGGCCCCAGCTCCCAACACTGTTGCATTGGGATTAGATTTCCAACACATGAAATTTGGGGGACACACTCAAACCATAGCAGACAGTTTAAAAAATGTTTAATGCCAACTCTTAAAATGAGTTATGGTAAGCTGCAGCTACGGAAGAGCATATGAGCAGAGCTACCAGGAAATCAAACCTGCCATGGCTCAGAAGTCTGAAATGGGCCGGGGGCAGTGGCTCACGCCTGAAATCCCAGCACTTTGGGAGGCCAAGGCGGGTGGATCACAAGGTCAGGAGTTCGAGACCAGCCTGGCCAACATGGTGAAACGCCGTCTCTACTAAAAATACAAAAAATTACCTGGGCGTGGTGGTGTGCGCCTGTAATCCCACCACTTTGGGAGGCCAAGGAGGGCGGACCATGAGGTGAGGAGTTCGAGACCAGCCTGACCAACATGGTGAAACCCCATCTCTATTAAAAATACAAAAACTTAGCCGGGCATGGTGGCATGTGCCTGTAATTGCAGCTACTCAGGAGGCTGAGGCAGGAGAATCGCTTGAACATGGGAGATGGAGGTTGCAGTGAGCCCAGATTGCACCACTGCACTCTAGCCTGGGCAACAGGGTGAGGCTCCATCTCAAAAATAAAAAAATTATATAAAAAAAAGAAGTCTGAAATATTTGAGACCTACTGTAAGGACTTACTATAACAGCATTTAAAGTACTGGTTCTTAGCCTGAGGTTCAGAAGGCTGTGAGTAAAATACAAACATGTATACGCTATGTGAAATGTCGTTATGTGCTAATCAATACTTTTCTGGAGATTTAGTTCAAAGTTTTCATCAAATTCTCAAACAGGTCCAATGACTCCCAAAAGGTTAAGAAATACTGGTTTTACTAGAGGGTAATGATTTTCCTTTTTATCATTTCATTCCTCTGCTTCCCCAAAAATCCATGGCTTGGCTAGGACAAAGTTGTCTCCGAAGATGCTTGTAAGGGAATAACCTTTATTAGTTCATTCAACAAGGCAGTGGAAGAAGAAGCAGACAATGATGACATCTGCTTCCCAGTAGAGCCGGGAGAATAAAACGGCTCAAGTCCAATAAAGCGCTGAACACAGCACCTGACATGGCAGCCAGCTCTCAACACATATTTGCTACCAATGATAATAAACCTCACAAAAGTTCTAGCTGCGTATAGTCTGAGGCACAGAGTAGCCTAGAGACCAATATTCTAAAAGAGGAAACCAATGAGGAAGAGAAAAAAGTCCAGCTGCCTGAGCTAGAACACCAGCACAGCCGGTACTGCTGGGTTTTATCAGCAGCATTTGGGGAAGCAGTTAAGTCAGACGGGCCTCATCGGAGACAGCCCCTCATCTTATACTCCTTTTACTCAGCAGCTATGAGACTCTGAACAAAGACAACTTGCACATCTGAGTCTTGGGGTTTTCATTTGTAAAACAAGAGGGATTATACCTTCTAACTCTTAAGGTTATTGTGAGCCCAAAGTGAAAAAATGCCTACAAATCTCTCAGTGCACGCATGGTCATGGCTTAATAAAGAGCCGCTATTTTTGTTTTTTCTTCCCCAAATGAGAAAAGAACACTGGTTTGAGTCTTTCTAAAGATGCTGGTGTTTCTGCTCTTCTGTATTTGACTTTCTTTCCTTTGCTGTGAGAAAGAACTAATCCTAGCACTCATTCCCGGGTCTCTCACTGCCTATGTGACCTTGAAGGAGTCATTTGATCTTTCCACGCTTCTGTTTCCTCACCAGTAAATGGAATTCTAATAGTACTAACCAGTTTTAGTATCTGCCAAAACTAGGCTTTTCACCCCTTTCTCAATGAATCTGTACTTTCTTTTGGTTTACTGAGGAAATGTACTCATATATTGAGTGTGCCAAAGACTCTTCTAGGCACTGATGATACAATGTGGAATAAAAGTCCTGGCCGGGCTTGGTGGCTCACGGCTGTAATCCCAGCACTTTGGGAGGCCGAGGCAGGTGGATCACCTGAGATCAGGAGTTTGAGACCAGCCTGGCCATCACGGTGAAGCCCCGTCTCTACTAAAAATACAAAAATTAGCCCAGCATGGTGGCGGGCGCCTGTAATCTCAGCGACTGGGGAGGCTGAAGCAGGAGAATCGCTTTGATCCTGGGAGGTTGAGGTTGCAGTGAGCCGAGATCACATCACTGCACTCCAGTCTGGGCAACAGATCGAGACTCTGTCTAAAACAAAACAAAACAAAATGAAGTCCCTACCCTCATAGAGCTTACAGTTATTGTGGTTAGCATAGAAATAAATCATAAATCAATCAGAGACCAACTAATTAAAGGGATTATTTTTTAAAATTCTCATTAATCACAGTAACAAGTACCCCAAGCTTACATATAGCCCTTGAAGTTTCCACATCCACGTATTTTCTGGGCAACTCTTCCCAAGTAAAAAATATTTTCAGCGTTTTTATGTTTCACGTAGGTCAATAGGGTAATATCCAATCATAAAGATCTGCCTTCTTGGCAATGGAGAAATTTTCCCATCATATATATGTACAAATACATACATACATACATACATACATATTAATGACAGAGTCTTGCTCTGTTGCCTAGGCTGGAGTGCAGTGGCATAATCATAAGCTCACTGCAACCTTGAATTCCTGGGCTCAGGCAATCCTTCCTACCCCCTCAGCCTCCGGAGCCGCTAGGACTACAAAAGCTTACCACAACGCCTGGCTAATTTTTCTTTTTCTTTCAAGATGGTGTCTCACCATGTTGTCCAGGCTGACCTGGAACTCCTGGGCTCAGGTGCTCCTCCCGTCTCGGCCTCCCAAAGTGCTGGGATTATAGGCACTTTCCCATAATATTTATAATAATTAAAGGAACAAACAGAGAGATAGACAATCGCCTAAGAGCAGACAGACAATCATGAATTTTTAGCAAGGGATTTGTGTTCTTATAGATAAAATACAGCCTGACTCTTGGAACGGGCATGGCAACATCAGTGTATATTTTATAAGAACTATTATATCGTCTATTAATGATACTTGATTGTTAATAAAATTTTTTTAGCCTGGGCTTCAGGAAACTGTGAATGAAATACACACACGCACAAACTGTATGCAAAATTTCACACACATGCCATCTACAATATGCATGGCAACACCAGAAAGTTCCAGGCCTTAAGGGAGGGTCTTACTTCCTAGAATCTGTTGTAACATCACTTCACAAGATTTGTTGTGAGTGCTTGAGTCACAGTTGGCGCTCAAGAAAGATGCGTTCTCCTTTTAAACACAAAAATGTCCATTGATACAGCAGATTCCGTTCATAGGCATCCTTAATCGCAGAAACAGGAGGGCGGCCCTTTTCCTCAAGGCGCTCTCAGTCCAGGGATGTGCCCGCTCCGCAGCCACACAAGCTGGCGTGGGATAGGGTCAAAGAGCGGTGGATGCGCACGGGCCGCCCACGCCCTCGCTGCCCTCCCGGAGCGTGGGCGAGTGATTCCGATTGTGCAGCAGAAACCCAGGGTCTCACGGGAACGAGGAAACCCGCCCACGCCCAGCCTCCAAGCGACGCTCTCCATGACAACCGGCACTTGGTAACGGCCTCGCCCTGCCCCGCTACGCCGCGCCTAGCGTGCCGCCCCGCCCCGCCCCGCTACGCCACGACCAGCGTGCTGCGTCACGGCGGTGCGCCGGAAGTGGCTGCGGATTTCGCCGGAAATCCCGGAAGTGACAGCTTTGGGGGTTTGCTGCTGGCTCTGACTCCCGTCCTGCGATGGGTTGCGACGGGGGAACAATCCCCAAGAGGCATGAACTGGTGAAGGGGCCGAAGAAGGTTGAGAAGGTCAGTGATGTGGGCCGGCTCTTGGCGACCGGGGGTGGTGGGAATTTGACGACCCCAGAAAACGAGAGGAAGTAAGAAGGGGGAGCCAGCGGAGTTCCAGACCTGGCTGCGGTCTTTTATTCCATTCAGAGGACTCAAAATTAACAACAGTATTAAGAGTGGACATTCAATGGGTGCTGACTATTGCCATTCACTGGACAGTAATCTTAACAGGGGGTATCTCATGTAATTATCACAATAGCCCTATAGCTACATACTGTTGTCCTCATTTTCAGACATGGAAGTTGAGGCTCAAAAGGAGAAATTTGCAAAGCTAGTAAATGGCAGAGCCAGGATTTGAACCCTACCTGCGACTAGTAGCAATAATACAAATACCTAGTGTATACTGAGTTTTGTATACACTAACTTCATTTGCTCAGAGAAGCCTTCCCAAACTGTTCCCTTACCACATCCTTTTATAAACTGTCTTAGCCTGCACACGGCTGTACGTGGTTGATTTGTATCAAGTCTTCCCCGCTAGACGGTAAGTTCCTGATAGCAGAGGCTGTACCCTTTTTTTCTCTGCAACTAGCATGGTTCCTGGCACACTAAATATTTCGAATAAACAAATGAGTGAATAATCCCTGATCTCACAAGTAATCGAGGAAATTATAATAATTTCTTTGCTACTGACGGGGACATTGAGTCCAGGGATATTAAGGTGACTAAGATCACACAGCTGGTAGGTAGTGAAGCCAGGATTCCCATCCACTTATTTGGGATTTCAAAGTTAGCACAAGTAATTACTTTTTAATGATAAAATATTTGTAAAGCACCTAGTAGAGACTTCTTTACAAAAATATTTGTAAAGCACACGTGGAGACTTCATGTATTCTGATTCAGGAGCTGGAGAGCTTGTTTAAAAGGTAAACCCCTTAAGTCACTATTGTATTTGAAGCATTCCAGTGGCTTCCCATCACATTAAGAATAAAATCTCGTCAGACCCTTGAGCAGACCTTGCCTATGTTTCTGACCTCATCTTCTGCCCCTCTCCACCTCTTTCATACTGTTCTAGCTAAACAGGCCTCTTGTTCTTCAACCTGGAGTGTGAGTTCATCAATCTGAAATACTCTTCACTGAGATTGTCACATGATGAGTTTCTTTACTTCATTCAGTTTTTTACTCAAATGTCATCTGTCCACTGTAACTGAAATGTGCCTCACTTCCAATATTCTCTCTTCTCTTCTTAACAGTGCCTACCACTGTGTTGTTTATTGTCTCTTTCCCACGTAGACAGGAACCTTGTGTGTCTTACCTCTGTAACCCCTACCATGTGTCAGCCACATAATAGACACCTAATAAGTATGTGTGAATATGGGAATGAATGAATACCCAAGAGGATGAAGTGTACCCTCTGATCATACGTACATGTAAACAGGCGAATGCTGGATAATTAGCATTCATGAGTGGTTTTTTGGCTTTCACCAAAAAAGTGTTTAGCTCAGTTTTGTTTTCTTGTGCCCAGGGCTGAAAAGGAGTAGCTTAATGAAAGGCTTGACAAGAAACAGGTGTCGGAAGAGGGTAGAAAAGAAGGAAGAGCGATTCAAAAAAGCCAGAATGCCTAGGCAGGATGGATTTTTATTATAACTATTCACACAACAAATGCTTAATAAGTGGTTACCATATATACATTGTTGTAGGCCCCAGGGATATAGCAGTGAACAAGGCAGAGTCTAGCCCTGGTGGAGCTTACATTTCGGATCAATATTGTGAAATCTGCCCTGGTTCCTAACGCAGAGCACCTAAATTCCTTGTAATTTCCTGGGTGACGGGATCATCTTTTGTTCTAATAAGGCAATTATTGGTGGGCTCCTGGATGGGGCCTGGTCACCAGAAACACCAAGCCAAGATTAGAAGCCTGGAACTTTCAGCCCCACCTCACCCCCATCCTTCAGGGAGGAGAAGAGGAATTGGACATGGAGTTAATAATCCATCATGCCTACGTGGTGGGGTCTCCATAAAGATCCCTGAAGTTGAGGGTTTGGAGATTTTCTGGGTTGCCGACAACATCCACATGCCAGGAGAGTTACCCCAACTCCATGAGGACAGCCCTGCACTTGGGACCCTTCCAGATTACTTCTTTATCTGGCTATTTATTTGTATCCTTTAAAATGTATTTGTAATAAATCAGCAATGGTAACTAAACTCTTTCCCCATATCTGTGAGACACTAGCAAATCATCAAACTGGGCGGGGGGATCGTGGTAGCCTTTGATTTATAGACAGTCAGAAGTGCAGGTGACAACTTGAACTTGTGATTGGCATCTAAAGTCGGGGTAGGGACAGTATTATGGGACTGAGCCCTTAACCTTTGGGATCTGAGGCCATATCCAAATAGGTGGTATCAGAATTGAGTTTAATTGTAAGACACCTGGCTGCTATCAGAGAATTGGTTGGTGTGGGGAAAATCCCATACATTTTGTCCGAAGTGTTCTGGAAGTATTGAGTGTTGTGAGTGAAAGTATAGAAAAAACACTTGTCTGGCCAGGCGCGGTGGCTCACGCCTGTAATCCCAGCACTTTGGGAGGCTGAAGCAGGCGGATCATGAGGTCAGGAGATCGAGACCATCCTGGCTAACACAGTGAAACCCTGTCTCCACTAAAAATACAAAAAAGTTGCCGGGCATGGTGGCAGGTGCCTGTAGTCCCAGCTACTCGGGAGGCTGAGGCAGGAGAATGGCGTGAACCCAGGAGGCAGAGCTTGCAGTGAGCCAAGATAGCGCCACTGCACTCCAGCCTGGGCGACAGAGCAAGACTCCGTCTCAAAAAAAAACAAAACAAAACAAAACCACTTGTACTTGTCTTTCCAGTACAGATATGTAAAAACTTAAAAGAAGAAAGACCCTAGGAAAGAAGAGAGACCCTGGTAAACACATTTTTTACTGCTTTTTCGGGGGAAACAATTTTCAAAGCCCTGGATAAGGAGTGATTTGTCACTTTTCTCCCTGTCCCCAACTCTCTGAGGTGCTTTTTGAATATAACCTAATCTCTTGGTGCCTCACTTTCCTCATCTTCAAAAGTAAAAATACTAACTCATAGAGTTTTTCTGAGGATTAAAAAGTTATGGAAACTGCTTAGCACAGTGCCTGGCACACAGTAAGCACTTAAGCAGTTTTTACTTTAAAAATTAAATTCAGAGGGCCAGGTGTGTTGGCTTACGCCTGTAAACTCAGCCCTTTGGGAGATCGAGGCAGGAGAATCACTTGAGCTCAGCAGTTGGAGAACAGCCTGGGCAACACAGGGAGACCTCTTAACAAAAATAAAATAAAATTAGCTGGGAATTGGCGCTTGCTTGTAGTCCTAGCTACTTGGGAGGCTAAGGGGGAGGATTGCTTGAGCCCAGGAGAATTGAGGCTGCAGTGAGCTGTGATTGTGCCACTGCAGCCCAGTCTGGGCAACAGAGCAAGACCCTGTCTCAAAAAATAAATTAATAAAATAAATTCAGCAGGATTGTTTTTGTCTTCTTTTTTTCTTTTCTCTTCCTATTTTCTTCCAAATGTGCTGTCCTGTTAAATTATTCAGATTTGGCATTTGAAGAATGGGAAAGAGTGGTGCAGTCTACACAGTGAAGGAAAAAACAAGAACGGGAAGGAGTGGGACATGGAATATGATGTATGTGAAAATGTCATTCGAGGGCCAGGGAGGGTCTTATGTCTGGATTTTCATACTGGGGATAAAGTTTGATGTATCCCTTAGTGAATAAGCCCCAAAACACTTATTTCTGTTAAATTGAACATTTTATAAAGAATTATGTAGTCTTTGTTCTGAACTTTAAAAAAAAAATGCTTGTCTTCTCAGTTCTTAAGTCTTTAAATTCTGCCGCAACTTAGCAGGCTTTCCCATTGTTAGAAATTAATCTAACACACTTTTTTTTTTCTCTTTTGTATGGCCTCCCTAAGTTATTATTAAGATTCAGATGTTAATATTTGTATGTGGCTTGCATAAACAGTTTAATAATTTTATATAATCTTCTTTTTCTTTGTACATGTCATATTTAGATGGGCGTTTATTTGATGTAGTATTAATTACTTGTGACTTTTAAAATCCTGACTTCAGCCAGGCACAGTTGCTCATGCTTTCAATACCAGCAGTTTGGGTGGCTGAGATGGGCGGATCATTTGAGTCCAGGAGTTTGGGGGCAGCATGGCAAAACCACGTCTCTACAAAAAATACAAAAATTAGCCAGCCCTGGTGGTGTGCACCCATAGTCCCAGCTACTCCAGAGGCTGAGGTGGAAGGTTTGCTTCAGTCCAGGAGGTGGAGGTTGCAGTGAGTGAAGATTGCGCCACTACACTCCAGCCTGGGCAACAGAGTGAGACCCCGTCTCAAAAACAAACAAACAACAAACCAAAAACCCAACTTCCTATGTCATTATCTTTGATTTAAAAAACAAAAATCATTACAGTGCGGTATTACTGAATATACTTTTATATGTAGAATTGTGAACCATGTGTCTTTCAGAGTTGAAAATTAATTGAATTTTTTGTTTTTTATTAGGTCGACAAAGATGCTGAATTAGTGGCCCAATGGAACTATTGTACTCTAAGTCAGGAAATATTAAGACGACCAATAGTTGCCTGTGAACTTGGCAGGTATGGTTTTTACACTTAATCAAGATGAGTTTGTTAAGTGATTTTGAGAATTTTGATGTGTAAATGCAGTTTTCCATTCATCAAGCGTGGATTATCCCAAGCAAATTTGTGAGGCATAGGCTGTCGTTCCCTGTCTCTGAACATAGTTCTGTACTCTTCTAGTCAGTTTGGTTTATTTAATCCATGGTTTGAAAACTGAGGGGCTGGGCTGAGCGCAGTGGCTCACACCTGTAATCCCACCACTTTGGGAGGCTGAGGAGGAAGGGTCACTTAAGTCTAGGAGTTCAAGACCAGTCTGGGCAATGTGGTGAAACCCCACCTCTACAAAAAAATTAAATTAGCCAGGCACCTGGTGGCTGGCATGATCCTGTAGTCCCAGCTGTTCAGGAGGCTGAGGCAGGAGGATCCTGTGAGTCTGGGAGGTTGAAGCTGTAGTAAGCTATAATTCCACCACTGCACCCCAGCCTGTGCAAAAAAAATAGCAAACTCAGGGGCCAATAGAAGCTAAATTATAAGCATAAACACATGAAGGAGCCATGTGAGGAACAGGAGAGAATGGCAGGGAATGGAGAATACTGGAGGGTCCATGTGCTGTCCAAAGCGGGAGCTGCCACTCAGTTCCAGCCAGTTTTTACAGCTCAATGGTGTTGGCCTAGTGATTCCACACCTTCTGGTTTTAATTTTTTTAAAAAAAGAAGAAATACGTACTTATACGTTAAATTTCCCAATTAAAAAAAGCCTTGTTCAGGTTACATTCAGCCTTCTGACTGCCAGTTTGCCACCTTTGATTTAAACTAATTTCTGGCTGGACCCATTGGCTCATGCCTGTGATCCCAGCACTTTGGGAGGCTGAGGTGGGTGGATCACCTGAGGTCAGGAGTTTGAGACCAGCCTGGCCAATATGGTGAAACCCTGTCTCTACTAAAAATATGAAAATTAGCCAGGCATGGTGGCAGGCGCCTGTAATCCCAGCTGCTCGGGAGGCTGAGGCAGGAGAATTGCTTGAATCCGGGAGGCGGAGGTTGCAGTGAGCTGAGATTGCACCATTGCACTCCAGCCGGGGTGACAAGAGTGAAACTCTCTCTCAAATAAATAAATAAATAATTTCCTTCTTTGTATGCTCTGGAAATAGTTGAAACAGGGTTAAATTTACTTTTTAATAATTCAGGGTATTTCTCTTATCAAATGTAAACGACTTTTGGATTGTGTTCAGTTTATTCTTCCTTCTTTGGTTATTTGAAAGTCGCTTGTTGACATAATATTCTAATACTTACTATTGCAGACTTTATAACAAAGATGCCGTCATTGAATTTCTCTTGGACAAATCTGCAGAAAAGGCTCTTGGGAAGGCAGCATCTCACATTAAAAGCATTAAGGTAACACGAGTGATTCTGAAGTGCTGTGAGGGTCTGAACAGTGGCTGAGGTTTATTTTATAGAATTTATACGCCTTAAAGACTGAACTCAGAAATTTGGGATTCCATTCCCACATGGCCATCTAATACAGGTATGATCTTGAGAGGTCACTTAAATCTCAAGCCACGAGTTCCACCATGCATACTTCCTACATTATAAATCTGTTGTAATTTCACCTGTGTGTTGTGCTTTGAAAATTTTGATGTTCTCTATTAATGTTAGGAGGCATTATTTTTGTAATTAAGATTCACCTACTTGGATTTTGGATTTGGAAGATACTTTTGTGAATTAGATAATTTTATGGATCACTGTTAAATCACGTGGCTACCATCTGGTGATTAGAGGTTCTGATTGGCAGTTAAAGTTCTTTCATAAAAGTTGAAAAAACAAGTTTTTTTAATAAGGGAAATTTCTTGAGAGGACACAACTTTTTAAATATGGTCAGTGGGGAAAAAAACTTGGAAAGGTAATGAAGAATTTGAGAACCATCAGGCTAGTCAAACCCTTCATCTCACTGTAAATGACTCACTTGAGGCCCCATGGCTAGCGAAGTACTTAAACCAGAACCAGATCCCCTAACTCCCAGTCTAAGGCTCTAGGTTTTGCCTTCTTTTTCTTTCTTTCTTTCGTATTATTAGGCTTTTTGTTCAAATGCTTGGGGTTGATTATAGGATATGTTCATTTCAGGCAAATTCATAATTCTGAAATGTAGCTAATGATAGTGCTCTAGAAATTATTCTGATTTTAGTGGTCTTTTACCTTGTGGAAGAGAATTTATTCCTGAAAAACCTGTGGTAGTATGAATCATCTTACATCAAAAATGTGATAAACGATTCTTTAGTAGTTCATAATGCTATGATTGGGTTTCCATGTGCACATGTAAGATGTGCCTCTCTCAAGCCTTGTTGTGACATCAGCACATTACCCATCTGATGAGAAAAAAAAACAGTTATTGAAATTAATTCATACAGTTCTATACTTAAAATACTTGTAATATTCAGTTTTATGTGGTTGAATATTTAATGGAAAAAAACTCCAAGAAATTAGAACAGTAAAGAAAAAAAGCATACAAATAAAACAATGCTAATACATAAGATTGTCATTACCGTCAATTGATAGTCCACAAATACTCGGAGCAGAGAACTCAGTGAGACGTGCTCATTCTCGACCAGGAAGCTGATCGTATGAATGGTGATTTGCCTTTCAAGACACTCACCTGCTCTCTAGAGTATTGAAGTCAAAATGGTCTCATTAAATATGAAGAAATGCCTCGAATGCAAAAGTAGAGTTACTGTATCAAATTCCTTATAAAGTTGGGAATTCTTGAAAACCTGAATAGCTGTGTCTTGGAGTGTGACAGTATTTTCTGGCTAATATTCTGCCTTAGCTCGTTAGACCGTGGCCTCAGATTTTACTGTCTATTCAATGATTTTATATATATATTTTTTTGTTTTTGCTTTTTTCAACGATTAAATAAATGTAGATAGTCAGTAACATGAAGCAGCCTCAGAGAGGATTCATCACAGGGAGAAAGCATTCCCTTCTGGGTGGAACTCATGCAGAGCTTTCTGTTAGTGGAGTAATTTTTTATGTAAGAGGGTACTTTTCCTTAAGTTAAAAAGATGTGGATAGTAGAAATAACTGATTTACTTGCTAGTCAGTGAATTGAAAAAAATCTTGTTTTCTGTTTTCTTTTTTTTTTTTTTGAGACGGAGTTTTGCTCTTGTTGTCCAGGCTGGAGTGCAGTGGCACGATCTCAGCTCACTGCAACCTCCTCCTCCCGGGTTCAAGCGATTCTCCTGCCTCAGCCTCCCGAGTAGCTGGGATTACAGGCATGTTCCACCACACCCAGCTAATTTTGTATTTTTAGTAGAGACGGGGTTTCTCCATGTTGGTCAGGCTGGTCTTGAACTCCTGACCTCAGGTGATCCGCCTGCCTCGGCCTCCCAAAGTGCTGGGATTACAGGCATGAGCCACCACACCCGGCCTTGTTTTCTGTTTTCTATATATGGTTTAATATTATATCCATGTTTCTTATGGACCAGAGGAAAGTAACTGTGAGGGAGAGGTTTTGATGGGAAGGGCTGGAATAACAATTTGTTGACTTACGTGGTTAAGGCAAAGGATGATCTGTTTATCAAATGAATTGTTAAAATATTAATGGTTTTTCCCAGAATGTGACAGAGCTGAAGCTTTCTGATAATCCTGCCTGGGAAGGGGATAAAGGAAACACTAAAGGTGACAAGCACGATGACCTCCAGCGGGCGCGTTTCATCTGCCCCGTTGTGGGCCTGGAGATGAACGGCCGACACAGGTTAGTGACGGACCTGGGACAGATGATGTGGGAGGCTGGAGGAATACTGCCGGTTTTGGTGGCAGTGGTGCCGGAGCTTAGCAGTCATGTGGCTTGCTTTCTGGTGTCCTTGGGTTTGGTGGCGCCTTGGAGGAAATGGTGCTTGGTCATGAGCACGTTCATTTCCGTCAGCCATTGCTACGGGACTTCCAGCGAGATCCAGCCTGGTCTGCGGCCTTCCGTTCTTGAGGTGGGGAAACAAAACCTGAAGTGAAGTGGGATTCTGAAAAGTTCTCATGTGACGCTTATGAAACCTGAGTTTAGTTCTTAGATCATCTTTTCCTGTGGGACAGAAAGCAAAGAGCAAATGTTTCCTATCAAGCAAATCCCATTTCCTTCCTGTTACTAATTTTTAATTTTTATTATGTTTTATAGTTTTATTTTTATCCTTTTTTTTTAAGTAGAAATAAGGTCTCACTTTGTTGCCCAGGCTGGTCTTGAATTCCTGGCCTCAAGCGATCCTCCTGCCTCAGCATCCCAAAGTGCTGGGATTGTAGGCGTAAGCCACCACGCCCGGCCACTAATTTTTATTTTTGTAGAGATAGGGTCTCCCTATGTTGCCCAGGCTGGATTCAAATTCCTGGCCTTTAACGATCCTCCCAAAGCGCTGGGATAACATGTGGGAGCCACTGCACCTGATTACAAATGCCAAAAGTTATGCAGTAACAGGCAGAGTTATAGAACCTGTGGTTAATCAGTCAACCAAAGGCTCAAAAACATGGTAATTTGCCTTGAATTTGTAGCTAACAGATTCTCTGGCTGTAGCACTGGGAATCTTATGGTTGAGATGTGTGTAGCAAATGTAAGCAACCTGTATATTTTCCTCTTTAAAAAATACGGACGGTTGAATGGGTTAGTACATGCTTTTTCATAGGATGTCTCACTAAGCAAAAGCGTTAAGCCCTTTCCCCCACTTTTGAGAAGTACAGTCATACCTCGGAGATATTGTGGGTTCTATTCCAGACTACCACAATAAAACAAATATTACTGGAAAGCAAGTCACACAAAATTTTGGTTTCTTAGTACATATAAAAGTTGCCTTTAGCAGCTCACAGTGGCTCCCACCTATAATCCCAGCACTTTGGGAGGCCGAGACAGGAGGATTGCTAGAGGCTAGGAGTTAGAGACCAGCCTGGGTAACATAGTGAGACCCTGTCTTTACGAAACAAAATTTTTTTTTAATTAGCCAGCCATGGTGGCATGTACCTATAGACCTCGCTACTTGGGAGGCTGAGGCAGGAGGATTGCTTGAGCCCAGGAATTCAAGGCTGCAGTGAGGTATGATCATGCCACTGCAGAGCCTGGGTGACAGAGTGGGACCCTGTCTCAAAAAAGAAAGTTATGTTTATACTATAGTCTAGTCTTTTAAGTGTGCAATAGCATTATGTCTAAAAACAAAGTACCTATCTTAATTAAAAATTATTGCTAAAGAATGCTAGCAATCACCTGAACCTTCAGCGAGTCATCATCTTTTTGCTGGTGGAGCCTTGATGTTGCCTTGATGTCGATGGCTGCTAACTGATCAGGATGGTGGTTGCTGAAGGTTCGGGTGGCTGTAGCAGTGTATTACAGTAAGACAGCAATAGAATTTGCTGCATTGATTGACTCTTTCATGAAAGATTTCTCTGTATGTAGCATGTGATGCTGTTTAATAGCATTTTACCCACAGTAGACCTTCTTTCAAAATTGGAATCAGTTGTCTTAAACCCTGCAACTGCTTTATCAATTAAGCTTATGTAATATTTCAAATCTATCATAACAATATTCACAGCATCTTCACCATGGGCAGATTCTGTCTCAAGAAACCACTTTCTTTGCTCATCCATAAGAAGCAACTCTTCATCCATTTGGGTTTTATCGTGAGATTGCAGTAATTCAGTCATCTTCAGGCTCCACTTTTCTCATTCTCTTGCCATTCTACCACATTTGCGTTACTTCCTCCACTAAAGCATTGAACCCCTCCAAGTCGTCCATGAGGGGTGGAATCAGCTTCTTCCAAACTCCTATTAATGTTGATATTCTGCCCTCCTCTCATGAATCACAGATTTTTTTTGTTTGTTTTTTGTTTTTTTGTTTTTTTGAGACGGAGTCCAGCTCTGTTGCCCCGTCTGGAGTGCAGTGGCACAATCTCGGCTCACTGCAACCCCCACCTCCTGGGTTCAAGTAATTCTGCTGCCTCAGCGTCCCGAGTAGCTGGGATTACAGGTGCCCGCCACCGTGCCCAGCTAATGTTTATATTTTTAGTAGAGACAGGGTTTACCATATTGGCCGGGCTGGTCTCAAACTCCTGACCTCAGATGATCTGCCTGCCTCAGCCTCCCAAAGTGCTGGGATTACAGGTGTGAGCCACCACAGCGGGCCAAATCACAGATGTTCTTAATGACATCTAGAATGGTGAATTCTTTCCAGAAGGTTTTCAATTTACTTTGCCCAGATCCATCAGAGGAATGGCAGAGGAAGCCTATGGCAGCTATAGCCTTATGAAATGTATTTTTAAATAAGACTTTAAAGTCAAAGTTCCACCTTGATCCATGGGCTGCAGAATGGTTGTTGTGTTAGCAGCCATGAAAACAACTTTAATCTTGTACATCTCCATCAGAGCTCTTGCGTGACCTAGGTGCATTATCAATGAGCGGTGATATTTTGAAAGGAATCTTTTTTTTTTTTTTTTTTGAGCAGTAAGTCTCAACGCTGGGCTTAAAATATTCCGTAAGCCATGTTATAGACAGATGTGCTCTCATTCAGGCTTGGTTCTTCCATTTCGAGAGTACAGGCAGAGTAGACTTACCATCATTCTTAAGAACCCTAGGGTTTCCAAACGGTAAATGAACATTGGCCCAACTGAAAGTCACCAGGCACGTTAGACCTTAGTGAGAGTCGGCCTGTCCTGATGCTTTGAATCCAGGCATTACTTCTCCTTTTTAGCAGTAGAAGTCCTGGATAGCATCTTCTTTCAACACAGGGCTATTTTATCTACACTAAAAATCTGTTGTCTAGTGTACCCATCTTTATTAATGATTTTAGCTAGATTTTCTGGAGAACTTAATGCAGCTTCTCCATCAGCACTTGCTGCTTCACCTTGCACTTTTATGTTATGGAGACGCCTTCTTTCCCTAAACCTCATGAACCAACTTCTTCCAGTTTCCACCTCTTCCTCTGCAGCTTTCTTGCCTCTGTCAGCCTTCATAGAATTGAAGAGAGTTAGGGCCTTGCTCTGGGTTAGGCTTTGGCTTAAGGATCTGTCACTGTGGCTAGTTTGATCTTCTGTCCAGGCCACTAAAACTTTCTTCATATCAGCAATACGGTTGTTTCACTTTCTTACCATTCATCTGTTTATAGAGTGGCACTTTTAATTTCCTTCAAGAACTTTTCCTTTGCATCCACAGCCTGGCTAAGTGTTTGATTTGAGAGGCTGGATTTTGGCCTGTTTTGGCTTTGGGCCTGCCTTCCTCCCTAAGCTTAATCATTTCTAGCTTTTGATTTAAAGTGAGAGACATGCAATTCTTCTTTTACTTGGACACTTAAAGGCCATTGTAGGGTTCTCAATTGGCCTAATTTCAATATTGTTGTGTCACAGAGAATAGGGAGAACTGAGAAGGAGAGAGATGGGGGAATGGCCAGTTCATGGAGCAGTCAAAACACACACATTTATTAATTGAGTTTACCATCTTATAAGAGTGTTGTTCCTGGCACCCCAAAACAATTACAAAAGTAACATCAAACGTCACTGAGCACAGATCACCGTAACAGATGTAGTAATCATGAAATCATTTGAAATATTTGAGAATTACCAAAATGTGACACAGAGACATGACGTGAGCACATGCTGCTGGGAAGATGCTGACACACCTGCCAGATGCAGGATTGCCGTGAACCTTCAGTCTAAAATAATCACAATATCTGCAAAGCGCAATAAAACAAGGTATGCCTATATCCTTAATAGCTGGTAGTCCAGACTGCCCTCTGGAATCTTCTGTTAAACACACAACATACTGAAAGGTAGCATTTTTTATTACTTTCATTCAGGAAAGGGGTGGGGCAAAGCATCTCGAGTAAGTAAAAATGGTTTCATTGAACTTTAAACAGCAGTATTTAATCCTGAGCATTCTGGCACATTGGCGTCTGTTTATTTAACAGGTGTACATGGACACCCTCTCAGTGTGCCAGGCCGTGTTGCGTGTGGCAGACTGTGCGAGGGGAACTAACTGTCCTGTTCTGAAATGGAACAACGAGGGGCTTCATGGATTTGGAGAGAAGTACAGTTTAGGGTCCAAGGACCTTTTGCTTTTAAATATTACACTCTTCTTCAAATAATCTGAATTTAAACCGCTTAGGGCTCTCTTTTAAACCACCATTGGGGTCAAGTAAGACATATTCTGGGGAACCAGACTCATTTACCTAACCATGTCCCACTTCTGTATATGTGTGTGTATGTGTGTGTGTTTGCATATATATATACACACACATATACACACACGTATGTATATGTTTGTATTTCAGGTGAAAGTCACATAAAATTGGCCATTTTAAAGTGTATGTTTCAGTGGCATTTAGTACATTCACAGTGTTGTACGGTCACCACCTCTATCTGGTTCCAGAACATTTTTATCACCCCAAAAGGAAAATCCTCTGCCCATTACATAGGTACTCCCCATTGCCAGTCTGTTTCTGTCTCAATGGATTTACCTCTTCTGGATATTTCATATGCATAGAATCATACAATATGTAACCTTTCGTGTTTGGCTTCCCACTTGCTTTTAAGAAAACTAGCTCACCCCAGAAGAGGAACTTAGCAGAAACGAGCTCCACAATGGGGTCTCGAGTAGGAGTCCCCTGCAGCCTGTTGCTCTGATTGTGGCTTCCCCTGTTGTTTCTCCTTTGGTTTGCTGGTCAGTCTCTTCTCCTTTTTCTCTTACCCAGTGAATTGAGCTTTGCTTATTTTGACTTTGTCCATCTGTTATTGATAAGAGCCTCCACACTTGAAATTGATGATTGGATTAGTTTGTGTATGGTCATCCCTTGATATGTGTGGGAGATTGGTTCCAAGACCCCCTGTGGATACCAAAATCCATGGATGCTCAGGTCTCTGATATAAAATGGTACAGTATTTGCATATAACCTACACACATCCTCCTGTATACTTTAAATCAACTCAGGATTACATATGATACCTAATACAATATAAATGCTGTGTAAATAGTTGTTATACTGTATTGTTTAAGGAATAATGACAAAAAAGTCTGTGCATGTTCAATATAAATGCATTCATTTTTCCTCCCAAATATTTTTGATCCGGTTTGGTTGAATTGATAGATGCGGAACGCATGGATATAGAGGATATAGAGGGCCAGCTGTATTTAGTAAAGTTTGTATAATAAAGATTTAAATATATAGAAAAATGGAAATAAACTGTTAGTGTAATAAAAACATTGGGCCTTTGTAAAAAGAAAAATAGCTTCCTAATAATTTGTAAGTATCTATAAAATAGGATTTTAAAAATTCTAAACAACATTCAGTGAATTTAGTGCAGTGTTATGAACTGGATTTTGGTTAGGCCAATCTGCGTCTGCTATAATCCCTGGGAAATTAGAGAAAATTTGTCCTTTGGCATTTTTCAAGGAATGCCTAAAGTGAAATATGAAAGTGCTTTATGCTGCTCTCCAGCCGCGGTGGAGGCATTATTCGTTGTTTGATGTTTAATGCTCCCTCCCCCACACCACACACCCATATCCACGCTTCTCCACGCCTCTGCATATAGACGTAGAAATCGACACGTATTCTTCCCAAACTCTCATGGGGTCACATTATATGTATTTAATAACCTCTTTTTTTCTTTCTGTTCTGTCCACCTTGGACATATTTTCACAACCTTGAATACAGATTTACCTTCTTTTTAATAGCCGTTTGGGTGTTTATAATTTATTTGACCATTTCCCTACTGAGGAACATGTAGGTGGCCTCCTTCCTTTCCTTTTTACCTTGCTATACTACACAACTTCCTGAGCACACATTTGTACATTTGCACACTTGTGGGCATGTTTCTGTAAGAAGAAACTCTTAAAAGTCACACTTTACTTGATACTGCCAAATTATCTTCCTAAAGTATTGTACTGTGTTGTATCCACCTGACAACAAATGTGCCTGTATCCTCAGTTTCCAATTGGATACTTTCAATCTCTTTTTTTTTTTTTTAAAGCGACAAGCGACAGAATCTGTCCCAGTTACCTAGGCTGGAGTGCAGTGGCGCTATCATAGCTCAGGCCATCCTCCCACCTCAGCCTCCCTAGTAGCTGGGACTGCAGGGACCCACCATCACACTTGGCTAAGTTTTTAAAAAGATTTTTTTTTAGAGATAGGTTCTCAGTATGTTGCCCAGGCTAATCTCAGACTCCTGGCCTCAAGTGATCCTCCCATTTTGACCTCCCAAAGCACTGGAATTTACAAGTGTGAGCCACTGTGCCCAGCCCCAATCTCCTGAATTACTGCCCGATAGGTAAAAAATGATGTGTCCTGGTTTCAAAAGGCATTTCTTTTAGCATTTGAGGTTAAGAATCCTTTGGTCTTTATATATTTTTTGTACGAACTGCATGTTAGTCCTCTTTGGCCATTTTTCTATTATAGTGTTGACTATTGCTGTATAAGACCTTTTTGAATATTCATAAAATAAGCTCTGAATCTTATATTTATTGAAAATATTTCCTCCCTGAGTTCCTGTTCTTTTGACTTTTGATGTTTGTGGTTTCAGTTTTGATCTTTTTTTTATTTTGGATATAACTGATTTATTTCTTTTTTTCCTGCCCCTTTTCTATGAGAACGTACTGATTTTTTTAATAGAGTAAAATGTAACTATTTTAATCTTTGTGGTTCTTGGCCTTTGTATCAACCGAATAAATGTGAATTGATCATGTGATTAATACAGTCCTTCCCCCACTGGGTTATTTCTCCAGGTTCTGCTTCCTTCGGTGCTGCGGCTGTGTGTTTTCTGAGCGAGCCTTGAAAGAGATAAAAGCGGAAGTTTGCCACACGGTGAGTTCCTGACATGTACCATTTGTTCCTTCTCTGTAGCTGAGGAAATCAGATGGTTTAGGGTCCTTTCCCTCCATTTGTTCTTTCTGAAATCAGCTCTCATAAGTTGCTTTTCTGCTTCCATGGCTCTTGGTTGCTGGAAGTGCAGAATCCACTGGCCTCTTGTCACCTGACCACTGCCTGCCAGTCCAGGTCAGACCACACGAGGGCTGTTTCCTGAATGTGCTGCTGCCTCAGTTTCCTCTAGCAGACCTGCTGTCCTGGAGGGCCTGCTCCCCCATGAGCCCCCATTCCATAGTTCTTACTTCTTCCGTGACTCCCTGGTGCTAAACCTCCTTCCACATTCCCCAAGCACCTTGTTTTCTCACTCCTCCCATCGTAATGTAATTGCGTATGTATGTGTCTGCTTCCCCACCGGACTTAGTTTTTGAGGGTAGGAAACAAGGCTTGTTCATCTCTTTATCCGCAGGGCATATTCTCTCCAGAGCACGTAGCGTGCCCTCAGTAAATGCTCGCATGGGTGGCGAGTAACTAGACATGAGAGCTAGCCTCAGCTCACGTGGAGGAAATACTGATGCTTTGCTTTAATGGCGCTGCTGCTGCTGAAGCCAGAATGTGTGTGTGTCTTGGGTGTACTGCTGGCCCATCGAAAGCGTGCTGCTTCATTTAACGTCATGGATGCCGGCAGCTTCTGACTGTATTTTCCTGTATCAACCCTGTTTGTATTTCATTCCCCTCCCCACTGTGTTGTTGCTCCCTGTTGTGAAAGCCAGCAGCTTTCACTGAGTGATGGTTAGGGGCCATCGTCTCTTCTAGGCACTGATCTGTGGGAAAGCATACTGAATAAGATCCATGAAGGCCCTTGCCCTCCTGCATCCCACATTCTGATTGGAGAGAGAGACCCTCAAGTAGATGAGCAAGGCAGAATCGATTGTGACCGATGCTAGGAAGGAAACACATGAGGCCATGTGATGGAGGGAGAGAGGCTGGCGTAGTGGTGGTCGGCAGAGGCATATCTGGAGGTTTGAGCTGAGACCCGAAGGGCACGAGGGAGCCAGCTGTGCACAGCCTGAGTAGCAGCCTCTTCGGCAGCAGGAACAGCATGTGCAAAAGCTCAGAAGTGACAGAGGACTTTGCGAGTTCAGTGAACAGAAAGTGTGAGAGTGGAGGGCTGGTGAGGGGAGTAGATGAGATTAAAGAGTTAGGCAGGGGTCATCTCATGCAAGGCCTGGGGGCCACACTGGGGCTTATGGATGTTATTCGAAGAGCAGCAGGAAGCCAGAAGGCAGCTGTAAGCCGGATGGGATGTGCATTAATTTTGTTCTAAAAATCCTAGACGTGGAGGAGGACTGGGTGGCTCCCGTTACCTAGGCCCGGAGGCAGGCAGAGGTGAGTGGGGAAGAGGTCAGTGGGGGCGGTGAGTTATGTCCAGTTTGGGGTGACTATGAATAAAGCCTTCATAGAATGAGGAGTCTGTCTTATTAAGCTTTCTTTTAAGAAAAGAAATTCAAATAAAACATTTGGGAATTGGTTGATATTCAGCCAGAAGTATTTATTGTGGCTCCCGTATTAAGATGATGGCATAGATTCCAAGGGAAAATAAGATTTGGATGACATGGTTCCTGCACTCACGGAGATTGCAGTCCTGCAGGAATCATGTTATGTGAGACATCACACTCTATTTTGCTTTTTGAGGCCAGGTACCAAACAGATGGTAAAGATATTGGCACTAAGGGGCCAGAGAACTTTTTTTTGTCTACTGGTAAGAAATGGCTTTATAAAGGGAGGGGCATTTGTTCTGGGCCTCAAAGGAAGAGCATGGTTATTGGTTGCACTCCCGGGGATGGAGAGATTGCTGGTGGTAGCGGTGCTGCTCTGGGGAGGCGCACAGCCAGGTACTGGGTATCTCTGTAAGGCGTTGTCTGGCAGGACAGTGACGCCCATTTTGCTGTCCTTCAGACCTTCTGCTTGCTTTCAGGAGAAAGTCTCCCTTTAATCTTCGTACGTTTGTAACACTCTCTTAACTGCCTAAGAAAGTAGACTTTAAGCTCAGAGCTTTGGCAGGCAGGATCTAGCAAAACTGTTTGGTATTCTCTGCATTTTTATGGTAACTTGATATTTATGGCAAAGAGTACTGTTTCTCTATATTTAGCCTAGGAATATAAAGTTAACTGTTAGGTTGGGCACAGTGGCTCATGCCTGTAATCCCAGCACTTTGGGAGGCCAAGGCGGGTGGATCACCTGAGGTCAGGAGTTCAAGACCAGCCTGGCCAACATAGTAAAACCCTGTCTCTCCTAAAAATACAAAAATTAGCTGGGTGTGGTGGCACGCGCCTGTAATCCTGGCTGCTCGGGAGGCTGAGGCAGGAGAATTGCTTGAACCTGGGAGCTGGAGGTTACAGTGACCCAAGATTGTGCCACTGCATTCCAGCCTGGGTGACAGAGTGAGACTCCATCTCAAAAAAATAAATAAATAAATAAAAAATAAAGTTAGCAGTTAAAATTAAGCAGAAACAATGGGTAGATTTAAATAAAAATATTAAGATATTGACAGTACAGTTGGCAGGGGAATGGCTGAAGTTTGCAAAACACTGTTGTAAGTCCTGCTGGGACTGTGATTGGTTAGTGGGGGAAAGAAAGGCAGCAGCAGTGCTCATGGGGCAGAAGCAGCCGGGCAGCCATACTGAGATGAGTGGCAGGTGTGATCGAGGCCTGGTCCTGTCAGGACTGTGGGGTGGGGTACAGGAGCAGGGAGAGAGGCCGAGGTGTGAGTCGGACTGGATTGGGGAAACCTTCGAATGCCAGAAGGAGGAGCAGGAGTTCTAGTTCTTAAGAGTTCTCAGAATCATTTTAATGGGTCACCAGGTTTGGGGGACCTACTGATCTAAAGCAATCCAGTTTTTTCTTACGCCCATAATAGTACCCATCTGTTAGATGGGTGCACAGTTGTCCTTTGCGTTGGTTGGCCTAAAACAATCATACTAATAACCATGATGACACGTATGCAGTAAAACCTCACTGTCTGCCGAGCTTCACAGAGAAGCTGATTCTGTTGCATGGAAATACAGCGTTACAAGGGAACTCTGAGATTATATCGTTGGTGCTTGGGAAGTTTTACTGAAAGCTAGTAAGCTTTCAACAGTCTGTACCTTGCACTTCAAGAGAAGGGAAGGAAGCAGGAGGAAAGAGGAACAGAGCCACGTCAGGATTGCACAAGGGACAGTAGAGACCAGGTGACGAACAGGAGCGAGCGTAGGCTCCTCCCGGCTCCTCGTGGAGGCCACCTTGGCTGTTGCGACTTTCTGCAGTTATGACAGGGCACTGGTTGAAATTCAGGAATACCTCAGGAAATTGTCTTAAAGATACATCTGTTGCCAACAAAGAATGAACGAGATAATGAATTATTTTTACTTTTATACTGTACATCAGAGTTGCCTTTGCAGAACTGTGTTGAATACTCTGTGCTAGTTTGTTGGGGCTGCTGTAATTAAGTACCCAAGCCGGATGACTTACCGGAAAGTCATTGTCTTATAGTTCTGGAGACTAACGTCCAAAATCAAGGTGTCATCAGGGTTAGTTTCTTCTGAGGGAAGGATCTGGTCCAGGCCTCTCATTGGCTTCTAGACGGCCTTCGCCCTGTTCACATCATCTTCCCTCTATCATGTCTGTCTTTGTGTCCACATTTTCCCTTATTAGGACACCAGTCCCGGTACTGGATTAGGGCCCAACTTAATGGCCTCATCTTAACTAATTACATCTGCATTGACTGTGTTTCCCAATAAGGTCACATTTTGAGGTACTAGGGCTTGGACTTCAACATATGGATTTTGCAGGGGGGCATAATTCAACCCATAATACACAATTTAGAAAATAAAATCATAGAGCGTGGGGCCAGACATGGTGGCTCACGCCTGTAATCTCAACACTTTGGGAGGCTGAGGTGGTTGGATCACTTGAGGTCAGGAGTTCGAGAACAGCCTGGCCAACATAATGAAACCCCGTCTCTACTAAAAATACAAAAATTAGCTGGGCTTGGTGGTGCATGCCTGTAGTCCGAACTACTTAGGAGACTGAGGCAGGAGAATTGCTTGAACCTGGGAGGTGGAAGTTGCAGTGAGCCAAGATCACGCCACTGCACTCCAGCCTGGGCGACAGAGCTAGACTCTGTCTCAAAAAAAAAAAGTGCCAATGTAGAGTACTGGAGTTGTGATCCGTAGCATTGGACTTGCTACCTCTGTGGCTTCATTTATGTAGGCTTTGTAGATAGGTGAATGGGGTGTGTGGATGTTTTAAAGTTAGAAGTCAAAAATATATATACTCACACTGTCTACCTGCTTTTCATGGAGGGGGTGGAGTAGAAAGAGAAAAAGTTAAGTTAGGGAAAAGGAGTGTCGTCAGAAGTGGTCAGTGCAGCTGATTCTGGTTTTCAGGCTTTGGCCTTCTTCAGAGTATCTTAGGTTTCTGCCATCTTTATAGTCTTTGTGAATATTTAGCCTCAAGGAATCAGATAAGACACAGCATAGGCAGCCTTAAACTTTCACATGTTCATTTTGTTCTTTCACTCTACCCATCAACAGACTGAGGGTCTGATAAGGAGAGAGTGAGCCTAGGCTTCTTGTTCTCATGCTCACGGAAGCTGCTGCTTTCCCTTGGCCTCCCTGGCCTGTCGCAGCTGCCTGTCTCAGCCTCCCTGCCTCTCGGCCTCCCTGCCTCTCAAGCCTCCCTGCCTCTCGGCCTCCCCACCTCTCTGACTCTTGGCCTTGTTTTCCATTGCTGTCCCCACTCTCCACTGAAGCCCAGTCTCAGGCTTTTACATTCCACATGCATTTAGTGTACTTTTATTATTCTGCTTTATCCTGCTGTTACTGAAATGATTTTTTTTTTTAGATGGAGTCTTGCTCTGTTGCCCAGGCTGGGGTGCAGTGGTGCAATCTTGGCTCACTATAACCTCTGCCTCCCAGGTTCAAGTGATTCTCCTGCCTTAGCCACCCGAGTAGCTGGGACTACAGGCGCCCACCACCATGCCTGGTTATTTTTTTTTTTTTTTTGTATTTTTAGTAGAGGCAGGGTTTCACCATATTGGCCAGGCTGGTCTGAAACTCCTGACCTCGTGATCCACCCGCCTCAGCCTTCCAAAGTGCTGGGATTACAGGCATGAGCCACCACGCCTGGCCATACTGAAATGATTTGTTCAGGACATGTCTTCATTATAGCATTAAGCCTGTTGGGGGCAGGTGTTTGTTTCAATTTGTGCTTCTTTGTGTGACGTAAGGTCATGTAGCTACCTGGGACTCAGTAGTCACACTGCAGAGTGTAGCTGCCTGGTCCAAATCCCAGCCCCACTTTCCCAGCTGTGTGGTCCCAGGAACATCCCATCATCTCCCTGTGCCTCGATTTTCTCATCCGTTAAAAGTGTCAGCCATTCTTCTGAGCACTTCCCCACCCAGGAGCACCCATGTCCTCCTAACGGTGCTGGTGGGCGGATGCTTTTACAGGGCCCCCTTCACGGTATGTGACTGGGTGTACCACGGGTTGACATTGGAATGAAGTGAAGGCAGGCTTATGTTTTAAGTAACTTGAAAGATGTAATCTTTTTTATTGTTCCTTTAATGGGGTTTACATTCAGTTGCTATTGAGTTATAAAATACCGGGGACATAATCGTGGCTAATCTGAGCTTTCTGAATGAACAGCCTGTCAGCATGTAGCCAGCTATCGCCTTTGGGGGCGCCGTGTTTGCCTGTAGAAATGTGTGGGAAGGTGGTGGTGGGCTGTCATGGGGCTCTTGTGTTCTTTTTGAAAGTCTTAATATTTTCCATATGTGCTTTCCTTGGATTAGATATCCAAGGGGAAGAAAGATTTGTTTAAACAAAGGTGTTACTTTTCTGTGGTTCCTTGATGTTTGATTTGTGGGATCTGTCTTCCAAATCCCTTTTCCTTCTGTCTAGCAATGATGTTTTCCCAGGGCTATTTCACACAGTGACTTGACTTCATTTCTATGCGTGGGAAGCTTCCATTTACTGAGGTGCTTACACTTTGCGTTGGAATTATGTTTCTTTAATTTCCTCTCCTCTGGTTCCTGTGTTCCCATCTTTAAATCTCTTGTATGTTGTGCTGTTTAATTGTCACGCACTTCAGTTTCATATGATGCTGTATGAACTCTTTTAGAGAAGGAGGATATATATAAAGTTCTCCACAACAGCAGCGGCAGCAGCAAAGTCGTGGACTTTCTAAGGGAGGAGACCCAGATCTGTGAATAGAGATAATCATGGCCATTCATGTCTCAGATCTGTGCTGTTCAGCATGGTACAATTAGCCACATGTGCCTATTTAAAGGTAACTTAAGGCCGGGTGCGGTGGCTCACGCCTGTGATCCCAGCACTTTGGGAGGCCAAGGCAGGCGGATCACCTGAGGTCGGGAGTTCGAGATCAGCCTGACCAACATGGAGACACCGCGTCTCTAGTAAAAATACAAAAAAATTAGCCAGGCGTGGTGGTGCATGCCTGTAATTCCAGCTAGTCGGCAGGCTAAGGCAGGAGAATGGCTTGAACCTGGGAGGCAGAGATTGCGGTGAGCCGAGATCGTGCCATTGCACTCCAGCCTGGGCAACAAGAGTAAAACTCCGTCTCAAATAAATAAATAAATAAAGGTAACTTAATTTTTAAAAATTAAATAAAAATAAAGATTCACTTTTGTAGTCGCTCCAGCCATGTTTCCAATGCCCAGGAGCCCCTGTGGCTGTGGTGAGCAGTTAGACAGCTCAGCTGTGGAATGTCCACCATCACAGAAGGTGCTAGGAGACGACATGTCAAGACCGCAGACACTTGGGGCACCCTTTTTAACAAGCTGTGTTTTCTACTCCAGATGAGCTCTGTTTTACCCAGAGAAATACACTCTTCATTATTTTTCTAGGACCGCCAGAATAGGGTTACATTGCTTGCAGCCAATGAGGACTGTTTCAGATAAGCATATTTTCATTTTCACTGGGAGTCTGTTCTTTCTTAGTATCTCATACACAGTAGTATCTGGGTCTTCAAAACAGGCTGTGTCGTTCTTATTCCAGCTTGAGCCTGGATCCAGGTGTTTGGAGAATTTGGGTTTTCAGCAGCTTTTTACTGAAGCATTTGGCCTTCTAAGTGCATTGCTATATGTCACCAGTGGTAGCTTGAGTTTTTTTGTCTTGTGATTTCTTTCCCAAAGCTATAAAAGTGGCCTGTAATCAATAGTAAAGTCTTGTCAATAGCATGTTTCTGAATTCATTTTAGGAATAGTTTGTATCAAGGAATCATTTTCCCACTTCTTTGGTTCAATGTTCTCTTGTTTCAAGTCAAGGAAACAGAATGATACCAGTAAGAAAGCAAACACTCCCTAGCGGTTCAGTCTCATATTGAAATGACTCTGCTGTTGAAAATGCCAGTGTGGCTCTATAGGAACTTCTGCCTGCCTCAGCACTTGAAGTCTGTGCCGCCGCTCTAAGCAGGTAACCACAAGCGGGTCTGTCGAGGGTTCGAATTTGTTGGCAAACAGAGAAGGCGACTGAATGAGCCACGGCAGGTCTCCTGGTCCGTATACGCAGATGTCTTCGACGTAGCGGCCTGCAGAAAGAAACACAAAAACCTAGCTGCCTTTGTTTCCTCACCCATTTTATTCACACACAGAAAGTGGCGCATGCTCCGTCCGGTGTCAGTGGTGAGCCTCAGCTTCACCAGAGTTCACATCAAACAGCATTTCCATGATTGCCTTGACAGGGGCTTTTATGTTGAATTTTGAACTTACGGTGGAAAGGCGCACTTTCATTCTTTTAGTGATTTCTGAAATCTTTGTTAGTTACTGCTTTAGGTGAATACCATGGGATTTAACTCACCACGCGCACACGAGAGATAAGCTAGCGCTCATTTGCCTGCTAAAATCTCAGTTCCGATAGATTCTGAGTTCCATGAACTTCTAAGTCTTTTCATTGGTTGTAAGTAGTTCATAAGAATGGTATGGATTTTAAATAAGTCATTGCTTCTATATTTTTTGGGGACCCCAGACATGCACCACCATGCCCAGCTAATTTTTGTATTTTTTATAGAAACGGGATTTCGCCATGTTGGTCAGGCTGGTCTCAAACTCCAGGGCTCAAGTGATCTTCCCACCTCGGCCTCCCAAAGTGCTGGGATTACAGGTGTGAGCCACTGTGCCTGGCACTGCTTTTTATTTGTTTTTCAGAGTGAACATTTGATACAAACATTGAGGTGGGAATTACAGGCCAGGCACGGTGGCTCACACCTGTAATCCCAGCACTTTGGGAGGCCGAGGCGGGAGAATGACTTGAGCCCAGAAGTCTGAGACCAGCCTGGGCAATAGAGTGAGATCTCGTCTGTAATTTAAAAAAAAATTTTTTTTAAAGTGGGAATTAGAGTTGGAATCCAGTGGTGACTGGATTCCTTGGAGACTCAGTGACACTTTTTATGTGCTTTTGACAACCGTGTTTGGCTCTTTCTGCTCTTGCTTTTAATTCTCACAGTAACACTCTGAAGTGGATTCCATCATCATTCCCATTTTGCAAGGGAGGAAACAGATTAGCGAAGTGAGGCCTCAGCGTATGTGTGAGAGGGAAGGAGGTCTGTTTATTTCAGAAACGTTGCTCTTTCTCTGCCCAGCTCCTTCCTGCTCTCTTTCCTCACACCAGCCCAGTAATCCTACTTTTAAAAAAACGTATCTTGGCTGGGCGCAGTGGGTGACACCTGTAATCCCAGCACTTTGGGAGGCCGAGGCGGGTGGATCACGAGGGCAGGAGATCAAGACCATCCTGGCCAACATGGTGACACCTCGTCTCTACTAAAAATACAAAAATTAGCTGGGTGTGGTGGTGCGTGCCTGTAATCCCAGCCACTCAGGAGGCTGAGGCAGGAGAATCGCTTGAACCAGGGAGTCAGAGGTTGCAGTGAGCCGAGATTGCACCACTGCCCTCCAGCCTGGTGACAAAGCAAGACTCCATCTCCAAAAAAAACCTATCTTAAGGAAATACTGTTTTTAAAAGGGGCAGGGGGATGTATGCACAAAATGTCCAGTGTTGTTTCTAAGACTATGTAAGTGGCAGCTGTTACCATGATTTAACAAATTTTACCTGATAGACATATTTGCTACAATGTGCTAGAATCTCAGTAGAGTTACATTTAACTACTTTAATATTATAAGTATGGGCCAGATGCAGTGGTTCATGTCTGTAATCTCAGCACTTTGGGAGGCCAAAGTGGTAGGATCACTTCAGCCCAGGAGTTGAGGGCCAGCCTGGGCAGCATAGTGAGACCCCATATCTACAAAGATAAAAAATTAGCTGGGTTTGGTGGCTTACACCTGTATTCCCAGCTACTTGGGAGACTGAAGTGAGAAAATCACTTGAGCCCAGAAAGTGGAGGCTGCAGTGAGCTATGATCATACCACCTGCACTCCAGCCTGGGTGACAGAGCGAGACCCTGTCTCAAAAAAAAAAAAAAAAGACTACAAATATGAAGACTATCAGTGGGAGAAACTTAGGACATAAGTGAAAAGCAACTCAGCTACACCTTGATTATAATGATACAGCTGTGCCATTTAGACACAGATGAAGTTGAACTAGAAGGGAATACAAATAAATGGACCATTTTCAGAGCTGTGTTAATGATATTTGAGTGATTAAAAATAAACCCTTTGTTGCTGGTTCTAATGGGATAGCTGTTCTTCTGCATGCAGAGTCGGACTGGGAGCTTGCCCATTGTAGTGGTGGCAGGCGGTTGCTCCCAGTCTGAGCCCCAGCCCTGCCCCTCCTCCCTGTGCCTGTGGGAGTGACTTCACTTACCTGAGCCTTGGGTTCCACATCAGTAAAGGGTGAATAATGATTGTTTCTACCTGAGAATTGTTGTGAGGATTGAGTGCAGGCCCAAAGCTCGGACCCGGAAGATTTACCACCTCCCTACACACCAGGGCTTGGCCTACTTAGGGTGCTGACTCTGAATGCTGGCCATGGATGGCCACGCTACTGCCTAACTGTGAGTACCGTTTTCATACTGAAGCTAGTGATGTTAAGAACTTTCTGAAGTATTTACTTTTAGGGAATGAGGACTTTGTTAGGATTTATACTAACTAGGGTTTTTTTCAAACATTGTTGAAACATTCTGATTTCATTGAGAATTCTGAATCATTACTTTATTATTGATAGTATCAACCCTTTATGACTTCTTATACCATGTGCACACCTGAGGGGCTCCTGTTTTCAGGAAGAATCTGAGCCCCCTGCTTTTTCTGAGCATTTACTGACTAGTCCTGACAAACCCAAGTGTGTAATGACAGGGAGCCCCTGCTTTCTAAAGAAAGGGCAGAGCTCTTGTTAACCTGTTGTTTACCTGTCACCTTTCTACCATGTGAATGGATCCCTAATTGAATCATATCTGCTTTTGAAAAAACCCCTTCACTAGAAAATTGTTCCAGCTCTCTAACCTGGTCCCTCTGCTTCAGGAGGGTGGCTGTGCACATTGGCAGCAGGATTTACTTGTCTTTGAACTAGTCTGGTATTTGATTTACATTTTTTGTTTGTCTCCAATCTGTTTATTTTAGGCCAGTCTTTTAAACAGCTGAAAAACTGGGTAAACCTAGTTTATTTTTAATATCTAGTCTACTGTATTCAAACCCAAGGTCTCTACCCAAAATCACTGTTAAAATCAGTTATTGTATCTCTGTGCAGTAGTTCCTGCCACTGGGTAGGAAGCTGTGTGGAGACATATGGCAGGGCCTAGCTGTTGGTGCAGAGGGTATATTTACTTTGGGAAATTTTATCAACCTGTATTTTTTGTGATTTGTGTACTTTTCTGTATGAATCTTATATAAAAAGTTTTTTTAAAAAATTGACTCAACCTATACTAATTGGATCATCACTAATTCCAGATTACTTTAAACATGATCCTCCGTCTTGCCCACTAGGATTGAGGCAGCAGTTTTATAGTTGTTGTAAAATTTGAAGCCTTTTTTGTTTTGTTTTGTTTTTCTTTTTACCTTTACATCCATCATGAACATTTCCTTCCTCACTTTTCCGCTTAATGGCTCGAACATTTCCTTCCCAGCCAGCGTTTGGTGTAGCACCTGGAGCATCTAAGAGGAAAACAAAACCAGCATTCAGTGTGGAATCTGCTTCCCAGTTCTTTTAGTACAAGTTCTTCTGTGCTATCATTTCCATTTCCTCTAGATGAGGTAGTCAATGAGAAAAGTAGAGGGGAAAGTCCAACCTTCCTTGAGATGTTTCACTTGTAACATCGGATCAAAGGCTAGTGCTTTTGGGGGTGGGAGCATGTACTACGCTGGCAGTAGCATCCAGGTGGACCAAGGTTGGGGATCCCCATCTTTGTACTTGGGTTTCATTTTTCAGCCCTTTCTCCACCCCTTGTTACTCCCTTGCTGTATGCAGAGTACTCTTTGTGATTCTCTTGGGGTTCTTTGGATTGTTTTCTCTGTAACAGCCCTCGGAGATTATTTGAAAATCAAACTTGCAGTGGACATGAAATTATATTAAAAAAACCCCAACCAATGTCTACTGGACTCATCGTACACCACTGTCTAGGCTGATTAGCTTAGTTGTTCAGGCTTGAAGCCACACTCCCTATAGAAGCCAGTCCACCTTTTACAAAGAGAAAATACTGAAGTCCACTTAAGGATGGTATCTGATTTCCCTCTACCTCTCAGAGAACCCATCTGAAGTATCAGATTTGCCACAAAATCATTACTAGCTTTAACATTTTCCATCTTACAGAGAGCCCTTAGCACAATGCCTGACACCAGTAGGTATCCAGTAGTATTTATAAAATAAATGAAGAACTTTCTAAAGATTTATACTCAGAATTTTCCAAAGTCTCAGGAGATGCAAAATGCCAGTACTTCTTTCTAGAGAGGGAACAAAAGCAGCCAGACTGGTTTGGGAACATCTTTCAGCTAACTTCAGACCCCTAAAATCAGAGAACTTCCTGTTTCCCTAAGTGGAAGGTCTTGCAAAATGTAGAACATTTACAAGGCCAAAGAAACATAGCTGAATTGAAAAAATGTTCAATTTTTTCAATAAATCTTATGGCCGGGCGTGGTGGCTCACACCTGTAATCCCAGCACTTTGGGAGGCCGAGGCAGGCGGATCACCTGAGATCGGGAGTTCCAGACCAGCCTGACGAACATAGACAAACACTGTCTCTACTAAAAATACAAAAATTAGCTGGGCATGGTGGTGGGCGCCTGTAATCCCAGCTACTGGGGAGGCTGAGGTGGGAGAATCGCGTGAACCCGGGAGGTGGAGCTTGCAGTGAGCCGAGATCGCGCCACTGCACTCCAGCCTCGGTGACCGTGTGAGACTCCGTCTCAAAATCAGTCAGTCAATCAATCAATCAATCAATCTATCTGCTGCTGTTGCTGCTGACTGCACAGGCATCCATATCGGTGGGTCTTTCTTACCTTTTAGTCGGTTCAGGGTCACCCAGTAGTGTTGCTCTGGGCTGCGGATGTCTTTGGACCACTGAAGCATGTCTTTTGCATGGATGTCAGTCAGTATGAACTCTACAAACTTCCTTGTAAGTACATAGTAAGCACTTCCAAAATAAATGGTTAAGTTATGGGGTGGTTTGTCTTTGAATCTGTTATTTGGAGGTGCATAGATACTTCCTTTAGGAACGAATTCGAGATGACTTTGACTTGTCTTGGATTTAATGTGCAATGGTTGGATTACTCCAGGAGTAATATTTTTATCACTCCATTTGCTTCTGATGTAGTGTATGATTTCTCTGTTGGTTTTGATGGGAAAATCCTGTCCACAAAGATTGATGACATAGTTCCATTGAAATTTAGAATGCACTAGAACTTTCATACAATTAATATCTGCCTGTAGTCTTGTAAAGCCAGCATAAGCCACCTTCTCTGTCTTGGAGGAAATAAAAACGTTTTCAAAACAGTTAACCAAGGTTTGCACAGCAGTCTTATACTTCATTGGGGCCTTTTCATCAACATGAATACAATAAACATTTTGAGGTACATAAATAGCTCTGAGAAGCTGCACAAACATGGCCAGCTCCTTATGAATAGTTATAATATATGCCAAAGAGAAATCGCCCTCTTCTGCAGACAGGGGTCTGGTTATGAAATGCAGCCCCCGAGAAATCCTGGAGCAGTTTCCTGGTGTGTGTAAATGAGCATGTATTTCAGATTTATGAGGGGTTTTGCAAAATTTTGCAATTTAGGGGGCCGCCCCTTTCCCTTCAAATAAAGCGGAACACAGTTCATCTGGGTAAAAGCCACATTCTACTACTTCTGGTTGGGCAGGTTCTTCTTCTGATTCTGCAGGAGTTGGATTCCTTAAGTAAAGAAAAATGAAGATGCAAATGACTGCCCTCACGACAAGTCCAGACTTTGTGGCTCGAAGCTGGCTCATATCTTGAGCTCCAGGTGCATTCTTATTACCATAATTTAAGTATTTTTTCCTTTAAGCTTCCTAAAAGAACAACAGATACAATTTAGGGTGTTGTAATTCTCCCCCCCAACTTTATTGAAATACACTAAACTACATATACACACCCATGAAACTGTCATTGCAATCAAGATAACAAGCATTTCCCTCACTCTTCAAAGTGTTCTTATGCTCCTTTTTATCCTCTTTCTTTCCATCCACATCTCTGGCAATTGCCGATACGCCTTCTGTCACTCTAGTTTGTCAGTGTGTAACTCTTTAAGAAACTGCCAAACTGTTTTCCACAGTGGTTGTACCAGCAATGTATGATAGCCATTTATTATATAGCCTCTGGCATACTTGCTGTGGTCAGATGTTTTAATTTTTACCTTTTAATGAGTGTGTAATGTTAGTTCCCTGTAGTTTTACTTTGCATTTCCCTAATGACTAATGATGTTGAGCATATTTTCATGTTATTGCCCTTATTAGGGAGATGAAAAATCTCAAATACTTACTTTGGACATAGACACCGTCCTGTTCTGCCTTATTCAAAGTTCATTGTGTGCCATTATTCTGCATATAAGACTAATCTTTCCAACAGAAGAAGTGACAAATTAAGAGGAATTTGATGATTATACACTTAAACCTGTTGAAGTGAGTTTCTGGGCCAGGCATAGTGGCTCATGCCTGTGATCTCAGCACTTTGGGAGGCCAAGGCAGAGGATCACTTGAGCCCAGGTGTTCAAGACTAGCCTGGGCAACATAGTAAGACTGTATCTCTATAAAAAACTTAAAAATTAGCCACATGTGGTGGTGCCCTGATTATCCCGTTGCACTCCAGCCTGGGTGACAGAGTGAGACCGTGTCTCCCAAAAAAAAAAAAAAGTTTCTGAATTATTTTTAGGAAAGATGTCATAGATTAAAAACAAGGTATCTTTATCTAATAACATTATTTGATAATCATGTAGTTGTTTGTCTTGAGTCTACAGAGGTACATGAATAGGTGTAGCAATAGCAAAAAGTGACCAAAAGGTTTCAGTTAATTAATTATTACACGCAAGGATCATTCTCTGGAATTTAGGGAAGAAGATTGATAGGTAACATGTCAAGCTTTATATTGTTAGAAAGTATTTGTTTTTCTTGTTTATGAATCTTGACTTGGTTTCCATTAAAAGTTGCATGTTATTCCTACTTCCTGTTTTTCAGAAGACCATGTACGTGTGACTGGTATTTGAGCTCAGGTTGGACACTGGTCCCTTGCCTTTCCACATCATTTTTACAAATGCTGTTTGGATAATGCCTCAAACAGGCAGCATTTTTAGTTATCCTTGTGTTCTTAAACTCTGAGCCAACAAAAACTGTTAACATTGACTGTGGATTTTAAAGATGTTGTATTTATTTTCATCGTACAGTTTATTTCTACCCATCATGCTTCCAAAATAAATAGCAGCCACTGCCGAGGTATGTCAGGCCGCAGTGTGTTCCACTGGTTCAGTAAATGGTTTCTGCCCCAAACATGGAACCTTACAGCCTAATTTAAAGACATTCTTATAAATTATGTAATACTTATCTTTTTTTTTTTTTTTTTTTTGAGACGGAGTCTTGCTCTGTAACTCAGGCTGGAGTGCAATGGTGCGATCTCGGCTCACCACAATCTCCGCCTCCCGGGTTCAAGCGATTCTCCTGCCTCAGCCTCCCAGGTGCATGCCACCATGCCCGGCTAATTTTTGTATTTTTTTAGTAGAGACAGGGTTTCACCATAATGGCCAGGCTGGTCTCAAACTCCTGACCTCGTGATCCACCCGCCTAGGCCTCCCAAAGTGCTGGGATTACAGGCGTGAGCCACCACGCCTGGCAATACTTATGTTTATAAACATGAAACCATCATAATTTATACATTTTATATGAGATTTCTAAATTAAATTAAACCTGACCATAGAAATTGAATAGGAAAGAAAAATGTTCTTGAAATGAAAGTAAAGCTTTTTACTACTTCTCCTATAAGAATTTTGATTAAAGATAAACCAGATACCATAGTTTGTCATATCTTCCCCTGTATTATGACTTTAGTATAGGAAGAAGGGTTTGGGTTTTGTTTTTTTTTTTCTGTTGTCCTTTTATTTTGTTTTTTGAGACAGGGTCTCACTCTGTCACCCAGGCTGGAGTGAAGTGGCGCAGTCTCAGCTCACTGCAACCTCTGCCTCCCCGGTTGAAGCGATTCTCCTGCCTCAGCCTCCTGAGTAGCTGGGATTACAGGCATGTGCCACCACGCTAGCTAATTTCTGTATTTTTAGTAGAGATGGGATTTCACCATGTTGGCCAGGCTGGTCTTGAACTCCTGACCTCATGTGATCCACCCTCCTTGGCCTCTCAAAGTGCTGGGAATTTTTAGGTGTGAACCACTGCGCCCGGCCTATTTGTTTTTTTGGTTTTCTGTTGTTTTTTTTTTAGGAGGAGTTTCGCTCTTGTTGTCAAGGCTGGAGTGCAATGGCGTGATCTTGGCTCACTGCAACCTCCACCTCCTGGGTTCGAGCGATTCTCTGGCCTCAGCCTCCCAAGTAGCTGGGATTACAGGCATGCACCACCACACTCAGCTAATTTTGTATTTTTGGTAGAGATGGGGTTTCACCATGTTGGTCAGCCTGGTCTCGAACTCCTGACCTCAGGTGATCCACCTGCCTCAGCCTCCCAAAGTGTTGGGATTACAGGCGTGAGCCACCTCGCCCAGCTAGTTTGTTGTTTTTAAGATAACTTGTGAAAGCGTTCTGTTCCTCCTGTCACAGAAGTGAGTTAGCCCCTCATCACTGCCAAATGATACCCCATGTAAATTTGGCTGTGCGCCGAGCCCAGGAGATTGGGTATTTTCAGTAGTTTATAATAATTAAATGAAGAGAGGCCCCAAGGGTAGCCATTGTCCTTTGGGAAAATACCCAGGCTAAGAGTTTTTCCCTCCCCTGTATAGAGACAGGGACATGGCCAGTTCAGTGTTAACCTGCTGTGGCCTTCTACCTTGGTTCCATCAGCACCAGCTTTCACTGTGGCCCAGTTAAATCTTCCCTCTGGCTTAGATTCACTGTGAAACTTCAGAATGGATGCCTGCTGGACTGCCCTGCTGAGTGGGAACCAAGGTCCCCAGCAGTTTAGTTTGTCATTGTTTCAACATAAACTTTTTTTTGAGACAAGGCCTCACTCTTATCACTCAGGCTGGAGTGCAGTGGTGTGATCATGGCTCACTGCTGCCTCAACCTCCTGGGATTTGGTGATCCTCCCACTTCAGCCTCCCCAGCAGCTGGGACTACAGGCATCTGGCTGATTTTTTGTAGAGACAAGGTTTTGCCACACAAGCTTTTTTTTTTAAAAAAAATCTTTTAAAAATTGATACATAATAATTATATATGTTTATGGATCACAGAGTAATGTTTCAATACACACAATGTATCAGCACAAGCTTTTTAAGGCAGTCAGGCCCTCTATTGTAAATGTAGCCTTTGGAGATCTCACTGCTGTTGCTGTCACTTGAACATAACATCTAGTGGGTAATATGAAAATTCCTGGAGGAATAAACTTTTCATGGCCTGACTTTTTTTTTTTCCTTTTAAGATAATGGTGAACATTATTTTCAGTTTTGCAAACATTTCCTAGCAATTCTTAGTTTTTGTTGTGGCTGTTTTATTTCTATATTGTGAAGTCAGCTATTTTAATGAAAAAATAATGAAGGTTTAGTTACTAAACATGAGATTTTCTGTCACTAAATTAATTTCCAGTAAATGTAGGTGCTATTTTGTAAGTGCGGGGAATATGCCTCTCATAAAAAAGTGTTCTTACTGAGTTTTTGAACCATTTTTTCCTCCATAGAAAGATGTTTAAGATACTTCTTGTAAAGGCTGTAGAAAGAGTGGCTGTTACCCTGTGTATTATGTATGGAGTAGGTATGCAAGTTCTTTGTCTGGAACAGACCTATTTTTAACATTCCAGTGTCCTATTTTCCTTGTGTATTACTAGATCACAAACAGTTTCTAAAATTTGGGGGTTAGCCTGGGCGATGTAGTGAGACCCCTTCTCTACCAAAAAATAAAAAAATAATTAGCCAAGTATTAGGGGTCCCAAAATTAGCCAAACCTGTGGTCTCAGCTACTCAGGAGGCTGAGGTGGGAGGATCATTTGAGCCAGGGAGGTTGAGGCTGTAGTGAGCCGTGATCATGCCCACTGCACTCCAGCCTGGGCAACAGAGTGAGTGAGACCCTATCTCCAAAATAAAATAAATTTGGGGGTTTGTGTGTGAGAGCATTTCAAGGCTTTTTTCGTGCACTGTCTTTCCTTAAATTGTCTTTCCTAGACCTGGTATATTTTAATAATCTTTTAGCCCTCCATATCTGCAGCCTTTGAAAGGTAGCATTGTTAAATATGTATATAGTGTACAGTGGAACAAAACAGCTTCCAAGCCATGAATAATGTTAAAAGTTAACCATTCAGTTGACTGAAGCCATCTAGCATCCAAGAGATACAGTAGAGTATCTTTCAGTGGAAATCATTGTCAAACTTATGGTCAAGGATGGTGGTTAACTTTTTTCCCGTTTATGTAGTGCCAGAATCTGCACAAGAACAGGAATGATTTCCAGTTATAATTCTCAGAGTGGAATTATTTTACATTTTATGTTTTTGTCCAGGGTTAAAGTACTTCCAGGGAGTTGTTTCAAAACACATTGCTCTTCTAATTAGAGCCAGTGCCTGTGTTCTTTTTTTCTTGTAATTCTTCTACAGTCTTCCTCTCCCGACTCCCAACAAGCCTTCACAGCCAGTAGCAAAAGTCAGCAATATGGGTTTGATATCGCATTACCTCCAGAACAGTTCGTTGAAGGATATAGTCTTTGAGAATTTGTTAGGATGGGATTTCATTTGTGGTAAAGACTTTTTAGGGTGAGTTGGCAGCATCCCATATATACTCTTTCGTTGCATTTTTTATATGTATATATTTTAAAGGAAATTCCTATGAGTAAATAGATAATGGATGGGAACCTTTAAAGGTGAACCCGAAGTATTTTGCCATATATTCTAGCATATTACCATTTTAAAGCATTAACATTAATTTAACCAGCATAAGCAGTTGATTTAGCACCCAAAGTTTCTGAGAGCTTTACTTTTCAAAAAGGGTGGGGGTTGAGGGAGGCTCAATATTGCATTTACCTTATTAGGAACCTCATATTTAGCTTCAGGAAATGGGCTTTGAATCAGGGCCCCAGTGTTAGGCTCACAGCCCTAGCACTTACGAGTCTGTTGGGCAAGTGACGGAAGCTCCTGAGTGTCCATTTTCTTGACTGCGGATGTGGTGTATGGTAGTGTCTGCCTCACAGGGACACTGGGAGGAGGTGTGGGAGTGAAGGATGTGAGTTTCACACTGAGCCTGGCCCTAGGAGGTGCCCTGTGCTCACTGGCACTCACCCTCGGGGTAATGCGGCCCCAAAACTGTAACTGCAGGTGCTGTCTTCACTTGTCCTAAAGTCTCTGTAGCCACACATTGAAAATGTGGTGTCTCTTTCTCTCTGAGCTCAGAATGCTGTCCAAAGCAGCCTCAATGTTAGCACAATGTTTTCTTGAGTTACTTGAGATGAGTTGGACAAATTTTGAATTCAAAAGCTGTCTAACTGTCCAGTGAAATGGATGCCTTTCACAAAATGCCTATTCCTAAAACATGTATAAATTATTTTAGCCATTTTGATGGAAAGAAGAAAACTTTATTTTAGGATATCCACTCAAAACAACGACAAGAAATAAAACATTCTAGTTTACAAAATGAGAGCTGAGGATTTGCACGTGGCCTTGAATCTGCCTCTCATGTGAGGGGTTAACAAATGGTAGCATTTTATATTTAAAAATCTAGTTGATGCCATACTGGGAAAATATTCTACTTTTATTTTCTTTGGCTTAAACAAAAAGTGGGGGCTATTTTTGAGAGAAAAAGACACCTGCAACACCGACATTTCAAATATTACTCATATTCTAATATTTTAAAACCACAGAGCAAAGAAAAACATAATTTACTTCAAAAAGTATACCTGTGGCCAGGTGTGGTGGCTCACACCTGTAATCCTAGCACTTTGAGAGGCTGAGGTGGGTGGATCACTTGAGGTCAGGAGTTTGAGACCAGTCTGGCCCAACCCAACATGGTGAAACACTGTCTCTACCAACAATAAAAAATTAGCTGGGCATAGTGATGTGTGCCTGTAATCCCAGCTACTCTGGAGCCTGAGGCAGGAGAATCGCTTGAAATCAGGAGGCAGAGGTTGCAGTGAGCTGAGATTGCACTGCCACACTCCAGCCTGGGTGACAAAGTGAGACCCTGACACACACACACACGCACACACACGCACATGCACATATACCTGCTTAACCTTTGCCATTGGTGGGTCCTGCATAGCTATTGAGACGCTTACCAGGAGAAGCCCCCTGGTTCCTGGAGGGGGAGTCCTGGCGGTGTCAGGGCCCAGCCTGGCCTTTCTCTCCCATCGGTTCCTCCCCGGCAGCGGCGCCTGCTTCAGTCACTTGAGTAGAGTTGCTTGGCAGGTTTTGTTGCCATCTGTCCCTGGAGAGTTTTATTCCTGTTGGTTCTGACCTGCAGATTGAAAAGTTGCTGCTTTTGCTTCTCTGAGTATTTCCTTGGGACCAGATCCTTCCTGAAAAACAAAATGAGACAACAGAAGACGCCTGACCCAGATGAAGGGCGCACAGTCACTCACATTGAGAAAACTGCAGGATGAAATCGTGGCATTCATGGGTCAGCGTCTTGAAATTATTTTAAATACAGGAGGCATGATTTAGTTATCAGACCCTCTCTCATTAAGGAGATAAATAAAAGTCACTTAAAAATCCTGTTTCTCCATAAATAGCATTCAAAAAAATCCAGACATTTTACAAGGCAGGGGCTGAGCCTTCTCTGTGCTCTGTGTCGCCCCCAAGGGTGAGTCTGCGCCATAGCATGTGGTGAAGGTGGGGTCTGACTGCACCCCTTCGCTAGGCTTTCCTCTTCCCTTCTTTCTCCACCTCTGGGTACTTTTCTTAACATCCTTTCCTTTTCTGGTTTTAAAGGTTCTCTGCTTGCTGGTACTCTCTGCAGGCTTGCCACAGACAGCTCTATTAAGAATATCGGCACCAAGAGACATAGATCACACACCGTAGAGATTTCTTATCTTCTATGTGCCTTGACGCCTAAGCGGGATGTGTGGTCAGATGAATACAGATTCTCTTCACCTGCTCATGGGGTGCCTCTGAGACACATGCTGCTTTTTTGCAGAACAGATGTTGCTGTTGCCAAAGCACAGAGTATTAGAAAAACACTGAGCAGACAGAATGTAGTCCCCATAATCTTCAGGGGTTGTGGCATTCATGTGGCCTTCCAGTGGGGAGACCCCATACATTTTGTTTGTGTGATGTTCAGAGTCCGTGAGTTAAGGTTCTGATTTGATCTAGCAAGAATCAGAAAAGGTTAGGTCCTTTTATGTGTGGGAGAGTCACATTGCCAGCTTGTGAGGTCTTGCTGTGCCTCTCTTCCCCTGCATCTTGAATGCTTGTTTTGAAACATGTCCTTGCTGGGTGCAGTGGCTCATATCTGTAATCCCAGCACTTTGAGAGGCTGAGGTGGGAAGATTGCTTGAGGCTTGGAGTTTGAGACCAGCCTGGAAACATAGCAAGACCCCGTCTCTACAAAAAATTCTTAAAAATTAGCCGGATATGGTGGTGCGCACCTGTAGTCCTAGCTACTTAGGAGGCTAAGGTGGGAGGATTGCTCGAGTCCAGGAATTTGAGGTTACAGTGAGCTAGGATCATGCCACTGCACTGCAGTCTGGGCAACAGAGTGAGATGCCATCTCATAATAATAATAATAATAATAATAATAATATTTGCCCTGTGGGTGCACCTGGACTAGACGGCAGATCTGCTCACACTGGCCCATTCCTGGGGGTCGAGGGTTGGTGCTGGGTTTCACTTCTTGTCTCACATTCTACATCTGGAAGGAGGAAGCCATTCTAAGCCAAATAGCAGTGGAAGAAGCAACTGAGGAAATGCTGGGGAGTGTTGCCCACATTAAACGTTACACTTCCACATTGCTGCGGGAAATGCCAACACAAGAAGCAAACATACTAGACGAGCTGAGCCACCCATTTCTATTGGTAATAAATGGACAAAGGGTAAATCGGCTTTATGTATAAACCTCTTATACAGATTGACTAAAACATTTAAAAAATGAAATCCCTAATAAATAAAAGGACATACGATATAATTTACAAAACAGGTGTCGTGAATACAGTGGGGTTTTTTTATGTTTCTTAATCCAAGCCAAAAAGGAGCTATCTCCCTTGCCATTCAGATTAGCATAAGTTTTCCTTCAAAACATACGACGTGATGGGCACCGTCACGTATGGGGATGTATATTTTCATGCAAGCTTTTGGGAGAACTGCTTGGCTTTAAAATCTCATCTCCTTTTATACTACTTTGAAATATTTCCTTAGGCTCTGTTCTTATTCATTCATTCAGCAGTTATTCACTGTGTCCAATGTGGGCAGAACCCTAGGCTCCTCCCGCCATGGAACATGAAGACAAAATGCTTCCTGCTTGGGGCTAACAGTGTAGTGGAGGAAACACACTGTTTCAAAAGTCAGTACAAACATGCAGACATACACTCATTTACTCTAAGCCATGGGGTACTGCACAGGAAACAAAAACAGGATTCCGTGATAAGAGAATGACCATGTCTCGGAAGTGGAATTCCTAGGTCAGAGATGCATGCAGTCAGCTGTTCATTGCTAATATTATTGTAAGCACAAAGATTGGGAAGCCACTGTTCCATTTGTTAAAGTGATATAAATATCTAGATACATTAGCATATTGCTCCTAATTTGACCACTGTTCCCCTCTTGGCACTTCCCCTACTGGCCTTTTTAAAAATACTTTAAAAAAGCATCCAGAGGGCATATGAATATAAATATACAATTACTAGTTTGCTTTTTCGTTTAACTTATGATAAGCATTTTCTACATTGCCCCAAACTCTAACCATATAATCTTCCTTTTTGGGAATGTATTATAATTTTTTTTTTTGAGAGAGAGAGTCTCGCTCTGTCGCCCAGGCTGGAGTGCAGTGGCACGATCTCGGCTCACTGCAAGCTCCGCCTCCCAGCTTCACGCCATTCTCCTGCCTCAGCCTCCCGATCAGCTGAGACTACAGGCGCCCACCACCATGCCCGACTAATTTTTTGTATTTTTAGTAGAGACGGGGTTTCACCATGTTAGCCAGGATGGTCTCGATCTCTTGACCTCGTGATCCGCCCGCCTCGGCCTTCCAAAGTACTGGGATTACAGGCGTGAGCCACCGCGCCTGGCCGTATTATGATTTTTTTAACCATTTCACCCATTCTTTGGACATCTGAGTTTCAAGCGATAAAAAGGATGAAGATACAGTTTTAAATGGATGTATAATTTCTACCGTACAATAGCAGTACTCAAGAAAAATGCATTAGCAGGAAGATATGGGTGATTTTCTGTTGGTATAATACATATTATTTACTAAAGAGGTGGGGAGCAGGTCCCTGTGGACCAGCTGTGACTTTGCGGCAGCCCCACTCCCCATCTCCGCAGTAGCCCCTACCCTTGTTTTCCCTCATCCTTCAGGGATGAACCACTGCACTCAGGTCTCTCGGGTCAAGCACCTACCCAGAACGAGTGATGGGGCCCCTAGCAGTTGGGAGGACTCTGCCCAGTCTCCAGGGGCAATTCCTACCAAGGTTCAAGCCATTGAGGCCCTTGAGGGTGTGGGTTTGGTGTTAATGGATCTTTTGAATTTTCGAGAGAAAGAGCAAGATTACTCAATTTCTAATGTGAGGGGTTCCTGACTTCTTATTGTCAGTGGCCAATTCAACTTTAAAAGTACAATAAGTCTGGGCACAACACAACACAACTGTATGCAGAATAAGGTCCATGTCCTCTGAACAGTCTGATCTAGAGGAAGGAGACCGCTTACCCCAACACTGTCGGAAGGAGGGGCAGCAAGGAGTGATAGAAAGAAGCAGCAGCAGAAACCCAGGAGGAGAGAAAAAGAAAGGTGGGGGCAGCACCCACAGGGAGCAGACGCTGGGTTCCTCCCCACCCCTGGGCCCTTTACGTCATAGCCACAGCTCCAGGCCCCACTGGGCCTTAACTACCACCTGGTTCTGTTCCTGCAGATTCTTTTTCATTCCAAGGAAGAGACCATCTTCCAGAGCCAAGGGAAAGCTCTACTCAGACCTCCCATAGCGTGAGACTTCCCAGGGAACCTCCTCTAGCAGAGCAGGCTGTCCCTCCTCCTGTAGGCCCAGCTCTCTACAGTGATGGCTAAAAACAAGCTCCTTTTCTTCAAGGGTTGTACCAGTTAAATGCTAGATTGGGCACGTGCTTCAGTCATTCATATAACTTCTCTATGGCACCACCCTCAGGGATTTGTGGGTCAAAAAGGTATCTTCAGTCACGAAAATTTACCAGACCCACCCTAGAAAAAAAGCTGATCTTAACCTGAAAATCACTGTTGGAGACAAGAACCACATTAAATAACCCAGCTAAGGCAGGGGCTGAGGAGAGTCAGCAAATGCTTGTTGGTATCTTCTGTGCATTTGGGAGATTCTGGAAAATCTTTGGCAACTTCAGGAAAAAAAAAGTACTTTTATGGCTTTTCTTGTGCTGATAATGTTTTCTACAAAAGAGATTCCGGGCATAGTATGTCTGTTATTGCTCTGGGCACAGTAGGTCTGTTAAAATTACTGTTCCAGTTGTTGAAAGAATTTTGTTATTATTTGGTTGCCTGCCTTTATGTTTTTCAAAGGCAGTGTCTTATGGAGTAACTAAATATTTTAGTTAATAACAGACCTTATCTGGCATACTTTTAAACATCTATGACTATAACATTTAATAGAGTTTTTCATAGATATTAGAAAGATAAATTTTGGTTGATCCACTCAATATGTGACTCTTTGAAGTCATGTTACCTACACTAATCAAGATAGTGTGGTGCTGGCATGAGAACGGGCATATACATCAATGGAATAAAATAGGGAGTCCGGAAATAAACCCTCACATGTATGGTCATTGATTTTTGACAAAAGGGCCAAGTCAATTCGATGGGGGAAAGAATAGTTTTTTCAACAAATAGTGTGGGGTAACTGGATATCCACATGCAGAAGAATGAATTTGGACCCTTACCTTACATTGAATGTAAAAATAAACTCAAAGTGATCACAGACCTAAATCTGTAAGTTTTAGTTACAAACCACTTAGGAGAAACGCAGGAGTAAATCACAATCTTGGGTTAGGCGATGACTTACTAAATATGACACCAAAAACGTAGCAGTAAGAGAGAAAATTGCTAAGTCCAATTTCATCAAAATAAAAAACTTTTGTAATTATCCAGTGTAAGATATTTTGTCATAACAGTCTTGGACTAAGACAGAACTTATATCCAGAATATGCTGTATAAAGACCTCTTAGAACGCAACATCAAAGAGACAAATAATACAATTAAGAAATGGACCAGGGATTTAAGCAGACATTTCTCCAGAGAAGGTATACAGATGGTCAGTTAGCACGTGAAAAGATGCTTAACATCTCTGGTCATTTGGGAAATGCAAATTAAAACCACAATGAGACAGCACTTCACTCCCATTAGGATGGTTATAACTAAAAGGAAAAATGGGCTGGTTGCAGTGGCTCACACCTGTAATCCCAGCACTTTGGGAGGCAGGTGGATCACCTGAGGTCGGGAGTTCAAGACCAGCCTGGCCAACATGGTTGAAATGCCATCTCTACTAAAAATACAAAAATTAGCTGGGCATGATGGCGGGGGCCTGTAATCCCAGCTACCCAGGAGGCTGAAGCAGGAGAATCGCTTGAACCCAGGAGGTGGAGGTTGCAGTGAGCCGAGATCATGCCACTGGACTGCAGCCTGGCGACAAAGCGAGATCCCATCTCAAAAAAAAAAAAAAAAGAAAAACGATGACAGGTGTTGGGAAGGATGTGGAGAAATGAGAATCCTCAGGCATTGCTGGTGGCAATGTAAAATGGTGCAGCCTCTTTGGAAGTTCATCATTTGAGGAGAGGCAGTTCCTCCAAAGGTTAAACATAAAGTTAACTTATGGCCAGTCATCCCAATCCTAGGTATCTACCCAACAGAAATGAAAACAACTGTCCACAAAAGACTTCCATGTGAATTTCTTAGTCTGAAAGTGGAAACAACTCTGTCAGCTGATTCATAGATGAAACTTTATTTGGCAATAAGAAGAAATGTAGTTCTGATCCATACTATAACATGGATAAATCTTTAAAACATTATGCTAAAATCCAGTCACAAAAAAAAAAAACATGTATATTGTATGATTTCATTTATAGAAATGTCCAGAAGAGGCAAATTTGTAGGATGGAAAGTAGATTAATGGTTGCCTAAGACTGAGGAAAGGGGAATGGAGTGAGTGCCAGTGGGTATGGGATTTCTGTTGGAAGTGATAAAAATATGCTAAAATTAGATTATGGTGATGGTTGCACAACTCTAAATATACTAAAAGCCATTGAACTCTATACTTCATTATGTTATGTAAATGAGATTTCAGAAAACCTGTTTTTTAAAAAGGCGAGTTAGGTAGCAAATGCACGTGGTGCTGAAGCTGTTCCTTTTAGAGCCGGCTCTTAGCATTCTGTGTCCTGAGCATTGTGCTGTGAGCTAAGAGATAGAACATGATTTCTGCTTCCCCCACCCCTAAAAAAAGGTTTGGGAGATCAGAAGATGTAAAACAGAAACCCAGAATGCTCTTCTAAGAGTTAGCTACAGAGTAAATAAAAGTTTGAAGAGACTTCCTCAGGCAGGGGAAGACAGAAGTTTCATAGACAAGATGATAATAGTAAGCTCACTGCTCCATTTTTTATTTTTAAAAACTTGCCACCCAACTCATAGGGGGCAGAGACTATGTCTTAACACAGGGCCTACCAGCTTCAGGGTAAAATCAATGAAATCTTTAAACTGAGGCTAGGCATGGTGGCTCACGCCTGTAATCCCAACACTTTGGGAGGTTGAGGCGGGTGGATTACCTGAGCCCAGAAGTTCAAGACCAGCCTGAACAACATGGCAAAACCCTGTCTCTACAAAAAATACAAAAATTAGCCAGGCATGGTGGCGCACACCTATAGCCCTAGCTACTCAGGAGGATGAGGTAGGAGGATGAGGTGGGAGGATGGCTTGAGCCTGGGAGGTGGAGGCTGCACTGAGCCATGATGGCACCACTGCACTCCAGCCTGGGTGACTGAGTGAGACCCTGTCTCAAAGAAAAAAAGTTTACATGACTATGAGTATGTTCCATAAATGAATCCTTTGAATGTTATATATGCTATGAATATTTCACTTAGCCTTTGGCTTATTGTTTTTTGTTGTTGTTGTGACATTGTCATGTAAAAGTTTGTAATTTTTACATGGTAAAACTTATTTTTTTAAAATAAGTTTTTAAAGTTTAAATAAAAATTATTTAAAATAAGTTTTAAAGCTTTAGATCACAGGTCCCCAACCCCCATACCGGTGACAGTCCGTGGCCTCTTAGGAACCGGGCCACACAGCAGGAGGTGAGCCACAGGCGAGAGAACATTAGTGCCAGAGCTCCATCAGCGGCATTAGATTCTCTTAGGAGCACAAACCCTGTTGTGAACTGCGCACGTGAGGGATCTAGGTTGCGTGCTGCTTATGAGACTCTAATGCCTGATGATCTGAGGTGGAACAGTTTCATCCCAAAACCTTCCCCCAACCATCTATGGAAAGATTGTCTTCCATGAGACTGGCCCCAGGTGCAAAAAAGGTTGGGAACTACTGTTTTAGATGACATTTCCTACCCTAGTTATAAAACACATTTTCCTATAAATTATTCTTCTTTCCTTTTTTACATTTAGGTGTTTATAACCCTAGTCCAGGGCTTCTCAACCTCAGCACAGGGGCATCTTGGCTGGGTAACTCTCTGTGGGGGGGCCATCCTGTGTACTGTATGATGCTTGCTGCATCCCTGGCCTCTACCCACAAGATGCCAATAGCACCTGCACCCCAGATGTGACAGCTAAAAATGTCTCCAGACATCGCCGAATGTCCACTAGGGAGCAGGATCAACCACTGCACTTGCGTTAGACCCCAAGTGGTTAGAGAGCCACTGCACTTGGGTTAGACCCCTCTTTTTTTTTTGAGACGGAGTCTCGCTCTGTCGCCCAGGCTGGAGTGCAGTGGCACGATCTCGGCTCACCATAACCCCTGCCTCTCGGGTTCAAGCGATTCTCTCACCTCAGCCTCCCGAGTAGCTGGGACTACAGGCATGTACCACCACACCCAGCACCACCATACACAGTTTTTGTATTTTTAGCAGAGACGGGGTTTCACCATATTGGTCAGGCTGGTCTCGAACTCCTGACCTCAAATGGTGATCCGCCCACCTCGACCTCCCAAAGTGCTGGGATCATAGGCATAAGCCACCGCGCCCAGTCTTAGACCCCTCATTTTTGCAGCTGAGGAAACTGAGGCCCAGAGAAGTGGTGTGGCCTGAGCCAGGTGGCCTAGACAGATGGTGGCAGAAATCTCAATTCAAAATGCAGGACTGGGAACCTCCACTCCTCGTTCTCTTTTTTTCCCTGTTTTTCCTGTCCCCAGCCGTGAGCACCTCTGCTGTGCTAGGCACTGGGTAGCTGCTGGGGCCACAGCAGGGAAGAAAACAACATAGACAAAGTGATGAAGACAAGACTCCAGGTCATGATTAGTGCCATGGAGCCAACACAGAAAGAGTGCTGGGATCCCACCAGTGACAGCATGGTCACAGGGAGCCTCTGCAGAGGTGGCTCACTCACTGACAGCTCTGTGAGTGTGGGCATGCCTTTGGTGTGTATGTGTGCGTTTCTACCACCACAACACTGTCAGGATGGTCTAGACCCTGCTCGCAGTCTTGTTCTGCCGGGGTGTGTTGGGCGCCCCCAAGGCTGCCGTCATGCTTGGGGGTTTTCTGAAAGACTTGAGACTTAGCATATGGTTGTATTCAACTAACATTCACTGCAGCAGCGTGGTATGGATGCACAGCTGGGTGTTAAGGGAAAAGGCGCATGTAGCAGAGTCTGGAGGAATCCACGTGGGGCTTCCTTACGCGCACTCCCTCCCTCAAGGGGTTGTACGAAGTGAATACTTCCCCCCGCAACGAAACTGCAACACGTGTGATGTTTTTGCCCAGGGAAGCAAATGAGAGACTCAGTACCCAGAGTTTTGGCTGAGGGCTGGCTTTATACCCTCGGCCCAGCATGTTCCAGAATTCCACACTCCCATAAGCAGGTAGGTGTCAGCATAGACCACGTTGTTCATACAAAAGGGTCTAGGCACGGTGAGCCAAGCTACTCTTGTCAGTTAAAAAATGGCGGGAACCCTCCCAAAATCCAAGTTCCCAGACACCATCCAGGCACCAGCCTTGCAAGTGATAGCACTCTTAACCTGCTACGCTGACACTTTGCTGTGTGCGGGAACTTTCCAAACCAAGGCTTTGACCAGAAAGCCGGTAATAGGAATTTACTCGGAGCCTGGGGGCCACTGCTTGGGGCTGAGAGTGGGGGACTGAAGCGTGGCCTCCCCATTGACTGGTGATGGAATCTGCCCTCTCTTGTTTGCCCTCTCCAGTGTGGGGCTGCCTTCCAGGAGGATGATGTCATCATGCTCAATGGCACCAAGGAGGATGTGGACGTGCTGAAGACAAGGATGGAGGAGAGAAGGCTGAGAGCGAAGCTGGAAAAGGTAATGGGAGTCTTCAGGTTCCGCCCAGCCCCCATCTCTGCTCCAGAGCCGACTGCAAATCACTGAACTGAGCTGGCAGCTGCTTAGGGGTTTGCATGATCAAGGCGATTTTTATAACCTAGAAGGGCCTGGACTGTAGAAGCAGATTCCAGCTGAGGCCCAGGCACTGCCTTGCTGTGGTGAGCACGGCGGCTCTGCTCTTCCCCGCCGAGCTTTCTCATCAGTGAAGTGGGGTAGTGACAGCATGCGAGGGCACGGAGCTGTCAGCAGGCTCCAGAGACCATGGCCATAAAGCACTGACACTGACACGGCCTCAGCAAGCCCTTGGGGAAGGGCAGCCACCACCGTTGCTGCTGCTGTCACTTACTGTTGCTGTTGATTTAAGGCAGTACATACTCAGGTCTCATAGCTTGTAAAACAAAGGAAAAATGAAAAGTCACCATCATCCCAGCAAAATGTAAGGCTCCCCTGCTGCCCAGATTGGAATGTGCTCGGGAGGGCCCTGGCAGTCTGGGCTCCAGCAGGCCTGGGTGGGCCTGGGTGCCTGTGCGTCTCACCCACTCCCAGGGCGTGTGGATGCAACTCCTCAGGGTCACACTTTGAATAACAAGGAGCTAATGAGTAGCCTTCCCAAAAATGGGGGCCAAATCCCTCACCTTCCTGAGCCCTCCCACGGGGAGAGGGAGGGTCTTTTATGGAGCGTGGTGCTTCATGCTTCATCGTTCAGAAGGGAGCGTGGTATCCAGAAACAGGGAAAGCATTGCTGAGTAACGTGGCGGAGTGAGCAGGCTCCAGACAACGCATCCACCAAGAGTTCTTCCATGCGCTGGTGATTCCCCATCCAGCAGTAAATGTTGTTCATGTTTACAGATGATAGCTATGGAATACAGGCCTTTCGTGAGTGGCAAATTTCTTATTCTTTAAAAAAAAAAAAAGTTGGGTTCAGGATAAGCTAGGGAGAAAACTTTATGTGATCAGAACTAAGGCAAAAGAATGCTTGAAGTACTAGAAAATTAGCTCCAGTAGGCTGAGGACATAAAATTATGAAACAAATCGCCTGCCCTCGCGTGGGTGTGCATTTTACCAGTGCCAGTCCGAGGCGAGAGTGATGGAGTACCTGAAGATTTTTCAGAGGTTTGGGGTTTTTAAAAAATCATAACAAGACAGGACCGTATCACCCTGGAATAATGTGTAATTCGTGGTTGTGAGGCTTTAAAAAGCCGAGGCTTGAGCACATGGTAGCAGTATTACCATTATGCATGGATCCAGAATGATCAGAAAGAGCCAAAGGCATTTGTATTTTCTCCCTTCATCGTTTTACTTAGGTAGAAAATAATGTCTGAAAATGGCTCTGTAGTTCAAGGAACGGTGCCCAAACTCTGAATTCAGATGCGAGTAGAAATACTCCGTGGAGCAATATTATAAGATGTTAATACAACATTCCTAACAACTGTTTAAAGAGTCACTTGGTAGGCGGGCGTGGTGGCGTGTGCCTGTAATGCCAGCTACTGGGGAGACTGAGGCAGGGGAATCACTTGAACCCGGAAGGCGGAGGTTGCAGTGAGCCGAGATCGCACCTCTGCACTCCAGCCTGACAGACTCCCTCTAAAAAAAAAAAAAAAGCCGCTTGGCCATTGAAATGCTGTGTTCAGGTTGAAAAGTAAATACATGTGTATCTTATATAAAGTGTGTTAATTCTAAGTTGGTTTTCTAAATTACTATGATTTCATTATTGTAAGAGAGAAAAAAAGAGGGAAACTAAGTTTGAGGTCTTTTTAACTAAGGACAGTTGCCAAAAGCCATCTCCCTGTTCTTAATTGCTACCATTGATCAAGCTCAGTTTTAAAAAACACAAAAGGGCAGCCGGGTGCCGTGGCTCACACCTTTCATCCCAGCACTTTGGGAGGCCGAGGCAAGCAGATCACTTGAGGTCAGGAGTTCGAGACCAGCCTGGCCAACATGGTGAAACCCCATCTCTACTAAAAATACAAAAATTAGCTGGATGTGGTGGCGTGCGCCAGTAATCCCATGTACTCCAGAGGCTGAGGCGGAAGAATTGGTTGAACTTGGGAGGCGGAGGTTGCAGTGAGCCAAGATCGTACCACTGCACTTCAGCCTGGGCAACAGAGTGAGATTCTGTCTCAGACAGAGAGAGAGAGAGAGAGAGAGAGACACACACACACACACACACACACACACACACACACACACACAGTGAGATTCTGTCTCAGACAGAGACACACACACACACACACACACACACACGGAAAAAATGCATTTCAAAGGAAACTACTAGAAATGTTCATATTCCCTTTGACCATTTTGCTTTCGTGAGTTTTCTCTGTCACAGGTTTCCTGCCAAGTTAATTCAAAGCCCAGTGGGACTAACATGCTCCTCTCTGCAAAATATTCTCCAGAGCTTCTGGGAATACCTCATAGCTACTGCTACCAGGATACCAAAATATTTCCCAAATACACTTGCAGCTGGAAGCAAGATATAACATTTCCTCTCTAACTCCTTCTTGCCTGTGCTTTTCAAATAACCTCAGCTGTGAATGGAGGGCTTAGAAGTAAACAGTTGTCTCTTATTTGTTTGAAGGACCGAGTATCAGTTTTCACAGATGTGAATGCTTGCATTGCATGTGTGAAATGCACAGAAGGTCTTTATGTTCTGTTATAAATCACACTGCATGTATATGTTAGAAATTCAAGGCCTGAGAGGTCTTTCTTTAATGCTCAGTGCTGGGAGATGGCTGAAGTAATCAGGCTGCCTATTTTTAGTGCCACCTTTTGGATGCTTAGGAAATTGACATTTTAAAGTAAATTAAATGAACATAGTCCTACTTGTCATTTCTGCGATTAAATCAATTCCAACGCAGCTGTGTGACCGTAGAATGGTTTGTTTTATTATTGCTGATCAAAATAACTATTATGAGTAGCAGAATTCTAGTGCCTGGAAATCTAACAAGAGTAGTTTTGAGTTTAGAAGAATTAGCTCAACTGTCTTTAATATAAACTTCAAGGCCTTACACTTGAATAACAAATACCAAAGCAGTTTGACAGCTTTGAAAAAAAGTTAGTGGAATGTGCAAGATTTAGTTGGTGTTTATGCTGGCTGGACTTCACATACCCATATATACTCTGTGTTACTCATTTAAGTGCGCTTTTGTATACAGTTGTCACCATCAACATTGGCCCTTATTACTGAAATCTGTCAGCCTCATTTAAATTTTTGCAAATGTGATTTGGGAGATGTAAATATAAAAGTGAGCAGCTCTGTGCAGATACATTTTTGTGTGAGGCAGAAGTGCATGACTGGTGTCACATGCAGAGGGTGAAGGCTTTAGGAGTTACGGAACATCAAAAGCCTTCTTCAGAGTGACTGTCTGTCTCATGTGACTAGCATCGGTCAGTCAGACAGGGCACCCGGGACAATGGGCAGCCACACTGACGCTGAAGTGGAGTGAATCTGAGCACAGCCTCCAACATTCTCTATCTTTTTGTAGAAAACAAAGAAACCCAAGGCAGCAGAGTCTGTTTCAAAACCAGATGTCAGTGAAGGTAAGATCCTTCAAGAGATCCTTATTTTAGCAAAATGCGACTCTAGGGCAGTCTGCTAATATGTTCATGCTTTGTTTTGCATTGTTTTTGCTTTGCCTACTTTGTTTCTTTTACAGAAGCCCCAGGGCCATCAAAAGTTAAGACAGGGAAGCCTGAAGAAGCCAGCCTTGATTCTAGAGAGAAGAAAACCAACTTGGCTCCCAAAAGCACAGGTGGGTCCTGTTGTAGCTACAGGGAGCTGTTTCGAGAAGGCTGGAAACCCAGGTGGCCGAGTCCAGGTTTCACTGGAGTGGGTGGATGGGAAGCCCAAGCCTGTCCTATGTCATGTCTCTAGAGAGTGCACTGAACTCTCTTTAGGGGGGTAACTAAGAAATATTGAACACACCCTCATCAGGAGCCGTGGCAGGAGTGATGGGGTCTGGGCACAAATGCTGGTTGTTTAGATTCCTGTCGAGTAAGTGCTTGGTGCCAAGCAAAAGAGGTTGCGCTGAGAACTGGCTCAGATGTTGCACAGAGACTGTCAGATGGACTGTGGCTCAGGGCCTGCGGGGAATGCCCCCAGTTTCTTTACTCTTGGGGCTTTCATGGGCTCCACGTGTGGCTCTCAGAGTCCCCTCTCTGCTGCCTCTTGACCAAGGATCAGTTTCTCCTAAAACTCACTCTCTGTAACTCAAAGAAAATACCATTTATTTCACAAAAAGAAAAATACAGATTCATTGTTAAGAGTGTGTGATCTTGTGCTCTAAGTAGCATCCAGGGTGGCTGACAGGCTCCCATCCCGGCTCTACATGGGACAGCCACTCAGGTTCCTGTGCCCATTTCCTCCCCTGGAACGCAGGCCCTGCCTCATCAGGACAATCTAAGTCATTCACGGGGCTGGGACCAGTGTCTGCGACAGAGCAAGACAGTAAATGATAGATGTGTTGTGCTGTGTCTGCTTTGCTGGAGTTGGCAATTAAGATGACGTCCGCCAGCACTCACACAGCCAGCAAGAGAACGTCTGGGACAGAGTGACTGATGGGCTTCCCTTCTGAGGATGCGAAGTTTAGAATCATCTTTATCCCAACCCTGACAGTTTTGGCTCTTCATTTTTCTAGCAATGAATGAGAGCTCTTCTGGAAAAGCTGGGAAGCCTCCGTGTGGAGCCACAAAGAGGTCCATCGCTGACAGTGAAGAATCGGAGGCCTACAAGTCCCTCTTTACCACTCACAGCTCCGCCAAGCGCTCCAAGGAGGAGTCTGCCCACTGGGTCACCCACACGTCCTACTGCTTCTGAAGCCCGCACTGCCACCGCTCCTGCCCCAGAAGGTTGTTTAGTTTCCACGTAGGCAGGTCGCTTTGTGCCTCTGAGTGCGCTGCTGTGTGTTCTCTCTATAGTTCTGTGTCATAAAGCTGTCCTGGCCAGCCTTCAAGCTGGTGTGGCCACTCTTGATGTGAGGCGTGTCGGTTCCAGGGGGGACATGGGAGGGGCTGCACAGTGGCCCGAGGTCATGCTTGCTTCCACCTGCAGGTGCATTTGGTCCTTTCCATGGCCAGGAAGCCCTGTGGGCTGCACTTTTTATGCTTGCAGTAACAAGAGACTCCAGAGTCCTCACCGGTGCAGAGTTGGCACATATTAATTAACTAAAATTCTAATGATCTTGCTACCAGCAATAAATCAAGTAGGCCAAGTGAAACTGGGCTTTAAAAAGGATGGATTTCAAATACACTGTGCCCACTAGAAGCTTCGAAGGGCCTCGTCCCTCTGCTACAGCCCTGGGAGGAGCCAGGATCCTTGTTGGTCTAGCTAAATACTGTTAGGGGAGTGTGCCCCATCTCATCATTTCGAAGATAGCAGAGTCATAGTTGGGCACCCAGTGATTGGGTTCAAAAATAAAGCTGGTCTGCCTCTTCTCTCCTCTGTGTTTTTATCTTTTCTACCTTCTGCTCATGCTTGGGTAAGAACATTGCAGCCGTTGCATTGGTGATTACAGGAGTCATTCCATGAAGTCAGAAGAACCCACCCTTCTCTCCTCCAGCAGATGGTAAAGGGAGAATCGTACCCAAAAAGAGGTGCATTTTATCTGCCTATAAGTTGTGTTGACGTCAATAGCTAGTGAAACTTCTCATGAGACTCCTAATGAAGAACCAAGAGCCACAGGCCTCTGCGTGGCTTTCTGCACACGGTGGTATGACTGAGATAGTGACTGGTTCTCTATACAGACCCCGGGGCCCTGGGTTTCCTTCAGAAGCAGAAGGAGCTGTGGGAGGTGAATGGTGGGAGGTGAACAGGCAGGTTCTGTGGGAGACACAGACACGTGGGCAGAACTCCAGGGAGAGGCCAGCAAGGGAGAACCATGTGTGGCCCTGCTTTTTCTCAAACCCTGTGTGGTTCCCGGCTTCACAGTTGATGGGAAGGTTTGGCCCCAAGGATATTTTGACATTGTGAGTATAGAGCATTTTAATAAAAATTAAGTGATGCGTTTTTGTCATGGACTTTTCCAGAACAAACCTGGATTAGCCATTTAATTTCCCCAATTTTCTATACAGCCAAACTCAACCATTTTCTCATTGTTTTTATTTCCCCCTTTTTTTTTTTTTTTTTTTTTAAATTTTGAAACAGGGTCTCACTCTGTCATCCAGGCTGGAGTGCAGTGGCATGATCATGGCTCACCATAGCCTTGACCTCCTGGGCTCAGGTGATCCACCCCCCTCAGCCTCCCGAGTAGCTGGGATTATAGGTGCGCACTACCGCACCCGGCTAATTTTGCTATTTTTTGTAGAGATGAGGTTTCGCCATGTTGCACAGGCTGGTCTTAAACTTCTGGGACCAAGCAATCTGCCCGCCTCGGCCTTCCAAAGTGCTGGGATTACAGGCGTGAGCCACGCTGCCTGGGCCCCCTTTTCTTTTAATGACCATTATTTTTACCAGGTTCGGTTTTCTGAATGTTAGCCTGAATCAGTTTTATTTTGCATTGAATGTATTGACTGTGTCCAGTTTTTTCTGGTAACTGAGTCACAGCATCCTCAACACAAAAATTACAGCATCTCAAAGTCCTCTGCTTTGGGCCTCTCTGAAATAAACAGGCTGTGGGCCTCCCTCCAGCTGCCCTCAGGACCATCCATGCAGGAGGGATCAGGGTTTCCTTGGAGATTTCTAGCCAGCCTTTAATATTTTGCTAAGGCACCACTCTTCAAGGCTCCTGGCCAGCTTGAGGGAAGAAGGTATCCATGATCTGTGCTCCTGCTGGGCATGAGGCCTCAATACACCAACGGCTGGGGAGGGCTGATCATTCGCATTATTTTTAGGGCTCACTGAGCAGCCAAGCACTTGACAGGCTTCTTCCCCTGGGACTCCCCAGCCACCCAGTGCAATGGGAAGATGGCCATCCCCCACTTTATAGGTGAGGTGCCTGAGGCCCAAAGCAGCAAGGCGAATGACAGTTCTGCCTGGCCACACCGCACCTTCTCCCCATTCAGTCCGTACCAAATGAAGGAATCAGTGGCGGCTGGGGCAGGCTCCCACCCAGGCGCCGAGACCACGGGTTCAGGTGCTGTGCCCAAGAGGAAAGTGGGGCATCTCCTAGCTCTCCCTCCTCCTCCGTCCACCTCCAGGACCCAAGCTGCTTTCCACCAAGGAGGGAGCTGGGAGGAGAAAATTGAAAAGATGTTGAAATTCTCCAAAATAGCATCTATTCAATTTCCCACAGTATCGGAGGAACCAGCCCCCAATATTTCAATGTAGGTTCTTTTCTCTTTTCCCTAAGCATCGGCCGGTCTGAGAAAGAGTACAAAAGAGAGAAATTTTACAGCTGGGTCTCTGGGGGTGACATCACGTCAGCAGGTTCTGTGTTGCTCCCGAGCCGCAAAACCAGCAAGCTTTTATTAGCAATTTTCAAAGGGGAGGGAGTGTACGAATAGGTTGTGGGTCACAGAGATCACATGCTTCAAAGGCAATAAAATATCACAAGGCAAATGGGGGCAGAGCGAGATCAAAGTCCAGGGCAAAATTAGAATTGCTGATGAGGTTTCATGTCCCACTGTGCACGCATTGTCATTGATAAACATCTTAACAGGAAACAGGGTTCAAGAACAGACAACCGATCTGACTAGAATTTCACCAGGCTGGAATTTCCCAATCCTAGCAAGCCTGGGAGAGCTGCAGGAGACCAGGGCGTATTTCATCCCTTATCTACAACTGCATAAGACAGACACTCCCAGAGCGGCCATTTTAGAGACCTCCCCCTGAGAATGCATTCTTTTCCCAGGGCTGTTCCTTGCTGAGAAAAAGAATTCAGCGATATTTCTCCTATTCGCTTTTGCAAGAAGAGAAATATGACTCTGTTCTGCCCGGCCCCGCAGGCAGTCAGACCTTAAGGTTATCTCCCTTGTTCCCTGAAAATTGCTGTTATCCTGTTCTTCTAGGATGCCCAGATTTCATATTGTTCAAACACGTTTTACAAACAATTTGTACAGATAACGCAATCATCACAGGGTCCTGAGGCGACATACATCCTCAGCTTACGAAGACGACGGAATTAAGAGATTCAAGTAAAGACGGGCATAGGAAATTATAAGAGTATTGATTGGGGAAGGAATAAATGTCCATGAAATCTTCACAATTTATGTTCTTCTGCCGTGGCTTCATCCAGTCCCTCCATTTGGGGTCCCTGACTTCCTGCAACACCACAGCACTTCATTTCCAACAAATGAAATGAAAGCTGTGCCAAAATGAATGAAAGAAGTGCCGCCCCACCCCACAGCCCAGACAAGTTTGGCTCAAAGATCTGGTCTGCTTACCCACTGGTCCTGCTCTATTGGAGAGTGCTGTAGACTTTTGAATACATATAGGAAAAAGTGATTCCCATTATTAAAGACTGAACATTTCCAAATAACAAAATCACATGTGGCAAAACTTGTGAGCATTTCTGTTGTTTGGGGCCATTCCTGTAAACCACGTCTGTTTGCCCCTTACTGCTCCATCGCACCACAGCCACCAAACTTCCCAGCCGACTTAAGACACGGGCTGACTGAGCACTGTGGCTCCTGTCTGCAGTCCCAGCACTTTGGGAGGCTGAGGCAGGAGGACTGCTTGAGCCCAGGAGTTTTGAGACTAGCCTGGGCAACACAGGGAGACCCTGTCTCTACCAAAAATGAAATAAAAATTATCCAGACCCTGTCTCTACCAAAAACAAAACAAAAAAAAAAACAAAAATTATCGAGGCTGCAGTGAGCCAAGATCATTCCACTGCACTCCAGTCTGGATGACACAGCAAGACCCTATCTCAAAGAAAAGACACAGGCTGTGTATGGACATGGGGGCCTCTGAAAATAATTAGCCATCCCTCAAAGCTGCTGGAATGGGGAACACTGGGGACAGGGAGCCGCATGATGCCAAGGACAGGCCTCCAAACTGAGGTCACAGGGTGGCCCAAGGCCCTGGAAATCAGGGCAGCTGCCTCTACAGTGGGTGTAATTCCAGGCAGTAGCTGCCAAGCTGAGTGGGCCCCTGCAAGAAGAGAAGTGCCCGTCTTCTGGTCAACCTGGAGATTTGCATCTCTCCATCGTGCCCAGTCTCTGGCAGGAAGCCCCACTCCCCAGCCGACACTGCACCATGCTCATGGAGGAAGAAGCTGTGCAGCACAGCCCAACAGCGTTTTCCCCTTTCGGTTTTCTAGAGTAGTCTTGCAGAACTATTTTTTGGTTTTTTTTTTTTTGAGAGAGTCTCACTCTGTTGCCCAGGCTGGAGTGCAGTGGCACCACCTCAGCTCACTGCAACCACCGCCTCCTGGATTCAAGCGATTCTCCTGCCTCAGCTCCAGAGTAGCTGAGATTACAGGTGTGCACCAAAACACCTGGCTAATTTGTTTTTATTTTCAGTGGAGACAAGGTTTCACCATGTTGGTCAGGCTGGCCTCAAACTCTTTGACCTCAGGTGATCTGCATGCCTTGGCCTCCCAAAGTGCTGGGATTACAGGCATGAGCCACTGCCCCTGGCCATAGTCTTGCAGAACTACTTTGTCACTCCACAGAGATCAGTAGTTTAAGGCACAGCGAAGGTGCCCAGCTGAACTTTGATTATTTCCTGTGCAGCATAAAGTTCTGCTCCTCGGGAGTAAATCTGCAAATCAGAGCCTTCCTCAGGAAGATAGCTCTACAGATGACCCAGGGGAACAAGTACAAGCCGTGCGTTCCAGCACCCAGGATTTCTTGTTTCATGTCATTTTAAAGAACACATGGTTTCGAGTATACTATGGAGTCCTAGGTTTATTCCCAGCCTTGGCCTCAGTTGTCAAGCTAGCTGTTCCTTTTTACTTGGGGGATTCAGCCCCTTCCCATTTTACCCACCAACTCTTAATCATCTCCCCTGCTCTACTCAACCATCTTTTTCTGGACACTCTTCCTGCTTCCTGCATAACCTAGTTTAGAGCAGTCCCCTTATGCTAGTCTCTAAAGCTTCCTGTTCTTATCACAATTTTAATCAAAGTATACTCTCTCTCTTTTTTTTTTTCTTCCTGAGATGGAGTCTCACTCTGTTGCCCAGGCTAGAGTGCAGTGGTGCGATCTCAGCTCACTGCAACCTCTGCCTCCCAGGTCCAAGTGATTCTCCTGCCTCAGCTTCCCAACTAGCTGGGCCTACAGGCCTATGCCACCATGCCGGGCTAATTTTTGTTTAGTAGACATGGGGTTTCACCATGTTGGCCAGGCTATTCTCCAGCTCCTGACCTCAGGTGACCCACCTGCCTTGGCCTCCCAAAGTGCTGGGACTACAGGTGTGAGCCACCACACCCAGCCCAAAGTATACTCTTAACCCAGGGTGGGCACACACTGCTACGATCAATGATGGTGTGAGGTAATAGTGAGTGGTGGGGACTGTGGAGGGAATATGGCCACCGAAAGGACGGTTTCACTTGGCTGCAGCAGAGAGACTGGTTCCATGAGGGTGTGCACTCATTGTTTCTGGACCTCCCATATTTTCAAAGGAAGCCAGAATGTGGAGTTTTAAAGTGAAATGCCCCCCAATATTTAAGTACTGACAATTTTTAAAAACAATGTAGGCCAAACAAAACACATAGGTGGGCCGGGCGCAGTGGCTCATGCCCGTAATCCCAACACTTTAGGAGGCCGAGGCAGGTGGATCACCTAAGGTCGGAAGTTAGAGACCAGCCTGACCAACATGGAGATACCCTGTCTCTACTAAAAATACAAAATTAGCCAAGCGTGATGGTGGATGCCTGTAATCGCAGCTACTCAGGAGGCTGAGGCAGGAGAATGGCTTGAACTGGGAGGCGGAGGTTGCGGTGAGCTAAGATCATTGCACTCCAGTCTGGGCAACAAGAGCAAAATTCCGTCCCCAAAAAAAAACAAAAACAAATTTTTTGTTTGTTTAGTTTGAGCCACATAGGTGGCTCCAAATTTGTAGGTAGCCTGTGGTTTAATATCTTTCTCTCCCGTTTAACTCAGCTCCACGGGGCACATGGCATCTCCCTCTGCTCATCACAATGTCTGGATCAAACAAATGAAAAACAAAAACATGATGGCCTCTCCCAGCAAAGCTCCAGGGTTGGAAAGAGTCCCCTGGCAGGGAATTGGCACCCCGTCGTGCCCATCCTCTCTCTCTGACTGCCTGCTGGAAATGCCCCCATCTCCCTTTGAGTCCTCCTCCCGGGCAACCCCTGTGACCTGTAACCTCTGTCCTGAAATCATCACAATGGCCAGAGTGGCCTCAGCTCAGGGCCTCTGTGACATCACCAAGGGCCTGGCACCAGGTGCCCAGTCTCCCAGTTGCGAGGGCAAGCAAACCCGTCATGAGCAACTCCCTTCCCCATCTCTGCTCACCATGTGGACGCTGAAATCGTCCCTGGTCCTGCTTCTGTGCCTCACCTGCAGCTATGCCTTTATGTTCTCTTCTCTGAGACAGAAAACTAGCGAACCCCAGGGGAAGGTGCAATACGGAGAGCACTTTCGGATTCGGCAGAATCTACCAGAGCACACCCAAGGCTGGCTTGGGAGCAAATGGCTCTGGCTTCTTTTTGTTGTTGTGCCGTTTGTGATACTGCAGTGTCAAAGAGACAGTGAGAAGAATAAGGTAAGGATGGCTCCATTTTTTTTACACCATATTGATTCAATCTCAGGAGTCTCAGGGAAACGGATGTTCTAGTGAGTCTAGACGGCACCGTTGGGTATAATGAACCGACCTCATGGTCCTGGGCAAAGCTGGCAAATTCACTTCCTGATGTATCCTTAGTGAAGACAATTGTCCCCAGATCCACAGATACTGGGACAAAGAGTGGAAAGTGACCTCTGCTTACTGGCTCACAGATTTTCTGGTTAGATGGATTTTTTCAAATGTAGGATAGATTCAAGAACTTATGGTGTGTTTCAGAAAGTCAAAATTATTCACAGGGCCAGATTCACTAGCCCCTGTTTTTTAAATTCTTGCTAGTGTTTGACTTACTACAAAATCCTGAGCTAAATGGAAATGATATCATTATCCCAACAAAATATGAGACTTGTGCTGAAGAGATAAAGATGTAAGGTAGTTTGAGCTGGTCCTCAAAGTGACCACAAACAACTCTTTCAGGTAGAAAAGGAAGGGGAGAGAAAGTGCGTTCTCCCCTAGAAAGACCCAGCACTTCATAATCCTGTGCCCAAACTGATGAGAGCAGGGATCGGCAAACCCTTCCCGTAAAGGGCCAGGGAGGGTGCGAATATCTTCAGCTTTGTGGGCAGTATGGTCTTCTTGCAACTACTCAAGTCTGCTGTTGTAACACGAACTGTGTCAAAACCAACAAAGTTCACAATATTACTGACCTTGAGTATCTTTCCTGACAGGAGCAGAGTCCTCCTGGCCTTCGAGGCGGCCAACTTCACTCTCCATTAAAGAAAAAAAGAAATGCTTCCCCCAACAAAGACTGTGCATTCAATACCTTAATGGAACTCGAGGTGGAGCTTATGAAATTTGTGTCCAAAGTGCGGAATCTTAAACGTGCCATGGCAACAGGTAGTGGCAGTAACCTCAGGCTTCGAAAGTCAGAGATGCCTGCAGATCCATACCATGTCACGATCTGTGAAATATGGGGAGAAGAAAGCTCTAGCTGAATGGATTTGTGTGTCAGGAGAGAAAAAAGTTGAGTGTTGACAAACTGTATGCAAACTAATAAAACTATTCTGAAGAAAAGAACTTCCATGTTTGAGAGCTTGCTTCTTTTCTTTTTTTCACTAGAAGAAAAAGTGAATGGGAGACCAGTAGCCATAGCAGTGATGGTTTTGTTTTTGCCTCTCTCACGTCATCTAGAGCTGTGGGTGGTGAGAAGAACACCGAAAGCTACATAATAGTACGTGATGAGCTCGTGCTTCTGTTCAATGGCCGCGGGTGGACGATGGAGCTAGGGAAATCTGGGATAAGATGCTGACGTCACTTCCATACAAACTCTTGCTCTCTATAGCATCTATTTGTGCAAGATGCAGAACTGCTTTTTATCTTTGATTTATTACAAAAGACAGCATTAATGATAGTTTTAAAATGGTAAAATGATTCAATTAGGAGGGGTGTATTCTAGAGTTATCTGATTCTCTCACCACAAGAGTCCTTTCACTCATTCCCTGTCAAAGGTTCCGTGTATATTGACTTTTCCTTCTACCACACTAGCAGTTACATTTGTCAATAATTGGATTTAAAAAAAAAAAAAGGGGGATGAGGCAGGAGAATCGCTCAAACCCGGGAGGCAGAGGTTGCATTGAGATCGCACCGCTGCACTCCAGCCTGGGTGACAGAGCGAGACTCCATCTCAAAAGAAAAAAACAAAAAGGAGAGGCCCGGCATGGTGGCTCACACCTGTAATCTTAGCCCATTGGGAGGCCGAGGCAGGAGGACTGATTGAGCCTAGGAGTTTGAAACCACCCTGGGCTACATAGTGAGACCCCATCTCTATTATTTTAAATTAACAAGAAAACGGAGAAAAATTCATTCATCCTATGCCATTGGAGTTTTGGATACAAGTGTGCTAACCAGGGGCTCCCAGATTAATTGACATGTTCTTTATCCTACTTATTCAAAATGTGGATATTTTACATGTTACTGTGGCTGATGGCATCTCTGTACATACTTAGGTGCTTGCCTAATGGTGATTTCTATTTTCCTCTCTCCTACAGTGTTTATTGATTGGAATTCTGCTGTAAGAAGAGCTGTTCCTTCGCCGATGATTGATGGATGGGTTTCTGTATGGACTTACAGGTGTGTTTTTTTTTTTGGATTATTTTCTGGCTCCACCTTTCCCACCTTTGGCGTTAGGAGCTGCTTCGGGTTGGCACTTGTGTTCTGTGAGCAAGCCCCTTCCTCTTTTGAGCAATTCCTTACTTTCTGGCAACCCAAGATGCTCCATGCTCATCTGGTTCATTGCCTGCCTTCATCCTGGAATCAGCCACTTCCCCAAGGGGCCAGGTTCCCTTTCTTGGAGAATGGTGACCTGCCCTCCTGCAGCCAGGATCATGACTTATCTTAAAATCCTTCATTTAATTCATCTGCAAAATGTCTCTTGCCACATGAACTGCAGGCCCACAGGTCCCAGGAATGAGTGCATAGGCATCTCTGGGGCCGGTACCCAGTTGACCAGTGCTGTCACCCTCACAAGCATCAAAGTCACCCAGGGCGCAAGGAAGACCAAGACCATGAGGCAGGAGGCCATGGCTTCTGCGGCTGCAGCAGAAGCAGGAGAGGGAGGCAGGGCAGACAGCAGCCCAGATGCCTGGGGCCTCAGGGGAAGGAGGCCCTGCCTCGAAGGCATAGGCGTCCCTCAAGGGTCCCAACCCCGGGCCCTGAAGGGTGGGCAGCATCTTCCCGGGAAGAATATGGTGGCTGGGCATGGTGGCTTATGTCTGTAATCCCAGCACTTTGGGAGGCCAAGGTGGACAGATCACCTGAGGTCAGGAGTTCAAGACCAGCCTGGCCAACATGGTGAAAACCCGTCTCTATCAAAAATACAAAAATTAGCTGGGCATGGTGGAAGACACCTGTAATCCCAGCTACTCAGGAGGCTGAGGCAGGAGAATCACTTGAACCCAGGAGGTGGAGGTGGCAGTGAGCTGAGATTGCACCACTGCACTCCAGCCTGGGCAACAGAGCTAGACTCTGTCTCAAAAAAATAAATAAATAAAAAGAATGGTTACCCAGGTGCGGTGCTGTGCACCTGTGGTCCCAGCTACTTGGGAGGCTAAGGTAGGAGCATCTTTTGGGTCTGGGAGGTCGAGGCTGCAGTGAGCCATGATTGCACCGTAGTGCTACAGCCTGGGTGGTGGCGTGAGACCCTGTCTTCAAAATAAAAATAAAAATAATGTTTGGGGGCTGGGCAAAATGATTCTCACTTGTAATCTTAGCACTATGGGAAATTGGGGAAGGCAGATCACTTGAGCCCAGAGGTTCAAGACCACCCTGCACAACATGGCAAAACCCTCTCTACAAAAAAAAAAAAAAAAAAAAAAAATTAGCCGGGCATGGTTGCATGCACCTGTAGTCCCAGCTACTCAGGAGGTTGAGGTGGGAGGATCCCCTGAGCCCAGGAGGTGGAGGTTGCAGTGAGCTATGATTGCACCACTGCATTCCAGCCTGGGTGACAGAGCCAGACCTTGTGTCCAAAAAAAAAAGTTGGGGTGCTTTAGTCCTTAGGAGTAGTCCTAGGGAAACAGAATCTCTCTCTCTGACTTTCTGTCCTCCTTTCCCTGCCCAAGGTAGGACTCTAATCAGATTGGGAGCCCAAAGACCTCATTCGAGAGGGTCATGCCGCATACCCTAGAGCAAGGAAAGCTGCACAGAGAGACCAAGAGGAATCTGGACAGGCCCTGATGGGTTCCCCAATCAGTCTGTTAATATGAGAGCATATTAATTTTTGGCCCAATCACATTTCTTCATGATTGTGTATCATCCCTGTTTAATGAAGCTGCCATTAAAACCCAAAAGAAGACCCGGCATGGTGGCTCACACCTGTAATCCCAGCACTCTGGGAGGCCGAGGTGGGTGAATCACCTGAGGTCAGGAGTTTGAGACCAACCTGGCCAACATGGTGAAACTCTGTCTCTACTAAAAATACAAAATTAGCCGGGTGCAGTGGTGCCTGCCTGTAATCCCAGCTACTTGGGAGGCTGAGGCAGGAGAATCGCTTGAACCCAGGAGGCGGAGTTTGCAGTGAGCCAATATTGTGCCATTGCACTACAGCCTAAGTGACAGAGTGAGACCGTATTTCAAAAAAAAAGAAAACAAATTATTCTTAGGCTGGGTGTGGTGGCTCACACCTGTAATCCCAGCACTTTGGGAGGCCAAGGTAGGCGGATCACCTGAGGTCAGGAGTTCAAGACCACCCTGGCCAACAAGGTGAAACCCTGTCTCTACTAAAAATACAAAAATTAGCGAAGCATGGTGGTGGGTGCCTGTAATCCCAGCTACTTGGGAGGCTGAGGCAGGAGAATTGCTTGAACCCTGGAGGCGGAGGCTGCAGTGAGCTGAGATTGTGCCATTGCACTCCAGTGGGTGACAGAGTGAGACTCCATCTCAAAAATAATAATAATTAAAAAATAAAAATACAGGCCTGGCACAATGGCTCAGTCCTATAATCCCAGCATTTTGGGAGGCCGAGACAGGTGAATCATCTGAGGTCAGGAATTTGAGACCAGCCTGGCCAACATGGTGAAACCTCATCTCTACTAAAAGTACAAAAATTAGTTGGGTGTGTTGGCGTGTGCCTGTAATCCCAGCTACTCAGGAGGCTGAGGCAGGAGAATCTCTTGAACCCAGGAGGTGGAGGTTGCAGTGAGCCGAGATCACGCCATTGCACTCCAGCCTGGGCAACAGAGACTCCATCTCAAAAAAAGAATAAATAAATAAACAAATAATAAATACAAATACGAAAATTAGGCAGGCGTGATGGCATGCACCTGTAGTCCCAGCTACTCAGGAGGCTGAGGAGTGAGAATCACTTGAACCTGGGAGGCAGAGCTTGCAGTGAGCTGACATAGTGCCCCTGCACTCCAGCCTGGGCGACACAGCAAGACTCTGTCTCAAAACAACAACGACAACAAAAATCCACTCAACCACCCACCCACCCACACACCCATCCATCCAACCATCCACCCATCCATCCATCCATTCATCCATCCACCCACCCACTAACCCATCCATCCATCTACCCACCCACCCATCCACCCTCCCACCCACTCATCCATCCATTCAACAACATACTGAGTATCTACTGTATGCCATTTTGGCAAGGAGCAGGAATGGAGGACAAAGTCATAGGCAGGAAAAGGATTCTGGAAAAGTGGTCCAGGCAGATGTCAGGACAAAGGGAAGAGTTTGCTCAAGTTTGTCATGTGGAGGAGCAGAGAGGACGCTGGCAGGGCAGGTGGGAATGGAGGAAGTTGGGTTTGCTGGGTTGATAAGGGCCAGATCAGACATCATTTTACAGAAGGATTCATTGAACAACTATGGTATGTACCACATGTGTTCTGTTCTTTTTCCCCTAGACTGCTCAGGAGAATTTATTCATTTTTTTTTAGAGACAGAGTCTTGCTCTGTTGCCCAGGTTATAGTGCAATGGCATCATCTGAGCTCATTGCAGCCGCAACTCCTGGGCTCAAGCGATTCTCCTGCCTCAGCCTCCCAAGTAGCTAAGATTACAGGCATGCACCACCACACTCAGCTAATTTTTTTTTTTTTTTTTGTATTTTTAGTGGCGACAGTGTTTCACCATGTTGGTCAGGCTGGTCTCGAACTCCTGACCTCAGATGATCTGCTCACATTGGCTTCCCAAAGTGCTGGGATTACAGGCATGAGCCACTGCCCCTGGCCATAGCTTGTAGAACTTCTTTGTCACTCCACAGAGCTCAGTACAATTTAAGGCACAGCGAGGGTGCCCAGCTGACTCTTGATTATTTCCTATGCAGCATAAAGTTCTGCTCCTCGGGAGTAAATCTGCGAATCAGAGCCTTCCTCAGGAAGATAGCTCTACAGATGACCCAGGGGAACAAGTACAAGCCGTGCATTCCAGCACCCAGGATTTCTTGTTTCATGTCATTTTAAAGAACTCATGGTTTCAGGTATACTGTGGAGTCCTAGGTTCATTCCCAGCCTTGGCCTCAGTTGTCAAGCTAGCTGTTCCTTCTCACTTGGGGGATTCAGCCCCTTCCCATTTTACCCACCAACTCCTAATCATCTCCCCTGCTCTACTCAACCATCTTTTTCTGGACACTCTTCCTGCATAACCTAGTATAGAGCAGTCCCCTTGTGCTCGTCTCTAAAGCTTCCTGTTCTTATCACAATTGTTTTTTCTTCTTTCTTTGTTTTTTTTTTTTTTTTGAGATGGAGTTTCGCTCTTGTTGCCCAGGCTGGAGTGCAATGGCACAATCTCAGCTCACCGCAACCTCTGCCTCCCAGGTTCAAGCAATTCTCCTGCCTCAGCCTCCCGAGTAGCTGGGATTACAGGCATGCACCACCATGCCCAGCTAATTTTTTTGTATTTTTAGTAGAGATGGGGTTTCTCCATGTTGGCTTGGCTGGTCTCAAACTCTCGACCTTAGGTGATCCACCCACCTCACCCTCCCAAGGTGCTGGGATTACAGGCATGAGCCACCGTGCCCGGCCTCTTACCACAATTTTAATCGAACTATACTCTTTTTTCTTTTCTGAAACACAGTCTCACTCTGTCACCCAGGCTGGAGTAGAGTGTCTTGATCTCAGCTCACTGCAACCTCTGCCTCCAAGGTTCAAATGATTCTCCTGCCTCAGCCTCCCAAGTAGCTGAGATTGCAGGCGTGCATTGCCACACCTGGCTAATTTTTGTATTTTTAGTAGAGATGGGGTCTCGCTATGTTAGCCAGATTGGTCTGGAACTCCTCCTGACCTCAGGTGATCTGCCCACCCTGGCCTCCCAAAGTGCTGGGATTACAGGTGTGAGCCCCTGCCCCTGTGCCTGGCCCAATGTATACTCTTTTTTTCTTTTCTTTTCTTTTCTTTTCTTTTTTTTTTTTTTTTTTGAGACTGAGCCCTGCTCTGTTGCCCAGACTGGAGTGCAGTGGCGCCATCTAAGCTCACTGTAACCTCTACTTCCTGGGTTCAAGTGATTCTCCCGTCTCAGCCTCCCAAGTAGCTGGGATTACAGGCACATGCCACCATGCCTGGCTAATTTGTGTATTTTTAGTAGAGATAGGGTTTCACCATGTTGGCCAGGCTGGTCTCAAACTTCTGACCTTGGGTGATCTGCCTACCTTGGCCTCCCAAAGTGCTGGGATTACAAGTGTGAGCCACCAGGCCTGGCTCCAAAGTATACTCTTAACCCAAGGCAGGCACACACTGCTGCTGTCAATGATGGTATGTGGTAATAGGGAGTGGTGGGGACTGTGGAGGGAATATGGCCACAGGATGGATGATTTCACTTGGCTCTAGCAGAAGACTGGTTCTATGACAGTGTGGGCCCAGTGCTTCCAGAACTCTTCATATTTTCTTTTCTTTCTTTTTCTTTTTCTTTTTTTTTTTTTTTTTTTTTTGAGACAGAGTCTTGCTCTGTTGCCAGGCTGGAGTGCAGTGGCGTGATCTCGGCTCATCACAACCTCTGCCTCCTGGGTTCAAGTGATTCTCCTGTCTCAGCCTCCCAAGTAGCTGAGACTACAGGCGTGTGCCACCACATCCAGCTAATTTTTGTATTTTTAGTAAAGACGGGGTTTCACCACGTTGGACAGGATGGTCTCGATCTCTTGACCTCGTAATCTGCCCGCCTCAGCCTCCCAAAGTGCTGGGATTACAGGCGTGAGCTGCCGCGCCCGGCCACGCTCTCATATTTTCAAAGGAAGCCGGAAACCTGGACTTTTAAAGTGAAATACCCACCCCCCACAACATTTAAGTACTGACTAATAATTTTTAGAAACAACATAGGCCAAACAAAACACATAGGTGGCTCCGAGTTTGTAGGTAGCCTGTGGTTTAATATCTTTCTCTCCCATTTAACTCAGCTCCACGGGGCACATGGCATCTCCCTCTGCTCATCATAGTGTTTGGATCAAACAAATGAAAAACAGAAACATGACGGCCTCTACCAGCAAAAGCTCGAGGGTTGGAAAGAGTCCCCTGGCAGGGAATTGGCACCCCGTCGTGCCTATCCTCTCTCTCTGACTGCCTGCTGGAAATGCCCCCATCTCCCTTTGAGTCCTCCTCCCGGGCGACTCCTGTGACCTGTAACCTCTGTCCTGAAATCATCACAATGGCCAGGGTGGCCTCAGCTCAGGGCCTCTGTGACATCACCAAGGGCCTGGCACCAGGTGCCCAGTCTTCCAGTTGCGAGGGCAAGCAAACCCGTCATGAGCAACTCCCTTCCCCATCTCTGCTCACCATGTGGACGCTGAAATCGTCCCTGGTCCTGCTTCTGTGCCTCACCTGCAGCTATGCCTTTATGTTCTCTTCTCTGAGACAGAAAACTAGCGAACCCCAGGGGAAGGTGCCGTGTGGAGAGCACTTTCGGATTCGGCAGAACCTACCAGAGCACACCCAAGGCTGGCTTGGGAGCAAATGGCTCTGGCTTTTGTTTGCTGTTGTGCCGTTTGTGATACTGCAGTGTCAAAGAGACAGTGAGAAGAATAAGGTAAGGATGGCTCCATTTTTTTTACACCATATTGATTCAATCTCAGGAGTCTCAGGGAAACGGATGTTCTAGTGAGTCTAGGCGGCACCGTTGGGTATAATGAACCGACCTCATGGTCCTGGGCAAAGCTGGCAAATTCACTTCCTGATGTATCCTTAGTGAAGACAATAGTCCCCACATCCACAGATATTGGGACAAACAGTGGAAGATGACCTCTAGTTTCTTGGCTCAAAGTTCTTCTGGTTAGATGGATTTTTTCAAATGTAGGATAGATTCAAGAACTCAGCCGGGCGCAGTGGTTCATGCTGTAATCCCATCACTTTGGGAGGCCAGGGCAGGTGGATTGCCTGAGGTCGGGAGTTTGAGAACAGCCTGGCCAACACGGTGAAACCCCATCTCTACTAAAAATACAAAAATTAGCTGGGCATGGCGGCGTGTGTCTGTAATCCCAGCTACTCGGGAGGCTGAGGCAGAAGAATGGCTTGAACCCTGGAGGCAGAGGTTGTGGTGAGCTGAGATCACACTACTGCACTCCTGCATGGGCGACTGAGACTCTGTCTCAAAATAAAGAACTTATGGTGTGTTTTAGAAGGTCAAAATTATATTATTCACAGGGCCAAATTCACTGTTCCCTTGCTTTTTACATTTTTCCTAGTGCTTGACTTACTGAAAATTCCTGAGCTAAATGGAAATGATATCATCCCAACAAAATATGAAACTTCTGTAAGGAGATAAAGGTGTAGGCCGGGCACAGTGGCTCATGCCTGTAATCCCAGAACTTTGGGAGGCCGAGACGGGCAGATCACTTGAGGTCAGGAGATTGAGACCAGCCTGGCCAACATGGTGAAACCTCGTCTTTACTAAAAATACAGAAATTAGGCCAGGCGCGGTGGCTCACCCCTGTAATCCTAGCACTTTGGGAGGCTGAGGCGGGTGAATCACGAGGTCAGGAGTTCGAGACCAGCTGGGCAACATGGTGAAACCCTGTCTCTACTAAAAATACAAAACCTAGCTGGGCGTAGTGGCGGGCGCCTGTAATCCCAGCTACTCGGGAGGCTGAGGCAGGAGAATCACTTGAACCCTGGAGGCAGAGGTGGTAGTGAGCCGAGATGGAGCCACTGCACTCCAGCCCAGGTGACAGAGTGAGACTCTGTCTCAAAAAAAAAAAAAAAAAAAAAAAAAGCTGGGCCCAGTGGCTCATGCCTGTAATCCCAGCACTTTGGGAGGCCGAGGCGGACGGATCATCTGAGGTCAGGAAGTTGAGACCAGCCTGACCAACATGGAGAAAGCCCGTCTCTACTAAAAATACAAAATTAGGCGTAGTGGCGCATGCCTGTAATCCCAGCTACTCGGGAGGCTGAGGCAGGAGAATCGCTTGAACCCGGGAGGTGGAGGTTGCAGTGAGCCGAAACTGCGCCATTGCCCTCCAGCCTGGGCAACAAGAGCAAAACTCTGTCTCAAAAAAAAAAAAAAATACAGAAATTAGCCAGGTGTGGTGGCACACCCCTGTAATCCCAGCTACTCGGGAGACTGAGGCAGGAGAATCACTTGAACCTGGGAGGCAGAGGTTGCAGTGAGCTGAGATCGTGCCACTGCACGCCAGCCTGGGCGACAAAGTGAGACTCTGTCTCAAAAAAAAAAAAAATTAGCTGGTATGGTGGTGGGCACCTGTGGTCCCAGCTACTTGGGAGGCTGAGGCATAAGAGTTGCTTGAACCCCGGCCGGGGGTGGTGGCTCATGCCTGTAATCCCAGCAATTTGGGAAGCCGAGGCGGGTGGATCACCTGAGGTCAGGAGTTCGAGACCAGCCTGGCCAACATGATAAAACCCTGTCTCTACAAAAATACAAAAATTAGCCGGGCATGATGGCGGGTGCCTGTAATCCCAGCTACTCGGGAGGCTGAGGCAGGAGAATAGCTGGAACCTGGGAGGCAGAGGTTGCAGTGAACCGAGATCATGCCACTGCACTCCAGCCTGGGTGACAGGGCAAGATTCCGTCTCACAAAAAAAAAGAATTGCTTGAACCCAGGAAGTGGAGGTTGCGGTGAGCCAAGATCACACCAGCCTGGGTGACAGAGTGAAACTGTGTCTCAAAAAAACAAACAAAAAAAAGAGATGAAGGTGTAAAGTAGTAACAGCTGGGCCTCAAAGTGACCATAAACAATTCTTTCAAGTAGAAGGAGAAAGGGAAAGAAAGCGTATTCTCCCCTAGAAAGACCCAGCATTTCATGATCCTGTGCCCAAACTGATTAGAGGAAGGATTGGCAAACTTTTTCTGTAAAGGGCCAGAGAGTGAATATTTACAGCTTTGTGGGCAGTACGGTCTTCCTTGCAACTACTCAAATCTGCTGTTGTAACATGAAGCAGCCTTAAACAATATAGAAATGAGTGAGCATGACTGTGTGCCAATAAAACTTTATTTACAAAAACAGGTGGAGGGCCAAATTTGGCCATAGTCTGCCAGTGCCTGCACTCGAGCACTGCTAGAACCATCTTTTCTTAAATGAGCCCAACTGTCTTGGAACTGTGTCAAAACCAGCAAAGTCCATGATATTATTGACCTTGAATATCTTTCTTGACAGGAGCAGAGTCCTCCTGGCCTTCGAGGCTTCCCATTTCGCACTCCACTAAAGAAAAATCAAAATGCTTCTCTTTACAAAGACTGTGTATTCAATACCTTAAACGAACTTGAAGTGGAGCTTTTGAAATTTGTGTCCGAAGTGCAGAATCTTAAAGGTGCCATGGCAACAGGCAGTGGCAGTAACCTCAAGCTTCGAAGGTCAGAGATGCCTGCAGATCCATACCATGTCACAATCTGTAAAATATGGGGAGAAGAAAGCTCTAGCTGAATGGATTTGTGTGTCAGGAGAGAAAAAAGTTGAGTGTTGACAAACTGTATGCAAACTAATAAAACTATTCTGAAGAAAAGAACTTCCATGTTTGAGAGCTTGCTTCTTTTCTTTTTTTTCACTAGAAGAAAAAGTGAATGGGAGACCAGTAGCCATAGCAGTGATGGTTTTGTTTTTGCCTCTCTCATGTCATCTAGAGCTGTGGATGGTGAGGAGAGCACCGAAAGCTACATAATAGTACGTGATGAGCTCGTGCTTCCGTGCAATGGCCGCGGGTGGACGATGGAGCTAGGGAAATCTGGGATAAGATGCTGACGTCACTTCCATACAAACTCTCGCTCTCTGTAGTATCTACTTGTGCAAGATACAGAACTGCTTTTTATCTTTGATTTATTACAAAAGACGGCGTTAATGATAGTTTTAAAATGGTAAAATGATTCAATTAGGAGGGGTGTATTCTAGAGTTATCTGATTCTCTCACCACAAGAGTCCTTTCACTCATTCCATGTCAAAGGTTCCATGCATTGACTTTTCCTTCTACCAAACTGGCAGTTACATTTGTCAGTAGTTGGATTAAGAAAAAGGGAGAGGCCAGGCATGGTGGCTCACATCCGTAATCTTAGCACTTTGGGAGGCCAAGGCGGGAGGATTGCTTGAGTCCAGGAGTTTGAAGCCACCCTGGGCAACATAGTGAGATTCCTTCTCTATTATTTTTAAATTAGAAAAAAAAAAAAGGGAAAAACAATTCATCCTTTCTATATCATTGGGGTTTTGGATACAGATGTGCTAACCAGGGGCTCCCCAATCAGTTGATATGTACTTTATCATACTTATTTAAAATGTGGATATTTTACATGTTAGTGTGGCTGACTCTGCACACACTTAGGGCTGTAAGTCTCCTACTGACCCCTGAGCCGACCTTCCCTCATTTAAAAGGCCAACCTGTGGCCGGGTGTGGTGGCTGAAGCCTGTAATCCCAGCATTTTGGGAGGCTGAGGGGGCAGATCATGAGATCAAGAGATCGAGACCATCCTGGCCAATGTGGTGAAACCTCGTCTTTACTAAAAATACAAAAATTAGCTGGGCGTGGTGGCAGGCGCCTGTAGTCTCAGCTGTTTGGGAGACTGAGGCAGGAGAATTGCTTGAACCCAGGAGGCGGAGGTTGCGGTAAGCCGAGATCATGCCACTGCACTCCAGCCTGGCGACAGAGCAAGACTCCATCTCAAAAATAAATAAATAAATAAATAAAAGGCCACACACACTTGTGCGTGGCTGGAGAGAACAGTTAGCTGTGGGACACCATGGAAATTCCTTTATTTCACTTCAGTCCAAACTTCTGGTGCCTGACAGAGAAGTCCTGAATCTCTGCCACCTTCCTTTATTTGTCCGCTCCCATTATTTGCACAAGGCTTTCAGGATCCTCCCTGAACATGTGATTTTCTCCATGTGTAGGAGGTGGACCTCTTGTAAAATGTCCTTGAACATTTTGCTTTTTGTCTTAACTCTCAGCTTTCAATATGGGGGAAATGGAAGGAGCCAAGATTACTCCTTTTGCCTTCCAGATTATTTATGAGTGTTTTCAAGCAAACCAGAGTATGTGAGTTATTGTCACAGCCCACTCTGAAGAAATCCAGATAAGAAAAAAATTGGTTTTAACCAGTAATCTCAAGATGGGGCAGGTTTTAGATTGTCTTCATTTAACCAGTAGCTATTAGATCTGCGGTCAGCAAGCTACAGCTCACAGGCCAATTTGGCCGCCTGCCTATATTTGTACAGCCTTGTGAACTAATAATGATTTTTATATTTTTTCGTGGTTAAAAATATCAGGCAGGGTGTGGTGGTGTGCACCTGTAGTACCAGCTACTCTGGAGGATGAGGCAGGAGGATTGCTTGAGCCCAGGAGTCTGAGTTCAGCCTGAGCAACATAGTGAGAACCTGTTGCTATATATATATATATATGGCAACATATATATATATGGCAACATATATATATATAATATATATATTTGAAGACATGAAACTCACATAAAATCCAAATTTTAGCACCCATGAAGTTTTATTGGAACACAGCCACATTCTTTAATTTACATATTATCTATGGCTGCTTTTGTGCCACAGAATTTCCACGTTGTCTATGGGTCTAGATTTTGTGCTTACAGTGGCACGCTTGAATTATTGCAACAGAAAACAATATAGCCCAGAAATATTTACTAACTGGCCCTTTACAGGACAAGCTTGCCAACCCCTAATTTATGCTAATCTCATATGTTAACAAGCAGAAGCTGGGCGCGGTGGCTCACATCCGGAATCCCAGCACTTTGGTAGGCTGAGGTGGGTGGATCACTTGAGGTCAGGAGTTTGAGACCAGCCCAGCCAACATGGGGAAACTCTGTCGCTACTAAAAATACACAATTAGTTAGGCATGGTGGTGGGTGCCTGTAATCCCAGCTACTTGGGAGGTTGAGGCAGGAGAATCACTTGAACCCGGGAGGTGGAGGTTGCAGTGAGCCGAGATCGCAACATTGCACTCCAGCCTGGGCAAGAGAGCTGGGCAAGTGTCTAATTTTTGTACTTTCAGTAGAGATGGGTTTTCGCCATGTTGCCCAGCCTGGTCTCTGACTCCTGACCTCAGGTGATCCGCCCGCCTCGGCCTCCTAAAGTGCTGGGATTACAGGCGTGAGCCACCACACCCGGCCCCACCTCAGCCTTTCTAGTTGCTGGGACCACAGGCATGCACCACCTTGCCAGGCTATTATTTTTAAGATATTTTTTGTAGAGTCTGTTGCCCAGGCTGGTCTTGAACTCCCAAGCTCAAGTGATCCTCCTGCTTAGTCTCCCAAAGTGCTGGGATTACAGGTATGAGCTACCACACCCAGCCTATAAACCACATTTTTGTGTATAGCTCCATCCAGGGCACTAGCAACTAAAGATGGGGATCCTCCGAAAGGGGAAATTGTCAAAACTCCTTAGAGCAAGTGCACCAAGGATGTAAATTAGAACAAAATCTGCTGTACATTTGGATTTAACAATTCCTCAAAAATGGTATCCTCCATGTCTTTGGCCTAGCTTAATACACACTGTGCAGACCACAGTTTTGCCTAGAAAATAGTGTTTTCTCAATCCAGTCAATTTCATGCAGTATTTTCATGCTAAAATGCATTAGATGTATTTTTGGAGCCATATCTTAAAGTTACTCAACTCTACTGTCATAGCATAAACTCAAATTCTGTTACCACACCCTGTGGTTTAAAAAGAGAAATTGAGGCCTGGCGTGGTGTCTCATGCCTGTAATCCCAGCACTTTGGGAGACCAAGGCAGGAGTATCCCTTGAGTCTAGGAGTTCAAGACACTCCTGGGCAACATGGTGATACCCTAACTCTATAAAAAATACGCAGAATAGTCTGGATAATGGAGCCTTTGGAGAAAAAGTCTTAAAAAAGAAAAGAAAAGAAAAAACAAAACAAAAACAAGCAAACAAAAAAAAACTGGTCGAGCATGGGGGTGCATGCCTGCAGTCTCAGCTACTAGGGAGGCTGAGGTGGGAGGATCACTTGAGCCCGGGAAGTCGAGGCTGCAGTGAGCCGTGATACCACCACTGCAGTCCAGGCTGGGTGACAGAGTGAGACCCTGTCTCAAAAAAAAAATAAGACCAGGTGTGGTGGCTCATGCCTGTAATCCCAACACTTTGGGAAGCGGAGGTGGGTGGATCACCTGAGGTCAGGAGTTCAAGACCAGCCTGGCCAACATGATGAAACCCCGTCTCTACTAAAAATCCAAAAATTAGCTGAGCATGGTGGTGTGCATCTGTAGTCCCAGCTACTCGGGAGGCTAAGCCAGGAGAATCGCTTGACCAGGGAGGTGGAGGTTGCAGTGAGCCGAGACGATGTCACTGTCCTCCAACCTGAGCAACAGAGTGAGACTCCATCTCAAAAAAAAATAAAAATTTAAAAATTTAAAAAAGAAAATGAAAAATAAAAAGAGAAGCTGATGCATAAATGATAACTGCTGATCACTGTAGTTGCCTAAATCCTAATAAAGTGTTTATCAGAGCAGGCTGACAGCTCAGACTGTCTGCAGAATGCATTCCCTTGCAGCTGTAGGACTCGTGGCATTTCGCATCTTCAGAGCCAATAAGGAGAGTAAGATTCTAGAGTGAGTCACTCATACAACAGGGGCCTCACAATGTGATGTCATCATGGGAGCCATGGACATCAGCTCTGCCATGCTCTACTGGGTGGAAACAGGTCACTCACGGTTTGAATACCAGGAATGGGACCCAGCTGCAAAGACGCTGCTCCAGCATGAGGTGATGGAGGCGTCGTGCTGCTGCTAACAAAAAATTGAGCATTAGACAGGAGGGGACATGGTCACTGGACAGGGCCTTGTTCATGAACCTCGATGCGGGTGGTGGGCTGAATTCTAAGATGGTCCCGAGAGGCACTCACCTTTTGGTTTTTGGGGGGTTTTTTGTTTGCTTGTTTTTGTTTTTGAGATGGAGTTTTGTCTTGTCACCCAGGCTAGGGTGCAATGGCACAATCTTGGCTCACCGCAACCTCCTCCTCCCGGGTTCAAGCGATTCTCCTGCCTCAGACCCCGGAATAGCTGGGATTACAGGCATGCGCCACCACACCCGGCTAATTTTGTATTTTTAGTAGAGACGGGGTTTCTCCATGTTGGTCAGGCTGGTCTGAAACTCCCGACCTCAGATGATCCGCCTGCCTCGGCCTCCCAAAGTGCTGGGATTACAGGCGTGAGCCACTTGCCCCCGGCTGGCACTCACCTTTTGTAATCTTTCCCTTGAGTGTGGTGGGAGCTGTGAAGACGATGACATTGTCTTACGTAAGACCCCATAGTAGCCACGAGACTTCCCTGGCAGCCTGAAGATGGAGGCTGCGGTATTGTGAGACCACGGGGGTTCCATGGTAGGGACATGAGGGTGGCCGCTAGGACCCGAAAGAAAGCCTAGACAACAGCTGGGAAGAAAGCGTGGCCTCCAGTGCTATAGCTGTAGAAATGCATTCCACCAACAACCAGTGGCTTGGAAGAGGGAGCCTAAGCCTCAGATGATAGAGCAGCCATGACCGACACCTGATTTCTGCCTGGTGGGACCCTAAGCAGAGACCCCGCCAGCCTTACGTGTACTCCTGACCCACAAAAACTGTGTGATAAGTGGGCGTTGTTGTAAGCCACTACACTTATGGCCAAGTTTTTACACAGCAATTGAATACATCATGCATACACACACAAACACACAAAATGTTTCCATCTGCCACTTCTGATACCACAGCTGACACGTCCACCTTGCCCTTTGACCTAGTCACTGGGTCTCTGAACCAGGGAAATGAGACCAAAGAAACAGCAGCCATGGATCAAGAATGAGAACACCCAGTCCCTTGAAAGCAGAGGCTATGAACTATTGGCTCAGACACCAAACCTCCCCTGCCCATACCATGTTTGTTTGGCCCACAGTAATTTTTCTTAACTTTTTCTTTTGAAATAATAGTAGGTTCACAGGAAGTTGCAAAGGTGGCACTGAGAGGTCCCGTGTGCTCTTCACCCAGTTTCCTCCTGTGGTTGCGTCTTAGGTAAGTCAATCCCAAAACCAGGGAGGTGACGCGGAGCAACGTGTGTTTGCAGAGCTCTGGGCTGTTTTATCCCCCGCATGGATTCTGGTAATCACCACCACCAACAAGATACAGAAGGGCTGGGCGTGGTGGTGCACGCCTCCCAGCATTTTGGGAGGCCTAGGCGAGAAGATCACTTGAGCCCAGGAGTTTGAGACCAGCCTGGGTAACATAGTGAGACCGTGTCTCTGCAAAAAATACAAAAATTATCTGGGCATGGTGGCTTGCACCTGTAGTCCTAGGTATTCAGGAAGCTGTGCAGGAGGATTGCTTGAGCCTGGGAGGTCGAGGCTGCAGTGAGCTGAGATTGCACCGCTGCACTCCAGCCTGGGCAACAGAGTGAGACCCTGTCTCAAAAATTTTTTTAAAAAATGATCTTTATGTTAGGGCTATGTAAAAACAAAGAAGGAAAAGAAGATACAGAAGTGTCCTGTGCACCGAGCTGCCTTCCCCCACCATCCCTAACCCCCGGCAACCACTAATTTCCACCTCTGTAATTTTGTTGTGAGAGTGTTCTATAAGTGGAATCATACAGTCTGCGACCTTTTGAGAGGGGCTCTTTTCACTTAGCCTAACTCCTTTGAGGTCCCTGGTTGTTACCCACACCATGAGTTCAAGTCTTTCTGTCACTGAGTACCACGTGTCCCACTTTGTTGAACCATCCCCTTATGGAGGGACACGTAGGTTGTTTCAAAAAGCTTTGGTATTATAAACAGCTGCTATGGAGAATCACGCACAGGCTCTCGTGTGGACACGAGTCTTCATGACTCTGGGATAAATGCCCAGAAGTACAATTTCTGGATCATGGAGTAAGTGCATTTCAGCCCACAGTAATTTTTTTGAAAGTTTGAATTAGAGGCTGATAGAGTCTGGCTCTGTGTCCCCACCCAAATCTCATCTTGAATTGTAATCCAAATTGTAATCCCCACGTGTTGGGGGACAGACCTTGTGGGAGGTGATTGAATCATGGGGGTACTTCCCCAGGGCTGTTCTCATGATATTGACTGCGTTCTCATGAGACCTGATGGTTTCGTGAGGGCTTTTCTCCCCTTTGCTCCGCACTTCTGTCATTCTCCTCCTTGCTGCCACCATGTGAAGAAGGATGCATTTGCTTCCCCTTCTGCCATGATTGTAAGTTTCCTGAGGCCTCCCCAGCCCTGTGGAACAGTGAGTCAGTTAAACTTCTTTCCTTTATAAATTACCCAGTTTTGGGTATTTCTTTATAGCAGCGTGAGAACGGACTAATACAGTGGCCAACATTTTACAATGAAATTTCACATTATATTCTAATGTATTCTAATGGGAGAGATAGATAGCAAACCATAAGTACCGATAATATGCAAATAATTACAATGGGGGATGTATCACAATGGATTTAAACCCTTTGTATTTTCCCACTGTGCTCACAGTGGTGTTCAATCCCACTCCGCTGGCCTGCAGGTGCCCACAGGTCCTGGTCCCCTCCTAGCTCTGTGAATAGTCCCCTCCCAGCTGCATGTGCCAAGCTCATTTCTGCCTCAGGGACTTTGCACAGGCTTCCTTCCCTGGCATGTTTCCTCCAGATACCACATTGCTGGCTAGTAGGCTTGTGACTTTGGTCTTTGCTCAGCGGTCACCCCTCAGGGTGGCTCTCCCTGGCAACCCAGCTAACGGGGCCCCTCCCATCTCTCCTATCACATCCTCCGACTTTCTTTTTTTTTTTCTTTCTTTTTTTTCTTTTTCTTTTTTTTAATTATACTTTAAGTTTTAGGGTACATGTGCACATTGTGCAGGTTAGTTACATATGTATACATGTGCCATGCTGGTGTGCTGCACCCACTAACTCTTCATCTAGCATTAGGTATATCTCCCAATGCTATCCCTCCCCCCTCCCCCCACCCTCTTTTTTTTTTTTTTTTCTTTTTGCAGCACCTATTACTATGGGACATTATGCTTTCTGTTAACCTGTTTCTTGTTTCTGCCTTCTCCCCATAGACAGGGACTGTGATATTGTAATTCATAATCAGAAATAAATATTTGGTCTTCATCCCTCCCCCTGTCCTGGCATCCAACTCCTAAACCCCTTGGAATTTCCCAAGTGATGTCTGGTGGCTGAGGGCACTTGGACAGCCTCGGGATGGAATAACCTGTGATTTTTTTAATCACAGGTTAAAAAATCTGTGATTGGAGGGTTGGAGCTTTCAGTCCCACCCTTCAACCTCCGGGGAGGAGAGAGGGGCTGAAGTTTGAGTCGATCACCATTGACCAGTGATGTAATCAGTAATGCCTATGTAATAAAGCCTCCATAAAAACCCAAGGGACAGAGTGTGAGGAACCTCTGGATAGCTGAGCATCTGGAGGTTCATGGAAGGTGGCGCTCCTGGGGAGGACATGGAGGCTCCGCCCCCTTCCCCCTCGCCATGCCTTGTGTACCTCTTCCGGCTGGCTGATCATCTGTATCCCTTGCAATATCCTTTACAATAAAAAAACAAGGCGGCTGGGCGTGGTGGCTCACGCCTGTAATCCCAGCACTTTGGGAGGCTGAGGCGGGCGGATCACGAGGTCAAGAGATTGAGAACATCCTGGCCAACATGGTGAAACCACGTCTCTACTAAAAATACAAAAAATCCCAGCACTTTGGGAGGCCAAGGTGGGCGGATCATGAGGTCAGGAGACCGAGACCATCCTGGCTAACACAGTGAAACCCTGTCTCTACTAAAAATACAAAAAATTAGCCGGGCGTGGTGGTGGGCGCCTGTAGTCCCAGCTATTTGGGAGGCCGAGGCAGGAGAATCACTTGAACCCGAGAGGCAGAGGTTGCAGTGAGCTGAGATTGCACCACTGCACTCCAGCCTGGGCAACAGAACAAGACTCCATCTCAAACAAACAAACAAACAAAAAAACATGACTAGTGTCTCTCTGAGTTCTGTGAGCCACGGTAGCAAATTAATCAAGCCAGAGAAGCAGGTCATGAAAACTCTCAATCTCTACCCGCTTGGTTAGAGATTCAGCCTGGGACTTGTGGGTGTTGCCTGAAGTGGGAGGCAGTCTTGGGACTGAGTCTTCATCCTGTGGGATCTGATGCTGTCTCCAGGTAGGTAGTGTCAGAATTGAATTGGAGGACCCCCAGCTGGTGTCTGCTGGGGAATTGCTTGATGTGTAGGAAACAGCCCCACTGACACACACGTATACATTATAGTAACCAAAGGTAGAATGTGGTGAGTGTGAGAGCATGAACAATGGTTTTGTTTCTCGTCTTCTTTTTTTTTTTCTTTTTGAGACAGAGTCTCACTCTGTTGCCCAGGCTGGAGTGCAGTGGCGCCATCTCGGCTCACTGCAATCTCCGCCTCCTGGGTTCAAGTGATTCTCCTGCCTCAGCCTCCTGAGTAGCTGGGATTACGATTGTGCACCACCACGCCCGGCTAATTTTTGTACTTGTAGTAGAGACGAGGTTTCCCTGTGTTGGCCAGGCTGGTCTTGAACTCCTGACCTCAAGTGATCCGCCCACTTCGGCCTCCCAAAGTGCTGGGATTACAGGCATGAGCCACCACACCTGGCCTCTCTTGTCTTTCACAGGACAGTGTCTATTGTATTTATTGCCATATTCTCAGCATCTGGGACAGGGCTTGGCATGTAACAGGTACTCAGTATAAAGTTTTAATTTTTGTTGTTGTTTTTTGTTTGCTTGCTTGCTTTTGAGTCAGAGTCTGGCTCTGTCTCCCAGGCTGGAGTGCAGTGGTTCAATCTCAGCACACTGCAACCTGCTCCTCCTGGGTTCAAGGATTCTCCTGTCTCAGCCTCCCAAGTAGCTGGGATTACAGGCACATGCCATCACGCCCGGCTAGTTTTTGTATTTTTAGTAGAAACAGGGTTTCACCATATTTGTCAGGCTGGTCTCGAACTCCTGACCTCAGGTGATCCACCTGCCTTGGCCTCTCAAAGAGCTGGGATTACAGGCGTGAGCCACCGCGCCTGGCCGAGTTTTAAAAACTGTCAGACTTGCCCGGCGCCGTGGCTCACGCTTGTAATCCCAGCACTTTGGGAGGCCGAGGCGGGTGGATCATGAGGTCAGGAGATTGAGACCATCCTGGCTAATACGGTGAAACCCCGTCTCTACTAAAAATACAAAAAAAAAAATTAGCCGGGCGTGGTGGCGGGCGCCTGTAGTCCCAGCTACTCGGGAGGCTGAGGCAGGAGAATGGCGTGAACCCGGGAGGCGGAGCTTGCAGTGAGCCGAGATCGCGCCACTGCACTCCAGCCTGGGCGACAGTGCGAGACTCCGTCTCAAAAAAAAAAAACACAAAAAAAAACCTGTCAGACTTACGGAAAGGTTGCAATAGTGCAGAGTTCCTGTGCCCCTCTCATCCAGCTGTCTCTGAACTTAACATCCTACACAACTGCAGTACAATTGTGAAAACCAAGAAATGTGATATTGGTACAGCACTGTTAACAATTTTATTTGAATTTCCTTCAGGAATAAAATTCACTCCATGAATGTGCACCCAGAATGCATTGACTTATCCCTCCTTAGTCTCCTCCAGCCTGGAACAGTCCTCAGTCTTCCCTCATCTTCTATGACCTTGATAGTGATCAGTTGTTTGGTACAGTGGAACCTCGAGCAACACAGAAGTTAAGGGTACCCCTAGCCCCATGCTGTCGAAAACCCATGTTTAACATTTGTTTTTGTTTTCGTTCTGGAGACAGTCTTGCTCTGTCACTCAGCCTAGAGTTCAGTGGCGCGATCTTGTCTCACTACAACCTCCGCCTCCCGGGTTCAAGCAATTCTCTTACCTTTGCCTCCCAAGTAGCTGGGATTACAGGCATGCACCACCATGCCTGGCTAGTTTTTGTATTTTTTGGTAGAGATGGGGTTTCACCGTGTTGCACAGGCTGGCCTCAAACTCCTGAGCTCAGGCAATCCACCCTCCTTGGCTTCCCAAAGTGCTAGGATTACAGGCGTGAGCCACCACACCCGACCACCATGTTTAACATTTGGTTTTTGTTGTTTCTGAGACAGGGTCTTGCTCTGTTACCCAAGCTGGAATGCTGTGGTGTGATCTCAGCTCACGGCAGCCTCAAGCTCCTGGGCTCAAATGATCCTCCCACCTCAGTTTCCTGAGGAGCTGGGACTACAGGCATGCACCACCACGCCCAGCTACTTTTTCAAAATTTTTTGTAGAAACAGGGTCTCATTATGTTGCCCAAGCTAGTTTTGAACGCCTAGGCTCAAGTGATCCTCCCACCTCAGCATCCCAAAGTGCTGGGGTTATAAGTGTGAGCCACTATGCTTGGCCCATGTTTAACATTGGACTCCCCAAAAACATAACTACTAATAGCCTACTACTGACTGCCTTACTGATAACATAAACAGTTGATTAATACATGTTTTGTATATTATATGGATTATATACAGTATTCTTACAATAAAGTAAGCTAGAGAAAAAAATTATTCATAAATCAAGAAAAAAATACATTCACTGTTCCCAAAGTGGAAGTGGATCATCGTAAAGGTCTTCGTCCTCGTCATCTTCACATTGAGTTGGCTGAGGAGGGAGAGGAAGAGGAGGGGTTGGTCTTGCTGTCTCAGGTGTGGTGGTGAAGGAAGAAAATCTGAGCATAGGTGGACCCGCAGTTCAAACGTGTGTGGTTCAACAGTCAATTGTACAATGAAGAATGGCGATCGGCTATTCAGTAGAATGTCCCTCGATGTGGGTTCGAAGGGTGTTTTCTCATGATAGGAACGCGGTTGTATGTGTGTGGCAGTGATGCTGGGGAAGCGCTGTGGTGGCCTTCTCAGTGCCCCGGACCAGGGGTTCATGTTGTGTTTGTGCCCCTCACAGTGGACATTAGCTGTGCTCATTGGACGATACTGGTGTTCACTGGGCTATGATGGGTGTCTGCTCTGGAAGGGTATTTTTCCCCGTTGTTGTTAATAAATGCATTAGGGGAACTACTTTGAATTTGCACCAATCCTGCCTCCTTAGCCTTCCACCCACTAAGCTGAGCATGCATCGGTGGGCCTTGGCTGCAACAACTATTTCCGCAGGGTTTGGTGCTTACCTAATGGTGATTTCAATTTTCCTCTCCTTCTACATTTTTTATTGATTGGAATTCTGCTGTAAGGAAGAGCTGTTCCTTCGCTGTTGATTGATGGATGGATTTCAGTATGGACTTATGGGTGTTTATTTTATTCTATTAAAATCTGATGTTTTTGTTATTTTCTGGCTTCAACCTTGCCACCTTTGGCATTAGGAGCTCCTTTGGGTTGGCACTTGTGTTATGTGAGCAAGCCCCTTCCTCTTCTGAGCAATTCCTTACTTTCTGGCAACCCAAGATGCTCCATGCTCATCTGGTTCATTGCCTGCCTTCGTCCTGGAATCAGCCACTTCCCCAAGGGGCCAGGTTCCTTTTCTTGGAGAATGGTGTTTAGAAGCCAGGACCTGGTTACTGGGTGTGCTTGTTGCTATTGGGCTGCTATTGCTCTTAGGCCATCTTGTAGGAAATATAAATGGGTGTATGAAGCCTCTCCCCGAACACAGCTATGGTTCTGCATCTGTCTGGGTGTATGAATGTGAAATACCATGATTCTATGCTGACCTCTCCATTCTAGAAAGACACTTCAGGTTCATTCCAGCCATCCTCCTTCCCCTTCTTTACAGCTTCTTTCTCCAGCAGCAGGAAACCTGGCTTTCATGATCTATATTTACTTATATGTTTGATATAGTTTGGATCTGTGTCCCCGCTGAAATCTCATATTGAAGTGTAATCCCCCATGTTGGAGGTAGGGCATGGTGGGAGGTGATTGGATCATGGGGGTGGATTTCTCATGAATGGTTTGGCACCATCCCCTTGGTGCTGTTCTCATGACAGTGAGTGAGTTCTTGTGAGATCTGGTTGTTTAAAAGTGTGTGGCATCTCCCCTCACCCCCTTGCTCCTCCTCTGGCCATGTGACGTAGCTGCCCCTCCTTTGCCTTCCACCGTGACTGTAAGTTTCCTGAGGCCTTCCTAGAAGCCCAGCAGATGCCAGCACCATGCTTCCTGTACAGCCTGCAGAACTGTGAGCCAATTAAGCCTCTTTTCTTTACAAATTACCCAGTGTCAGGTATTTCTTTATAGCAATCCTAATATAGTGTTCAATTCTAGTACACATACAAAGAGTTGCAAACCCATAGCCCATTAAGAACATATGTATTAACTAGATTGCACATTTGGGGACAGCTCATTTCATCTTGAGCCTCACAGTATCCAGTCACGATGTTATCTTCTAAAGTTACTCAGTGTGGCTGGGCATGGTAGCTCACACCTGTAACCCCAGCACATTGGGAGGCCAAGGTGGGGGTGGATCACTTGAGGTCAGAGTTCGAGACCAGCCTGACCAACATGGTGAAACCCCATCTCTACTAAAAACACAAAAATTACCCAGGCATGGTGGCACGCACCTGTAATCCCAGATACTCAGGAGGCTGAGGCAGCAGAATCACTTGAACCCGAAAGGTGAAGGTTGCAGTGAGCCGAGATCGTGCCACTGCACTCCAGCCTGGGTGACAGAGCGAGACTCAGTTTCAAACCAAAAAAAAACCCAAAGTTACTTAATGCGTTTTTCCTTCCCTGGCCCCTTTAGGTGGTTGTGTTACTTATTTGTTGTTTGTAGTTTTGTGTGTTTTTTAGAGACACTGTCTTGCTCTGTTGCCCATGCTGGGGTGCAGAGGTATGATTATAGTTCACTGCAGCCTTGACCTCCCGGGCTCAAGCTATCCTCTTACCTCGGCCTCCTGAGTAGCTGGAACTACAGGTGTGCAACACCACGCCTGGCTATTTTTTTTTTTTTTTATTTTTTGTAGAGATGGGGTCTCATTTCATTTGTTATTTGTTAGGTTCATTTGTTAGTGTTTGTATTTCATTTTGGGTTCCTTTTGGATATGGCATGAACAGTAGATACTATGGGCCTGCCACGGTGGCTCACGCCTGTAATCCCAGCACTTTGGGAGGCCGAGGTGGGTGGATCACCTGAGGTCAGGAGTTCAAGACCAGACTGGCCAACATGGTGAAACTCTGTCTCTACTAAAAATACAAAATTTCGCTAGGCATGGTGGCACACGCCTTTAATCCCAGCTACTTAAGATGCTGAGGCACAAGGATTGCTTGATCCTGGGAGGCAGAGGTTGCAGTGAGCCAAGATCTCACCACTGCACTTCAGCCTGGGCAACAGAGTGAGACTCCATCTCAAAAAAAAAAAAAAAAAAAAAGAGTAGACACTATGGATATTCTTTTGGACTTTGCTCTTTTTCGCTTGGCAGTGTGTCCACAGGTTACTACTCCATGTCAGCTCACAGAGGTCTTTCTCTTCTTTTTTTCCAGTTGTACAGAACTTCATTGTGTGAACGTGCCATAGTTTACACAGCTGTGCTCTCAGATATGAACACGCAGGGAGCATCCAAACATTTGAAATGACAAACAACAGTGCAGGGCCTAACCTTGTGCCTGTGTATTTTGGTATTGCTGAAGCTGTAATTTCAGGGTAGATACCTAGAAGAGTGATCGTAGGTTAGAAAGGTAAGTGCATATGCAGTTGTGTTAGGTATTGCCAAATTTCCCTTTAAAAGGATTGTGCCAATTTGTATTCTCACAAGAGATGCTAGTACAAGTGTTGAGACTGATGTGTGGCTAGATGGCTGGAGAGCTGGCTGACATCTCACCCCGCAGCATCAATGTTAGAACCGGTGCTTACGCGGCTTGCAGTTACTAGAGAGAGCCACTAGATGGCAGATACAGCCCATCACAGACAACAGTGAGCACACCTTTTTCCAGATTTTGCTTCAGGGGCCTTTGATAACAATTGTGTAAGTTGAAGTAATAGAATGTTTCTAAATGACTAATAGCACAACAACTAGCTGTTTTGTAGGTTGTTTTTTGTTTTTTTGAGACAGTCTCGCTCTCTTGTGCAGGCTGGAGTGCAGTAGCTTGATCTTGGCTCACTGCAGCCTCTACCTAACCTCCGAGTCCAAGTGATCCTCCTGCCTCAGCCTCCCGAGTAGCTGGACTACAGGCACATGCCACCATGCCCAGCTAATTTTATTAATTTTTTGTAGAGACAGGGTTTCACTATGTTGCCCAGGCTGGTCTCAAACTCCTGGCCTCAAGTGATCCTCCTGTCTCGGCCTCCCAAAGTGCTGGGATTACAGGCATGAGCCACCACTCAGGCCACAACTAGCATTTGTAATACTAGTAGGAACAGTAACATTATTTTTATTAGCAAGTAACATTTTTCATTTGATTATTCATTCATACAGTAAGTGTATATTTGTTCTATGTGCTGTTATAGGCACTGGGATGAAGAGATTTAAAAACAAACACAACCATCAGCCTGCATAGAGCTTTCATTCTCCTGGGGGAGAGAGACAGTAAGGAAATACAAAAGCCAAATACATAGTCTATTGGGGAGCGTAGGTGCTATGGAGAAAGCACAGAAGGGGAATAGGGTGTGTGTGCGTGCCTGTGTGCACATATATGTGCATGCGTGCATGTGTGTGTGTGTGTGTGTGTGTATGTGGTGAGCAGGGTAGTTAGTTTACAACCTTAAACAATGTGATCAGGGAAGGGCTCACTGAGAAGCAGCTGACTGAGAGAGGAAGCTGTAAGGACAAGCTGGGAGGGGAGGGTGTACGGCAGGAGGAATGGGCCAGCAGAGAGCCCGCAGCAGGAGCAGCCTGGCATGATGGAGGTGCCAGTGCAGGGAGAGAAGGCGCGAGCAGCGTTGGAGCGGGGTGTGGACCTTGGAGACCCTGTAGGCTACTGAAAGGACTTTGGATTTGTCCCCGTGAGAAAGGAGAGCCATGGGAGAGTAAATCAAATCCCTCAGAAGCCCAGAAAGCAGCTGTCCTCAGCTCACTCCTCTCACCGCAGATCACCCATTCACCAGGTACTTACTGATGGCTACCATGGGCCAGATGTGATCCCAGGATTTGATCGTGAGAGGAGCTTGTGTCAGAGTGTGTGAACCAGAGCAACTCCATCTTAAACAGGAGCTGGGTAAAATGAGGCTGAAACCTACTGGGCTGCATTCCCAGATGGTGAAGGCATTCTAAGTCACAGGATGAGATAGGAGGTCAGCACAAAATACAGGTCATAAAGACCTTGCTGATAAAACAGGTTGCAGTAAAGGAGCCAGCCAAAACCCACCAAAACCAAAATAGCAAAAAGAGTGACCTCTGGTCATCCTCACTGCTACACTCCCACCAGCACCATGACAGTTTACAAATGCCATGGCAACGTCAGGAAGTTACCCTATAGGGTCTAAAAGGGGGAGGCATGAATAATCCACCCCTTGTTTAGCATATCATCAAGAAATAACCATGAAAATGCACAACCAGCAGCCCTCGGGCCTGCTCTGTCTATGGAGTAGCCATTCTTTATTCCTTTACTTTCCTAATAAATTTGCTTTCACTTTACTCTATGGACTCACCCTGAATTCTTTCTTGCACGAGATCCAAGAACCCTCTCTGGGGGTCTGGATCAGGACCCCTTTCCTGTAACACTTGGACTCTGGACCCAGCGGGCTCTGACAATCTGGGAGTGGCGGGCAACAAGCCTTCCTTCCCAGAAAGGGCACACGTGCAGTCAGGTAGGGCTGTGTACCACTCTGAAATGGACCAGAAGGTCTGTGGAGGCCATTGGCAGAAAACTAGCCTGTGCAGGGTGCCCTTCAGGGGGTCCTCAGGCTCTGATCATGTTTGAGCTACTTAACAGTTCTGTAGGCTGGGCGCAGTGGCTCATGTCTGTAATCCCAGCACTTTGGGAGGCGGAGGTGGGCAGATAACCTGAGGTCAGAAGTTTAAGACCAGCCTGGCCAACATGGTGAAACCCCATCTCTACTAAAAATACAAAAACTAGCCAGGTGTGGTGGCAGGCACCTGCAATCCTAACCACTCAGGAGGCTGAGGCAGGAGAATCACTTGAATCAGGGAGGTGGAGGTTGCAGTGAACTTAGATCACGCCACTGCCCTCTGGCCTGGGTGACAGAGTGAGACTTTATCTCAAAAATAAAAAAGAAAAGAAAAAAAGGGAACAGAAACTGTGTGACTTGGACAGTGGGCACAACTTTGGGTTCCCCACCCTGCCCATTCAGCCTGGTCTCAGCCCACCTACCTTGCCAGACATCCATTTGTTCTCTAAATATTAACTGACTCCCATGAGCCAAGCAGGCTCTCAGCACTGAGCATGCAGAGGTAATAGAATCCTATGAGTTGTCAGCCTCTTAGAGGCTGTTAGACAACGGGGAGCAGACAACAGCAATGACACGGGAATATACAATAGCATGTCAGGAGAAGATCAGCCTAGAAAGAAGGATGCACCAGGAGGAGGGGCTCCTGGGCTTCATGGTCAGGGAAGACCTTTAAGAGGACACTTTGGAACAGAGCATGCACAGAAAGTACAAAGGTCCTGAGCCCCGCTCCTGCCTACCAAGGGTACACGCTGCCCTTAATTACACATTCATTACCATTGCGACTGGGTTTCTGACTCACAGCATTAAAGGAGAAGCTTCGGGAGGGCACAACCCACCACCATCGGGTCTCCACTGCCAAGCCTAGGCAATGCCTGGCTCACAGTAAATGCTTAACAAATGAGTTATTATAATAATACAAAAATATAAACATGAGTTATTATCATAACTCATTTATTATATAATATTATATATTAGTTTTATATATTACATAACTAATACAACAAATATAACTAATAATTTCACAATGTGACCTTGAAACATTAACCAAATTTTTTTGTTTTTGTTTTTGAGACAGGGTCTCGATCTCTCACCCAGGCTGGGGTACAATGATGTGGTCTTGGCTCACTGCAGCCTTGATCTCCTGGGCTCAAGCGATCCTCCAACTTCAGCCCCCTGAGTAGCTGGGACTACAGGTGCATACCACCACGCTGGGCTAATTTTTAAATTTTTTGTAGAGACGGGTCTCACTTTGTTGCATAGGCTGGTCTCAAACTCCTGAACTCAAGCAATCCTCCTGCCTTGGCCTCCCAAACTGCTAGGATTACAGGCATAAGCCACTGCACCTGGCCACTCAATACATAAACTAAGATATTAATTTGCATAAGCCAACCTTACTATATTAGCCCTTATCTTCCATTAGTTCTCCCATTTCCTGGTCACTTTCCTACAGTTTATCATTGCTTGAAACCCAAACCTTATTTCCTTTGTTAAAATGCTATATAAGGTCAGGCACAGTGGTTCACGCCTGTAATCCCAGCACTTTGGGAGCCCAAGGGGGATCATCTGAGGTCAGGAGTTTGAGACCAGCCTGGCCAACATGGTGAAACCCTATCTCTACTAAAAATACAAAAATTAGCCGGGCGTGTTGGCGGTGCCTGTAGTCCCAGCTACTCCGGAGGCTGAGGCAGGAGAATGGCTTGAGCATGGGAGGCAGAGGTTGCAGTGAGCTGAGATCACACCACTGCACTGTAGCCTGGGCAACAGAGCAAGACTCTGTGTCAAAAATAAAAGTTATATAAGCCTGAATCTAACCATTTCTTTGAGTTTTACTTCTTTTCTATAAATTCTCATGCATGTAAATATTAACAAAAATTATATGCTTTTTCTCCTGTTAATCTGTCTTTTGTTACTTTAATTTGCAGATCCCAGGTACCGAACTGAAGATGGTAGAGGAAAAGTTTTTCCTGCTTAACATATTCAACTCTCTACCCTCAATATATTTGGCTGTTATTATTCTGGTTTACATGTATCATAATTTAACCAGTTCCCTACTGGTGGATGTCTAGGTTTCCCCGATGTTTTGCTATTAAAAACACACATGGTACACGTTTTTCTAGATCGGGCAGGGTTTGCCCATCTCCACTTCAAGCAGCACAACCACCATCTGCCAGTGTTGGGGTTTACTCTACAGTCAGCAAACACTGTTGGCACATCCAGTCAGAGAAACTGAAAACAGAAAGCAGAAATGGCTTACACTGGACTAATTTTAGAATTTCTAAGTACATTTAAGTGATGACTCATCCCACTTAAATTCAAAGCTGTTTGTTGTGCCATCTGGCTCATCAGAACATGAAAGACTTCTCCTGCAACCTGGAAAAAGGCCAGAGAGGAAGACGAATGGAGGAGTCAACCCCATGGGAATGCTGACTGAGTGTTAGCTCCCCGTGGACAGGAATGTCACTGCATGAATAGGCTGCAGTATGTCTGGGCCTGTTTTTTTTTCATAAAATGTTCCCCCCCTGTTTTTTTCTTATTCCAAAGCAATGCAACAAAAAGCACAAGAAATCAAAAAGGAAAAAATAGATATTGGACTTCATCAAAATGAAAAACTTTTGTGCTTCAAAGGAAATGGAAAGAAAGTGAAAAAACAACTGAGGGAATGGAAGAAAATATTCTCAAATCATCATCTAACAAAGGTTGTGTTAGTCTGTTCAGGTTGCTGTAACAAAATATCATTTCAGGTCACCAGGTGGCTTAAACAACAGATTCAGTTGGCCCTCCGTATCCATGGGTTTCAGGCCTTCGACTTCAACCAACCTCAAATAAAAAATATTTTTAAAACCCAATACGGCCGAGTGCGGTGCCTCATGCCTGTAATCATAGCACTTTGGGAGGCCGAGGCGGGGGGATCACTTGAGGTCAGGAGTTCAAGACCATCCTGGCCAATACATAGTGAAACCCTGTCTCTCCTAAAAATACAAAAATTAGCTGGGCATGGTGGCGGGTGCCTGTAATCCCAGCTACTTGGGAGGCTGAGGCAGGAGAATCGCTGGAACCCCGGAGGCAGAGGTTGCAGTGAGCCGAGATCGCACCATTGCACTCCAGCCTAGGAGACAGAGCCTTCTGTCTCTAAAAAAAAAAAAAGAAAGAAAAAGCCAGTACAGCAATAAAAAATAATAAAAATCTTAAAACAATGTAGCATATTGTTTTAAACTATTTAAACTACAATTACTTACATAGCATTTACATTTATAAGTAATCTAGAGATCATTTAAAGTACACAGGAGGATATGTGTAAGTTATGCGCAAATACTACACAATTTTATATCAGGGACCTGATCATCTTTGTTTTTTTTGTTTTGTTTTTTGTTTTTTGAGACTGAGTCTTGCTCTGTCACCCAGGCTGGAGTGCAGTGGCATGATCTCAGTTTACTGCAACCTCCACCTCCTGGGCTCAAGCAATCCTCCTGCCTCAGCCTCCCGAGTAGCTGGAACTACAGGCATGCGCCACCATGCCTGGCTAATTTTTGTAGTTTTAGTAGAGAAGCGGTTTCACCATGTTGGCCAAGCTGGTCTTGAACTCCTGGCCTAACGTGATTCGCCTGTCTTGGCCTCCCAAAGTGCTGGGATTACAGGCGTGAACCACTGTGTCAGACAGAGTAGACTCCGTCTTAAAGAAAAAAAAGTTTTGGTGCCATTCCATGCAACGTGGAGAGAAATGTCGCATTCAGGAGGGAAGGCTCCCAGACACTTAACTCTCCACTCCAGGCCAGCTTTCTGGAGGCACCAGGGCTTTGTCAACGCATAGATGAGGAGTCAGCCATTGAGTGTGACAGTGTGAGGCAGTGGAGAAGGCATAGAAGCTGGAAGCTGGAAGTCCTGCCTTCCTAAACCACAGCTGCTTCTTACCAGCTGTGTTACCTTAAGTAGGTCCCTTAACCTCTCTGAATCTCATCGCAAAGTGCTTTTCGAATAGAGCAGGATCATTGAGAGGATTCAGTGAAGTATTTACTCTTGAAACCCTTAGCATGGAGCCTGGCAAGTACCAGGTGCTTAGGAACAATCCTTCATTATCACACCAAAAAAGGTGCTGTGGACACCCAAGGAAACAAAATCCCTTCGATAAAGAATTTTAAAATTTTAGTCTTATGAACCGTGCTATGTATTCTCCTGCCTTTTTGACAGAATAGACTGAACATCCTTTAACCTTTTTTGATGGTGCAAGATCATCTCTTATAAGACAAAAATTCAGGCCAGGCATGGTGGCTCATGCCTGTAATCCCAGCACTTTGGGAGGCTGAGGTGGGTGGATGGCTTCAGTCCAGGAGTTCGAGACTAGCCTGGGCAACATAAGTGAGACCCTGTCTCTACAAAAAATACAAAACTTAGCCAGATGTTTTGGTGTGCACCTGTGGTCCCAGCTACTCAAGAGGCTGATGTGGAAAGATGGTTTGAGCTCGGGAGGCAGAGGTTGCAGTGAGCCAAGATTTTGCCACTGCACTCCAGCCTGGTGACAGAGCAAGACTCCATCTCAAAAAAAGAAAGGCAAAAATTCCCTCAGAGTGCAAAGCTTGCCAGTATTTAGAAATCCAACATTAGTCTTCATTCAGCAACCAGTCATTCATTTGCCAAACATGAACTTTCCCTAGAACTCCATACTTCTTTGGACGTGTGAGACACTGCCAGAATAATTATTCAAGCACTGTGTGGGCCAGGTGCGGTGGCTTACGCCTGTAATCCCAGCACTTTGAGAAGCCGAGGCAAGACGATTGCTTGAGCTCAGGAGCTCGAGACCAGCCTGGCAACATGGTGAAAGCCTGTCTCTATTTAAAAAAAAAATTAGCCGAGTGTGATGGTGCCCTCTTGGAGTCCCAGCTACTCAGGAGGCTAAGGCGGGAAGATCATTTAAGCCCAGGAGATGGAGGCTGCAGTGAGCTGTGATCTACCACTGCATTCCAGCCTGGGTGACAGAGCAAGACCCTGTCTAAAAAAAAAAAAAAGAAAAAAAAGAAAAGAAAAGAATGAGTGGGAGGGCGAGGCGCGGTGGCTCACGCCTGTAATCCCAGCACTTTGGGAGTGGGAGGTGGGTGGATTACCTGAGGTCGGGAGTTCGAGCTCAGCCTGGCTAACATGGTGAAACCCCGTCTCTACTAAATACACAAAATTAGCTGGGCGTGGTGGCACACGCCTGTAATCCCAGCTACTCCGGAGGCTGAGGCAGGAGAATCGCTTGAACCCAGGAGGCGGAGGTTGCAGTGAGCCGGGATTGTGCCACTGCACTCCAACCTGGGCGACAGTGAGACTCCGTCTCAAAAAAAAAATGAAGTACTGGTACCTGCAACAGACACAAAAGCCACATATTATATGATTCCCTGTGTGTGAAATGTCCAGAAGAGGCAAATCCATAGAGCTGACAAGTAGAATGGTGATTACCAAGAGCTTAGGAGAGGAAGGGCTAATGGCCTTGAGGTTCTTTTTAAGGTGATGAGCATGTTTATTTGGAGACAGAGTCTCGTTGTGTTGCCCAGGCTGGAGTGCAGTGGTGTGTTCACAGCTCACTGCAGCCTCAACCTCCTAGGCTCAAGTGCTCCTGCCATCTCAGCCTCCCGAGCAGCTTGGACCACAGGGCTGAACCATCACCCCCAGCTAATTTTTTCTGTTTTTTGTAAAGGCAAGGTCTCACAAAATCCCAACATGCTGGGATTACAGGCGTGAGCCACCATGCCTGGCCCCTACTCATTCTTTTTTTTTTTTAAGATGGAGTCTTGCTGTGTCACCCAGGCTGGAGTGCAGTGGCACAATCTTGGCTCACTGCAACCTCCACCTCCTGAGTTCAAGCAATTCTCCCTGCCTCAGCCTCCCGAGTACCTGGGATTACAGGCGCCTGCCACCACGCCCAGCTAATTTTTGTATTTTTAGTAGAGATGGCGTTTCACCATGTTGGCCAGGTTGGTCTCGAAATCCTGACCTCAGGTGATCCACCCACCTTGGCCTCCCAAAGTGCTGGGATTACAGGCATGAGCCACCGCGCCCAGCCGCCCCTACTCATTCTTAATCACACCACCTGACTTTCTCCACATTGATCACATTAGGATATTATCTTGTTTATTTACAGAAAATCTGTGTCCCTCTTCAGTGCACTGGACTCTTCGGTGCACTGGATGCTCAATGCAGGCACTAAGTTTTGTCTGACTTACCACTGGTTGTATGCCCTGCTCACAGCTGGTGAATGAGTGATTGGAAACACACCTGCTCCCTTGATTTAGGCCTCTGGGAAACAAGGGCAAGGTAAGTTCAGGAAGAAGAAAGACCTCGTAATTTCCAGGTAGGAAAAATCCTTTGGTGTGGCCGTGAGACACTGCATTCTTCTTGGCCACAGCTCCCTCTGCTTTGAGAATCACATAATCAACTTTATCTTTCTCTGAATCGTTCACATAAAAGGGAGGTGTTGGAACACAAGGTGGAAATGGGTGTGTTGGCGGTGGCTGAGGAAGTCGGGGCAGGAGGAGCCACTGTTTCTGGGAATGAATTCCTGAAACTTGCTGGTCCCACCAAGATGCAAATCTTGCGGCAGTTTTTACAGTTATCCTGTGGAAGAAGTGAGGATCCCACTCCAAGCCCAGGTCAGAATGCTGATAATCCCCTCTGATCAGGTTTTTTTAATTTTATTTTTATTTTTTGTGGTTTGGGGAAGATTTGCCAACTGTATCCTCTTTTCTGGCAAGGAAAATTTATATCTGCCCAATGAAATCAGGAATTTAACTTCATTCATTCAACAGTTATTTAATTCTATCCTCTACTAGATTCCTACAGCTGCTGTAACCCTAAAGTACCACAAACTGGGTGGCTTGAAACAACAGACACGTAGCCAGGCGCAGTGGCTCACGCCTGTAATCCCAGCACTTTGGGAGGCTGAGGTGGGCAGATCATCTGAGGTCAGGAGTTCAAGACCAGCCTGGCCAAAACGGTGAAACCCTGTCTCTGCTAAAAATACAAAAAAAATTAGCCGGGCATGGTGGTGGCGCACGGCTGCCATTCCAGCTACTCGGAATGCTGAGGCAGGAGAACCGCTTGAACCTGTGAGGCGGAGGTTGCAGTGAGAGCGAGACTCTATCTCAAAAAAACAAAACAAAAAACCCCAACAACAACAGACATGTATCCTCTCACGGTTCTGGAGGCCAGAAGTCTCAAATCAAACGATTAGCAGGGCCATGTTCTCCCTCCACAGGCTCTTGGGGAGAATGTTTCTCTGCCTTTCTCTTCGCTGCTGGTGTTGCTGGCAGCTCTTGGCACTTTTTGGGTGTAGGCTCATCACTCCAGCACCTGCCCTGGGGTCACATGGCTCTCTCCTCACTGTGCCTCTTCTTTTTTTATTTTTGAGACAGGGTCTCATTCTGTGGCCCAGGCTGGAGTGCAGTGGCACAGTCTCAGCTCACTGCAACCTCCTCCTCCCCAGGCTCAAGTGATCCTCCTACGTCAGCCTCCCAAGAAGCTGGGACTTCAGGCTCATGCCACCAAGCCCGGCTAATGTTTTGTATTTTTAGTAGAGAGAGCAGTTTACCATGTTGCCTAGGCTAGTCTCGAATACCTGAGTTCAAGTGATCTACTTGTCTCAGCCTCCCACAGTGCTGAGATTACAGGTGTGAGCCACTGGGCCGGGCCCTCCTCTTTTTTTAAAAAAACAAAACAAAACAAAAACATTTATTTTAAGTTCAGGGGTACATGTGCAGCTTTGTTATACAGGTAAACTTGTGTCACGGGGGTTTGTTTTACAGATTATTAATTTCATCACCCAGGTATTAAGCTAGTATCCATTAGTTATTTTTTCTTTTTTGTTTTTTTTTTTTTTTTGAGACAGAGTTTCACTCTTGTTGCCCAGGCTGGAGTGCAATGGTGCCATCTCGGATCACTGCAACCTCCGCCTCCCGGGTTCAAGTGATTCTCCTGTCTCAGCCTCCCGAGTAGCTGGGATTACAGGCATGAGCCACCGTGGCCAGCCTAGTTATTTTTTCTGATCGTCTCCTTCCTCCCACCCTCCACCCTTGGCCAGACCCCAATGTGTGTTGTTCCCCTCTATGTGTCCATGTGTTCTCATCATTTAGCTCCCATTTGTGAGAATATGCAGTATTTGGTTTTCTGTTCCTGCATTAGTTTGCTAAGGATAATGACTTCTAGCTCCATCCATGTCCCTGCAAAGGACATGATATCATTCCTTTTTATGGCTGCATGGTATTCCATGGTCTATATGTAGCACATTTTCTTTATCCAGTCTATCACTGATGGGCATTGAGGTTGATTCCATGTCTTTGCTATTGCGAATAGTGCTGCAGTCCTTTTCTTCTAAGGATACCGGTCATATTAGATTATGGGTCCACTCTCATCCAGTATAACCTCATCTTAAATGATATCTTAATTATATCTTCAAAGAAGTAAGGTCACACTCACAGGTACTGGGGTTAGGACTTCAACATAGGTTTTTTGGGGGAAACTATTCAATGCCTAACACAACCTCTCCAAGAAAAAAATCTTACTGAAATTTTAATTGGAATTGTATTCAATTTATATCATAATTGGGGGATTTTGACTTTTGTGTTTTTTTTTTTTTTTTTTTTTTGAGACAGAGTCTCGCTCTGTCGCCCAGGCTGGAGTGCAGTGGCACGATCTCAGCTCACTACAACCTCTGCCTCCTGGGTTCATGCCATTCTCCTGCCTCAGCCTCCCATGTAGCTGGGATTACAGGTGCCCGCCACCATGCCTGGCTAATTTTTGTATTTTTAGCAGAGACGGGGTTTCACCATGTTGGTCAGGCTGGTCTCAAACTCCTGACCTCAGGTGAACTGCACGCCTCAGCCTTCCAAAGTGCTGGGATTACATGCGTGAGCCACCATGCCCGGCAACTTTTTCTTTTTCTTTTTCTTTTTCTTTTTTTTTCTTTTTTTTTTTTTGAGATGGCGTCTTGCTCTGTCACCCAGACTGGAGGGTAGTGGCGCCATCTCAGCTCACTGCAACATCTGCCCCCCCGGGTTCAAGCGATTCTCCTGCCTCAGCCTCCAAGTAGCTGGGATTATAGGCACCCGCCACCATGCCTGGCTAATTTTTGTATTTTTAGTAGAGATGGGGTTTTGCCATGTTGGCCAGGCTGATCTCGAACTCCTGACCTCAGGTGATTCACCCACTCCGCCTCCCAAAGTGCTAGGATTACAGGCATGAGCCATTGCGCCCAGCCAAATTTATTTCTAAGTGTTTCATAGTTTTTGTCTGCATGCTGAATGAAAATGTTTCTTATTTAAATTTCTAGGTGTTTATTGCTACAGTGTGAGAAAACTATTGTGTGGTTTTTTTTGTTTGTTTTTTGTTTTTTTTTAAGATGGAGTCTTGCTCTATCGCCCAGGCTGGAGGGCAGTGGCTTGTTCTGGGCTCACTGCAACCTCCGCCTCCTGGGTTCAAGTGATTCTCCTGCTTCAGCCTCACTAGTAGCTGGGATTACAGGTACCCACCACCAGGCCTGTCTAATTTTTGTATTTTTCGTAGAGATGGGGTTTTGCTATGTTGGCCAGGCTGGTCTGGAATTCCTGACCTCAGGCGATCCACCCACCTCCGCCTCCCAAAGTGCTGGCATTACAGAAGTGAGCCACCACGCCCAGCCTTGTTTGATGTATATTTATCCTGAGACTAGCCATCTAACCAAACTTTCTTATTTATTCCAGTGTTTTGAAAAAATAACTAGTATGTTTTGAGTTTTCTAAGCACACAGTCCTATAAATAGAGAAATGATTGAATGTTGCATCTTAGAATATTTTGCAGGATAGGAAAAATAACCTAGGGCTATCTATCAGCTGGCCATGACAGCTTTCCACAAGGTAGTGTTAACTAAGGAAAGCAAGATGTAAGAAAGAATGCTTAATATAATCTCAGTTTTGAAAAACAATGAGTGGGCCGGGTGCGGTGGCTCTGCCCTGTAATCCCAGCATTTTGGGAGGCTGAGGCCAGCGGATCACGAGGTCAGGGGTTTGAGACCAGCCTGGCCAACATGGTGAAACCCCGTCTCTTCTAAAAATACAAAAATTAGCTGGTGTGGTGGCACGCTCCTGTAGCCCCAGCTACTTGGGAGGCTGAGGCAAGAGAATCACTTGAACCTGGCAGGCGGAGGTTGCAGTGAGCCAAGCTGCACCGTTGCACTCCAGCCTGAGCGACAGAGCAGGACTCTGTCTCAAAAAAAAAAAAAAAAAAAATCAGTAAAAGGCAATATGTGTGTATTAGGATATATGGTTTTTTCTTTGGTTTTTTTGTTTTTGTTTTGTTTTTTGAGACAGAGTTTCGCTCTCGTTGCTCAGGCTGGAGTGCGATGCGCAATCTCGGCTCACTGCAACCTCCCGCTCCCGGGTTCAAACGATTCTCCTGCCTCAGCCTCCCTAGTAGCTGGGATTACAGGCATGCACCACCACGCCCAGCTAATTTTTTGTATTTTTAGTAGAGACAGGGTTTTGCCATGTTTGTCAGGCTGGTCTTGAACTCCTGACCTCAGGTAATCCGCTCACCTCGGCCTCCCAAAGTGCTGGGATTACAGGAGTGAGCCACTGCACTCGGCCAGGATATATGTTTTGTATATGATTTCACATTCATAGAGAAAATACAGAATTTTAGGTTAACATGAGCCACTTTGTGTAGGTGGGGAACTAACATGGGGGCAGAAAGGAGAAGAGAAGGAGATAAGCAGAAAGTGAAATTAAACAACCTGCCAAAAGATCCAAAATCATTATGACATGGTCACATTTATGCATGTATGTAATTTATGTGTGTGTGTATACATATATATTTGTATATGTTCATAGAAATTTAAAATAATTTCTTTTTTTTTTTTCTTTTGGAGATGGGGTCTTGTTATGTTGCCCAGGCTGGTCTCAAACTCCTGGGCTCAAGCAGTGCTCCCACCTTGGCCTCACAAAGTGCTGGGATTACAGGAGTGAGCCACTGCACCTGGCCTAAACATTTTTTTTTTTTTCAGATGGGGTTTTATGCTGTTACGCAGGTTGGAGTGCAGTGCTACCATTTCAGCTCACTGCAACCTCTGCCTCCCAGGCTCAAGTGATCCTGCCACCTCAGCCTCCTGAGTAGCTGGGACCACAGGCATGCCCCACCATATGTGGCTAATTTTTTGTATTTTTGGTAGAGACGGTTTCACCATGTTGCCTAGGCTGGTCTTGAACTTCTGAGCTCAGGCCATCCGCCCACCTCAGCCTCCCAAAGTGCTGGGACTACAGGCGTGAGCCACCATGACTGGCCCTAAAATAATTTTTAAATGAACACAAAAACAAGCAAACAAGCAAAATGTAGATAAAGTGGCTGTTGAAGACAGGCCTTGGCTGGGTTCTGGAATAGCCGAGATGAGGAAGGCTGCACCCTCAAGGACACCCCACAGAGAACCTCTGACTGCTGGTGACAGGAGGAATGCAACGACAACGGAGGGTCCCACTCACCAGCATCCGTGCCCTGTGTTGTCACAGCAGCCCAGTTTTCCTTTGGGGAACCACCTCATCTCCCCATCCCTTCTCTATCACCTGCACTGTGTATCATCTTGGTGGGACCATCAAGCAAGACACTGCCCAGTGGCCCCGTGCGGTGTGGCTCACGCCTGTAATCCCAGCACTTTGGGAGGCCAAGGCGTGCAGATCACTTGAGGTCAGGAGTTCGTGACCAGCCTGGCCAACATGGTGAAACGCCGTGTCTACTAAAAATACAAAAATTAGCCGGGCATGGTGGTGGGCACCTGTAATGCCAGCTGCTCGAGAGGCTGAGGCAGGAGAATCTCTTGAACCTGGGAGGCAGAGGTTGCAGTGAGCCGAGATCACGCCATTGCACTCTAGTCTGGGCAACAAGAGCAAAACTCTGTCTCAAAAAAAAAGAACACTATGCTCAGCCCCAGCAGAGGTGGCTGAGTCTTCAGGGCAGCCAGCCAGATGCTCCTCTGGAAATGTGACTCAGGAATGAAGGGCCAAGCACAGTTGAGCCCAAGCTCTCAACATGAAGGCCTCTTGGTCTTGCTCCTTAAAACCAGGAGGCCGGGCACAGTGGCCCACGCCTGTAATCCCAGCACTTTGGGAAGCTGAGGCAGGTGGATCACCTGAGGTCAGGAGTTCGAGACCAGCCTGACTAACATGGTGAAACCTTGTTTCTACTAAAAATACAAAAAGTTAGCCAGGTGTGGTGGTGCACACCTACAATCCCAGCTACTCGGGAGGCTGAGGCAGAAGAATCACTTGAACCCAGGAGGCGGAGGTTGCAGTGAGCTGAGATTGCACCAGTGCAGTCCAGCGTGGGTGACAGAGTGAGACTCCGTCTCAAACAAACAAACAAACAAACAAACCACACTAAATAATTATGAGAATGCAAAGTGAAAGCTGGAGCAAGCAGAATTAAGGCTCAGGAGGAGGGTGGGTCTGGATCTGGGAGGATCACAAAAGCAAGCCAACTCCCCCAGGCCTAAGGGAGACCAGCTTGCAGTTAGACACAACTGAGGGAAATGGGCTGACATTTCCTGTATCTTCCAGGTGTAAGCCCCAGAGAAAGCAAGTCACTGGATCAGGAACCATGGTCTCCTGGATCCAAATCTAGGCTTTTCTCCCAGAAAGGACATCTGCCAGGGATGCCTGGTCCAGGTGGTGGAGGCTGGGTGGCTCACCGTTCTGTGGTTTCCGTCTTCGTGGAGAGTTTATTCCCTCACGTTGATGATGACGGAAGGGCAGGGCTTCTTCAAGGTGGCTGCTTCACTGGTTTGTGATCCACCCAGTGTACTCGGAGAGCTTCTCGCCACACTTTTTCTGTAATTTGCCAGAAATAGTAAATATTTTAGGCTTCATGGGCCGTCTGTTCTCTGCCACGGTGCTAGACTTTGTTGTAGTGACAGCAGCCATACTGTTTACATATTATCTGTGGCAGCTTTTGACACCATATGGAGTAGAAAGCCTACATTTTGCTATCTGGTTCTTTACAGAAGAAGTTTGCCAACCCTGTCATATAGTATGAACATCTTTCTTACCACCATCTTTTTTTTGAGATGAAGTCTTGTTATATTGCCCAGGCTGGAAACAAACTCCTGGGACCAAGAGATCCTCCCCATTCAGCCTCCCAAGTAGCTGGGACTAAAGGCACATCACCAAGCCCTGCTGCTTACCACCAATTTTTTTTTTTTTTTTTTGAGATGGAGTCTCTCTCTCGCCCAGGCTGGAGTGCAATGGTGCGATCTCAGCTCACTGCAACCTCTGCCATCCGAGTTGAAGCAATTCTCCTGCCTCAGCCTCCCGAGTAGCTGGGATTACAGGGGTGCGCCACCACGCCCAGCTGATTTTTGTATTTTTAGTAGAGACGGGGTTTCACCATGTTGGCCAGGCTGTTACCACCATTTTTAATGGCTGCATTTTGTTTCCCTTCCACCAATGCTTCCAAAGCTGCTTAGTAATGACATTCAAAACAGAATCTGCCAAGATAAGACACCTTTTGAATAGCAATAGGAAAAGTATCTGCAAATCCTGACTTCTCAACCAGCCCTGCCCTAGTGTCTAAGCTCCGACGGGCTGAAAAATGGGCATTTTCTAAGTCATTTCTCCTGATCCAAGATCTTGAAACTCTTCAAACTTATAAATTAGGCCACCTGCTGAGCAATCCTGTAGGCCCTGTCCTAAGATGACTCAGGGCAGTCTCTTCTTTTCCCTGTAACCTGGTCCTATTCACGTGAAGCTATTTTTCAGCTATTTGCAAAAAGCTCCTTAAAATCTATTTTTCCCTTTAATTATAGTTTGCAGCTGGTCTTTCTGAAAGCAAAGAATTTATTGCTTGCCAAGGGCCATTAAAGATCAAGCTGGGTTAGGGGGTCTCCTTGCTGAATCCAGGGAGGAGGGTTCAAGACAGAGGCTATTTCCGAACCAGTTTTTCTAGTTCCCAGGCACTCTCCGGATTCTTCTCTGGGTTTACTTTTCTTAGGTGGAAACCCTACCTAGATTTGCAAATGACGTGGAGCTCTTTGTCACCCAAGATCCCTTGGGGCTCATGGGTCAGTCATTGTTTGGAAAGTGTTGCCTCTTAGGCTTTTCTATTTTTATAAAAGAGGGATTACTGTCTTTGCTCCCTGTAACCTTGGACTACTGCCAAGTTTTCTTGGTGGCATTTTCACTTGATAAATATGAGCCTTTCTGCTCCTGACCCAGAAGAGTGCTTCTCCTAGCAGTCTCAGGAGTTTCAGACCTAGTTATACCCCTGCATTTATCGCCTCAGACATGTCAAATGCAGATGTCACCTCCCAACCAACTTTTAGACACATTGGTGGAGCCAGAAAGATATAAAAGATTATCATTATGCTAATTTTTTAAATGTACAGAACTGCCCTTTTTAATCTTTAATTTTGGAGTTTTAGCCACAACTCCTTTAAAATAAAATAATATAATAATTTTTTTTTTTTTTTTGAGATGGCGTTCGCTCTTGTTGCCCAGGCTGGAGTGCAATGGCGTGATCTCAGCTCACCACAACCTCCGCCTCCCGGGTTCAAGCGATTCTCCTGCCTCAGCCTCCCTAGTAGCTGGGATTACAGGCATGTGCCACCACACCCAGCTAATTTTGTATTTTTAGTAGAGGCGGGGTTTCTCCATGTTGGTCAGGCTGGTCTCAAACTCCCAACCTCAGGTGATCCACCCACCTCGGCCTCCCAGTGTTGGGATTACAGGTGTGAGCCACTGCGCCCGGCCTATAATTTTTTATTATTAAATGATCATTAGAGAATAAATAACACTGTAGGACAAATTTTCCCCTTCCATTTTTTTTTTTTTTTTTAGATGGAGTCTTGCTCTGTCACCCAGGCTGGAGTGCAGTGGTATCACCTCGGCTCACTGCATCCTCTGCCTCCTGGGTTCAAGCAATTCTCATGCCTTGGCCTCCCAGTAGGTAGGATTACAGGTGTGCAACAGGCCCAGCTAATTTTTATAATTTAGTAGAGGCAGGATATCACTATGTTGGCCAGACTGGTCTTGAACTCCTGACCTCAAGTGATCAACCCGCCTCAGCCTTCCAAAGTGCTAGGATTACAGGCATGAGCCACTGTGCCCGGCCCCCCCGCTTTTTTTTTTTTTTTTTTTTTTTGAGAGTGTCTTCTTCTGTCGCCCAGGCTGGAGTGCATTGTTCCATCATGGCTCACTGCAGCCTCGACCTCCAGGACTCAAGCAATCCTCCCACCGCAGCCTCCCCAGTAGCTGGGATTACAGGAGTGCACAACCCCTCACCCAGCTAATTTTTGTATTTTTTGTAGAGACAGGGTTTTGCCATGTTGCCCAGGCTGGTCTTGAACTCCTAGGCTCAGGTGATCCTTCTGCCTGGGCCTCCCAAAGTGCTGGGATTACAGGCATGAGCCACCGCACCTGGCTAAATCCAAGGATTTTTGTATCCACGGGTGGATCCTGGAACCACTGCGCCAGGGATACCGAGGAATGATTATACAGAAAAAGGAAATTTTCTGTATACAAGGAGAACCCAGTTGGAAACACCTCAGCATTTGCCTTATTTGAACACAGTTTAAACATTTGGCTGCCTGCAACTAACTGAAGCTCAGCTAGCTATTGGTTAAAAGAATATACTCCTAATTTAGCCTCTCAGTTAATTTATGTGTTATGTTAGGTTACAGTTCATTACATAAAGGCCAAAGTATGGAAGCCTCCTCAGGCCAAATTTAGTTTAATTTAACAATTCCTCCCTTTTGGTCGGTCTCAATTTTGAGAGACTGACCAAAACCTTGACACTACTCTCTGTCACCATCATCCGACTAAATACGGAACTTACTTAGTCTCTGTATACAATTCACAAGTCACAACAGTTGAACAATTCTTTATCTTCTGGCAGATCTAGTTCAAATGAGACCGTTCAACATTTGACGAATGATTGTATACAAACATTTAAGATGTGAGAGGATAGGATACGGTGCACCAGGAGGACTATTATAATGGCTGTCAGGAGGGTTACACCAAAAAGACTGAAGTGTACTCCTTAACAAAAGCTTGTAGGAACTGAACCCATCCAAATCAAAGTTCAGGCAATATAGACAGCTCAATAATATTTGGCCATGGTCTGTATTCTGGATTTGATGGCAATTAAGGACTATAGTTTGGTGTAAAATGGCCTGATTTAAAGAGGTATCTGTTTTTGTTGTTAGCCTGATAATACAGGCTGTAGCAATCTAGAGACTTACCAAGAGAACAAGATGAGAAAAGCTTGGAAACACCAAGCTGGCCATCCACCGCTGAGGAGGCCCGTGGACCAACTGGTGGCTGCTCCCATAAACACATCATCTGTTCCTTTTCCTTGAGAAATTCTCTTTTTTATTGTTGTTGTTACATTGGCAATTTTTTTTTTTTTTTTTTTTTTTTTTAGCTAGAGTCTCGCTCTGTCACCCAGGCTGGAGTGCAGTGACGCGATCTTGGCTCACTGCAAGCTCTGCCTTCCGGGTTAAAGTGATTCCCGTGCCTCAGCTGCCCAAGCAGCTGGGATTACGGATGCACACCACCATGCCTGGCTAGTTTTTGTATTTTTAGTAGAGACAAGGTTTTTGCCACGTTGGCCAGGCTGGTCTCGAACTCCTGGTCTTAAGTGATCCTCCCAACTCGGCCTCCCAAAGTGCTGGGATTACAGGCATGAGTCACTGCACTCAGCCATGTCTTGAGAAATTTTCTTAGTGTATTTGGTAGCAGTGTCTAAAGAAACAACAGTATCAGCCACCTTTTTTTTTTTTTTTTTGGAGGGGTGGACAGAGTCTTGCTCTGTCACCCAGGCTGGAGTGTGCAATCTCAGCTCACTGCAACTTCTGCCTCTGGGGTTCAAGCAATTATCCTGCCTCAGCCTCTTGAGTAGCTGGGATTACAGGTGCACGCCACCATGCCCAGATAATTTTTGTATTTTTAGTAGAGACGGGGTTTCACCATGTTGGTCAGGCTGGTCTCGAACTCCTGACGTCATGATCCGCCCACTCAGCCTCCCAAAGTGCTGGGATCACAGGCGTGAGCCACTGTGCCCTGCCTTCAGCCACCTTTTTAATTAAGCTTTCTGTAGTAGGAAAATCAAAAGAAAAATAGATACAATATTCCGTTTTCTTAAAAACCATATACAAGGCTCCGACTTGAGACAGAAGGAGATCTAAAGCAGGATGCTCTGCTAGGTGTTTTTGTTGAACACATGTATTATCACCCACTTTTTAGAAAGTGGCTTCTACCCCTCTGAACAGCAGGGAGGTCTGGCTGACTGCAAGGTCCAAGGTGTTTCCCCAGTTTACAGATGAGTGTCAAATTCTATACTACTAGTGTCCCACAACTGCCAAGAGTGAGCCTCCAGAAACCTCACTGGAATCTTTCCTCGATGAAACTAACTTGTCTTCATAAACCCCATAATTGCTCAGGTTTTTGCTAAAGCATAAACCTTAGCTAAGGCCATTCATAAACTATGGTTCCATGGATTTTCCTGGAGAGTAAAGGAAAGGATTAAGACAGCAAAAAATGAAGAAAAGAAAAAGAATGCTGGGTGTGGTGGCTCACGCCTGTAATCCCAGCACTTTGGGAGGCCGAGGTGGATGGATCACCTGAGGTCGGGGGGAGTTCGAGACCAGCCTGACCAACATGGAGAAACCCCCTGTCTACTAAAAAAATTAGCTGAGCATGGTGGTGCACGCCTGTAATTCCAGCTACTTGGGAGGCTGAGGCAGGAGAATTGCTTGAATCCGGGAGGCGGAGGTTGCAGTGAGCTGAGATCATGCCATTGCACTCCAGCCTGGGCAACCAAGATTGAAACTCCGTCAAAAAAAAAAAAAAAAGAAAGAGAGAGAGAGAGAGAAGGAGGGAGGGAGGGAGGGAGGGAGGGAAGTAAGGAAGGAAGGATGGAAGGAAGAAAGGAAGGAAGGAAGGGAAGGAGGGAAGGAAGGAAGGAAGGATGGAAGGAAGAAAGGAAGGGAGGGAGGGAGGGAAGGAAGGGAGGGAGAGAGGGAGGGAAGGAAGGAAGGGAGGGAGGGAGGGAAGGAAGGGAGGGAGGGAGGGAGGGAGGGAATAAGGCTTTCCTGATGGTAGAGGAGCCTTGATCTTGGAAAAGCCGTCCAGGTCTAGAACACCATCTGCTTCTGGGGAGAAATTTTCCCCAGCTAGCTTTACATTAAAGTCTCTAACGGAGGCCAGGAGCAGTGGCTCACACCTGTAATCCCAGCACTTTGAGAGGCCAAGATGGGTGGATAACTTGAGGGTCAGGTGTTTGAGACCAGCCTGACCAACATGGTAAAACCCCACTCCTGGTATCAATTTTCTGTGTTAGTTTGTTCTCACACTGCTATAAAGAACTACTTGAGACTGGGTAATTTATGCAGAAAATTAATTTAACTAACTCACAGTTCTGCAAACTTAATGGGAAGCATGACTGTGAGGCCTTGGGACACTGACAATCAGCAGAAGGTGAAGGGGAAGCAAGCACCTTCTTCACAATGGCGGCAGGAGAAAGATATAGTGAAGGGGGAACTGCCACACACTTTTATTTACTTTTTTTTTTAATTTATTTTTTTGAGACGGAGTTTCACTCTTCTTGTCCAGGCTAGAGTGCAATGACACAATCTCGGCTCACCGCAACCTCCGCCTCCCCGGTTCAAGCGATTCTCCTGTGTCAGCCTCCCAAGTAGCTGGGGTTACAGGCACATGCCACCACACCCAGCTAATTTTTGTATTTTTAGTAGAGACGGGGTTTCACCATGTTGGTCAGGCTGGTCTCGAACTCCTGACCTCAACCTCCCAAAGTGCTGGGATTACAGGCATGAGCCACTGCACTGGGCCTGAATTTACTTTAATTTAACAGAATGCAATTATGGGCAATGAGATAAAGAGGAAAATGTTCTGACATTTCTAGAAATTTGCTCACACCTATATGAAATCTTACTTTCTTTCATTATCTCACCTGATACTCATAAAAACTTTGTGCAAGGGATTTTGAGGAGTACTAATATTTAGGAGAGTTGGGCAGATGAACAACTAACAAAGGTAAACAATCGAAAGATCCAAGAAACCAAGTGACGTTATTGTTTCAAAGAGGCACCGCTCCACAATTTCAAAGGCTGCTGAGAAATTAAGAATAAGAAGGTGACCTGTGTGTGGCTGATAGATGAACAAAATGGAAGCTATTAGTGAGCTTGGTACCTTTCTTGAGCCGTATTGCTTATTCATATCTCATTCCATTTGTCTTGATATTCTGCCCAGAAGCTGGGACCATGCTTTGCACATGGCAAGTGCCCATTTTATGTCTGTTAGTAGCAGTTTTGCTGAGTGACTGAAACCAGAGACTTAGCAGAGATGGGTGTGCTCAGAGTTGGCCTCCACTCTATTCCCATTACAAAGCAAAATACAATACAAAGCAAAATACAAATACAATACCAATACAAAGCAAAATTCCCATTACAAAAACTCATCGCCAGACAGTTCTACTTACAGGAATTTGTCCTAAAGACAGTTCCCCCAAAGCCTGAGATGCTCTACTTACAAGGATATTAATTGCAATGCTATTTGTAATAGCAAAAGGCGGGAAACCACCTAAATTCCACCAACTAGAGATTGTGCAATAAGCTGCAAAGCATCCAGTCAGTGGGGCAATAGGATGCCCCTTTAAGAAAGAACAAGGCTGGCCGGGTGTGGCGGCTCACACCTGTAATCCCAGCACTCTGGGAGGCTGAGGCAGGCAGATCACCTGAGGTTCAGGGGTTCAAGATCAGCTGGGCCAACATGGTGAAACCCCATCTCTAATAAAAATACAAAGATTAGCCTGATGTTGTGATGCGTGTCTGTAATGCCAGCTACTTGGGAGGCTGAGACATGAGAATTACTTGAACCTGGGAGGTGGAGGGTGCAGTGAGCTGAGATCATACCACTGCATTCCAGCCTGAGGGTGACACAGTGAGAATCTGTCAAAAAAAAAAAAAAAGGACGGAAAGAAAGAGCGAACGAGGCTGATGCCTCTGCACTGAGATGGTCTCCACGATGTATTTGAAAAGTGGAGAGAAAAGAGGGCAGAACCTTACGGAGGGAAAAAAAGACAATTAAAAGAACAGCTGGGCCAGATGCAGTGGCTCATGCCCATAATCTCAGCACTTTGGGAGGCCAAGGCAGGTAGACATCTTGAGCTCAGAAGTTCAAGACCAGCCTGGGCAACATAGTAAGACCCCCTCCCCCCAACCATCTCAACAAAAAATACAAAAAATAGCCAAGCATAGTGGCATGCCTGTAGTCCCAACTGCTTGGAAGGCTGAGACAGGAGGATTGCTTGAGCCTGATTGAGGCTTCAGTGAGCCATGATCGCGCCACTGCACTCCAGCCTGGGCAACAGAGCGAGACCTTGTTTCAAAAAAAAAAAAAAAAAAAAAAAGGAATTATTTCAATGGATCTTGCAGTATTGACTGGATAGAAGGCTGGAAGCCAATAAAGCAAAGAGAATACAAATAGACTGACTGTTCTAGAAATTCTATGGGTAAAGGAAGAAGGGATTAATTAGAAAGCATACATTTATTTATGTATTTATTTATTGAGATGGAGTCTCGCTCTGTCACCCAGGCTGGAGGGCAGTGGCGCAATCTCGGCTCACTGAAACTTTTGCCTCCTAAGTTCAAGTGATTCTCCTGCCCCAGCCTCCTGAGTAGCTGGAATTACAGGCACCCACCACCCTGCCTAGCTAATTTTTGTATTTTTAGTAGAGATGGGGTTTCACCATGTTGGCCAGGCTGGTCTCCGGACCTCAAGTGATCCGCCTCCCAAAGTGCTAGAATTACAGGTATGAGCCACCGCGCCCGGCCAGAAAGCATACATTTTTTATTTAGATTGTATGCTTATCTGGCGTGGCTTGATACGGGGGTGCTGATGGGGATTGGGAGGTAGAGAAATACCCTCCCAATAATAATAGCCAAACGCAACATAGCACTTGTGATATTTTCTGTGAATTTTATTAGTATGAACTCATTTCAACCTCCTAACAACCCTGTGGGGCAGGTCCTTTTCATACCCCCATTTGTGAGGACACAGTGGCCTTTCTAATATCACACACCAGCAAGTGTCAAAGCTTCAAACCCAGGCAGCCTGGTCACAGAGAGTCACATAACTGCTCTGCAAACCTGCCTCCCTCTGCTTCAGAGGGGCTCAGATTCGGGGTTTACCTCTCACTAGCTGGGCAAGCTTAGGCACTGGCCTTCTCAGAGCCTTGGTTTTCTCGCCGCAGAATGAGGGTAACTGCAGAGTTGTTGAGAAGCATTTGAAGCACCTGATTCTTGGTGCTCAATACAGGGAACGTGTGATAGTTACTGCCGACTTAGAGCAGAGCTTAGGCAGGCACTGCACCAGGATTTGACTATTGATGCATCTCCAAGCTGAGCCTCGGTAGGCCTGTGGTCCCATGCTAGAGAGCAGCTGCCAGTGCCTCCATCTGCTGCAAAGCTTGGCTGTGTGTGGATGGGTGGGACAAGTCACTCCAGAAGCTTCTCCCCTTAAGACATCCTGACATTAAGGGATCTTCTTCCTTTGCTCCTCTTTCTGTCCTCCCTGCCCCCCTTCCTCCCTCCCTTTCTTCCTTAAATGCCCAAAGTCAGTTGATACCTTTTCTTAAGTAACTCAATAAGCAATACAGGCAGTTTGCTCATGGTTGGCAGTGGGCAGGATTAAGGGAGGATTAGGGCCCTTTGTCAATGTCTCATCTCCTGTCTGCAGAGACAAGACCTGAAGGATTGCTAAAGAATGCCCTTGGTAACAACTGTTTCTCCAGGACCTTGTTTGGCTTCCCCCTGGCTGGGTGGAACCCGCTGTGTGCAGCCTTCGCAGGGAGGTGGGCCGAAGGCTGCCAACGTTGGAGCAGGTGAGCTATGGCATTTGCATTGGGCTGGGTCTCCATTCTTGGGCCAAATCAACTCACCTCTTGGGCGAGTTGCTTCAGACTTCAGAAACAAGCCACATCATGCCGAGAGGCTTTCCCCCCAGTTCCAGGGCCCAAGGGTGCAGGCACATAGCCAGCCCAGCCTTCTCTTCCCTGTGTGTTCCCTTCTCCCCTGGGTTTCTCCTCCCTTGTGAAGAAACAGCACACCTGCTTTTACACAAGGCCAGTCCTCCACGGGCGCCCTCATCCCACCCCTTTTGACCTTCTCAAGGACTACAAGTCTCTAATGATCCTCTCCCTCTCCTGACTCATCCATCTCTCCCTCTCCCTTGTGACTCAGCAGTGTACAGACCTGCTTCTAGATTAAAACAAAAACAGAAACCCCTCCGACCACCCCCTCCACCTTTTTTCCTGCTTTTCCTCAGAGACAAACTTCTCAGCACCCCCTGCCTCCTTTCCTCAATTCCCGTCCATTCTCCAGCCCACTTCCAGCTGGCTTTGGCACCCACTGTCCCTCCTCTCAGATTCACTCTTGTCAAGGTCACCAGGAATACCCGGTGCACAGTACAACAGGCACTTCCATGTCCTCGCGGGATGGGTCTTCCCAGCTGCACTTGACGCAGCTGACCCAGGGTGCTCCCCTGCTTCCCCTCCTGGGGCACGCTCATGGCTTTCCCGCCTCCTCCCTCTGACCCTCCTGCCTCCTCCCTCTGATCCTCCTGCCTCCTTCCTCGGACCCAGGGCGCTCTCCTCCCTCCTCTCCTGGAACACGCTCATGGCTTTCCCACCTCCTCCCTGGCCATCTCTTCTCAGTCTTCATTTCCAACTTTTCCTCTTTCTGTTCTCTGAATGTTGGCTTTCTGCATGGCTAAGCCCTGGGTCCCCCTCTAGCTAGACTCTCATGGGATGGTCTCATCCATGGCCAAGGTTTTTAACATAATCTAGAAGCTGAGACTCCCATATTGCATCTCTGGTCTTGCTGTCAACTCACATGTCCGTGGCCTGCTGGATACCCCTGTTCTGTCTCTTGGGCATTCCACACTTAGTGTTTCCTAAATCAGACTGTCCAGGGCCTTCCACATTGGTTTGCTCCCAGTCTCCCTTGGAGCCGGCACTGGTGCCACCCTTCCACCTGGTGCCTGGCTGCCAAGCTTGATTCCCTCCTCCTCCTCCCTAAACCCTCCCCTCCTCAGACCTCACTTTTTCCATCCTCACATTGCCACCCTAGGCCAGGCCACCATCAGCTCCTGCCTGGACACTGTGACAGCCTCCTAAGTGATCGACAGCCCCCATTTTTCACGCTGCTGCCATTGAGATCTTTCTAGAATAAAAATCAAATCAAGCCAGTCCCTTGCTTAAAACCATTTCACGCTCCCTATTGCTCTTCAGGTGAAGCTAACCTCCTTAACTTGGTTTACACAGCCCTTCCCAGCCAGCCCCTCCCTGCCTCTCCCACCTCCAGTGCCACCCCCAGACCTCAAGTGATCCACCCACCTCAGCCTCTCAAAGTGCTGGGTGGTGGCTCACACCTGGCGTCGTCCTCTTCCTCCCTTCCTCTTCCCCTGCCCCTTCCCCTTGCCCTCCTCCTCCTCCTACTCCTCCTTCTTCCTCCTCCTTCTTCTATGAGTGGTCAGTTATTCCAATGATAGATTACAGAATTGGCTTCTGCCTTTCAAAAATTAAATCATAACCCATCTCCTGAAGTTTGAACACAGCCTTGCCTAATTTTGTTTCATTTATGTTATTGTTATCACTACAGTTATTTGGGGTGGCCTGAGGACACGGCTGGAGCTGGAGTGTGGCTGTGACCTCCTCTTGACATCTTTCTGCACCACTATTAATGGTATCCCAAGTGCTGGGCACAGAGGAGGAGATAGATCAATATTTGATGAATAAATGGCTGGGCGTGGTGGCTCACGCCTGTAATCCCAGAACTTTGGGAGGCCTAGGCAGGTGAATCACCTGAGGTCAGGAGTTCAAGACCAGCCTGGCCAACATAGTGAAACCCCATCTCTACTAAAAATGCAAAAATTAGGCCAGGCGGGGTGGCTCACGCCTGTAATCCCAACACTTTAGGAGGCTGAGGTGGGCAGATCACCTGAGGTCAGGAGTTCGAGACCAGCCTGACTAACATGGAGAAATCCCATCTCCACTAAAAATACAAAATTAGCCAGGCGTAGTGGCACATGCCTGTAGTCCCAGCTACTCAGGAGGCTGAGGCAGGAAAATCGCTTGAACCTGGGAGGCGGAGGTTGCAGTAAGCCGAGATTGCGCCATTGCACTCCAGCCTGGGCAACAAGAGCAAAACTCCGTCTCAAAAAAAAAAAAAAAATTAGCTGGGCATGGTGGGGCATGCCTGTAGTCCCAGCTACTTGGGAGGCTGAGGCAGGAGAATTGCTTGGACCCAGGAGACGGAGGTTGCAGTGAGCCAAGATCACGCCATTGCACTCCAGCCTGGGCGACAAGAGCAAAACTCAGTCTCAAAAAAAAAAAAAAAGACTTTGATGAATAAATGAATGAACGAATGAAATCACTCTCAAACCAGAGCTTCAAGTTTCATGTTATTGGCCTGGAGCGGTTAATTTTATCAGCATACACAAGACTCTCAGTCTCCAAATCATGGAACTATAGGATGGCAGGATGGGAGAATCCCTGGACCACCCAGGGCCCAACCTCCAAATTTATCAGTTGAGCCAGCTGAGCCATTGCTCACCCACAGTTGTCCCGGAGCAGGCAGGCTGCCTGCAGGATGGAAGAACGTGGAGGAGGAAGGGTGTGCAGGGGCCAGGTCTTACCTGGATTTGTTGATTTTATTCTCAATATGATGAGAAGTCCCGAGAGACTTTAACATAATCCCTGATCTTATTTTATTTTATTTTATTTTATTTTAAAGATCATTGCAATCCCTGCAAAACCAGATTCAGGACTGGAGAGAGAAAATAAGGTATGGGCTGGGGAGTCAACACACATTTGTGCCTCTTTGATGGCAAGGCCTAGGAACACATGCCTGGGGTCAGCTTGCCATCATGTGGCCAAACCTAAGGACTGCACATCTCCCATCTTGCTTTCCCAGGGCTCCGTGTACTTGTGGAGACAGGATTTGGACCCAGGTCTCTCCTCCCACCAAAGTTCAGGGTCTATAGGCCTGAGTTCAAGTCCCGGTTCCTGCACTCCCAGCCATATGACCAAAGAGGATTCAGGTTCTGTATCCGACTCATGGGGACAGCAACACACTCATCTCTCACAGTGAAGACCCAGTAAGAAATGGCAGCTGTCAGCCAGGTGCAGTGGCTCACGCCTGTAATCCCAGCACTTTGGGAGGCCGAGGCAGGCGGATCACGAGGTCAGGAGATCGAGACCATCCTGGCTAACACGGTGAAACCCCGTCTCTACTAAAAATACAAAAAATTAGCCAGGCATGGTGGCGGGCACCTGTAATCCTAGCTACTTGGGAGGCTGAGGCAGGAAAATGGCATGAACCCAGGAGGTGGAGGTTGTAGTGAGCTGAGATCGCACCACTGCACTCCAGCCTGGCGACAGAGTGAGACTCTGTCTCAAAAAAATAATAAATAAAAGGCCAGGCGCAGTGGCTCAAGCCTGTAATTCCAGCATTTTGGGAGGCCGAGGCGGGCAGGTTGCCTGAGCTCAGGAGTTTGAGACCAGCCTGGGCAATATGGTGAAACCCCATCTCTAAAAAAAAAAAAAAAAAAATTAGCTGAGTGTGGCGGCGTGTGCCTGAAGTCCCAGCTACTCAAGAGGCTGAGGCAGGAGAATTGCTTGAACCCGGGAGGCAGAGATTGCAGTGAGCCGAGATCGCACCACTGCACTCCAGCCTGGGTGACAGAGTGAGACTCCGTTTCAAACAAACAAACAAACAAAAAAAATAGGGGCTGGGTACAGTGGCTCACACTTGTAATCCCAGCACTTTGGGAGAGGATTGCTTGAGGCCAGGAGTTTGAGACCAGTCTGGGCATCATGGTGAGACCTCCATTTCTATTAAAAAAAAAAAATTATAATAAGTAAATGTCTAACCACCTTATCTTAGGGAGGAAGAAACTGAGGCTCAGAGAAAAGCAGGTAGAAAGCAAGATTTCTCGGGCCAGGCACAGTGGCTCACACCTGTAATCCCAGCACTCTGGGAGGCCAAGGCAGGCGGATCACCGGTCGGGAGTTTGAGACCAGCCTGACCAACATGGAGAAGCCCCGTGTCTACTAAAAACACAAAATTAGCTGGGCATAGTGGTGCATGCCTGTAGTCCCAGCTACTTGGGAGGCTGTGGCAGGAGAATCACTTGAACCCGGGAGGCGGAGGTTGTGGTGAGCTGAGATTGTGCCATTGTACTCCAGCCTGGGCAACAACAGCGAAACCCCGTCTCAAAAAAATAATAATAATAAAAGAAAGAAAGCAAGAATTCTCAAGGCTCTGTTCAAAATGCAGGACTTCCACTCCCCAGGTCAGCAGTGAGCCCAAGGCTCTAGCTCCAGCGGAAGGCTGGACAGTGTTAGGGCCGGAGGTGCCAGGCAGGCACCCCAGAATGAGATGCAGAAACGGCCAGTGAGGACAGAAGCCATGGTGCTTTGGAAGCCCAGCTCCTTCTTCCTGCTGATGAACAGGCATCCAGAGAGCCTGTGAGCGGGGCTGTGTGCTCCAGGTCATGTCCCAGGTGTACAGAATTTCAGGAATTTAGTGGAGCTCTCGCCCAGCAATTTTTTGCTTTACAGGAGAGGAAGCTGAGATCCTGAAAGAGGTGGGGCCCGGCCCAGGGTCACTCAGCAATTTTCAGTAGCTGCTCCCTACTGGGGAACTGTGTGTCTGAGGTCGTGGCCATCTGTCCAAAGAGCTTCTTCTGACCAAAGTGCTCATTTTCATAGTGTGACCACAGAGGTATGTATTTTATAACCTTACCTCATTTCATCATCCCAGCAGCCTTGCAGGGAGGTTTATTTCCATTTTGCAAATGAGGACTCTGAGGCTCAGGGAGGTGACGTGACATGCGCAAGGCTGGGAGGGGTGGGTGAGGACTTGCCCTGTCTCCACTGGCCTCCAGACCCTGCGCTCACAGCTGGTCCCGTGTGGCATTACAAGAACATTTGAGCTTCTCAGGAGGGTTAATAAAGGGTGTAAGAAAGGACAGATCTTTAGGAGGGCCGTCTTCAGAGTTTACTTCTCTGTGTTCTAGAGAGAACCAACGACCCTCATGCATTGCTTTTTGGCAAGGGAAATGAAGGATTCAGGACAGTGGGCACTGGGCACCCACAGGGTTTATTCAAGCAGCCGAAGCTCCTGCTTCAGAACCTTGGCACGGTTAGGGCCCAAATAAGGGTCTTTTCCTTCTCACTTTGAACACAGCCTCGCCTAATTTTGTTTCATTTATATTATTGTTATCACTGCAGTTATTTGGGGTGGCCACCCCCATCCCACAGCTGCTCCCACCCTTCTCTGCTGTAGAAATGGAGGAGGGAAGGCCCAGTGGCTCCAGTGTGAGGGGAAGAGACCTGACTGCACCTGGGCTGTGTCTTCTCCGTCCACAGTACACCCGTGGGAAGAGGAGTCGGGGCATCCCTTGCTGGAAATACCCCAGCCCTGAAGGTTGCTGGCAAAACCACCATTTAATTCAGAACAAAAAGTCTGCTCCAGGAGCCCCTGAGAGCGTCAAAAAGAACAAGGTGGGTGGGTTGGGGGGAAACATCACTGAGAGGCTACCTAGGCCTGGATCCCCGGCAGATGCAGGTCCACAACCCGACGCCGACCACTGGCCGGCCCTCCCGAGTGTCTGACTGCGGGACTACCTGGCATCCACTCGAAGAGACCAGCCTGGGGCATCCCTCCCTGCGCCCCAACCCCTGTGGACACTCCCTCGGGAGCATTTCTAACTAGGCCTGGGTATGTGAAAAAAGAGGAATCCTTTCGCAGAAGGCAGGCTGGACCTGGGAAAACAGTTCTCCATGGATGGAGAAGTGAGGGGATAAAGGATGATGAACTTAGCTGTTTTCTTTCCTGTCCACATTGTTTCTAGGTTCTTTGGAACCAGGGGTCATCTTTTATCTCCCACAGTAACTCATGTCTGCCTTAGACTTATTTCCAACCCCTCAAGATCAGTTGAAGATCTTTGTAGGATCTACACATTCATACTTTACTTACTGACACCCCACAACCTGTAAACCATAACAAAATGCACCTGCTGCACACATCTGAAAGGTTTTCTTTTTTTTTGTTTTGTTTTGTTTGAGACAGAATCTTGCTCTATTGCCCAGGCTGGAGTGCAATGGCGTGATCTCAGCTCACTGCAACCTCTGCCTCCCGGGTTCAAGTGATTTTCCCCCCTCAGCCTCCCAAGTAGCTAGGATTACAGGCATGCACCACCATGCCCAGCTAATTTTTGTATTTTTAGTAGAGACAGGGTTTCACCATGTTGGCCGGGCTGGTGTCGAACTCCTGACCTCAGGTGATCTGCCCGCCTTGGCCTCCCAAAGTGCTTGGATTACAAGCGTGAGTACCATGCCCAGCCAACATTTTCTTTGCTATAAAATGTTTTAAAATGTATAACTGAGTTTTGCCAGCTGAATATAGTTCAATTTGTTCTTGTGATTCAAACTTTATTATGTTTTTATATAAAGCTATATCAAGAATCCAAAAACATTCTATACATTTGGAAGTTTAAAGACAAGCCTCTAAATAGGTCACAATCAAAGAGGAAATCACAATGTAAATGGGAAAATACCTAGAACTGAAGGACAATGAAAACCCTACCTAGTTAAATGCGTGGGAGGCAGGTAAGGTTGTACCTAAGAGAAAATATATGGCCTTAAATAAATGCACATATATAATCAGGAAGAAAGACCAAAAAATAATGAGTTAAAGTTTCAACTCAACAAATTAGAAAAGGACACCAGAGTAAATCCAAAGAAAATGAAAGAGAATGATAAAAATAATAGTAGAAATTAATTAGAATGCACTCAGAGTATCAACAAAACCAGAAGTTGGCTCTTTGAAAATGAAGACAAATAACTAAGACTAATAACTAAGACAAATAACTAAGATATTATTTATGAAAAAAAAGAAAATTATACATTTTATGAATGGAAACAGAGGCACTACAGACATGGTAGAGATTAAAAAATAAAAGGACAAGCCAAGCACACTGGCATGTGCCTCTAATCCCAGCTACTTGGGAGACTGAGACAGGAGGATCACTTGAGACTAGGAGTTTGAGGCTGCAGTGAGCTGTGATCATGTCACTGCACTCCAGTGTGGGTGACAGAGGGCGACCCTGTCTCTGAAAAGTAAATACACAGAGATAAGAGAACACTTTGAAGCAGCTATATACCAATGAATTTGAAAATTTAGAAGAAAACGACAATTTCCTGGGAAAACACAACCTACCAAAATCACTTTTGAGGACTGCAGTACACCTACATTCATTATATTGAATCAGTAGTTTTACATGCAGCCAAGAGACTCTACAAAACCTCTGTGATTTTGCAAGAAAGTCCTAACAAATAAAAAACAGATAATCCTTGTATTGTTCCAGAGAATAAAAAATGAGAGAAAACTCCCTGTGCTAGTCTGTTTTCACACTGCTATAAACAACCTCTCTGGCCGGGCGCGGTGGCTCACGCCTGTAATCCTAGCACTTTGGGAGGCTGAGGCAAGCGGATCACCTGAGGTCGGGAGTTTGAGACCAGCCTGACCAACATGGAGAAACCCTGTCTGTACTAAAAATACAAAATTAGCCAGACATGGTGGTCCATGCCTGTAATCCCAGCTACTCGGGAGGCTGAGGCAGGAGAATCACTTGAACCCAGGAGGCGGAGATTGCAGTGAGCCAAGATCACGCCATTGCACTCCAGCCTGGGCAACAGAGCAAAATTCCGTCTCAATAAAAAAAAAAAAGAACTTCCCTGAGACTGGATAATTTATAAAGGAAAGAGATTTAACTGACTCACAGTTCCACATGGCTTGGGATGCCTCAGGAAACTTACAAACATGGCAGAAGGGGAAGCAGACACATCCTACATGGCAGAAGGCGAGAGAGAGCGTGTGTGAAGGAGGAACTGTCAAACACTTAGAAAACCATCAGATCTCCTGAGAACAGCATGGGGGAAGCCACAGCCATGATCCAATTTCCTCCTCCCCTGACACGTGGGGATTACAAGTTTCTCCCTTCCCATGTGGGGATTACAATTTGAGATGAGATTTGGATGGGGACACAAAGTCAAACCATTTCACTCCCCATCTCATTTGTTTTTCTTTTGAGACTGAGTGTCACTCTGTCACCCAGGCTGGAGTGCAGTGGCGTGATCTTGGCTCACTGCAACCTCTGCCTTCTGGTGTCAAGCAATTCTCCTGCTTTAGTCTCCCAAGTAGCTGGGATTACAGGCATATGCCACCACATCTGGCTAATTTTTGTATTTTTAGTAGAGATGGGGCTTCACCATGTTGGTCAGGCTGGTCTCCAACTTCTGGGCTCATGTAACCCACCCACCTTAGCCTCCCAAAGTGCTGGGATTACAGGTGTGAGCCACCTCACCCAGCACCCATCTCATTTAGTGAGGCTAGATTCATCTTAGTACAATACCAGAGAGGAGAGAAACAAACACCATGGCCAGTATTGCTTAGGAACACAGTTCAAAAATACTACGTAAAGTATCATTAAGCCAAATGGAACTAAATATGGAGAACATATATTTTGTGTGCCCTCTGTGGAAGTCCCTGGGACAGGGTGGGGCAGCAACCTGGCAGGGAGCTGGTGCTCATATTGTCAGGGTGCCTGGGAGATCCAATGGCCCAGTAGTTGAGGAGATTTGCTGCACACAGGGTGACGGAGAAAATGAGTCAATATATGGAGGATTTCAGGGATCCAAGTTTCTTACTTTCTTTTTTTTTTTTAAGAGACAGAGTCTCACTCTGTTGCCCAGGCTAGAGTGTAGTGGCGCGATCTCAGCTCACTGCAAGCTCTGTCTCCTGAGTTCACGCCATTCTCCTGCCTCAGCCTCCTGAGTTGCTGGGACTACAGGTGCCCACCACCACGCCTGGCTAATTTTTTTTTTTTTTTGTATTTTTAGTAAAGACGGGGTTTCACCGTGTTAGCCAGGATGGTCTCGATCTCCTGACCTCGTGATCTGCCCGCCTTGGCCTCCCAAAGTGCTGGGATTACAGGCATAAGCCACCACATCCGGCTCAAGTTTCTTATTTTCAGAGAAAAAAAAAGTCCAATTATGGAAGGAGGAAATGCTAGAATGAATCCTGGGGAGCTTTTTGGAATGGGAAGAATTAATATGAATGTGTTTTTCCATATAAATATATAAAACAATCAATGTAAATGTGTACACACACACACCCATACCCCAGTAGTAATGAGCACACTTAGTAGTCAGATCTTTGTTTCTAAACACCACCTTCCACTAAAAGAAACCAGACCTTTGAGAGGTCAAGGCGGGATAATCCCTTGAAGCTAGAAATTTGAGACCAGCCTGACCAACATGGTGAAACCCCGTCTCTACCAAAAATACAAAAAAATTAGCTGGGCAAGGTGGCGGGCGCCTGTAATCTCAGCTACTCAGGAGGCTGAGGCAGGAGAATTGCTTGAACCCGGGAGGTGGAGGTTGCAGTGAGCCGAGATCGCACCACTGCACTCCAGCCTGGGCAACAGAACAAGACTCTGTCTCAAAAAAAAAAAAAAGAAAAAAGCCACTAGGTTTTGGGTAATTTGTTTACACAATAGATAACTAATGTGCGTGGAAATACAAGTGACCAAGGAATTGCTTATTGCTTTTTGTATGATCTTCATCTCTCCCACTGCTCATTCCGCATCATCCCCCGACTTTGGCCATCTGCACCCCAGTTGCCCTCAACCAAAGTCAAGCTCCACTCTCTAAGCTGGGCTTGTACTGTCGGGGTTCCCTTGCTGACGGCTCTCCTCATGAGACTCTGATTTTCCCCAAGACAGACCTTCCCCCTCCTTTTCCTTTATATGTTGAGCAGCAGGGTCCCTAGTGTTGGGCAAAGACCCTGGCAGACGGTGGGCGGTTAGGAATTGTCAGTGGGAGGAGTTATACCCAGTCATAATTGAGGACCCAGTGATGGTTGGATTTATGATGACTGCCAGGCACCGTGCTGAGTTCTGCAAACCCTAAATTCTAGACCAGGGGTTCTCAAAGTGCACTCCCCACCCGAGCAGCATCAGTATCCCAAAATTCCTGGGCCTCACCCCAGACCCACTGAATCAGAAACTCTAAGGGTTGATCCTAGCAATCCATGGCTTAACAATTTCTCTGGGTGGTTCTGGTCCACATTTACATTTGAGAGCCACCGTTTTGGAGTTTGAGAAGACAATGAATTAGGGCAAATGGGTCAATTCCCAGCAGAGAGAAGCAAGAATCTTTTCTGAGGCCCACACTGAATTCCAGCTCTTTCCTGGGCTGATGTTACCATTGTCCTTCATGGGGTGGGTCCACATTTCCAGTCGCCCACCTGGGGAGCTGGTGCAGCAGAGAATGTGCTTAAGGCTCAAATCCCAGCTTTTTTCCTGTTTTAAATCTCGGCTTTATTTACTTTTATTTCTCCAAGTGGGACTTCATGTGACTTATGGGGGAGCTATTTTGTTTGTTTGTTTGTTTGTTTGTTTTTTGAGACGGAGTCTCGCTCTGTCGCCCAGGCTGGAGTGCAGTGGTGCAATCTCGGTTCACTGCAAGCTCCGCCTCCTGGGTTCATGCCATTCTCCTGCCTCAGCCTCCCGAGTAGCTGGGACTACAGGCGCCTGCACCACACCTGGCTAATTTTTTTGTATTTTTAGTAGAGACAGGGTTTCACCGTGTTAGCCAGGATGGTCTCGATCTCCTGACCTGGTGATCCGCCTGCGTTGGCCTCCCAAAGTGCTGGGATTACAGGCGTGAGCCACGGCGCCCGGCCTGAATAAGTAAATTTAAAAAAAAAGAAAAAAAAAAGAGGCCGGGCGCGGCGGCTCACGCCTGTAATCCCAGCACTTTGGGAGGCGTAGGCAAGTGGATCACGAGGTCAGGAATTCAAGATCCGCCTGGCCAAGATGGTGAAACCCCGTCTCTACTAAAAATACAAAAAATTAGCCAGGCGTCGTCATGGGCTCCTGTAATCCCAGCTACTAGGGAGGCTCAGGCAGAGAACTGCTTGAACCCGGGAGCTGGAGGTTGCAGTCAGCCGAGATCGCGCCACTGCACTCCAGCCTGGCGACAGAGGGAGAGACTCTGTCTCAAAAAAAAAAAAAAAAAAAGAGCCAGGTGTTGGTGGCTCAGGCCTGTAATCCCAGCACTTGGGAGGCCGAGGTGGGTGGATCACCTGATGTCAGAAGTTCAAGACCAACCTGGTCAACATGGTAAAACTCTGTCTCTACTAATAATACAAAAATTAGCTGGGCATAGTAGTGAACACCTGTAATCCCAGTTACTTGGGAGGCTGAGGCAGGAGAATCACTTGGACCCAGGAGGTGGAGGTCACAATGAGCCGAGATCACTCCATTGCACTCCAGCCTGGGTGACAGAGAGAGACTCTGCCTCAAAAAATTAAATAAATAAATAAATATCTTATCTAGAGGCAGGGCTCTGTGTGTGTGTGTGTGTGTGTGTGTGTGTGTGTGTGAGAAGGAGGAAGGGACATAGGCCAGGCACGATGGCTTACGCCTGTAATCCCAGCACTTTGGGAGTCCAAGGCAGACGGATCACCTGAGGTCAGGAGTTCAAGATCAGCCTGGCCAACATGGTGAAACCCTGTCTCCACTAAAAAATTAGCTGAGTGTGGTAGCATGTGCCTGTAATCGCAGCTACTCGGGAGGCTGGGCAGGAGAATCACTTGAACCTGGGAAGCAGAGGTTGCAGTGTGTGAGATGGGGCCATTGCACTCCAGCCTGGGCGACAGAGCAAGGCTCTGTCTGAAAAAAAAAAAAAAAAAAAAAAAAAAAAAAGGAGTGGGGGGCGGGGGACAGAGAGAGGCAGGCTACTTTATAGAATTCCCTTTCTCTGTCAGGTGTTTGGAGCTCATTTTTCATTTTATTTTATTTACTTATTTATTTATTTTTGAGATGGAGTCTTGCTCTTGTTGCTCAGGCTGGAGTACAATGATGCGATCTCAGCTCACTGGAACTTCCACCTCCTGGGTTCAAGTGATTCTCCTGCTCCAGCCTCTGGAGTGGCTGGGATTACAGACGTGCGCCGCCACCCCCGGCTAATTGTTTTGTATTTTTGGTAGAGATGGGGTTTCACCATGTTGGCCAGGCTGGTCTCAAACTCCTGACATCAGGTGATTCACCCACCTCAGCCTCCCAAAGTGCTGGGATTACAGGTGTGAGCCACTGTGCCCAGGCTGTTTTTTATTTTATTTTATTATTATTGTTTTTTTGAGAAGGAGTTTTGTTCCTGTGGCATGATCTCAGCTCACTGCAATCTCCGCCTCCCGGGTTCAAGTGATTCTCTTGCCTCAGCCTACTGAGTAACTGGGATTACAGGCATGTGCCACCACGCCTAGCTAATTGTTTGTATTTTTAGTAGAGATGGGGTTTCATCTTGTTGGCCAGGCTGGCCTTGAACTCCTCACCTCAGGTGATCCGCCTCGGCCTCCCAAAGTGCAGGGATTACAGGTGTGAGCCACTGCGCCCGGCTGGTCTTTAGAGCTTATTTTCAAGCCCATCACAAAGTCCACTCCTCCTCACCACCCCATGAACTTTCTCGTTGTTCTTGCTGCTATCTAGAGTGCCATTCCTGTCTTTCTCCTTCTCCTAGAAGTTTTATGCAATCCATAGAACAATGCAGAAGTGACGGGGGGTTGGGGGAGGATTAGGAGGAGGAGGAGGAGGAGGAGGAAGGGAGAATGAACTGCTCCCAGTTCTCTGGCATGTATCCTGCCCCTTGCTTCATGCTCATGAAAAACATTTTATAGCATATTTACAGCTGCTTAGATGTAGGTGCAATGTATCCATGGAAATAATCCTTGCAGGATATACAATTTATTGTGTAAGTTAAGGAATAAAATGTCAGAAGGATGAATTATGTGCCCAGTGACATATAGCAACGGCATGGCTGAGATTAGCCTGGTTATCCCAATCACTCCTGCTCTTTCCCAAAAAAATGAGTGAGGAATGTGCCCCAGCTCCTCCATGTCTAACCTCCGTGCTGAGATGTGCTGAGCACCTACTATGTGCCAGGCACCGCACTGAGCTCTTTATACAATTAGATCTCATTGTTTCACCACCACATTGCAAGGCAGTTACTGTATCATCCTGATTCTATAAATGGAAACAGTAAAGCTCAGAGAGATACTTTAATAACTCAACCATTGTTACCCAGCCTGGGTGTGGCAGGGAAGCGATCTGAACCCAGGTAACCTAGCTTCGAGACTGTGGGCTTCACCACTGCTTTCTATTGGCAACCTTCAGATAGTTTCTTTCTCTTGAATATTTAGTATATTCGTTTCTATTGCTGCTTCAACAAATAAGCACAAACAACACAGATTTATTCTCTTACATTTCTAGAAGGCAGAGGTTTAAAATGGATTGGTGGGACCGGGCGCCTGTAATCCCAGCACTTTGGGAGGCTGAGGCGGGCGGATCACGAGGTCAGGAGATGGAGACCATCCTGGCCAACATGGTGAAACCCAGTCTCTACTAAAATAAAAAACTTAGCTGGGCATGATGGCACGCGCCTGTAGTCCCAGCTACTTGGGAGGCTGAGGCAGGGGAATTGCTTGAACCTGGGAGGCGGAGGTTACAGTGAGCTGAGATCATGCCACTGCACTCCAGCCTAGCAACAGAGCAAGACTCCATCTCAAAAGAAAAAAAAAAAGGATTGGTGGGACTATATTCCTTCTGGGGTGTTAGAGCAGGATCCATTTCCTTGCCATTTCCAGCTTTTTTTTTTGTATTTTTAGTAGAGACGGGGTTTTACCTTGTTAGCCAGGATGGTCTGGATCTCCTGACCTCGTGATCCGCCCGCCTCAGCCTCCCAAAGTGCTGGGATTACAGGCGTGAGCCACCATGCCCGGCCCCATTTCCAGCTTTTAAAAGCCGCCTGCATTCCTTGGCTCCTGGTGGTCACCTCCATCTTTCCAGACATCACTCCAGCCTCTGCTTCCATCTTCAGCTCTCCTCCTCTGACTCAGATCCTCCTGCCTCTCCCTTCTGGAAGGCGCCCTGTGATTACCTTGGGCCTGCCCAGATAATCTGGGATAATCTTTCTATCTCAAGATCCTTAATTTACTCCTATCTGTAAGATCCCTTCGCCATGTTAGGTAATATATCCATAGGTTGCAGGGATTTGGATGTGGACAGCTTTTGGGGGCTATTATTGGTTCTACCACATTTGGCTGTTTCTATTTTGTAGACTAATAACAAAAAACATTTTTGAATGCCTTCATAGACTTTAATTCCATTAGCTTAATTCCACCTGAAAAACCTGTTGATCGAGCAAAACTAGGTTATTTGGACTTCCTGCAGTAAAGGAGAACACCGTCAACAGATTCAAATTAGGGAAATTAGGGAATGGTATTTATGGGTTTTTAGGGCCCTGGCTGGGTGATGTTAAAGCAAGTCTTGCAAGGCAGGAAACTGGTTGCGATTGGGGAGTTTCTGACATAAGAGCTTTGGAATGGTGGGCCCAGGAAGACAGGGTTTTGAACTCACATCTGATGCATAATCTTATCTTCCAGAGCAGGTATTTTTTTGGAGCAAGAAGTGAAGTGACTTTTGCCTGTCTTGATATTGCTTAACCCAAGGATTATGTTGGTTTTAGCCCTTGCTAATTACAATAATAGTATTTTTTTGAGACTGAGTCTCACTCTGTCACCACGCTGGAGTGCAGTGGTGCGATCTCGGCTCACTGTAACCTCCGACTCCCTGGTTCCAGTGATTCTCCTGCCTCAGCCTCCCAAGTAGCTAGGATTACAGGCACATGCCACCATGCCCAGCTAATTTTTTGTATTTTTAGTAGAGATGGGGTTTCACCATGTTGGACAGGATGGTCTCGATCTCCTGACCTTGTGATGCACCTGCTTTGGCCTACCAAAATGCTGGGATTACAAGCGTGAGCCACCATGCCAGGCCATAATTTCCATTTTTTAGAGCACCTCCTACAGGCCAGGCAATTTTGAATACATTTTGACAATTACAACAACCCTACAAGGCAGGTATTTCAACTTAATCTCAGTATGGCGCAATAACTCCCCTCTTGGATTTTGGAGTCAAAAAGTCTTGGATAAAAATCCGGGCTCCTCCACCTACCTGCCAGGTGAATAGGCAGGTAAGTTCTCTGGGTGAGTCTCCATGTCTTCATCTGTAAAATCAGGATAATGCTTCCCACTTCGAGTGTGTAGGAGTGTGCACACTGTGTGCCCACATGAGTAAGGGGACCATGCTTCCCTGTCATTGTTTTTGTTTTGTTTTGCTTTAAGACAGAGTCTTGCTCTATCGCCAGACTGGAGTGCAGTGGCGCAATCTCAGCTCACTGCAACCTCTGCCTCTCAGGTTCAAGCGATTCTCCTGCCTTAGCCTGTCTAGTGGCTGGGATTACAGGTGCATGCCACCAGGCCCAGTTAATTTTTTATTTTTATTTTTTTTGAGACAGAGTTTCGCGCTGTTGCCAGGTTGGAGTGCAGTGGTGCGAACTTGGCTCACTGCAACCTCGGCCTCCCGAGTTCAAGTGATTCTCCTGCCTCAGCCTCCCGAGTAGTTGGGACTACAGGCACACGCCATCACGCCCAGCTAATTTTTGTATTTTTAGTAGAGATGGGGTTTCACCATGTTGGCCAGGATGGTCTCGAGCTCTTGACCTCATGATCTGCCTGCCTCAGCCTCCTAAAGTGCTGAGATTACAGGCATGAGCGACTGCACGAGGCCATTTTTTTTTTTTTTTGTATCTTTACTAGAGACGGGGTTTCACCATGTTGGCCAGGCTGGTCTTGAACTCCTGGGCTCAAGTGATCCACCTGCCTCAGCCTCCCAAATTGCTGGGATTACAGGTGTGAACCAGTGCACCTGGCCCCCTGTCATTGTTATCATTGTTAGTAGTGTCCTTTTTTATTTTTTATTTTTTTGAGGCAGAATCTTGCTCTGTTGCTTAGGCTGGAGTACAGTGGTGCAATCTCGGTTTACTGCAAACTCCGCCGCCCAGGGTTCAAGCGATTCTCCCGCCTCAGCCTCCCGAGTAGCTAGGATAACAGACGCATGCCACCACACCCGGCTAATTTTTGTATTTTTAGTAGAGACAGGGTTTCAGCATCTTGGCCAGGCTGGTCTTGAACTCTTGACCTCGTGATCCAACCCCCTTGGCCTCCCAAAGTGCTGGGATTACAGGCGGGAACCACCACGTCCGACCATGTCCTTTTATTATTCCCCAAAGAGTCCTTCCTTAGATGATGAATTATATGGGCACAGTTCCAATATGGTGACACTATGCTTATTACTTTTACTCAGTAGGTGAAAGGGGATGGATCAGTGAGCTTAGGTGACATGCTTAGGGCTGCACGGCTAATTGGGAAGAATTCTCCAAGCTAAAGCTGCATAGCAGACCAGGTGCTATCCTTCTGCCTGGAACAACTCAACACAATGCCAGACTTTGTAACTATGTATTTGTGTGATTTGTTTCGATTTTGATGTTTTTAATTGAGACAGAATCTTGCTCTGTTGCCCAGGCTGGAGTGCAGTGATTGGTTCACTGCAGCCTCAACTTCCTAGGCTCAAGCAATCCTACTCCTCAAGCCTCCCAAGTAATTGGAACTACAGGCATGCATCACCATGCCCAGCTAATGTTTGTATTTTTTGTAGAGACAGGGTTTTACCATGTTGCTTAGGCTGGTCTCAACTCCTGGCCTCAAGCAATCCACCCACCTCAGCGTCCCAAAGTGCTGTGATCACAGGGCAAAGCCACTGTGCCCGGCCCATTTATGTTATTTTTAAATGAAACCTGTCTTCCACCAGGCTCAGTGGCTCACGCCTGCAATCTCAGCACTTTGGGAGGCTGAGGTGGTCAGGAGTTCAAGACCAGCTTGGCCAACATGTTGAAACCCCATCTCTACTAAAAATACAAAAATTAGCTGGGCGTGGTGGCGTGCACCTGTAGTCCCAGCTACTCAGGAGGTTGAGGCAGGAGAATTGCTTGAACCCGGGAGGCAGAAGTTGCAGTGAGCCATCACGCCACTGCACTCCAGCCTGGTGACAGAGCTAGACTCTGTCTCAAAAAAAAAAAAAAAAAAATTGGTGAGGAAGAGATCATTCATCATTGTCACTGTATTTGATAAACATCCATCTCCCACAGCTGGGCAGACATAAGAGCGGGGAGAAATTCTGGCCATGCACTGGGCGCTCTCAGGTATGGTTTATATGCCTGGCTAGGGCCTGGCTCCAAATGTCCCCCAGCAAACAGGTTTGTTTTTTTTTTTTGTAATTACCATACTTTGGGCTTGGCCCTCACAAGATTATCTCCCTTGAATTAGATAGGATTTTTTTGGACACGATGAAAAACCGTGCCTCCTCTTAACAGTTACTATATTATAATGCTATGCCTTGGTCTTTACTGCGGGGGTCTCCTAGTTCCAGGAGGATATTAACCCACACATATTTGTGTATTTAGATGAAGGTAATATATGGTCCTGGTATTAAAACTTCAATCACTATAGAAGAGTTTTTAACAAGATTTAAAATATGTGCAGACCCCATGACTCAGCAGTTTGAACTCCAGGAACCTCATCTTTAAAAACATGCAACCAGCAGGTGTGCAGAGGATACTTCTTTTATCTCTCTTTGTAAAAGCAGGAAAAACTGGAATAACCTAAGGGTCTATTGAGGAGAGAGGGGTTGCTGACTTACACATCAGGGTCTATCCATACAATGGAATGCCTCTCAGGTGTCAAAAATAAGGAGGCTGAGCTGAAGATGGTATCAAGGATTTGGCATTAGAGAACAAAGCAAACATTAACATTATGTATGCTTGCACAGAGATAGATACTCATATAACTGCCTAGACAAGGGCCTAAAAATGCAAAGTACTTAAATCTGTTACCTCTTTGGCATTTTAAAAAGATTGTATTTAGATAATATTGAGGTCATTTTAGAAGACACACACTTACTGCATTAAAACAAGCAAAAGTTGAACAAAAAGGTAATAACGTTAAGCAGGTTACAATTCCATTGTAAGTAAATGGTGGTGTTAATAGTTCAAGTGCTTCCTTGGTCACTTTAAGATTGTTTTTCCAGAGCTGGGCAGCAGGAGAAATAAGTTAAAATTTCATTCCGACATCCCCCTGCCAAAAAATAGCCTGAAAATTCAGCCTCAGCTCTGGTCTGAATCCGGTGACAGGACTGACTACCAGGAGATCTCTCAGCCTCTGCGCTGCTGACTTTGGGGTCTGAGTCATTCTTGGTTCTGGGAGGCTGCCCTGTGCATTGCACGGTATACAGAAGCTTCCTTGGCCTCTACCCATTCGATACCTGTATCACCCCCTCCCAGTTCTGACGACCAAAAATGTCTTCAGACCCAGATATCCCCTGAAGTGCAAATTGCCCATCCCATCCCCACCTGTGGTTGAGAATCACTGGAGTAGGATGATGGACGTCAGGGTTTCCTGGGATCCACCTGGTTGGTGTCTCATGAACTGAGGAAATTACTAACTGCGCCCCCTTTCCTTCTGTAATAAACCACATGGTCACTCTGGCTCCGGCCCTTTTTCCCTAGAAAAATGTACCCATGCTTGTGGCATCATAATCCCCATGTCTGTCATTCTCGTCAACACTTCTCATGGTTTTTGTCACGCGCGTCCGTGTGAAGAGACCACCAAACACGCTTTGTGTGAGCAATAAAACTTTTTAATCACCTGGGTGCAGGCGGGCTGAGTCTTGTATATGTGCAGGTCACACAGGGGATAAGATGACTTAGCTTGGGCTCAGAGGCCTGACAGTTTTGGTCGTAGCCATCTTCGTGGATGCATGATATACCCTTTTGAAACTTCTTCCAGAACTTTTTTTCTTTTTCTTTTTTTTTTGGAGACGGACTCTTGCTCGGTCAACCAGGCTAGAGTGCAGTGGCATAGTCTTGGCTCACTGCAACCTCCGCCTCCTGCGTTCAAACGATTCTCCTGCCTCAGCCTCCCGAGTAGCTGGGACGGCTGACACACACCACCACGCCCAGCTAATTTTCGTAGATTTTGTAGAGACAGGGTTTCACCATGTTGCCCAGGCTTGTCTGGAACTTCTGGGATCAAGCAATCCTCCCACCTTGGCCTCCCGAAGTGCTGGGATTACAGGTGAGAGCAACTGCGCCCGGCCTTCTTGTCTTAGATTTGTTTTACTCAAAGCCCTGTGGCTTACCTTTATATGAAGTTCCAAAGAAGGACATTTTAACACTCCTGTACTTAAATCACTACAGAAGCATGTTTGGGTGAGGAAACTCTATGAACTTGGTTTCTAAAGAAGGCCTTCCAGCCACGGGCACGCTACACAATGTGGGGCCATTTATTTTGCAAATCAGTAAGACTTCAAAATTTAAAAAATAATAGTATAAAAATGAGGATGGACCGGGCGTGATGGCTCATGCCTGTAATCCCAGTACTTTGGGAGGCTGAGGTGGGTGGATCACCCGAGGTCAGGACTTCGAGACCAGCCTGGCCATCATGGTGAAACCCTGTTTCTATTAAAAATACAAAAAGAGCTTGAACCTGGGAGGCAGAGGTTGCAGTGAGTGGAGATCGTGCCACTGCACTCCAACCTGGGCGACAGAGTGAGTCTCCGTCTCAAAAAAATAAAAAATAAAAGAAAATTTAAAAATAAAAAATAAGTTAAAATTTGGATGAATTGCTGGGGGAATGGAGAAATCAATTTCTATTTTTGGTCCTTCTGCCCTGTTTTTGTTTGTCTTCTGGGCCATGCAGATGTCTTGTTTTTATAATTAAAAAACTAGGCGGGGTGCAGTGGCTCACATCTGGAATCCCAGCACTTAGGGAGGCTGAGGCAGGAGGATTCCTTGAGCACAGGAATTCAAGACCAGCCTGGGCAACATAGCCAGATCCCATCTCTACAAAAAATTTTAAAAGTTAGCCAGGTATGGTAATGCACACCTATGGTCCCAGCTACTGGGGAGGCTGAGGCAGGAGGATTGCTTGAGTCTGGGAGATCGAGGCTGCAGTGAGCTACGATACCAGCATGGCCCTTTAGCCTGGGTGACAAAGAGAGACCCTGTCTCAAAACAAAAACAAAACAAAGTATTTTATTATACGTAAGTCCAAACACATTAGCACAGGCCCTGAAGAACAGCAGAAATTGCACCTAAATCTCCTTCTCCCCATGTACATATCCAACCCCACCCCTTGTTCCCATTTGTGCTCAGCTGGGGTCAAGGTCTCACCATCAGAGCTGGCTTCCGAAAGGGCTCCTTTCCCTACAGGTTTCCCCCACTGGACTTTACCTCCAGATGCCCAGGACATGGGACATCATGCAAAGACCTAGCACGTGGTGAGCATTTAGAAAATATTTACAGAATTATTCACAGTATTTGTTGAGCACCTACTGCTTATTCATATCAGTTATGATCTGCTGTGCACTGCTGAGCACTGGCAGAAAGAGAAGACCCTGAGCATCTTAAATTCACGGCAGTTGCCAGCTGGAGTTCCCATCTGAATTTCCTGGAGGAAGGCAGACCCCATCGCGACTTTCTTTCTTTCTTTTTTTTTTCTCCTTGAGGCTGAGTCTCGCTCTGTCGCCCAGGCTGGAGTGCAGTGGTGCTATCTCAGCTCACTGCAACTGCCACCTCCCAGGTTCAAGCAATTCTCCTGCCTCAGCCTCCAGAGTAGCTGGGACTACAGGCGTGTGCCACCACGCCTGGCTAATTTTTGTATTTTTAGTAGAGACGGGGTTTCGCTATGTTGGCCAGGCTGGTCTCGAACTCCTGACCTCAGGTGATTCACCAGCCCCAGCCTCCCAAAGTGGTGGGATTACAGCCATAAGCCACTGCGCCTGGCCTCTTCATTTTTTTGAGACCAAGTCTTTCTGTTGCCCAGGCTGGAGTGCAGTGGCACGATCTTGGCTCACTGCAGCCTCCACCTTCTGAGTTCAAGCGATTCTCCTGCATTGGCCTCCTGAGTAGCTGGGACTACAGATGCCTGTCACCACGCCCAGCTAATTTTTGTATTTTTAGTAGAAACGAGGTTTCGCCATGTTGGCCAGGCTGGTCTTAAACTCCTGACCTCAAGTGATCCACCGGCCTCGGCCTCCTAAAGTGCTGAGATTACAGGCATGAGCCACTGTGCCCATCCCCCACCGGGACTTTCTAATTCAGGAATTCTAGAGTGGGACCCTGTAATTTGCATTTCTTTTTAAAATTATTTTTTGTTCTTTTCTTCCCCGCCCACCCCACCCCGCGCCCCCCACCCACCCAGCTTTTCCTGACTGGAGAAGAACGGGGACAGAAGGCCTGATTTGCATTTCTACTATTTCCCAGGAGATGTTGACGTTGCAACAAAGAGAACCACTCAAAGAGAATAGCTCTGTGAGAACCAATGTTCTAGAGTTTAGGAAGACCATCAATTGGGGTAAATGAGCCAATTCCCAGGAGAAAAGGGGAAGGACCTTTTCTGAGGCATGATCTGAATTTCCAGGGCTGATGTTGCCCTTTGTTATTTCCACAGGGGATCTGCGTTTTCAATCGCTCACCTGCAGAGCCGCCAGATTCTGGCCAATCTCGGCTTTTTTCCCTCTCACTGTGGGTTCTTCAGAGCCCCATGGTTTAGACACAACGGTGGATTCTCTTGTGCCCCAATTACCACATGCGTCATGGGGAGAAGAGCTTGAACCCCCCAGAGGGTCAGGTCCAGGTGAGAATTGAGGGTGACACTGAGAGAATTTAGCTAGGTGGGCGCTGTGTACCGCATCATTGCCTGCTCCTTTCGCAGTTTTGCATTTGTGTGTTGTACAGCTACGTGTCTCAACCTAGAAGGATCTCCAGGATGTATCCTTGGGTGGAAAAATTTAGGTACTAGAATCTAGGCCGGGCGCGGTAGCTCACGCCTGTAATCCCAGCACTTTGAGAGGCTGAGGTGAGTGGATCATGAGGTCAGGAGATCGAGACCATCCTGGCTAACACGGTGAAACCCCATCTGTACTAAAAATACGAAAATTAGCTGGGCACAGTGGCATGCACTCGTAGTCCTAGCTACTCGGGAGGCTGAGCCAGGAGAATCGCTTGTACCCGGGAGGCGGAGGTTGCAGTGAGCCGAGATTGCGCCATTGCACTCCAGCCTGGGCGACAGAGACTCCTCCATCTCAAAAAAAAAAAAAAAAAATTAGCCGGGTGTGGTGGTGGGCGCCTGTAATCCCAGCTGCTACTCGGGAGGCTGAGGCAGGAGAATCGCTTGAACCCAGGAGGTGGAGGTTGCAGTAAGCCAGGATTGCACCACTGCTCTCCAGCCTGGATGACAGAGCAAGACTGTCTCAAAAAAATAAATAAATAAATAAATAAATAAATATAAAAATTAAAAAAATTTTAAAAAAGAAATCTATATTGAGTTTTGTACCTACCTATGATTCATGGATACCTACCAGGGAAAAAGCAGAATAAAAACATGCACAGAAGGAAATATTCCAAATTGTGCTTGCCTGGGTGGTAACTTGCTATAATGTTTTACTTCTGTAATGGGAGGGAGTACACACGTGGCTATTCTATTATTCCTCCCATGTTTTCCTATCTGAAATATTTCATATTTTAAATGTTTATGTAATAAATTTTGTCAACCTCTTTCTTCAAGTCTTGGTGTTAAAATCATGTGTATTACTAAATCTTTTTTTTTTTTTTAAATTTAAGAGGCAGGATCTCACCCTGTCACCCAGGCTAGAGTACAGTGGTGTGATCATAGCTCAGTGCAGCTTCAACCTTTTGGACTCAAATAATTCTCCCACCTCTGCCTTCCCAGTAGCTGGGAGTACACGTGTGAGCCATCATGGCTGGCTAATTATTTTTATTTCTTGTAGAGATAGGATCTCACCACGTTGCCCAGGCTGCTCTCAAACTCCTGAGCTCAAGCAATCCTCCTGCCTTGGCCACCCAAAGCGCTGCGATTACAGGCATGAGCCACTGCACCTGGCCTTAAACACTTTTTCTTCCTAATATATTTTTACACCTTCAGCTGTTTGCTATATCTAACGGCCAGCCCTCCATATCCATGGGGTCCTCATTCATGGATTCAAGCAACTGCAGGTGGAAATTATTAGAAATAAAAAAGGATGGTTGTGTTTGTACTGAACATGGACAGTTTTTGTTATTATTCTCTAAACAATACAGTATAACAACTATTTACATAGCATTTACATTGTATTAGGTATTAAAGCTAAAGACTGCACAGCAGGTCCTCAAATAACTTTTTTTTTTTTTGATGGAGTCTTTTTTTTTGATGGAGTCTTGCTCTGTCACCCAAGCTGGAGTGCAGTGGTGTGATCTTGGCTCACTGCAACCTCCGCCTGCTGGGTTCAAGCGATTCTCCTGCCTCAGCCTCCCAAGTAGTTGGGATTACAGGTGTCCACCATCATGCCCAGCTAATTATTGTATTTTTATTAGTGACGGGATTTCACCATGTTGGCCAGGCTGGTCTGGAACTCCTGACCTCAGGTGATCCGCCCGCCTCAGCCTCTTAAAGTGCTGGGATTGCAGGCATGAGCCACTGTGCCTGGCCAACATTCTTTCATTTAACATTGTTTCATTATATCATTGATGAGAAAACAAATTGGTTTTGTTTATACATCCTTTCCCTTTAAGTCAAAGTTTCTAAGAATCTTAACTGTATACAGAAGGATGTATGGTTGGTTACATGCAAATTCTCCATCATTTTATGCAAGGGACTTGAGCATCCATGGATTTTGGTGCCTGAGGAGAGTCCTGGAACCAATCCCCCATGGATACTGAGGGACAACTGTAATCTTTTTTGGAATAAGGAATTAAAAATTTCCCCAAAATGCTTCTCCTTAATGTCATTTATTGAATAACTTGTTATTTCTCCACTGATGGGAAATAATACCTTTTACCATTTACCAAACCCCCATATATATGTGGATGGAATTCTAAACACCTTATTCTATTTTATTAAGTTTTCTGATTACCCTATACCAGTACCAGATCACTTAATTAAAATTGGTATTATTATCAAGAGGACACGTGCTTCTGGTAAATGATGTTGAGACAACACCTAGAGAGTTTAATTTCCCACCTCTCCTAACCGCACTTCCCAGAGACAAAGCTCTGGGTTAGGGTTCGCAGCAGGATTAAGGAGCAAGAGCCCAGCTGGGGTGCTGGGGAGCATGCAGGGCCTTAGGACCAGCGAAGGGAGGTTGCAATTATTTCCCCAGGGTTCTGGGTGGTCCCTGTTCATTAGCTAGAAATGATGCACCTTTGGGGCTAGCAATGCGCTGTGGTTGTTAGTACTTTATTGATGAAAAAAATGAGGTCATGAGTGGCTGTCTAATCCAAAATCATACTGCTAGGGAGTAGGTGAAATTCCTCAAGTTAAAGTTGCATAGCAAGACACATGCTGTTTCTTTTATTTGGAATATCTTCCCTCCTCCATCACTCTTTCACATGTTGTAGCACATATATGTGTATATATATGGTGTGTGTATATATATAGTATAAATATATGTATTTATTTTATATATTATATATACACATATATTATATATATGTATGTGTATATATATAATATATATCACATATATTTTATATATATGTATGTGTGTATATATATATGTATGTGATATATATATATATATGTATGTGATATATATATATATATGTATGTGATATATATATATATGTTTGAGTCAGGGTCTCACTTTGTCACCTAGGCTGGAGTGCAGTGGCACAATCACGGCTCACTGCAGCCTCAACCTCCTGGGCTCAAGTGATCCTCCCCACTCAGCCTTCTGAGTAGCCACGACTAAGGCATGCAATACCACATAGATATTTGATTGCTGTGTCCCCAGTAGACCAGAAACTCCAAAGTGTTGGGCACTAGGTCTATTTTGTTCACTGCTCTATGCGCAGTGCCTGTAATTGTGAGAGTGTATGGTAGGTGCTCAATGGATGTTTGTGGATTTACAGGAAAACCCTTATCCTGGTGCCTAGGAAAGGGTTAAGACATACTAATAATTTCGGGCCTAGTGGCTCATGCCTGTAATCCCAGCACTTTGGGAGGCTGAGGTGGGTGGATCACCTGAGATCAGGAGTTTGAGACCAGCCTGGCCAACATGGCAAAACCCCGTCTCTACTAAAAATACAAAAAGTAGCTGGGCGTGGTGGTGGGTGCCTGTAATCCTAGCTACTCAGGAGGCTGAGGCAGGAGAATTGCATGAACCTGGGAGGCGGAGGTTGCAGTGAGCCGAGATTGCGCCATTGCACTCCAGCCTGGGTGACAAGAGTGAAGCTCAGTTTCAAAAGGGGGGAAAAAAAAAAAGGCTGGGTGCAGTGGCTCACGCCTGTAATCTCAGCACTTTGGGAGGCCGAGGCAGGCGGATCACCTGAGGTCAGGAGTTTGAGACCAGCCTGGCCAACATGGTAAAACCCCAACTCTACTAAAAATACAAAAATTACCCGGGCATGGTGGCACGCACCTATAATCCCAGCTACTCCAGCTGAGGCAGGAGAATTGCTTGAACCTGGGAGGTGGAGGTTGCAGTGAGCCGAGATTGCACCATTGCACTCCAGCCCGGGCGACAGAGCAAGACTCCATCTCAAAAAAAAAGAAAAAGAAAAAAAGAAAAAAAGACATGCGAATAATTATGTGCCAGAGGGCTTTTGATCACAGACAGGCTCAGTCTCCAAATGTCTAGTACAGAATCCTCTAAAGATGTTCGCAAGTCCAGCGACATGGTGTGCATTCCAGTAACAGAAAAGCCTCTGCTTCCATCAATTATCTGTGTAGGTGCTGTGACCCCGTGCCTGAGTAACCCAGAGTCTGTGAGTAACAGAGCAGTCCTCATTTTGGTTGCTTTTATTTAAACATTGGTACCAAGCCACCTTTCAATAAGTTAGACCCGGCCAGTGTGGTGGTTCATGCCTGTAATCCCAGAATTTTGGGAGGCTGAGGCGGGCAGATCATGAGGTCAGGAGCTCAAGACCAACCTGGCCAATATGGTGAAACTCCATCTTTACTAAAAATACAAAAAAATTAGCCGAGCATGAGGGCACGCGCCTGTAGTCCCAGCTACTCGGGAGGCTGAGGCAGGAGAATCACTTGAACCCGGGAGGCGGAGGTTGCAGTGAGCGAGATTGTGCCACTGCGCTCCAGCCTGGGTGACAGGAGGCTCCGTGTCTAAAGATAAAAATAAAAATAAAAATGTAAATAAGCTAGACCCAGGAAGCAGAAATCATGCCCATGCCCTGGGTTGTCTTGGTTATGGTTTATGTGCCAGTGCTTTTGTTACCTGTCTCCTGGATGGGCTATTCAGGCTTACAAGACTTTCCCTTAATCACCACACCTGGGGAGTGGGGGTGTCTCATAGATTTGCTGCCACCTGATAAAATGAAAATTCTAAATTCTCCTGGAATATTTTCTTGTTTACTAGAATAACATATCCTACAAATCTTGGTCTCCTACCACAGGAGAAAATTATTGTTTTTATGTATCAACTAACTTACATTCCTTAAGGTGGACTTTTCCCCAGATGTTAAAAAATGCATGCTGGGCGTGGTGGCTCAAGCCTGTAATTCCAGATACTTGGGGGACTGAGGTGGGAGGATCTTTTGAGCCTAGTAGTTGGAGGCTGCAGTGAACTATGATGGTGCCACTGTACTCCAGCCTGGGAAACAGAGCAAGACCTTTTCTGTATTTACAAAAAAAAGAGAAAAGACCGGGCATGGTGGCTTATGCCTGAAATCCCAGCACTTTGGGAGGCTGAGGTGGGAGGATAGCTTGAGCCCAGGAGTTCAAGACTGGCCTGGGCAACATAGAGAGACCCCGACTCTGCAAAATATAAAAATTAGGGCCCCAATGTCTACGCACACCGGAAGACAGAGGTCCTCTTTCCTTGCCTAATGCAGCCATGGCTCGTGGTCCCAAGAAGCATCTGAAGCAGGTAGCAGCTCCAAAGCATTGGATGCTGAATAAATTGACTGGTGTGTTTGCTCCTCATCCATCCACCAGTCCCCACAATTTGAGAGAGTGTCTCCCCCTCATCATTTTCCTAAGGAACAGACTTAAGTATGTCCTCACTGGAAATGAAGTAAAGAAGATTTGCATGCAGCGGTTCATTAAGATCAATGGCAAGGTCCGTACTGATATAACCTACTCTGCTGGATTCATGGATGTCAACAGCATTGACAAGTCGGGAGAGAATTTCCGTCTGATCTATGACACCAAGGGTCGCTTTGCTGTACATCGTATTACACCTGAGGAGGCCAAGTACAAGTTTGTGCAAACTGAGAAAAATCTTTGTGGGCACAAAAGGAATCCTTCAAATATATATATATGTGTGTGTGTGTGTATATATGTATATATATTTATATATATGTGTGTATACATATGCATATATATTTATGTGTGTATATATGTATATATATTTATATATATGTATGTGTGTATATATATTTTTTTCCCAAAGGAAAAAGAAGACGTGAGCCACCGTGCCCAGCCTCCACAATTGTATTATACATATATCAAAACATGTTGTACACTGTAAATATACATAACTTTTATTTGTCAGTTTCAGCTTAACAAAACTAGAGGAAAAGGCTAGTAGAGAACAAAACGAGATACGGGCATAGATAATAATGCAGAAGAATGGACAAGTATATTGCCAGGTGGTAGATTTATATAAAATTGCAAAGAATAAGATCCTCGTTATAAAAGCTGTATGTGAGGCCAGGCGTGGTGGCTCACGCCTGTAATCCCAGCACTTTGGGAGGCCGAGGTGGGTGGATCACCTGAGGTCAGGAGTTCAAGACCAGCCTGGCCAATATGGTGAACCCTCATCTCTACTACAAAATACAAAAATTAGCCGGATGTGGTGGCGGGCACCTGTAATCTCAGCTACTAGAGGGGGCTGAGGCAGGAGAATCACTTGAACTCGGGAAGTGGAGGTTGCAGTGAGCCGAGATGATGCCACCGCACTCCAGCCAGGGTGACAGAGCGAGACTCTACCTCAAAAAAAAAAAAGCTGCATGCAGATATATGTACTTAAATATATAGAAAAGGGACTCACAGGATATTTACCATGTTTCCTTCTGGGGAGAAGCGAGGCAATTCCTACTTGTTGGTATGGGAAGAGCACCTACCAGGGCAGAGTCTGAGAGAAATATCCTATTAACCTCAGGAATAATGTTCAATTCTGGGAAAAAGCCAGGAAGATGGACATTTATGTGTTCCATGGCAATACACGTATACATATTTTAAGAGTATTTTATAACCAAAATGTACGTATGCCTTCCTGGATTTTAAAAATACATTAATACCAAAAGCTAACAAAGTTATCAAGTGGAAAAAAATGCAAGTCTCTGTCTTTACCCACCCACCACTCACCTGCCTTCCCCACTTCCAGGCAGCCACCATAAACAATGTTCCCTTAGATGTGGAATTGTTCCTTTGTAAGTAAATATTGTTGTTAAGAGAAAATGCTAATAGCAAGGGTTTTCTGCAGCGAATTTTGATGGCTATGCATTGGGTGTGGTCACGGGAGGAGAAAGAAATTAAACCATCCCTCCAATGGAGGGGGAAAAAAGGAAAGAAAGGAAGAAAGGAAAGAGAAGACGATGACCCACAAAATGAGTACCTCTGAGTCTGATCCGAAACCCTTCTACACATAGTGTACAGGCACAACAGTTGACCACCAGGCCTTAATTATTATTATTATTATTTTTTTTTTTTTTAAAGCAGAGTTTCGCCCTTGTTACCCAGGCTGGAGTACAATGGCACAATAGCGGCTCACCGCAACCTCTGCCTCCCAGATTCAAGCGATTCTCCTGCCTCAGCCTCCCGAGTAGCTGGGATTACAAGCATGTGCCACCACGCCCGGCTAATTTTGTATTTCTAGTAGAGACATGGTTTCTCCATGTAGGCCAGGCTGGTCTCGAACTCCCGACCTCAAGTGATCTGCCCGCCTCGGCCTCCCAAAGTGCTGGGATTACAGGAATGAGCCACTGCACCCGGCCAATTTTTATTATTTTAAAATTGTATGTAAAGATGGAGACTCACTATGTTGCCCAGGTTGAACTCCTGGGTTCAAGCATTCTTCCTGCCTGCCTAGGCCTCCCAAGTGCTGGGATTACAAGTGGGAGCTACTGCACCCAACCCTGCCCTTTAAATAATATTGATGTTAATTAGAATAAGAGCAGCAGCTATTGTGCTTGATCCTGTTTCTTTTTCTTTCTTTTTCTTCTTCTTCTTTTTTTTTTTTTTTTTTTGAGACAGAGTCTCCCTCTATTGTCCAGGTTGGAGTGCAGTGGCACGATCTCTGCTCACTGCAACCTCCGCCTCCTGGGTTCAAGTTATTCTCCTGCCTCAACCTCTGGATTAGCTGGGATTACAGACGTGCCTCATGCCCGGCTAATTTTTGTATTTTTAGTGGAGACGGGGTTTCACCATGTTTGCCAGGCTGGTGTTGAACCCCTGACCTCAAGTGATCCACCTGCCTGGGCCTCCCAAAGTGCTGAGATTACAGGTGTAAGCCACCATGCCTGGCCCTTTTTCTTTTTTATAAATTGAGACAGGGTCTCGCTTTGTCACCCAGGCTGGAGTGCAGTGGCACAAACTCTGCTTGCTACAGCCTCAACCTCCTGGGTTTGAGCAATCCTCCTGCCTCAGCCTCTCGTGTAGCTGGGACCACAGGCACATGCCACCATGGCTGGTTAATTTTTAAATTTCCTGTAAAGACGGGGTCTTGTAGAGAACAGCCTAGGCTGGTCTGGAACTCTTGGGCTCAATCAATCCTCCTGCCTCAGCCTCTCAAAGCGCTTGGATTACAGACGTAAGCCACTGTGCCTGGCCTACCCATGGGGGTCCCAACTGCCACATTTTCTGCCGCTTGGGTTCACCCATCCCTCTCCTCCACCCGTCCCTCCTTTCTCAGTATTGTAAAACACACCCCGACCTCATATCATTTTACCCAGAAATATATCAGTGTCCATCTAAGCAGATAAAGGCGTTCTTGCTTGTTTGTTTTTCTAACGCCCAGTGTGATCGTCACTCCCAGTACACGTTAATAAAAATTTCTGGGCTGGGTGCAGTGGCTTGTGCCTGTAATCTTAGCACTTTGGGAGGCCAAGACAGGGGAATGGCTTGAGGCAAGGAATTTGAGACCAGCCTGGACAACAGAGTGAGACCCCCATCTCCACACACACACACACACACACACACACACACACAAATTAGCGCGGCGTGGTGGTGGAAGGCTGTGGTCTCAGTTACTTGGGAGGCTGAGGTGGGAGGATTGCTTGAGCCCAGGAGGTTGAGGCTGCAGTGAGCCATGATTGTGCCACTGCACTCCAGCCTGAGTGACAGAGTGAGACCCTATCTCAAAATAAATAAATAAGCCAGGCACTTATTAATTCTGTGACTCCCATCTGTAATCATAGCACTTGGGGAGGCTGAGACAGGAAAATTGCTCAAACCTGAGAGGGGGAGGTTGCAGTGAGCAGAGATCATGCCACTGCACTCCAGCCCGGGCAACAGAGTGAGTGAGACTTCATCTCAAAAAATAATAATAATAAATGAATAATAATTTCTTACCATCTAACAACAGGTCCCCTTTTCAATTCTGTGCTTTTAAATGAGACCAGAGGAAGAGCTGGAAAGCTTTGGAAACTTGCCAAACATTGTAAAGCACTTAAATGAATGTCTTCAAGGGCTGTGCTCAAAGTGTGATCCCCAGGCAGGGCCACCAAACCACCCTGGAGCTTGCTAGAAATGCAAAATCCCAGGCCCAGGGCCCCAGATCCAGTGGAACTGAACTACCGCTGGACCAAAACCAATGGATCATTAAAGTTTAAGGTTGGCTATCTCCACTGTGTGGAAGGCAGTGGCTGGTCCTCTCTGAATTAATCTACTTTTTCTTGAGGCCTGGATCTTGCTGGTTGATAGCAGCTTCACTGAGTCTTCCCACCAGCAGTGAGAGCCTGCCATGTGTTAAACATCAACCAGGCCTATGGGGACAGTTGAGGTCACTGCCGTTGACAGGCTCCTATTCTAGTGCAAGATACAGACAAGAAGCTAATAAATGATAAAGAAATAGAGTAATCCCAGGTTGTGATTATTAACATATGAGTTGTGCGAGGCCTCCCCAACAAGCCTATTGAAATTGCACCAGCAGAGCCAGGTGCGGTGGCTCACACCCGTAATCCCTGCACTTCAGGAGGCTGAGGTGGGCGGATCACCTAAGGTCAGGAGTTGGAGAACAGCTGGCCAACATGGTGAAACTCCGTCTCTACTAAAAGTACAAATATTAGCTGGGAATAGTAGCACCTGCCTGTAATCTCAGCTACTAGGGAGACTGAGGCATGAGAATCTTTTGAACCTGGGAGGTGGAGGTTGCAGTGAGCCGAGATCGCACCACTGCACTCTAGCCTGGTTGACAGAGCAAGCAAGACTCAGTCTCAAAAAAAAAAAGAAAAGAAAAGAAAAAGAAATGGTTCCAGCGCCTAAGGTGTCCTCCCCCTCTGGCTTTACTTTGCCCTGTGGCCCTGTTTCCAGATGCTGGGCCATGCATCTTACTACTTATTTGCTCATTGCTTTTCTCCCAGGCCAGGAAGTAATCATCACACACAGACTGCCATATACCCACCCTTAGGACACAGAAGGAGTAGGAGAAATACTTGTTGAATGAAAGCTACTATGACTTTTCAAACAATGAGAGTGCCTAAAAGTGATCAATACCTGATTAGCGATTGTTTTTTAATACATCTGATTCCTACCCATGGGAAGAGTTCCTATGTGGAATGAGGCTACAATTCTTTCACTGAAAATAAATTGCACCCTATCCTGGGTGCTGCTCCAACCTCACCTCAGGGCTGGGAGCCTGGTGCTGCCACACCCTTGCCCTGAGCAGAAGAATCCGGAAGAAGCCTTTGGCCAGAGCCGCAGGTGAGTCATTTGAGGACTCTATGCCCTTGTGGCCATCCTTCGGTCACCTGTCTGGAATTTTATTTTTTTTAGCCCCCGGGCTCTGCACCAAAGAGCTGGCTTTTTTTGTTGTTGTTCCAGCTATACCTAAAAGGGACCAGCCTCATTCATATAAAGATCTCAGATCTCTCAAAAGGCATCTACAAATTAAGAGTAATTCTGCTCAAAATTAAAGGAAAAACATTTTTTTGGCGGAGGAGGGAATTGTGTAGAGTTGAAGAAATCCAAGAGATTGTAAAGTTCTTGTGGAGGGTGGAGTCAGTGAGAGGAGGCAGAGAAACAAGGCGAAGGCCTTTGCGCTCCATCTGGTATCTGTGTCCAATAGATGGTTTCACCCACAGCATGGCAGAGTCCAGCAAGGATCCAAGAATATGCAGGAATCAGGGAAATGATGAAGACAGCACTTTAAATGGGAGGGATTTTTAAGTAAATGCTATTAGGCCAATCAACTGGAAGTCTATTCATTTGCAAACAGTAACATGAGGCTTCCTCCTCAAACCCCAAACACATATACACGCACATTCCACAGTTCCACACGGGCTCAAGACCCAAACCAAAAAAACAAATTCTATGAGAATGCTTGATACAAGACTAATAAAAAGAAGACTGGGCCAGGTGCGGTGGTGGCTCATGCCCATAATACCAACACCTTGGGAGGCCTAGGCAGGAGGATCACTTAAGGCCAGGAGTTTGAGACCAGCCTGGGCAGCACGGTGAGACCCCCGTCACTACAAAAAATACAAAAATTAGCTGGGTGTGCTCGCATGCTCCTGTGGTCCCAGCTACTCACCGGGCTGAGGTGGGAGGATCGCTTGAGCCCAGGAAATGGAGGCTGCAGTGAGCCCCGATTGAGTGATTGAACCTGGGTGACAGAGCATGACCCCGTCTCAAAAAAGAAAAAAAAAAAGAAACTACACTTTCAGGGATAATTTCTATAGTTGGTTACTAGAGAAGTTTCTTTAAATATGTAGAGCACCATTTAAACAGAATAATAAAAAGGCTGTGAGCAGTGGCTCATGCCTGTAATCCCAGCACTTTGGGAGGCCGAGGTGGGCAAATCGCTTGAGGCCAGGAGTTCGAGACCAGCCTGGCCAACATGGCAAAACCCCATCTCTATGAAAAATCCAAAAATTAAGCCGGGTGTGGTAGCTCATGCCTGTAATCTCAGCACTTTGGGAGGCCAAGGCAGACAGATCACCTGAGGTTGGGAGTTCAAGACCAGCCTGGCCAAAATGGTGAAACCTCGTCTCTACTAAAAATACAAAAATTAGCCAGGTGTGGTGGTGCATGTCTGTAATCACAGCTACTCAGGAGGCTGAGGCAGGAGAATTGCTTGAACCTGGGACGCGGAGGTTGCAGTGAGCTGAGATTGTGCCACTGCACTCCAGCCTGGGTGACAGAGCAAGACTCTGTCTCAAAAAAAAAAAAAAAAAAAAAGAGAAAGAAAAATACAAAAATTAGCCGGACTTGGTGGTCCACACCTGTAATCTCAGCTGCTCGGAGGCTGAAGCGGGAGAATCACTTGGACCAGACCCTGGAGACAGAGGTTGCAGCGAGCAGAGATTGCATCACTGCACTCTAGCCTGGGCAACAGAGTGAGACTCCATTTTAAAATAATAAGAAGAAGAAGAAGAAGAAAAAGAGAAAGAACACTAAAAAGATAGTGCAATGGTAACATGAGCAAAGAGCTTAAACAGGTAGTTCACTGAAGAAGGAATACAAGTAAATACAGTAAATACCAGAAGAGTTGTCATCACCATACCATTTCTACCATCAGGGCGCACAGATACTAAAATGACAAACAAACAGAAAATGAGACATAGCTGGAGATACCGTCGAAGAAGGGCCAAGAATGTTGCTTGGCAAATTCATGTAAAAGAGCAGTAAGATCTTCTTTAAAAAAGCTGTGTGCAGAAATATGTACTTAAATACAGTATATAGAAAAAGGACTCAATGGCTACAGACTTCTTAATCCTGGTTATTTCTGTGGAGAAGCTAGGGAGTTCCTACTTGTTATAGTGTACCAAGTGGAACATCCATTGCAGGTGAACTTACCAGGACACAGGCTCTCTTCTTCGCTGTCGGCAGGGGTCTAATTCAATTGATGGGAGCATTTGAGAACCTAAATGTAGCATTAGCTAAAAACTCTTGGACACTACACCCTCCCTTCTTGCATTTACCCTATAGCATGTACCTGTATGATTCTGTAAGTCCTATAGATACTATGGGGGATGGATCCATTACATTCTGTAGCATTGAACTTCCCAAATGCTCACAGCCCTTAGGTCCTAAACAGCCTGTGGGGTGGCTTTTGCTTGGGCCACAGGCTATATTAAAATATATTGCAATCAAGCAGGGGAATAGTTTAATCTTAAAGCAAGTGGTTTAGCACCTGGTGTGAGAATCTCGCTTGAGCCGCCTGCCTGGCCCTAAAGGGGACATCTCTAAACATCTGCCTCTGGGGTTCTGAAGTGTGCAGTGGGGAGTCACCTTCACAGAGAGGACTTGCTGTGACCTGTAAGACACCATGCCTCTTCTCTTTCCTTCCGAGTGCTGCCTGACAGTGTCCTAAGTATTTGTTTGTGGTGGTTTATCCTCCCCAATCATGGTAAGCTTTGTGAGATCAGGGGCTTTGTTGCTTTTGTTCCCCGGGGTCCCCAAGCCAGGCCTGGCATCTGGGAGGTGCTCAGAGTGTATCTGTTACAGGAACAAGAAAGTCTTATCCACCGCCCATGCAGCTTAAGTAAAGCATTGTATTTACTAAACACTCGCTGTGGTCCAAATGCTTTGTTGAGCAAGGTAGATAAGAGGATGGATGTTTGTGGACTGAAAGAACCAGCTCCTGACCCCACCCTTAGTGCTCCAATTCTGGCTGAGCTCTGGGTGCCCCAGGGCCTTGCTATCCCTTCCCCTCCCCCTGCTTCCTCTAAGAATCTTCTCCATCCTTCAAGACCCTCAGGATTGCTGCGAAGCTCTCTCACCCCTGGACTGGACCAGACCACCCGTAGCCTCCCATAGCACCCTCCTGTATCACCTCTGTAAATGCTGGGCTGGTTATGGAACTGTCCACCAAGTGCGAAGGTTTATCTCCCACTGCTGATGGGAAGCCCCCTGAAGATGGGGATTTTTGGCCTCTTTTTTTTTTTTTTCTTTGAGACAGGGTCTCGCTGTCGCCCAGGCTGGGGTGCAGCTGCACAATCATGGCTCACCACAGCCTTGACCTCTCAGGCTCAAGTAATTCTCCCACCTCGGCCTCCTGGGTAGCTGGGAGCACAGGCGCGTGCCACCATGCCTAGCTAATGTTTCTATTATTTGTAAAGACTGAGTCTTCTTATGTTGCCCAGGCTGCTCTGGAACTCCTGGGCTCAAGCGATCCTCCCTCCTCAGCCTCCCAAATTGTTGGGATTACAGGCGTGAGCCATCACGCTAGCCAGATTTTGGCCTCTTTGGTTGAGTGTCAGCTCCCCAGCACAGGGCCTGGGAATCTGTGGAATGAATGCACGAGTAGTACCAGACTGACAACTGGGGCAGAGGTGGGGAATCCCAGCATGGAGGGACCTGGGCAGACCTGGGTGGCCAGTCTGAAAGGTGATGCATGTGATTCAACACCTGGCCCGAGAGGGGACCACTTAGGCCTTCCCGGGTGCTCATGCCACAGACACATGCAGACCCTGGGCACAGCCTGAATGAGGCCTTTGTTAGGATGAAGGGTTTGGCTTTCCAAGCCCCCCAAGCGCTCTGCAGACATTACTTTTCACTTATCTCTCCCCCATATCCCAAGAGGTTGAGACTATCATTTTCATTTTTTTTTTTTTTTTTTTTTTGAGACAGAGTCTTGCTCTGTCACCCAGGCTGAAGTGCAGTGGCTCGATTTCGGCTCACTGCAACCTCCGCCTCTTGGGTTCAAGCGATTCTCCTGCCTCAGCCTCCCAAGTAGTTGGAATTGCAGGCGGGTGTCACCCTGTCCCGCTAATTTTTGTTATTTTTTTTTTAGTAGAGATGGGGTTTCACCATGTTGGCCAGGCTGGTCTTGAACTCTTGGCCTCAAGTGATCCACCCACCTCAGCCTCCCAAAGTGCTGGGATTACAGGTATGAGCCACCACGCCCGGCTATCATTTTTATTTTAAAAGTGTGGAAACTGAGGCACGGAGAGGTTAGGTCGCTTCCAGTGAGGGATGAAGGTGGGTTGAACCTGGAGCCCTGGGACCCCAGGTCAGTGCAGCCTCACATGGAGCCAGCTGCCTCGGTCCTGGTTGCACTTGAGGCCTTGCTGGCTCTGACACTGACAAAGTTTGAAAGTTCCCTCCTAACCTCCCTGAGCCTCAGTTTCTTCGTCTGTAAATAGAAATATGCAAAGGACCCATTTCACAGGGCATCGTGAAGCTCAGATGACCTCGTGCACAGGGCCCAGGTCAGGTGGGGTTCCTGCTGTGCGGGGCTGGCCATTCGCATCCCTGACCTCCTGGCGGTGCCTGTTCCATGCCCAGCGAGCCCCAGAGGAACAAATCTTTCACTAATGCTCATTACGGGTTAAGCTGAACCCCACCTTTCACATGCAAGAGGCCTTCCCTTTCCTGTGGGAGGCAGGAGGGCATCCTGATTAGCACCAAGCTCTGGACCCAAGGTTTGAGGTTTGGCTCTGGGGCCTTGGACAGTCTTCCAACTTCCCTGTGGGTGAAATAGTCAAAACCCATGTTTCCATCTCAGGGATGTGAGGAGGATCTTATCTAGATCAATGCCCAGAAATCATAATGCACTGTGCCTGGCACAGAGTCGGTGCCCAGGCAGGGTCTCAGCCTCATTATCGATGCCACTCAGCCCTCCTGCCCTCCTCTGTGGCCTGGCTTAAAGTCTTCCTGGTGGAATTAGGCGCCCAAGCTCAGAAGTTTCACCTGTTCCACCAAGGACTCCAGAGATCTTCATAGGGATCCCCCAAGTCTTCGCTTGGACATTATGATGTTTCACCTTAGGTGTCAAGATGAAGGCACACGTGGTGCCCAGACATTAGTCAAACATTATTCTGGTCCAGGCATGGTGGCTCACACCTATAAACCCAACACTTAATCTGTGCATTTTATTTTATTTTATTTTATTTTATTTATTTTATTGTTTGAGATGGAGTCTTGCTCTGTCACCCAGGCTGGAGTGCAATGGTGCGATCTTGACTCACTGCAACCTCCGCCTCCCAGGTTCAAGTGATTCTCCTGCCTCGGCCTCCTGAGTAGCTGGGATTACAAGCGCCCACCACCATGGCTGGCTAATTTTTCTATTTTAAGTAGAGACAGAGTTTCACCATGTTGGCCAGGCTGGTCTTAAAATCCTGGCCTCAAGTGATTCACCCACCTCAGCTTCCCAAAGTGTTAGGATTACAGGAGTGAGCCACTGCACCCAGTCAATCTGTGCATTTTATACTTTGTAAACTAGATCTCTATAAGGTTGATTTAAAATGTTAAAAAAGAAAGTAAGCAGCTGGGCACGGTGGCTCATGCCTGTAATCCCAGCACTGTGGGAGGCCGAGGCAGGTGGATCACCTGAGGTCAGGAGTTCAAGACCATCCTGGCCAACATGGTGATACCCCGTCTCTACTAAAAATACAAAAATTAGCTGGGCGTGGTGGCAGGTGCCTGTAATCCCAGCTACTCAGGAGGCTGAGGCAGGAGAATCACTGAAACCCAGGAGGCGGAGGTTGCAGTTAGCTGAGACCCAGCCTGGGCAACAAGAGCAAAACTCCATCTCAAAAAAAAAAAAAGAAAGAAAGAAAGAAAGTAAGGCCGGGCGCGGTGGCTCACGCCTGTAATCCCAACACTTTGAGAGGCTGCGGCAAGCGGATCACGAGGTCAGGAGATCGAGACCATCCTGGCTAACACGGTGAAATCCCGTCTTTACTAAAAATACAAAAAATTAACTGGGCGTGGTGGCGGGCGCCTGTAGTTCCAGCTACTCCAGAGGCTGAGGCAGGAGAATTGCTTGAACCTGGGAGGCGGAGGTTGCAGTGAGCTGAGATTGCACCACTGCACTCCAGCCTGGGCGACAGAGCGAGACTCCGTCTCAAAAAAAAAAAAAAAAAGAACGAAAGAAAGTAAATATATATCCATATATGGAAAAGGCTAATTTTATGGAGGTCGTTGTGATTCTAACCATTGTAGAGGGTACCTAAGAGGAAAGGGAGACTGATCCTAACAACTCGGACCTGACCCTGGCATGCTGCTCAGCCTCACTCAGGGTGGGAAGCCTGGGCACTCCCACACTGTGTCCTGTGCTGCCTTCATTGAAAGAAGTCAGAAGAAGCCTTAGGCCAGAGGCACAGGTAAGTCATTTGAGAACTCTATGCCCTTGTGGCCATCCTCTGGGCCACCTGTTTGGATTTTGATTTGATAACCCAGGGTTTCTCAACCTCAGCACTGTTGACATTTTGGACCAGATAATGCTTTGTTGTGGGGACTGTGCTTGTAGGATGTGGAGCAGCATTGCTGGCCTCTACCCACTAGATGCCAGGGGCACCCTCCCTAGTCATGACAACCAAAACATATCCCCGAACCTAGCTGAATGTCCCCTGGGGGGTCGGGGGCACTAAATCGCCTTGGTTGAGCTACTGCTTTAATATAAGACTTCTGCCCCAGGGCTTGCCCTTTCTAGACTGAAAAGAGACCTTATCTCAGCCTCATTAGTAGAAAGATATCCAGTCTTTAAATCTACCCATTCTGAGTAATTCCACACAAAATTAGAGCAAGATTTGTTTATGTGTTGGAAGGTGGGGAAGAACAGGACACATTGGTTCTATAACCTTACTGGAAGACTTGAACGAGGGAGATGAGGCAGAAATTGAAACAAGGCTGAAAGCTACAATAATCAAAACAGTCTGGCCTCAACATAGGAATAGACTCAGTGGGACAGAATCATAGGAATAGAATCAACTAAACAGGTAAGAGGGTGCAGAAGAAGGCACATGGATAGAGGTCAGCTCATTATATGATTAAAGGTGACATTTCCAGGCCAGGTGCCATGGCTCTTGCCTGTAATCCCAGCACTTTGGGAGGCTGAGGTGGGCGAATCACCTGAGGTCAGGAGTTTGAGACCAGCCTGACCAACATGGCGAAACCCTGTCTCTACTAAAAATACAAAAATTAGCCGGGCGTGATGGTGGGCACCTACAATCCAAACTACTCAGGAGGCTGAGGCAGGAGAATTGCTTGAACCCGGGAGATGGAGGTTGCCATGAGCCGAGATTGCGCCACTGCACTTCAGCCTGGGCGACAGTGTGTGACTCCGTCTCAAAAAAAGAAAAAAAAATGCATATCAAATGTGCACTTTGTTTTGGAGTGGATTATCTTGTTGGCAAAAAATTGAGGACTGGTAAAGTAACTCTCCTCCCTACAACATCTGGATTTAGCACTTTTCCTGCATTGCTGTAGGGAAGATGAGGGAGTGGGACCTTTTAGAGACTGTAGTCTCCTACAGCCTTACCCTGGCAGCCCCCAGGCCCTAAATAGCCTGTGGATGTGTTTGTTTGTGCCACAGGTTACTTTAAAAGGCAGCTTGACTCAGCTTGTTAGGGTGTGTGCTCAGCACCTAGTGTTCACACATTTTTGACACCTGCCTGGCCCTGAAGGGTGAGTTACTAAACCACTATGTTCCCTGGTTCCTTCAAATGCAAAATGAACATATAATCCTTCCTACCTCACAGGGTTCATACAAGGATTAAATGAACTAGTACATGCAGAGGGCTGGTGAGGAACATGCGGTAGGCCTGTTAGCCATGCGGCATATGAAAAAAGCCTAACAAAAGTGAAAAAAAAAAAAAAGGCCAGGCTCAGTGGTCCCCACCTGGAATCCTGTCACTTTGGGAGGCTGAAGTGGGAGAACTGCTCGAGGGCCAGGGGTTCAAAACCAGCCTGGGCAACATACTGTGACCTCGTCTTTGAAAAATAATAATAATAATAATAACATAACAAAAAAAATCCTAACATCCTAACACGGCAGTTATTATCTTTTTTTTTTTTAAGATGAGATCACGGCACTGCACTCCAGCCTGAGCAACAAGAGCGAAATCTCCGTCTCAAAGAAAAAAAAAAAAATTTATGTTGCTATGTTGCCCAGGCTGATGACTCCACTATTGTTATTAAAAAAGAATTTGGCTGGGTGCGGTGGCTCATGTCTGTAATCCCAGCACTTTGGGAGGCTGAGGCGGGAGGATCACCTGAGGTCGGGAGTTCGAGACCAGCCTGACCAACATGGAGAAACCCCATCTCTACTAAAAATACAAAAATTAGCCAGGTGTGTTGGTACATTCCTATAATCCCAGCTACCCAGGAAGCAGGAGAATTGCTTGAACCCGGGAGGCGGAGGTTGCAGTGAGCCAAGATCATGCCATTGCACTCCAGACTGGGCAACAAGAGCAAAACTCTGTCTCAAAAAAAAAAAAAAATACAATTCATTATGAGCCAGATGTGATAGCTCATGCCTATAATCCCAGCACTTCGGGAGGCCAATGCAGGTGGATCATTTGAACCCAGGAGTTGGAAACCAGCCTGGGCACCATGGGGGAAACCCCCTCTCTGCATAAAATACAAAAATCAACCGGGCAAGGTGGCATGCACCTGTAGACCCAGCTGCTCGGGAAGCTGAGGTGTGAGGATCACCTGTAGTCCCAGCTACTCGGGAAGCTGAGGTGGGAGGATCACCTGAGCCTGGGGAGTTGGAAGCTGCAGAGCTGTGACTGCACCATTGCACTCCAGCCTGAGTGACAAAACGAGACCCTGTGTCAAGAAACAAACAAATATTATTGTTTTAGCCGGGCACAGTGGCTCACACCTGTAATCCCAGCACTCTGGGAGGCCGAAGAGGGTGGACAGATCACTTGAGGTCAGGAATTTGAGACCAGACTGGCCAATGTGGTGAAACCCCATGTCTACCAAACAATACAAAAATTAGCTGGGCATGGTGGCATGTGCCTGTAATCCCAGCTACTTGGGAGGCTGAGGCAGGAGAATCGCTTGAACCCAGGAGGTGGAGTTTGCCGTGAGCCGAGATCACGCCACTGCACTCCAGCCTGGGTGACAGAGCGAGACCCTGTCTTAAAGAAAAAAAAATTCTGTTTAATGTTATAGCTTTAACGTAACATTTGTTATGTTTTCTATATCATAAATCATACAGATTATGACTAGAAAAAATGTAGAATTATACTTCTGTGTTCTAGTAGTTTTTATCTCTGTGAATGGGAGTGTGGGGAAATTGGAGACTATTCTATTTTGTCTACTTCCTTTGTGATTGCCTTTTTATTTATTTATTTTTTTTGAGTCAGAGTCTCACTCTGTCACCCAGGCTGGAGTGCAGTGGCGTGATCTGGGCTCACTGCAACCCCTGCTTCCCGGGTTCAAGTGATTCTCCTGCCTCAGCCTCCCGAGTACCTGGGACTACCGGCGCCCACCACCATGGCCGGCTAATTTTTGTATTTTTAGTAGAGACAGGGTTTCCCCATATTGGCCAGGCTGGTCTCAAACTCCTGACCTTGTGATCCATCTGCCTCGATCTCCCAAAGTGCTGGGATTCCAGGCGTGAGCCACGGCGCCAGCCTGTGCTTGCCTTTTGAGCATTCAAGTCTCCACTAAAGACTGTCTCCTTTACCTGAGCACCTCTTCGTAATGCCCTCTCTCCCCGTGGTTTCTCAGCCCTTGGCCTTTCTTCCTAGCACTGTCTGGCCTGAGGGTTTTATGTACATGGTGCTTCTGGTCTTCCTTTCAATGCTTCTTGAGGGCAGGGACTTAACCTCTCTTTTGCCACTGTCCCCTGGCACAGGAGAGGGGCTGGCAAACTGCCTGCTGAGTGAATGAGGAAATCCACTCACCACCTGGTGAGATTATCAAAGGATGGAACAGCATTTTCCTTCCTAAACATCTACTCTGGGCCAAATACTCTGGAGCTAACATGTGTTGAGTGACGCGTGCATCTCAGCTCCCAGTTCCTGTGGACAATGGAGCCCCTTTCAGAAGATGAGCTCTCTGTCTCTGGGTACGCCAGGACCTGCCACACCCTTCCCTTTCCTGCCCCTTGGCTTCGTGTTAGGATCTCCTTCTTCCATCCTCCCCAGTTCCAAAGTCAGCTGTTCAGTCCAGCCTGACGGTGCAGTCCAGCTGTTGGGAACCCCTAGCTAGCCTAGCCCCTCCCCAGGCTGTGTTACAGACACGCACAGCCACGTGGCTCCCTGGCCTCTGCTGAAGCCTTTGTCCTCTCAGCATTTCTTCCCTCTTGCTCTCCCTTCTTTCCTTCCTTCCTCTTTTTTTTTTTTCCCATTAAACTGATTTCTTTTTGTTTTTGAGACGGAGTTTCACTCTTGTTGTCCAGGCTGGAGTGCAGTGGTGCGATCTTGACTCACTGCAACATCCGCCTCCCAGGTTCAAGCGATTCTCCTGTTTCAGCCTCCCAAGTAGCTGGGATTACAGGCACCTGCTGCCACGCCCGGCTAACTTTTTTTTTATTTTTAGTAGAGACAGGGTTTCACCATGTTGGCCAGGCTGGTCTCGAACTCCTGACCTCAGGTGATCCGCCTGCCTCGGCCTCCCAAAGTGCTGGGATTACAGGCATGAGCCACTGTGCCCGGCCTATAACAGTTTCCTTACTGCTTACCTCCTCCAGGTCAACATAAGCTTCATGAGTCTGGGGATGTCATCAGTTTTGTTCCTGTTCTGTATCCCAGCACCTGCAATAGAGCCTACCACAAAGTAGGCCCTGAAAAAAACTGTTGACTGGATAAATGAGTGCATGCCCTCCTGGACTACAAGCTGCAAGAAGGCAGGTTTCCTGCTCGTTGACAGCCTAGCAGAGGTCCCGACTGTTGAATGAAGGAATGAGTGTCTTAAGCTCCCCTCATTTGCCGATTCACCTGAGGACTACTGACCTGGCAGATGGACCTAGGAGGTGGACCTGGCTGATGAGGGGTGCAGGGAGGTGGCTCAGTGTAGGGCTGGGGCACCTGACCCTGGAGGCCTGGGGGTGTGGGGGATGGTCAGCCTCAGAAATAGGATTCAGTCTGGGTCAGAGAGCCCCTATGCTATGAGAATGAAGAGAATCTCAATGACAATAGTAACAGTTATGCTCGAACACCTTTTTTTGCTATTACTGTCTAAACACTCTATCTACATTTTCTTCTTTAATCCTCAACCCTATGAGATAGGCACTATTGTTTTGTTTTGTTTTTTGAGACAGAGTCTGGCTCTGTCACCCAGGCTGGAGTGCAGTGGCGCAATCTCGGCTCACTGTAACCTCCACCTCCCGGGTTCAAGTGATTCTCCTGCCTCAGTTCCCAAGTAGCTGGGACTACAGGCGCGCGCCACCATGCCCAGCTAATTTTTGTATTTTTTAGTAGAGACAGTGTTTCACCATGTTGGCCAGGCTGGTCTCGAACTCCTGACCTCAGGTAATCCACCCGCCTAGGCCTCCCAGAGTGCTGGGATTCCAGGCATGAGCCACCGCACCCGGCTGGCACTACTGTTGCTTCCATGTTGTTGAAGAACTTTGATTAAGATATGGCAGAGTCAAAGTGTGGACTAGACCTGGCTTCCAACCTGTGATCTTAACCACGAGCTTCAGGGACAAGAGTGTGGTGCATTCTGGGAAAGGCAGACACCACCTGCCTTCCAGCTCCACGGGCAACTCTCAATAAAATATGACATTTAAGGCAGTTGAGTCCCCTATTTTCTAATGCTGAGTGCCATAAAGCATGGCCCCCACCTTTGCTCTCTGTCTTCAGCCCCCCACTAGAGCAGGCCGTAGCTGCCAGTGCCTTGTAGAGTCCGAGACAAAGAAAAATGTGCGCCTCCATATGCATTTACCAAAGAAGCCTCCCAAGTGGAAACAGTTAATAAAAACTCAACATCAACAACAAAATGACTCTGCCGGGCATGGTGGCTCACACCTGTAAATCCCAATACTTTGGGAAGCCAAAGTGGGAGGATTGCTTGAGCCCAGGATTTTGAGACCAGCTTGGGCAACATAGTGGGAGCTCATCTCTGTTTATTTGTTTGTTTATTTTTTTGAGATGGAGTCTCACTGTGTTGCCAGGCTGGAGTACAGTGGCACGATCTCGGCTCACGGCAACCTCCACCTCCCAGGATCAAGCAGTTCTCCTGTCTCAGCCTCCCGAGTAGCTGGGACTACAGGTGTGCACCACCATGCCCGGCTAATTTTTGTATTTTTAGTAGAGACGGGGTTTCACCATGTTGGCCAGGATGGTCTCAATCTCTTGAGCTTGTGATCTGCATGCCTCAGCCTCCCAAAATGCTGGGATTACAGACGTGAGGCACTGTGCCCAGCCTCATCTCTATTTAAAAAAAAAAAAAAAAAAAAGCGGCCAGGCACAGTGGCTCATGCCTGTAATCCTAACACTTTGTGACGCTGAGGCAGGCGGATGACCTGAAGTTAGGAGTTTGAGACCAGCCTGACCAAAGTGGAGAAACCTCGTCTCCACTAAAAATACAAAATTAGCTGGGCATGGTGACGCATGCCTGTAATCCCAGGTACTTGGGAGGCTGAGGCAGAAGAATCGCTTGAACCCGTGAGGTAGAGGTTGCGGTGAGCCCAGACTGAGCCATTGCACTCCAGCCTGGGCAGCAAGAGCGAAATTCCATCTCAAAAATATAAATAAATAAATAAATAAATATATATATTTTTAAAAAAAGCATGACTCTGGATAAAGCCCCTTCTTGCCCAATCTGTTTGCTCGCCATTGTCAACTCCTATGACAGCAAGGGTAGGGGACAAAGAAGGGCTTGGAACTTTGAGCTGATTGGAAATAACTGGGGTGGAGGGGAAAATAAAAGGAAATAACTATTTCCATTGCACAATAATACAGGGCAGTGAAACAAACAACAGTCTGTCTTTTTTTTTTTTTTTTTCTGAGACAGAGTCTTGCTCTTTAGCCCAGGCTGGAGTGCAGTGGTGCGATCTTGGCTCACTGCAACCTCCGCCTCCCAGGGTCAAGCGATTCTCCTGCCTCAGCTTCCCAAGTAGCTGGGACTACAGGCACATACCACCACATCTGGCTAAGTTTTGTATTTTTAGTGGAGATGGGGTTTTACCATGTTGGCCAGACTGGTCTCGAACGCCTGACCTCAAGTGATCCACCTGCCTTGGCCTCCCAACGTGCTGGGATTACAGGCATGAGCCACCACACCCAGCCAAAAACTATTTATTTAAAACAAAGTCAAGGTCTTAATGAGTGGTGTTGAGTAGGGTAAAGTTATTGTGTAAAAGCCTAATTTGTGATAAGATTAAAGAACATCCTTCAGCACAAAAAGGGTTCACAGATCTGAGTCACAGTGAGGGATAAAGAAATCCCTATTCTATACAGTTATAGTTTTGGAACACGCAGGTTTGATTCAGTGTACACAGTTTTAAAGTCTCACATATGAATAGGAGAATAAATAATATCACCCTTGTTTTCATAGCAATCATTTATGCCAGTGGGTCTCAAACTTCAGTGTGTTCCAGAATCACCTGGAGAGCTGGTCAAGGCACAAGCTGCCGGGCTCCACTTACAGATCTTCTGATTTCAAGGGGTCTGAGGTGGGGCCTGAGAATGGGGAGTTCTAACAAGTTCCCATGGGATGCTCTTCGTCTGGGGCCTTATTTGAGAGCCACTGCTTTGTGCTGAGTGCAGGATTTTTTTTGTTTTGTTTTGTGTTTTGAGACAGGGTCTCTCTGTCACCCAGGCCGGAGTGCAGTGGCATAGTCATGGCTCACTGCAGCCTCAATCTCCTGGGGTCAAGTGATCCTCCCGCCTCAGCCTCCTGTGTAGCTGGGACCACAGGCACATGCCACCACACCCAGCTCATTTTTGTATTTTTTGTAGAGATGGGGTTTTGCCATGTTGCCCAGGCTAAGTGCAGGATTTTAATGGATAAGAACTTTCCAAATGGCAAATAAATGACATTGGACGAGGGCGTAACAGATCTGTTTACGCAGCAGTAGGACATCTTTAACCAAAATGAAAACGCATTATTGCCTCGTAGGATAAATTAGGGTAGGGAAGTGTTATGAATCTCTTTTGAGCATATCTAGGTTTCTTTTTTTTTCTCTTTTTTATTTTTGAGACAGAGTCTCACTGTCGCCAGGCTGGAGTGCAGTGGTGTGATCTTGGCTCACTGCAATCTCCGCCTCCCAGGTTCAAGAGATTCTCCTGCCTCAGCCTCCCAAGTAGCTGGGACTACAGGCATCCGCCACCATGTCCGGCTAATTTTTGGATTTTTAGTAGAGATGGGGTTTCACCATGTTGGCCAGGATGTTCTTGATCTCTTGACCTTGTGATCTGCCTGCCTTGGCCTCCTAAAGTGCTGGGATTACAGGCATGAGCCACCGTGCCCGGCTAAGCATATCTTTTCTCTTTTTTTTATTTTTTGAGACGGAGTCTCAATCAGTCGCCCAGGCTAGAGTGCAATGATGCGATCTCGGCTCACTGCAAGCTCCGCCTCCCGAGTTCATGCCATTCTCCTGCCTCAGCCTCCCGAGTAAGCTGGGACTACAAGCGCCCGCCACCGTGCCCGGCCCCAGCCAAGCATATCTAAGTTTCTTAAGGAAAGGAAATGTTGGCCTGGCACGGTGGCTCATGCCTGTGATCCCAGCATTTGGGAGGCTGAGACGGGCAGATCACAAGGTCAAGAGATCGAGACCATCCTGGCTAACACGGTGAAACCCCGTCTCTACTAAAAATACAAAAAATTAGCCAAGTGTGGTGGCACGTGCCTGTAGTTCCAGCTACTCGGGAGGCTGAGGCAGGAGAATCGCTTGAACCTGGGAGGCGAAGGTTGCAGTGAGCCAAGATCACGCCATTGCACTCCAGCCTGGGCAACAAGAGCGAAACTCCATCTAAAAAATAAAAATAAAAATAATTAAAAAAAGATTTTATTCAGTGGAGGTGAAAATATATATATATATGGTCTCTAAAAATTTTTGATTGGTGTGTCTGGTACTGAAAAGGGCTTGGAGATTGATATTTATTTTATACTACAGAGTATACAGAGTAGATCTAAAGAATAACATTTTTTCTTTCTTTGAGGTTCTGGTTTTAATTTGGTGTTGATTTTTGCTGGCTAGAGTTCCCCTCTGGATCTCTGGGTTGCCACGGTGACATTTTGGCCTTTATCACATTGCTGTTGTTTTTGGGCCTGCAGCTCCACTGAAATGAGTTCTTACATGCAGGACTCAGGAGCTTGGCACTGGGTCTAGGGAAGCCCATGTTTGTGTGCCACGTGAGGAAGATGAGGGAGAGAAAGTTAAGATACCACAGTCTGGCTCATGGGAGTTTAAAAAGTGGACAAAGGAGAAAGAACTGTCCCAAAAAGGTGTTGCTCCAGCTTCCTTGCAGACCCTTCCAGTGGGTGTTATCTCGAGGAAAGGGACCCTGGGGAGGTTGGAACCTTGTCGAAGTGCCAATTTTTCATCCTCATGTATTGTGACAGGAAAAGGTGCTCCAGTTTCTGAAGACAGGTAATATATTTGGGCATTAACAATGGTTATGGCATCCTTTGGTTTTTTAAATTGTAAAAGTAGATATTGGCCAGGAGCAGTGGCTCACGCCTGTAATCCCAGCACTTTGGGAAGCCGAGGTGGGTGAATCACTTTGAGGTCAGGAGTTTGAGACTAGCCTGGCCAACATGGTGAAACCCCATCTCTACTAACAATACAAAAATTAGCCAGTTGTGGTGGCGGGTTCCTATAGTCCCAGCTACTCAGGAGGCTGAGGGTGGAGAATTGCGTGAACCCAGGAGGCGGAGATTGCAGTGAGCTGAGATGGCACCACTGCACTCCAGCCTGGGTAACAGACTGAGACTCTGTCTCAAAAAAGAAAAAAAAAAAGTTGATACTGTGTTACATGTTTTTTTTTTCTTCTTTTTTTTTTGAGATGGGGTCTCGCTCTGTCACCCAGGCTGGAGTGCAGTGTCGCCATCTCGGCTCACTGCAAGCTCTGCCTCCTGGGTTCATGCCATTCTCCTGCCTCAGCCTCCCGAGTAGCTGGGACCACAGGCACCCACCACCACAACCGGCTAATTTTTTTGTATTTTTAGTAGAGACAGGGTTTCGCCGTGTTAGCCAGGATGGTCTCGATCTCCTGACCTCGTGATCCACCCACCTCGGCCTCCGAAAGTGCTGGGATTACAGGCGTGAGCCACCGCACCCGGCCCACTGTGTTACATGTTTCTTTATTGCTGCTGCTGTGATTGTATCACATGTAACTACAACAACAATAAAAATCTTCCTTTCTGGATTAAATTTTTAAATAAAATCAGGATGTTAACAGTGATCATTGTGCTTATTTTGAGAAATAATTATAACAGGATATATTAATTGCAACCCCCGCAATAAGAAAAAACAAAAACCAAAACCCAACCGTAAATAAGTAAAAAGTTGGCTTTCTCTCTACACCTCCCCTCCCCCAACCCCATCCTCCTGCCTGGGTGTACCTTTCAGTTACTCCTGTAGCAGGGACATACAGAATGGCATGTGTCGCTCTTAGTGATCAAAATCCTAGTCAGGCCTCCAATGAAGATTTATTTTCCCTGCATTTTTGTATTCTGCCTATTTTTTGGCCCAAGAAGTAGCCAGGGATGAATGTTTAAACCCTTTTTCCATGAAAGTGTCGCTGTGCTGAAGTCACTTTTTGTTTTGTGCAGCATAAAAATGCACATTCCATTCTTTTTTTTTTGAGACCGAGTCTAGCTCTGTCACCCAGGCTGGAGTGCAATGGGATGATCTTGGCTCACTGCAAACTCTGCCTCCTGGGTTCAAGCGATTCTCCTGCCTCAGCCTCCCGAGTAGCTGGGATCACAGGCACGTGCCACTGCAGAGTAGCTGGGATTACAGGTGCGCGCCAAGGCACCCGGCTAATTTTTTGTATTTTTAGTAGAGACAGTAGAGACATTTCACCATGTTGGCCAGGCTGGTCTTGAACTCCCGACCTCAGGTAATCCGCCTGCCTCGGCCTCCCAAAGTGTTAGGATTACAGGCGTGAGTCACACGCCCAGCCTCTTTGTGCATTTAAAACACTGCCTTTGCTGGGCGCGGTGGCTCACGCCTGTAATCCCAGCACTTTGGGAGGCCGAGGCAGGCGGATCACCTGAGGTCGGGAGTTGGAGACCAGCCTGACCAACACGGAGAAACCCCATCTCTAGTAAAAATACAAAAATTAGCCGGGCTCGGGCGTGGTGGTGTATGCCTGTAATCCCAGTTACTCTGGAGGCTGAAGCAGGAGAATCGCTTGAACCCCCGGAGGCGGAGGTTACGGTGAGCCAAGATCGCGCCATTGCACTCCAGCCTGGGCAACAAGAGCGAGACTCCATCTCAAAAAATAAATAAATAAATAAATAAATAAATAAATAAATAAAATAAAATAAAACAAAACACTGCCTTTGAAGGCTACTGGGGCACTGGTAAACTCTGGGAGAGGTTACCAGCAGGTGGGTGGAACTCTGCTTGCCTGCTGCTGCTTTTTTATTTCTTCTAAGGCATATGTAGAGCAATCTTGGATAAGTTTTCAACTCACCTCTCTTGGAAGGAAGCTGTTTGGGTTGCCTGGGCAGGTTTTGTGTGAAAACCAGCAAGAACTCAGATGATGAGAAGCAGCTTCTGTACAAGTCTGATTTCTCCTGCCTGGCCTGGGTGATCACAGTGGGTCCCGGGATGTTTAAACTGATGGTAGAGTCAACCATCAGCATTTATTTCTGTGTTTACAGTCTTCTTATTCTATTTTACTGGGCTCTTGGTTTTTGCTTGCCTGCCTACCTTCCTTTCTTCCTTCCTTCCTTCCATGTACTTTGCCCCTTTCTTTAAGGCAAATTAGCATGTAATGTGCAAACCAATCTCTCTGGCACTTAAGGAAGACCCCAAACCCCACTCCCTTTCTTCCCCTACCCCAAGAATTCACTACCCCTGGTTCAATTTCAGCTGAACCCGGAAACCTGTGATGTGACATGAAGGCTGAGAATTCCCAGAAATGTTAATACTTTTGGTCTTAGAAACTAACCAACTAAAAAAAAAAATCCCTTGCCAGTAAGAGGTAGGCTACATTTAAAATAATTTCTGACTGAAGAAGTCCTACGTACCGCTTGTCATATACATATGTAAAGATAATTTAAAACCCTAGGGTATACCCTTTTCAAATGCAGAGTTTATAGTTTCCAAGGGGAGGAGGGCAGGGGAGGAGTAACCAGGACCTTTCCTGCCAGTCTTCCAATCGCGATAGCTCGTTTTGGCTGTGAATTTCCCCCCTTCCCCTCCCCCTCCCGTTAATTAAATAAACGCTGGAAGCGTGTGTTTACCGCACACGACTCGGCCCTCGGGGAACTCTTTTTCTACGTCTCTCCTACTCTTAAACTCCTCAACTCACAGAGGGTTGGAGAGCTGGCACCATGAGCTTCCAGTTCCTACGGGTGAGAAAAGAGGTGTCTGTGTGGAGGGCAGGTGCGACCCCGGGGGCTAGCAGAGAGGAGAGGCTGCGGGAGGACTCGCTGCGAAGGGCGAGGGGTGGCGCTGGGTGGGACGGGCGCCTGGGGCCGTGCAGGGTGGCTCCTGGGTGCTGCCCGGGCTGCCTGTCGCCCAGTACTGGCGCAGGAAGACGGGTCCGCGCAGCGTCTGGCAACAGTGGCCTGCTCCACGCCTGGAGGCGACCAAGTTCTGAGTTAAAGGCGCCGGGCTTAGCCGGGAAGTGTATGGCGACCCAGAACACGGAGCGGAGAAGGCCTCAGGGGACACGAGGCTACCGCCTTAGTCCTCGGGCCTGCGCTCCGAGCGGTTAGGGTGCGTACGGATGGGCTCCGGGATGTTAGTGGAGAGGTGACAGGAGTCTACCATCCCACGGCCAAGCGTGTGAGGCCTCCGGCGGGCGGGGGTCCCCCCCGGGGCAGGGCAGGGGGAGAGTCAGGCATGTCTCTAACGGGCTCCCTAGTAGAACCGCTAGGAAAGTGGCCTTCAACCCTAGGCACCTTTGTGGCTTTCAGGTAGTTGGGCGACTAAAAATTCACTTTTGCCTGCTGTGAAATGGGACAGGTGGTTGTCAGGTTAGAGACTGTGCCCACGAAGTCTCGTTTGGCGGGCCGGGACTGACGTGGACCCGGGCCCTCCTCGGAAGCTTGGGAACCTGTGAGCCCCTCAGCTCCTCGCCTCACTTTGCCTGTTTGAAAAAAGGAGTTGTTTGAGAGGAAGAGTTAAGGCTCAAAAGGTTCTAAACGAAGAGCATGCGGCCTGACGCGGAGCGCAAAGAAGCGAGCAGTGAACTGAATCTGGTGGGACTGAGACCAGAGGCGTCTGTATGCGGCGGCCGCTTCGCGCCCTATTAAAGCAATCTGTTATTTACGATAATCATTTTTGTAATTATTTTGGAGTGGCTGTGACTTGATGTCTGTGGTGCCCCAGGGCATGCCCTTACTGGACATAGATACTTCAGGGTGCCCTTTGACGCCAGTGTCGGTCCAGTGGGTGCCAGTGCCGCGAAGGGAGGGTGGCGGGCGTGAATGCCCCCTCCTCCTGGGTTTGCCGCAGGCCCCGGCCTTTCCACCTTGCTTGATCCTGGCGGGTCTGCCACTTACTGAGGTCCCTACCGGCGCTCACGTTGTCCCGAGAGGCGGGACAAACGTCCGGCGCGTGGCGCGGAGTCTGCGAAAGCGCTCGGGGGCCTCCATCTTCTGCTCGGGAGTCCCCTCCCTGGGGCGGGAAGAGGAGTCGCAGATCTGCCCGAATCTTGCTCTACCCGCCTGGCCGCCTTCTTCCGTCTGGGGTGGGGGCAGGGGTGGCGGATGACTCAGGCCTGGGGCCGGGAGCCCTGTTTCCAAAGGCACCACCTCGCGCCTCTTTGGAAGTGGCGCGCTGTTGGGGCGCTCCCGCTGTTGCAGAGGCCTGGTTTGCGGTTTCATAGGGGCGTGGGTCCAGGGCTTCCAGGGAGTAAGTGAGTTTAGGCTCCCTAGGGGGCGGTAGAGGGGAACCCCCGACAACCTTCCATCCTCTTCTCCAGGCGGCTGCGAGGCCTCCGGGGTTCCAGAGGGGTCCCCTTCTGCCGGTGCCGGCTGTCTTGAGCGCGGCCACGCAGTCCGCGTCTTCACGTGGGCAAGGGGCGGGGACGTTGGAGGGAGGCTGTCTTGGATGCTGGAGCCTTCGGTTCCCGGCTCTGCTGAGCAGAAAAGTTGAAGTCAAGGAAGGGTTGAGGCTTCCTCACAAGGGCGCGCGCGTGCCTGGGTGCCGGCCCAGAAGCCGAGAATGTGCGTATTGGGGAAGGGTCTCCCGTGCCGAGAAGACAGAGGATTTGTTCTAGCTGCCTTCCGTACAGAGGGCGCGGAGGTTGCGCTCCAGTTCGAACGCTTACCCATTGGAAAGAGGGCAGCGCCGGGGTCCAGGGAAGCTCCTTGGGAATGAATGGCCTTTGCCAAGCGGTTCCGGATCCTCTGGGTCCTTTGGGCCCACGGCACGGTGCTGCGCGAGCCCTCAGTGCCCATCGGCTCCCTTCGCCTCCTGCGTAGACGCTCCCAGGCGGGGAGGCATATCGGTTCCTCCGGGCAGCTTTGGCTAGTGTTGCTGTGGGAAAGGAGAGCCAGGGCCTGGGATGGGGGATGAGCACCTTCTTGCCCATTCCGGGCCCCAGCGTGCAGGAGGTAAACTTGCCAGCACAGACAAGACAGCTTGTTCAAGCTGCACCTCAGGCCGGGTCAGAGAATAAAACCGAGGGCTAGAAGGCCCAGAATGTCGGACAGCCCAGCGGCACCCGTCAGGGAGTCCCAGGCGCCCGAAAGAGGCGCCGCACCTCTGGCGAGTCTAGGACCCATCTTCCTGGACCTGTGCTCTGGAGTGCCTGCGGGCCTGGGTCTAATTTCTGCTTCTGGCAGGTGTCCCCCTCCCCCGCCGCTAATACCAGGAGCGCTGCTTCTGCGGTAACTTATTTTACCCCCAGAAGCCTGTTTTGGGACCGAAGTGTCAGGGTCCTGTGTGTCTTTTTATGCACTGTTCTCCTTAGTGCAAAGCCCTGCAGATATGCTTGGCCGAAAAGTCTCAGTGGTTTCAACTTCCAGATTTTGTTCCCGCGTCCGGTCGGAAAATCACCTGGGATTTGGCTGCTGTCTAAGGCCGGGGGAAAGTTTCCCTTGGAGGACGCCTATTATTATTATTTTCTTTTAGGCCCACCTGGGTCTAAATAAATGCTAAAGTTCAAACGAACCCGAGAAGGAACAGCGAGGCAGTGGATGCCGCCATTCCGTGGATGGGAGAGTCATGTCTACTGCAGGTGCGGACACCGTACTGATAGGCATTGATTATTGCAAAATCGTATTCAGTATCAAATAGAAATAGTCTTGTCCTCTAATCCCCACAGAATGTTTAAATCCAGCCCAGGGAGCCAGTTGGGGCGTCCCAACAAATACGCCCTCGAGAATTAGCGATGTTCCCCTTACAATGAAAGTCAATTGCTGCATAATAACTGGGCCAAAGAATTTCGTTAGTTTAAATTTTAAAAATTAGTATTGCACTTTGCTTTCAAGTTTGGGTGGCAAGTACCGAAGGGGAGAGGGAAGCAGCGTTTGTGTGGAAGGAAGTTTCGTTTTCTGTCTAAACATGTGGGACCTGGGTGTCTACCTCTCCAGTCGAGAGCTCTCTGCAGGCTCTCTCCCAACTTCCTGCACCTCCTCACCCTCACCTTACCCGTGGCGCTCGGGTTTTATTCCTGCCCGGCGCTTCTTTCCCAGGGCGAGTAGAGGCTTCTGAGTGACCGGCCCGCCAGAGGCAGCTGCAGAGCCGGCGTTCCGCAGGGCAGGGCAGGGCCGGGCCGCTGGGCTGGTCCAGTGCGCGCGGGTTCCCCCTGGCCTCAGCCAGCCGCGGGAGATGCCACTTCGGGCGACAGCGGCGAGACGCCGCTGTCCGCAACTCCTGGGCGGGTAGGACCGTCTGCTGCCTCTGCGGCCCTTGGGGCAGACTCCCCAGGAGTCCCTTCCTCTCTCCTCCCGCCCGGGGGCCGGGACCGCGCTGTGCCCACGGAGGGAACTGGGCGTCTCTGGCGCACTGGGGCTCCAGCTGCATGATCCCAGCTCAGACCTTAAGCCTCAGTGGGGTGTAGGTGGGATGGGATGTGTTTTTAGGAGATGAGGAGACCCCGGTTGTTGAGTCGCTCCCCAAATGCGCAGTTTCTTAACTCCAGGTGACATCCGTCTTTTGGAGGAACGAGTGAAGGCCGTTTAGGCGAAAGAGGGGTGGGTTTCAGTATTTGGATCCCTTCCCCCAGCTCTGCCAATCTCAGGTGTGTTTACGGTGGAGGTGACAGAAGGAAGGCGCGTCGGGGGACCCAGGCCTCGCAGGTCTTCGGCTGTCAACGAGGCACCGCCCACTGACTCCGCGCTTCGTCCCTCACAGCGTGGGGCTCGGCGCTGCGCCAGGCCCGGGTGCGGGGCGGAGCTAGGCTGGGACTGGCTGGGGGCCGCCCCGCCCGGCGCCTGGGCCTCCGCGCCGGCCCCCGGGGAGGAGTTATGATAATTTCCTTCTCATTAAGGCGCTCGGGTCCCCCGGCTATCGCCAGGACACACTGTTCGGGCGCGGCTTTCCCCGTCCGCGGAGCGGTCTTGACACTCGCGGCGGCAGCATCTACGCTCGCAGAGCCGCCGATGCGTGTCCAGTGACCCGGACAGCAAGGCCCGCGCGCGGCGGGGGCGGCGGCAGACGCCTGGTCACCGTGACCCCGATTTTGGATTTACCGCTTGGGGGCTGGGGGGATCCTGGATTTAACTGGCGACTGTTTTGGGGGACGCCGGACGCCATGTTGTGGAAAATAACCGATAATGTCAAGTACGAAGAGGACTGCGAGGTGAGCTGGGGCTCCGGGGTGCAGCCCCGCCCCGCCGAGGACAGTCCGGGAGGCAGGGGCCACTGGACCGAGGTCGGGGACGAGGGCATAGGAGCCCTGGCCTCTCGGTGGGACGGGATCCACTTCTCCGGACACCCCTTAGTCCATTTCTGCGGGGCCCCTTTCCTGTATAGGGCCTTTTCCTAAATAGCCTCCCCTCGGGAACGAGGCCTGGAAAGAGAATGGCAAATCCCACCCACACAGCTTACCGGGCGCTTTCCTAAGCGGCAAACAGCCCTGCTTCCCGTTTTCTCGGAAAAGTGCCCCGTCTGCAACCCTCAGACGTGGCTTTTACGCACGAAGTCTCTGTCCAAAGGGGTCAGATGAGGCTACCTGCTAGCGACACCTTGGCGGACACTCCTCCAAGGCCGGCTTGTCACCTGCCCCGCTACCTCCTCGGGGAAGCACGAAAACAACCGAAGTTTGGCTTTCAAAAGAAGTGGGGGCTGGGGAGTGGTGGTGGGGGTGCCCGAGGCCAGATGGGGCCGTAAGAGCTCGCGAGTGCTCCAGCCTGTCGGACAGGTTGAGCTAGAGTTTCGGAGAGTGGGAGGGAAGAAGGAGGCGGCGAGCGGGAAGAGGAAGAAGACGCAGGCAGCGCTAGGCGAGCTCAGGGGCGCCGGGAGCGCGGAGCTCGGGCTACGGACTCGCGGGAGTTCACTGCGCCTCCGGGCCCTGGAGGGCTGCCCCTGCCCGCAGGCCCGGGCGCTTCCGCCAGGAGGCGACAGCGCCATGTTCCTCCAGGTTCCCGGCGCCCCGAGACCCCTGGGCAGATGGGGACGCATCCTTTAGAAACTGAGTCGGGCCGCCCAGGGGCGAGGGAACGTGCGCGGGCAAGGCTGCCCAATTTCCAGGGTTCTTCATGCCCCCTCTGCGCCCCGACGTGCGAGAACACTGCCCTTGGCAGTGCAGGGCGCCCCCACTTATTACTCCCCTCGGCTGGGCCCGGCCAGCAGGGAGGGCCGCCCTGTGCGCGCGCTCCCTCTTCACTTCCCAGGGCGGCGCAGGGTGGCGGGCCCTGCTTTCCGAGCGCCGCCCGCTCGGAGGTCTTTGTCCCGAGGGCGTGGAAGGGAGGGTCCCGGGGGCGGGGGAGGTGCGCATTTCCCGCGCCGCGCACTCTATCCGCGCCTGCCGCGCTGCCACCTCCAGCAGTCCCTGCGTCATGGGCGGGCTCCACGAGATAGCTCTGCACCGGGCGTCCGGCTCCTTCGCCCCGGGCTCTGGCTCCTTCGCCCCGGGCTCCGGCCACGGACTTTTCTGGCCCAAGACCCAGGGTTCGGACTTGGCGCCTCCAAGCGCCTCGGGCTTGGGAGCAGCGCCTAGACCTTCGCCGCCGGGCTTTGAGAACTCGTTCCCCCAGGTCTTTCACCAGACTCTCCTCCCTCCCCGCACTCTTTGCTTACAACGAAATCCTCGGGGCGCATTGCCCCCGGGTACCTTCCGACCCTGGGCAAGCCCCGCCGGGCGGGGTGCGGTTGGTCCCCCGGGGCCCTCTGCGTAGCCCGGCGATGCCGGCCAGTTCGCAGTAGCGGGGTTTCGCACTAACGGGGTCTCCTGTTTTTTTTTTTCCCTCCAGGATCGCCACGACGGGAGCAGCAATGGGAATCCGCGGGTCCCCCACCTCTCCTCCGCCGGGCAGCACCTCTACAGCCCCGCGCCACCCCTCTCCCACACTGGAGTCGCCGAATATCAGCCGCCACCCTACTTTCCCCCTCCCTACCAGCAGCTGGCCTACTCCCAGTCGGCCGACCCCTACTCGCATCTGGGGGAAGCGTACGCCGCCGCCATCAACCCCCTGCACCAGCCGGCGCCCACAGGCAGCCAGCAGCAGGCCTGGCCCGGCCGCCAGAGCCAGGAGGGAGCGGGGCTGCCCTCGCACCACGGGCGCCCGGCCGGCCTACTGCCCCACCTCTCCGGGCTGGAGGCGGGCGCGGTGAGCGCCCGCAGGGATGCCTACCGCCGCTCCGACCTGCTGCTGCCCCACGCACACGCCCTGGATGCCGCGGGCCTGGCCGAGAACCTGGGGCTCCACGACATGCCTCACCAGATGGACGAGGTGCAGGTGAGCGGCGCTGCGGCTCCTGACCGGACCTGTTCACCCTACGGCCTTCTGCCCCCACCCCGCACTCCTCTAGGCTCCCCCGAACTTAAGGGAATTTTGTCCTCTCTCCCCCAGAATGTCGACGACCAGCACCTGTTGCTGCACGATCAGACAGTCATTCGCAAAGGTAAATAGCAAGGTGGCATCGTCTAACTCTGGTCACACGATCTGGGCTTGTGAAGTTGACTGGCAAGGTTGGGGGTATTTGGTGGCCAGCGTGGGACATTTGTGGTAGAAGGGACTGAAAGGGATTCATGGAAGCTAGATTTTAGGAGTGACAGAAAGGGATTTCCCTCCGACCTCCTAGGAGCTGTCTCTTCATCTCCGGAGTTGTTACTGCCTAGTTTTTTTTCTTGGAAAAATGTCCATGAATTCCAGTGGGTGTTTCACAATGTGAGAGAAAGTCTTCCAGAGCGAGTGAACACTGATTTAACTTGAAAAACAACAAGAAAAAAGTCACAGGCACACCTTCGTTGAGTGGTTGGTTCTGTAACAATTTTAATTGTTGAATAAGTTGTGATTTTATTTTTGATTTCAAACACGTGTATGGAAAACCTCCTTAATTCTGACCTGCAAGAAAAGTTTTGAAGCAATTTGGCCTACCAAATGAATACCTGTAAAAGGAACAGAGCTTGGAATGATCTGTCAGAGGGAGAGTTTTGCAGGATGGGGAGGAGGGGATTTGGAAAATTGGATTACTTGGTGAGTGAGTGGTTTATGAAATTAAGTTACTTAACTGACAGGATTACCAGGATTACCATTTTGACTGTTTTGGGAAATAGAGTAGGCCTAAATTGAAGGTAGTTTTGGCCTGTTACTTGAACTGCTTAAATGGATTGAGGATGGAGGAAAAATGGATTTTAAAGAAAAACTCAGAAAAGACTACAAATTTTCAGTAAACTTAGAACGTATTAGTTTGGATGATTAAATTTACTGTGATCAACTGCACTGAAAAATTTTGGAAAGAATCTTAATGTGTCCTATGATTTTGGTTGTTCTTGAGGGGAAAAAACTCACCGTTTATTTAGTATTGAAGCAGTCTTCTGAAAACAAATGTTCTAATTAAATAGTTTTCAGCAGCTGCTAGGAAAAAAAAAAAAAGAAACCCTCCAAGCTTTGGATCTTCACTAATTAACTTCCCAAGGTGTTAACTTGTGAATTTCAGATTAGATTTGTCTCTGAAGTAGGGGGCTTTTTTAAAAAGTCAGCCATGGCCAGGTGCAGTGGCTGACACCTCTAATCCCAGCACTTTGGGAGGCCAAGGTGGGCAGATCACTTGAGGTCAGGAGTTTGAGACCAGCCTGGCTAACATGGTGAAACTCCATCTCTACTAAAAATACAAAAAATTAGCTGGATGTAGTGGTGGGCACCTGCTGGAGAATTACTTGAGCCCGCAAGCTGAGGCTGCAGTGAGCAGAGATCACACCACTGCACTCCAGCCTGGGCCACAGAGTGAGACTCTTATTATTTTTTTTTTTTAAATAAAGTCAGCCTGCAGTTGATCGTGGGGTGTGCAATGATGCTTGTCTAAAGATCACTTTCAGCTTTGGTTATTGGTTTTGAAAAGGTCTCTTTTGCTCAGAGAGAGCTCTTGTGACTGCCAGCTCTGACCTTCATTCACAGGTCCCATTTCCATGACCAAGAACCCTCTGAACCTCCCCTGTCAGAAGGAGCTGGTGGGGGCCGTAATGAACCCCACTGAGGTCTTCTGCTCAGTCCCTGGAAGATTGTCGCTCCTCAGCTCTACGTCTAAATACAAAGTGACAGTGGCTGAAGTACAGAGGCGACTGTCCCCACCTGAATGCTTAAATGCCTCGTTACTGGGAGGTGTTCTCAGAAGGTACTTGGGGCACAATTCTAGGCATAGTGGTTGGGTAGTTGAAGGTGAGTGTATCAGAGGCCCAGGAGGTATTTTTAACATTTATGTGACTTTATGCCTAACACTGAATTCTAATCGGGTTAGAGTTTTAGTACATTTCTTCTCCTTTAGAAAGTGCCAAATGTGGGAGGAAGTGCTAAAACGACGCTCACAAATTCTCACTTGGTTAGAATTTGATCCCATGTATGAAGTGATAGCATCTGTATTGAGGGGAGGTGGGGGGAGCACCCTGGGTTTGTTCCCCAGGGAGTTTTTGTGGGGCCGTTGTAGTTTCACAAGTGAAAATTTGTCTGCTCCCATACAATTTGAAATATTCGGTGATGCAGAGTTGGATGCTAGGAAAGATTGATTTTGTATCTTACGGGGACTAATTGAAAGAGGACCCTGCTATCACTTTTCATTATGGTTCACGTGATGTAGATAGTCTTTGATGGGTTTCAGCTTTGACAGCAGCACTTTAGGAGTTTAGAATTTTTAAAGTGTGCGTGTGTATGTGTTTTTGTTTTTGAGAGTAGCCAGAGTCAATTTTTCTTTTTCTTAGAGCCAAATCGAAAAATGGAGGCCGGTCCTTGCGGGAGAAGTTGGACAAGATTGGGTTGAATCTTCCGGCCGGGAGGCGGAAAGCCGCTCATGTGACTCTCCTGACATCCTTAGTAGAAGGTCAGTGGGGTTTTGTTTTTGGTTCGTGATGTTTTTAATTTGTGCCTGTGTCTTTAATACTTATTGCAGAAAAACTGGAAAACAACTCTTAAAACTTGGTTGCAAGTAGAGATGAAAGCAATTGGAATTGTTCTCTAAGTTTATTGGAATGAATCACAGTTAATTTTATCGAATAAGTTAACATTTAAGTATCTGGTTGCTCAGGTAGGCTCTTCTGTATTCCCCCAGAGAATCAATGTTGGAAAGAAACTGGTTTTCCTAACCTAAGAAATCACACTCTAGGGGTGTCGGCATTTCCTGTTAAATGAACCAGTTTTTTTGGAAGATAACAGCTGATCATTTGGTACACCTTGAGTAAAAGCTGGTTACTTACTGGTGAGCAGAAGTACTGCTTCTGTTTTTTGTAGCTGTGGGTTATTTTGTAGCTGGGGATTGTGGTCAGTGAAGAGAACCTCTTGTATACAATACGACTGGCCCGATTCACAATTCTATTCTTCCCTCCCATCCAAAGAAAAAAACTAATCGAACCCCTGGCCCACGCACAAGTTCCTCTTGCCAGTGCTAAGATAGTAGGACATAGCATTTCAGTTTCTTGAATGGGGGGCCCCTTTACCCCAACCTGGACAGTAGCCAAGAATGCAACACAACCTTTAAAAGGAGCTGAAGGGAAAGTAAAATAATTTTTTAAAAACAAAACAAAGCATGTTGTTACTGCTCCCGGGAAGAGTTGGACGCTGAGAGAGGCTTAGGGCTCTCACTATGGGCAGGGGAAGCCAAGGAGAAACGGGCTCCCCGTGGCAGTACCCTCTTTTGAAGACTTTCTTTCCTTGCTCTGATGGCGTGACGTGGTGCTCAAAGAGACTTGGCAGAGTCCCTGCTTTACCTTTTACGAGTGCCTTTGGAGGTCAGGGCAAGGAGAAAGGAGCTGCCTGTCTGAGAACAGCTGTCCTGCCTGTAGAATCGGCGGTTCTGCTGGGGTTTCTTGCTAGCCAGGCAGGGTGATTGAATAAGAAAGTGTGCTCCAGAACAATGGCTCTCCAAGGCTGCTTCAGTCAACCCAGGGGGCCCCTCCACCATCTGGGTTTTTGCAAAGCTCACCAGTCCTGCACCCTGGAGCCAGGGAAGGTACCTCTTGGGTGGGAGAAACTCTCTTGGTTGCCTCCCTTAGCTCTTCCACTGACTTGGACAGGGAAAAGGGTGCTCCAAGTTGGTTTTTAGGAGAAACATCCCTCCCATCTTTTTTAAAAGAAACATTCTAGAGATCTGCCCCTTCAGTAAAAAGGCACTATTAAAAAAAAAGTAAGCTGTCAGATGTCACCATTTTATAGAGAAGTGACTAGTTTGCTTTTGTCAAACATGTTTATAGCCCTTAAATTTTCCTACTTCCCCAAAATGATACTACTTAATATAAAGAGAAAACATGGGTATGTTTGATTATCTGTTGAGCAGAGGACTGGTAAACATTTTTCAAGTTTACTCATCTCAGTATCCATGGGGCACTGGTTCCAGGTCCCATACCAAAACCTGAGGATGTTCAAAATGTTATATTTGTATATAACCTACACACATCCTTCCGTATAGTTTAAATCATCTCTGCATCACTTACTTATAATACCTAATACTATGTAAATGCTATGTAAATAGTTGTTACATTGTATTGCTCAGGGAATAATGGCAAAAGTCTGTGTGTGTTCAGTACAGACACAACCATTCATTATTTCCCCCCCGAATCTTTTCAATCTGAGTTTGGATGAATACAGATTCTGAACCCACGGATACAGAGGGCTGACTTGATTGTGCAGTTAGAAGTTTCAGGGTCTTTTCTGCTCACATTGTGTGATCTCCACCCTCTATTCCTGGGGTGGAGGACCTACTGAGAATCCCTAGAAAGTTCTACCTACCAGCTGAGTTGTCTGCCCTGTATATGATTTCGTTCTTGCATGCAACGTATGACTGGTAGACAATGAATACTACTAGAAAGAGAGAAAATGGGGGCTGGGTGCTGTGGCTCATGTCTATAATCCCTGGCATGAGCCATTGGTTGAGACCAGGAGCTCAAGACCAGCTGGCCAATGTGGCAAAACCCTGTATCTACTAAAAATACAAAAATTAGCTGGGTATGGTGGTGCATGTCTGTAATCCCAGCTATTCAGGGGCTGAGGCACGAGAATTGCTTGAATTCCGGAGGTGGAGGTTGCAGTGAGCAGAGATCGGGCCACTGCACTCCAGCCTGGGCAACAGAGCGAGACTCCGTGTCAAAAAAAAAAAAAAAGAGAGAGGAAAAGGGCAGTTTGGCCTCAGTGACCACAGCCATCCTAAAAGCTGTTGCTGATTATTCTAGGTGAAGCTGTTCATTTGGCTAGGGACTTTGCCTATGTCTGTGAAGCCGAATTTCCTAGTAAACCAGTGGCAGAATATTTAACCAGACCTCATCTTGGAGGACGAAATGAGATGGCAGCTAGGAAGAACATGCTATTGGCGGCCCAGTAAGTATCTGAACTTGAATTTGATGATGACTCAATGCTCTAGACCTTGAGGTTGAGAAGATTCCCCCTCCACAGTCCCGATGGCTCAACAAAGAAATATTCTTGAAATAAATTAGGGTGGAGCAAAAGAAAATGGCAAGGGAGCTTCTTTTACAAAGTCAAATACATTAACTTTTTGTATGATTTAGAAGAGTGCATGACTCAGCCATGAGTATTTTTGAGCTGCTTAGTTATTCAACCCAAAGTAGTTGAGCTGCCCTTTCATTATTGTGTTAGCATATCTTACAAAAATGTGTTGAAAACCCGATTTGTTTTGTCACAACCAGTAAAGAGAGATTGTGTGCCTTCTACCTCCTGATAGCAAGACTTTTGTCTTTCAAATGTAAAGATCAGGGTGGATTTGTGGGCAAATTAACTGTCTCCAAAACGACTTAATGCAGCTGTGGGTTTTCTCATAGAAACCAACAGTAAGTTGATTTGAAAATGATGGTAAATGAAGCAGAACTAGTCGAGCCAGGAAATGGGGTAAAAGAGAGCGCAGTGAACCAGGCTGTGTCAGGAGTCAGAATTTCAGGGGGATGCTTCCTTCTCCCGGTTCCTCACGGAATTTGTTTATTGGAACCAACTTGTACCAAGGTAAACTGTCCCTTAAGCTCATGGGTTGGAATCCAGGCCCCATTACTTTTACCAGTCCTGGTGACCTTGGCCAGTTAGCTGGGGTTAAGTTAATCCTGTTGTCTTTTCTAATTGCAGTGAGGATTAAATAAGATAGTGCTTTAAAACAGCTTAACTCAGAGCCTGGCGCAGAATAGTTGCTAAGCGCAGCAGTTGGCTATTAGTATTAAATTCTCCTTCCTCGGGTTGAAGCAGTTGTGCTTGCCTCCCGGGCGCCAGCCTCAGTGTAGTTGGTTCTGTGCTCTTGACCTGTAAGGAGCTAGATGGAACTCATCGAGTCAACTGACTGTCTTCACAGGCAACTGTGTAAAGAATTCACAGAACTTCTCAGCCAAGACCGGACACCCCATGGGACCAGCAGGCTCGCCCCAGTCTTGGAGACGAACATACAGAACTGCTTGTCTCATTTCAGCCTGATTACCCACGGGTTTGGCAGCCAGGCCATCTGTGCCGCGGTGTCTGCCCTGCAGAACTACATCAAAGAAGCCCTGATTGTCATAGACAAATCCTACATGAACCCTGGAGACCAGAGTCCAGCTGATTCTAACAAAACCCTGGAGAAAATGGAGAAACACAGGAAATAAAATTGGAACGAAGAAAGGTTAGGAGAGTAGGGAAGGAACAGGACTGCAAAAATCCTTCTCCACCGCACAGACTGGGAACCCCTCCTGGCCTGGGGGAAGAGTTTGTTACCTACCTTACTATTTAAAGAGCCTTCACTGGTTCTGCATCACCCGCCCCTGGACTTCTTAGTTGTTTCTCTAGCGCTGAGCTATCTCCTAACTTTGGACCTATTATCAGAAGGTGACAAGTACTGGCTCTTTATTCATTAAGCTTTTTTTTTTTGAACCCCATTCTTTCCTTCTCTGAAAGTGGTGCTATAAGTTTTAGAATCTTTTAAATACATTCCCTGGGCCAACAGACCCACACACTTAGCCATTGAAATGTCAAATTGATGTGCCCTAGATCAACAGATCAACAATACCTTTTTTTTCAGTGTTAAGGTAATGGTTGGTTTTTGTGTCCGCTAAATATTTACCTTGAAAAAAAGAAAAGTGTGTATCTAGCTTCTTCAGAGATCAAGTCCTCTGGTAGGAGGCAAAGGTTCTATCTGCTTAGCAACTAGTTAATAAGTGGTATCTGACACACTCTAAACCCCGTGTTCAAACGGGGGCCTTCTGGTTTTAGGAAACTTGTAGAAACGAAGCCTGCTGATTGATTTTTTTCTCCTTTTTTTTTTTTTTTTTTTTTAACTTTGAAAGTTAACTCTTCAAATGGGAGACTCTTTGAAATGACATGTTCCTTTAAGGTACTGAAGCTTTATTTGCATATTTATTTCAGATGTTTCGAGTAAACTTGAAAAGGGTAGGCACGAAGCAATTTGTTGCTGCTTGTCACCCCCAAGTCCCCGTGGAGGTTCTGTATTTTAAGAAACAGTGCGTTGAGTGTACAGATTTTATTTATGCGTAATTTAATGGGGTCTGTAAATACTGGTGCACTTCTTACGACTTTTTTGAGACATGGGATCCAATTTTAATATTAACTTTTAATGGTGATGGGGTAATCTATAACACATCATAAGGTTTTATTCATATATATACAGGGTATTAAGAATTAAGAGGATGCTGGGCTCTGTTCTTGGCTTGGAAGATTCTATTTAATTGAAACTCTCTGTTCAGAAAGCAATAACTTTGTCTCGTTCCTGTTGGGCTGAACCCTAAGGTGAGTGTGCAGTACAGTGTGTGTGGGTGAAATGGAGATTTGGAATTGAACTCTCTGCCTGTAAATGTTCCCCAAATAATTGTTGTGTGTATGATACGTGTATAATAAAAGTATTCTTGTTAGAATCTGAAAGTCTGGCTATAGGTTTTTGTTTTTGCTTTTGTTTTAAAGTCTTTTGGGTGAATGGAATTAGGGCAGAGCTGATTTATGGCTTGACTGTGGCTTGGTTAATGCCCTGAGCAGGCAAGTTTTGTGTGCTGTTGGGGAGGAACCTGAAGTTTCACCTTTTCTCCCTAGCGACACTGTTCAGCTACCCCAGGCCTTATGCTGTCATCAGTGTCTCTCAACTGCAGAGGGATAGAATCATCCTCCCCACCCTGGAGGTGTTGGGAAATGTCTGAGGGACAGTTTATTGACATTAAGAGGGGCCAATGTTTTGGGAACAATGTCTCATGGAAGGTTACTGTATTGAGGACAGGTACACTGGCATACTGTACTCAGCATACTGTATAGTGGTCAAGAATGGAAGTGAAATGATTATGGGTGTTCTTTGGGCAGATGTTTCTCTCTTTTTTTTTTTTTTCTTTTTTTAAGATGAAGTCTCGCTCTTGGCCCCAGGCTGGAGTGCAATGGTGTAATCTCGGCTCACTGCAACCTCCACCTCCCGGGTTCAAGCGATTCTCCTGCCTCAGCCTCCTGAGTAGCTGGGATTACAGGTGCGTACCACCACACCTGGCTAATTTTTGTATTTTAAGTAGAGACAGGGTTTCACCATGTTGGCCAGGCTGGTCTCGAACTCCTGACCTCAGGTGATCTGCTCGACTTGGCCTCCCAAAGTGCTGGGATTACAGGCGTGAGCCACCGCGCCAGGCTGGGCAGGTGTTTCTTAGGAGGACTTGGCATTCAGTCGAATGCAAGCAGTGGACGTGCAGCATGCCAGTGTTTTCCATTCATCTAAGTTCTCTTTGGAAATGAGATCGTGCTCATCCACCCAAGACATCCTCTTCATTTCATCTGCCTGCAGGGGAAACCAGAGATTGAGTCTTTGTGCTACTCCAGGAGCAGAGGAGTCTGGCAGGGGTTATGTACTTGCTGGATGTTTGTGATGCACACGGCAGGTACTTGATCTCGAGTTGAAGCAGCCTGGCATCTCCTCCAGGAAGTGATGTGTTTAGAGTTTGCCATGTGTGGCCTGGCTTCAAAGGGAACTGGGAGCCGTAGGATTTTCCCCATTGGATAAGACCATTGCTTCAATGCCAGTTTTATAATCTTTAATTCATAATTCTCTACCAAATGCCCAACGATTCCTGACTTAATGTTGGCGTTGGATGTTATTAAGTAACTTAAACTCTGCCAACCCAGTGCTTTGCTCTTGGCATCTTGTCCTTGGCCACCAAGCATTCCCATTAAGTTGGATTTATCTGGTTGATATGACAAGATCACAATTGCTTTGCTTTGGAGTGGTGAAAAGAGATCTTAGGTTGGCAGTTATCTCTCAATCAAGGCTTGAAATGTTGAGTGTTAAGAGGAAGTTATGGGGGCAAAGGGCTGAAAGAAAAAGGGCTATTCTGTTATCAGCATCTTAACTTGCTTTTGGACCAGAGTCTGGCTTTTAGGAGCTGTGCTGAATTGCAACGCAGTCAGTGTTCTGGAAACGCCCCAAAGTCAACCAAGGATTGAAGGGAATCACAAGCAGTGCTTCTTTTTTATTTTTTTTTTGAGATGGAGTCTCACTCTGTTGCCCAGGCTGGAGTACAGTGGCTCGATCTCGGCTCACTGCAAGCTCCGCCTCCCGGGTTCATGCCATTCTCCTGCCTCAGCCTCTTGAGTAGCTGGGACTGCAGGCACCCGCCACCACACCCGGCTAATTTTTTTTGTATTTTTAGTGGAGACAGGGTTTCACCCTGTTAGCCAGGATGGTCTTGATCTCCTGACCTCATGATCCACCTGCCTCAGCCTCCCAAAGTGCTGGGATTACAGGCGTGAGCCACCACGCCCGCCCAAGCAGTGCTTCTTACTTGCCGGGTTCTTTCTCCACATCCCCACTGGAAGTCTGGGGACTGCCACTGAGCTCTTGAGTCTGATGCACGATAATGAGTTTTTCTTCCCAACACCTGAGCTGATGCTGTAGCCAAAAACCAGGTCCCCTCAAGAGGATCCTACTGAAACATTAGCTCCCTTGCAGATTTTTTTTTTTTTTTTTTTTTGAGATGGAGTCTCGCTCTGTTGCCCAGGCTGGAGTGCAATGGCATGATCTCAGCTCACTACAAGCTCCGCCTCCTCGGTTCACACCATTCTCCTGCCTCAGCCTCCCGACTAGCTGGGACTACAGTCGCCCGCCACCACGCCCAGCTGATTTTTTTGTATTTTTTAGTAGAGGCGGGGTTTCACCATGTTAGCCAGGATGGTCTCGACCTCCTGACCTCGTGATCCACCTGCCTCGGCCTCCCAAAGTACTGGGATTCCGGGCGTGAGCCACCGCGCCCAGCCCTCCCTTGCAGATTTTTCTGGAAACTCTTGCTTACTTGTGAAATAAGGGTGCAGTGCCCTTTGGCATTAGGTTGGTGGACCCTCGCTTCTCGTGGCCCAGAGTGGGTTTTGTTTCAAGCCCCATGTTAGTGGGAATCACCCTCCCTTTTCCCCTTGCCCTGTGCTGTTGTGGCACACTGGCTGTGGAGGCACATGATATCACTGATGTCTTGGCCCTCTGACAGAAGAAATAAAGATACGCTTCCTTTTTTTCCCTGGTTGCACTGAAAGAAACCCCATCAGTTGTCTGAAGGGTATATACTGCCTAGAATTCCACTTATGTGAGAGAGACTGTCGGCGGGATTGCCCATCTGTTGACTGGGTACTTTGGCCATCTGGGTACCTGGCACTTGGAAGGTGCCCCGGGCCCTGCAGATAGGGGCACCTATAGATTTCCTGAAAGGGCAGAGAGAGTGTTTTCAATAGCAGTTCTTGGTTGTCTTACCTTCCATGTGTGCACAATTTAAGTTGTGGGTTAGAAAAGGGATGACTGGTCTGTTTCTCATTGAAATGATTCCATGCAGTGGCCATCATTCTTTTCTTTTTGGGGGTCTAGTATCAGTAAGCTCTGAGACCAAAGGTTCTTATATTTGAATGTTAATAAACAAAACAAGGTAGGGTCATGGGTGGGTGAGAAACAAAGAGAAACTTCTCTGATGACTTGGCAGTGGTTGGGTTTCTGGAGCCCATCGAGATTCCCTGGGGAAACGTTGGCTGCTGTGCATTATTAAGGAGGTTGCTGTTACTTCCGAGGACTTCTGAACGTTTTCCAGTCTTTTCCTTTTGCAAGTTGGTAGGGGGTATCATGGGGTGGCGGTTTAATTTGCCTTCCTTAGCAAGTAGGTGAAGAACCTGGAAGCAGCTGCTGTTGCCACAAAGGGGAAGAACAGCCCTGAGATTCTTTTGCTTGTGTTTGACAGGTGATGGAGTGAAGTCGGGATCCTTAGCAAAGTCCTCCCTGGCCAGCTAAGCTCAGTGGGCAGTACGAGTTTTCCCCTTGTTTAGAGACAAAGGGTTTGCTTTTGGCATTTTGATGTTGCAATGCTTGGATACGCTCTTCCCAGGAGTAGATCTTGCTCTTGGATGATAGTGGTAATTTTTTTTTTTTTTTTTCCTGAGATGGAGTTTCACCCTTATTGCCCAGGCTAGAGTGCAATGGCACAATCTCGGCTCACTGCAGCCTCTGCCTCCTGGGTTCAAGCGATTCTCCTGCCTCAGTCTCCCAAGTAGCTGGGATTACAGGCGTGCATCACCATGCCCAGCTAATTTTTGTATTTTTAGTAGAGACAGGGTTTCACCATGTTCGTCAGGCTGGTCTTGAACTCCTGACCTCAGGTGATCTGCCTTTCTTGGCCTCCCAAAGTGTTGGGATTACAGACGTGAGCCACTGCATCCAGCTGATAATGGTAATTGTTGACTTAACTTTTTCAGATCTCAGTATACCATGGGTTTCTCTTCCATATTAGTAGTCCTCATTTGCTTTTCTGAAATCTACAGGTCACCACCCTGGGAGTCTTGATGATGCTTGGAGCCATCAAAACCTCACCCCTCCCAGGTTTGCCAATACAGACTGCTGTCATGCACAAGGTCCATATTGATACAAGGCAGATCATACCTTGAAGGTCTCTGTCTGCTAGTAACATGATCTTCTGCAGAAACAAACTTGACCTTAGGCTTTACAAAAAGTAACTCTTACGTTAGAGCCCATAGTTGCATGGAACGCTCAATTATTTTTGGCACAGGCATAAACGCTGTAATTTCCTGACTTCTTTTGGATAACATCTAGATGGGGGAAATGGGTAGAAGAAAAGCACGGAAACCAAATAGAATTGAAAGGCATAATTCCAGGGTCCTGTCCAAGGAATGTTTACGAGGTCAAGTCCGTGTGTGTGTGTGTGTGTGTGTGTGTGTTTCAAGACACATGTGGTGTTACTGTGGCTTCTCAACGTTTTCCAGGAAGATCTCGGCCTTCAGGAGTGACACTCCCTACGAGAATGTGAACGTGGGTGAGTTGAAGAGGACACCTTGGCATCTGGCCTTTGCTGAGGCTGGAAAGCATTTGGGACTTCACAGTTGTTGTGGGTTGAATGCTGCCCCCAAAAGATTTGTTCAAGTCCTAAATTCCCAGTACCTCAGAATGTGACCTTAATTGGAAATAGGGTTGGTGCAGGTAATTTGAGCCAAGGTCCTACTGGAGTAGAGTAGGCCTTAATCCAGTAAGACATGTTCATATAAGAAGAGAATAAGCCTGGGTGCGGTGGCTTATGCCTGTAATTCCAGCAATTTAGGAGGCCGAGGTGGGCGTATCACCTGAGGTCAGGAGTTCAAGACCAACCCGGCTAACATGGTGAAACCACGTCTCTACTCAAAATACAAAAATTAGCTGGGCGTGATGGTGAGTGCCTAATCTTAGCTACTTGGGAGGCTGAGGTGGGAGAATCACTTGAACCCAGGAGGTGGAGGTTGCAGTGAGCTGAGATCGTGCCATTGCACTCCAGCCTGGGTGACAGAGTGAGACTCTATCAGAAGATGCTGGGCGTGGTGGCTCACGCCTTTAATGCCAGCACTTTGGGAGGCTGAGGTGGGTGGATCACCTGAGGTCAGGAGTTCTTTCAGACAGCCTGACCAGCATGGAGAAACCCTGTCTCTACTAAAAATACAAAATTAGCCGGGCGTGGTGGTGCACGCCTGTAATCCCAGCTACTTGGGAGGCTGAGGCAGGAGAATCACTTGAACCCGGGAGGCGGAGGTTGTGCGAAGATTGTGCCATTGCACTCCAGCCTGGGCAACAAGAGTGAAATTCCAACTCAAAAAATAATAATAATAAATAAGCCGGGTGCGGTGGCTCACGCCTGTAATCCCAGCACTTTGGGAGGCTGAGGCAGGCGGATCATGAGGTCAGGAGATCAAGATCATCTTGGCTAACTCAGTGAATCCCTGTCTCTACTAAAAATACAAAAAAATTAGCCGGGAGTGGTGGCGGGTGCCTGTAGTCCCAGCTACTTGGGAGGCTGAGGCAGGAGAATGGCGTGACCCCGGGAGGCGGAGCTTGCAGTGAACCGAGATTGCACCACTGCACTCCAGCCTGGGCAACAGAGCGAGACTCCATCTCAAAAAAAAAAAAAAAAAAAAAGACGACACAGATGGGATAATGCTATGTGACAGGGGAAGTGGAGAGTAGGGGGATGTGGCTAAAAACCACGGAACATTAAGGATTGCCAGCTACCACCAGAAGCTGGAAGAAGCAAGGAAGGATTCTCCCCTCCAGATTTCAGAAGGAGCACGGCCCTGCTGAGATTTGGATTTTGGATTTCTAGTCTCTAGAGCTGTGAGACAATAAATCCATATCTGCTTTTTTAATGAGACAGGGTCTTGCTGTGTCACCCCGGCTGGAGTACAGAAGTATAATCCTAGCTCAATGTAGCCTCGACCTCCCAGGCTCAAGGGATCCTCCCACTTCAGCCTCCCAAGTAGCTGGGACCACAAGTGTGCACCACCATGCCTGGCTAATTTTAAAATTTTGTGTACAGACAGCATTTCTCCCTATTGCTCAAGCTGGTTTTGAACTCCTGGGCTCAAGTGATCCACCTGCCTCTGCCTCCCGAAGTGCTGGGATTACAGGCATGAGCCACCGCGCCCGGTCTGCTTGTTTCTTTTAACTGGGTTCTTCAAGGTATCCCCTCCAAACAGTGACTAAACCTATCAGGTCACCAGAAGTGTGTGGAAGGATTAATATTGATGCCCTTGTGTGGCCTTTGACTTACTGAATCAGGAACTCTGGGTTTAGGATCCAGGAATCTGTATTTTATTAAAAACAGACTTGGTGATCTTGACCATGAGCTGAGTTTAGGGACCACTGCCTTCCATCTTCTAGTTCAAAAATGTTATTGAGTCACATCCATTCTGGAGAGGGGTGTAACTTGCTCTGTGTCCCCAGCATCCTCTCCAGGGGATGTCCTCCTGCTCTTGGGCTCCTACTGCACCCAGAGGGCACCAAGCAGTTGGGACACTGTGGTTCAAGGCCAGCCTGGAAAGATAGGGAGACTGTCTCTACAAAAAGATAAAAATGAAAAAAATTAGGGTTGGTGGTGCTTGCCTGTAGCCCTAGCCACTTAGGAGGCTGAGGTGAAAGGATCCCTTGAGCCCAGGAGGTTGAGGCTGCAGTAAGCTGTGATGGTGCCACTGCACTCCAGCCTGGGTAACAGAGCGAGACCCTATCCCAAAAACAAACAGTCTGGGCCGGGCGCGGTGGCTGACGCCTGTAATCCCAGCACTTTGGAAGGCCGAGGCGGGCGGATCACGAGGTCAGGAGATCGAGACCGTTCTGGCTAACACAGTGAAACCCCGTCTCTACTAAAAAAAAAAAAAATTACAAAAATTAGCCGGGTGTTGTGGCGGGCGCCTGTAGTCCCAGCTACTCAGGAGGCTGAGGCAGGAGAATGGCCTGAACCCGGGAGGCGGAACTTGCAGTGAGCCGAGATCGCGCCACCGCACTCCAGCCTGGGCGACAGAGCGAGACTCCATCTCAAAACAAACAAACAGAAAAAAGCAACAAAACAAAACAAACAGTCTGGCTTCTTCAGTAGACCCTGAGGTCATGAGGGCCAGAGCTATGTCTGTCTTGTGCTTTAGGGTCTCTCCACGCACTAGCTCAATGCCCAGTAAGCACCCACATTGAATCATACGGCTGAGCCTGGGCTATGGGGTGGGGTCTATGGGCAGTTCCTTTTCCAGAGCCTCTTCAGGGCTCAGGGCCATGTGTGGATTGGGGCCGGCCCACCAGAAAGAATTTCACCTCGGCCTCCCCAGGTGCTGGGATTACAGGCCTTAACTCCTGCACCCTGCCCCTTCATGTATTTTTAGGCTGCTATCCTGCTTCCTTCAAACCTCCCATCTTTTCCAAACTTAGGATCTCCAGGTCTCTCAGTGAGTCCCTCTGTGCCTTGGTTTCTAGAATCTGTTCTTAACAAATGGTTAGAGAAAATAAAAATAAATGTTCCAGGTGAGAACACACACACAAACTTGAGCCAAAGCCGGAAGATGAGAGGGCATGCAGTGCAGATACTTAAGGAGGGAATCCCAGAGAGGGAGGAGCATGTGCAAAGGCCCTGAGGTGGGGGTGTGCTGGGATTTTCATGGGAGAGCAGAAAGGACCCTGTGGCTGGAGTGGGGAGGGTGGGGTGAACAGCAGATGTAGGGAGGACGCAGACTCTGGATCTTACCCCCGGGGACATGGGGAAGCCAGTGGGGTTTGGGCCACAGAAACTTCCGAATCTTGTGTTTTGAAGGGAGCACTCAGCCACTGGCTGCTGAATAGACTGGGTTGTGTGTGTGTAATTCCAGCTCCGTCCATTTCTCTCGAGCACTGAGCACAACTTTCTCTGTACTTCTTCACTTTGGAGGGGCAAGGAGGGGTGAAGTCTTGCTGGTTGTGTTTCCATTTATTCAACAAATGTTTATTGAATACCTCCTGGAGGCTGGGCTGTGTTCTAAGCATGGGGGCATAGGTGTGAACTGGGTAGAGTCTGGCCCTGCTGGCAGGGAGCTTGGTCTAGTGGTGGAGCCAGACGATAAAGAGCATTTTATTTTATTTATTGAGACGGGGTCTCGCTCTGTTGCCCAGGCTGGAGTGCAATGGCGTGATCTTAGCTCACTGCAACCTCTGCCTCCCGGGTTCAAGTGATTCTCCTGCCTCAGCCTCCCGAGTAGCTGGGATTAAAGGCGCCTGCTACCATGCCTGGCTAATATTTTGTATTTTTGGTAGAGACGGGGTTTCACCATATTGGCCAGGATGGGTCTCGAACTCTTTACCTCAGGTGATCCACCCGCCTTGGCCTCCCAAAGTGCTGGGATTACAGGCGTGAGCCACTGTGCCTGGTCCCCAAAGAGCATTTTAGATAGCAATAGTGCTTGGAAGAAAATAAAACAGGTAGTGACCAGGGCAGCTCATTTCAGACAGGTGCAGTCATTGCAGCTTCGTGGAAGAGGTGACATCTGAGCTGAGCCTTGACTGATGCAAAGGTCTGCCTGAACCTACTGTGTGTGTGCTTTTTAGCCAAATTCCTATTGACCTATGAAGATTATACATCTAAACCTCAGGGGTTACCTCAGCCCTCCTGTTGGAACAGCTACAGTTTCACCTCCCCTGTCCAAGGCATGCTGGCACCCAGGAAGGCAAGAAGGAATTGAGGCTGTGTGACACCTGGACCTAACACCTTTGAGGCTGTTATGAGACCACATTACAAGATCCCTTATGTTAAACCCTGCCTAGGTCAGTGACATGGAACCGATGTTGGTTTAGGTTTCTTGAGACAGGGTCTTGCTCTGTCACTGAGACTGGAGTGCCACGGTGCAATCTTGGCTCACTGCAGCCTCGACCTCCTGGGCACAAGTGATCCTCCTGCCTCATCCTCCTGAGTAGCTGGGACTGCAGGCATGCACCGTTACATCTGGGCTAATTTTGCTTATTTTTTATAGATGAGTTTCACTACGTTGCCCAGGCTGGTCTTCACCTCCTGGGCTCAAGTCATCCTCCCGCCTTGACCTCCCAAAGAGTTGAGATTACAGGCATGAGGCACCACACCGGACTCCATTAGGTTTTTAAAGCTTTTTGTAGAAAGTGATGCTGAAAGAAAGAAGTGGGTATTCCATGTCCTGGTACCTCTGGCTGCCAGAGGGAAGGAATGAGAGCTATTTCTTGCCATCTTCCTGTGCTGTCTTTGGTAGTTCTCTCCCAGGGACATGTCTTTCCCTCAGTGTTTGATGCGATGGGATGCCTGTGGCCACTGTGACGCGGGGATCAGCTGCTAGAGTAGGTCCTGCTGCACATCAGGACTCACACTACTTGTGGCTCATGGTCCCCAAGGAACCTGCTTCCTTAGGGAAGATGAGGATTTGATATGACAATAATGATAATCATTATCATCATCATACCATAATAGCTTCCATCAACAGAGAATTTACTGTGTGTCAAGAGTTTTATTTTTTGAAAAAAAAAAATTGTAGGTATTACTGGCTGGACATGGTGGCTCACACCTGTAATCCCAGCACTTTGGGAGGCTGAGGTGGAGTTCAGGCCTCCTCACTTGAGCCTAGGAGTTCAAGACCAGCCTGGGCAACATAACAAGACCCCATCTCTATAAAAAATTAAAAAATTAAAAAATTAGCTTGGCATGGTGGCGCCTGCCTGTAGTCCCAGCTACTTTGGAGGCTGAGGTGGGAGGATGGCTTGAGCCCGGGAGTTGAGGCTGTAGTGAGTTATGATCGTGCCGCTGCATTCCAGCTTGTGTGACAGAGATTGACCCTGTCTCTAAAATAAATAAAAATTAAAAATTGTAGGTATTATGTTCTTAGGGCTCCAAATTCACAAGGAGCCACTGAAAAGTCTTCCACTGCCCCAGCGTCCCAGCTGCATTCTCCCGAGGCAACTGTTTCTGGTTCCTTGTGTCTCCTCTCAGAGACATTTTATGAAAATGTAACAACATATGTATTTTTCTTTTTTTTTTTTCCACAAATGGTAGCATATGGTATATATTTTACACTATGCTTTTTTTTTTTGGAGGGGACAGGGTCTCTCACTCTGTCGCCCAGGCTGGCATGCGGTGGTACAATCTCTGCTCACTGCAACCTCCGCCTCCCAGGCTCAAATGATCCTCCGACCTCAGCCTCCCGAGAAGCTGGGACTACAGGCAGATGCCACCACGCCCAGCTAACTATTTTATGTTTTGTAGAGATGGGGTTTCTCCATGTTGCCCAGGCTGCTCTTGAACTCCTGAGCTCACGGCCTCCCAAAGTGCTGGGATTAAAGGCATGAGCCACCGCCCGCCTGGCCTACACTGTGCTTTTTTACTTAATGTATTTTTAAAAGTCATTTTAGGAGGTTTAAAAAAGTCAGTGATGGCCAGGCGCGGTGGCTCCCGCCTGTAATTCTAGCACGTTGGTGGGTGGAGGCGGGCACATTGCCTGAGCTCAGGAGTTTGAGACCAGCCCGGGCAACGAGGAGAAACCCTGTCTCTACTAAAATACAAAAAGTTAGCCGGGTGTGGTGGCAGGTACCTGTAGTCCCAGCTACTTGGGAGGCTGAGGCAGGAGAATCGCTTGAACCTGGGAGGTGGAGGTTGCAGTGAGCCAAAATCGCGCCACTGCCCTCCAGCCTGAGCGCAAGAGCGAGACTCTGTCTCAAAAAAGCCCCCAAAAACCTAGTAATAATAGGTTTTATTTACTGAAGGTTTACTATCTGCTAGGCATTGTGCCACTTTAAATCATGAGGTATGTTGTAAACATGATCTATAGTGACATATATTGTATATGTAGTGATATGTACTGTATATGTCATATAGTGTCATGTGACATACTGTATATACATACACTGATAGATGTTATTTATGTGATGTCCATTGTAAACATGACATATAGTACTTTTGTTTACCGGGTGCTTACTAACTGCTGTACCCTCCGTGGGCATTCTTCCATCCAGTTGGCCCATTGTCAATTCCTTGCTCATCCATCCACTCTTCCTACACAAGACCCATCTCTAAGAAAAATATTTTCAAAAATTAGCCGGGCTGGGTGCAGTTGCTCACACCTGTAATCACAGCACTTTTGGAGGCTGAGGTGGGTGGATCACTTGAGCCAGGAGTTCAAGACCAGCCCAAGCAACATGGCAAAACCCCGTCTCTACCAAAAATACAAAAATTAGCTGGGCATGGTGGTGAGCACCTGTAATCCCAGCTACTCAGGGGGCTGAGGCAGGAGGATTGCTTGAACCTGGGAGGCAAAGGTTGCAGTGAGCCGAGATTGTGCCACTGGACTCCAGCCTGAGTGACAGAGAAAGGAAAAGCTTTAAAAACCTAACGGATATGGGTACGGTCTTAAAAAAAAAAAAGAAAAAAAATTAGCCGGATGTGATGGGGCATGACTACTACAGCCCCAGCTACTCAGGAGGCTGAGGTGGGAGGATCGCTTGAGCCCAAGAGTTGGAGGCTGCAGTGAGTTATGATCACCACACTGTACTCCAGCCTGGGCAACAGAGCAAGACTATCTCTAAAAATAAAAATTAAAAATAAAGAAAAAAGAGGCCTGGTGTGGTGATGCCTGTAATCGCAGCACTTTGAGAGGCCGAGGTGGGTGGATCACCTGAGGTCAAGGGTTCGAGACCAGCCTGGGCTGGGCTGGGCTGGGCTGGTCTGGCATGGTGGCTCATGCCTGTGATCCCAGCACTTTGGGAGGCCGAGGTGGGCGGATCATGAGGTCAGGAATTTGAGACCAGCCTGACCAACATGGTGAAACCCCGTCTCTACTAAAAATACAAAAACTAGCTGAGTGTGGTGACACGCTCCTGTAATCCCAGCTACTCAGGAGGCTGAGGTAGAAGAGTCGCTTGAACCCGGGAGGCGGAGGTTGAAGTGAGCCGACATTGTGCCACTGTACTCCAGCCTGGGTGACAGAGCAGGACTCTGTCTCAAAAACAAAAACAAAACAAAACAAAAAACCCAACAAATTAGTTGGGCATGGTGGTGCACACCTGTATAATCTTAGCTACTTAAGAAGCTGAGACAGGAGAATCACTTGAACTGGGAGGTGGAGGTTGCGCAGTGAGCTGAGATCGTGCCACTATACTCCTGGGTGACAACAGCAAGACTCTGTCTCAAAAAAAGAAAGAAAAGAAAAAGACAATGGTAAAAAAAAAAAAAAAAAAAAAGAATAAATACACAATTTAGTGTTTTTGTCTTGTTTTGTTTTGAGACAGAGTCTTACTGTAGCACGCAGGCTGGCATTTCATGATGTGATCACAGCTCACTGCAGCCTTGACCTCTTGGGTTCAAGTAATCTTCCTGCCTCAGCCTCCTGAGCACCTGGGGCTACAGGCGTGCACCGTTACACCCACTAATTGTTTGATTTTTTTGTATCAGGGTATCTCCCTGTATTGCCCAGGTTGGTTTCAAACTCTTGAGCTCAAGGAATCCTCCTGCCCCTGCCTCCCGAAGTGCTGGGATTACAGGTGTGAGCAATCACGGCCAGCCACAATTTAGTGTTTTATGAAACCATCACCATAGTCAACATAATGGGCACACCCGTTGCCCCGAAATATAGTTCCCTTGTGTTCTTTTATCATCCTTCCTTCTACCCCTCCTCACAACTCTGCCCCCAGCCAACTACTGACCTGCTTCCTGCCACTTTGGATTCATTTGCGTTCGTAGAATTGTACATAAATAGAAGCATACAGAAAAAGAGATAATGCATTATTTTTATTTTGTCGGCTGCTTTCACTCAGCACAATGCAGTTGAGATCTCCATGCTGTTGCTTGTATCTGAAGTTTGTTCTTTTTATTGGCAAGCACTACTCCGTTGTACAGCTATGCAGCTATGCCACAATTTGTTTATCTAATCCCCAGTTGATAGACATTTGGGTTGTCTCCAGTTCTCCAGTTGTTGTCTTTTACAAATACAGCTGCTGAGAATTCCTGTGTGCATCTCTGTGTAGATGTGCTTTCTTCTTCTTCTTCTTTTTTTTTTTTTTTGAGATGGAGTCTCGCTCTGTCGCCCAGGCTGGAGTGCAATGTTGCAATCTTGGCTCACTGCACGCTCCACCTCCCGGGTTCACGCCATTCTCCTGCCTCAGCCTCCCGAGTAGCTGGGACTACAGGTGCCCGCCACCATGCCCTGCTAATTTTTTGCATTTTTTTTTCAGTAGAGACGGGGTTTCACCATGTTAGCCAGGATGGTCTCGATCTCCCGACCTCGTGATCCACCCGCCTCGGCCTCCCAAAGTGCTGGGATTACAGTCGTGAGCCACCGCACCTGGCCTTTTTTTTTTCTTTTTTGAGACAGAGTCTTGTTCTGTCGCCCAGGCTGGAGTGCAATGGCGGGATCGTGGCTCACTGCAACCTCCGCCTCAGCAATTTTCCTGCCTCAGCCTCCTGAGTAGCTGGGATTACAGGCATGCACCACCACACCTGGCTAATTTCTGTATTTTTAGTAGAGACAGGGTTTCACCATGTTGGCCAGGCTGGTCTCAAACTCCTGACCTCAGGTGATCCCCCTGCCTTGGCTTCCCAAAGTGCTGGGATTACAGGCATGAACCACCGTACCTGGCCCTTTTTTTTTTTTGAGGAGTCTTGCTCTGTTGCCCAGGCTAGAGTGCAGTGGTGCAATCTTGGCTCACTGCAACCTCTACCTCCTAGGCCCAAGTGATTCTCCTGCCTCAACCTCCTGAGTAGCTGGGATTACAGGTCCTGCCACCACGCCTGGCTAATTTTTGTATTTTTCTTAGAGATGAGGTTTCACCAGGTTGACCAGGCTGGCCTCAAACTCCTGACCTCAAGTGATCCGCCTGCCTTAGTCTCCCAAAGTGCTGGGATTACAGGTATGAGCCACCATGCCCGGCCTTTTTATTTTTTTTTCCTTTTTGAGACAGGGTCTCCCTCTGCCACCCAGGCTGGAATCCAGTGATGTGATCGTGGCTCACTGCAGCCTCTCCCTCCTGGGCTCAAGCAATCCTCCCACCTCAGCTCCCGAGTAGCTGGGAGTACAGGTGCGCACCACCATGCCTGGCTAATTTTTTATTTTTATTTTTATAGAGACAGGGTCTCACTATGTTGCCCAGGCTGGTCTTGAACTCCTGGTCTCAAGTGATCCTTCTGACTCAGCCTCCCAAAGCACTGGGATTACAGGAGTAAGCCGCCACGCCTAGCATTCTTTCCTCTGTTCTGGGGAAATACCTCAGAGTGGGATGTGAATCAAGTGTTCTGTGGTTGGCATTTTTATCTCCTGCCTTTTTTTCCACCCAGGGAGCTTGGGTTGTGGATGGGGAAATAGAAAGGGAATAGTTGGGTTACCATCTTTCTTTCCCCACAGTCTGAAATTCATCTTGTTGCCTTGGGGATTTTGATGTGGTTCTGGATCCCGGGAACCAGCCTCTCCCTTTTTCTTGTTCCTTCTCTTCTCACCCTTGCCAGGTTGAGGTTGATGAGAATCAACTTTCACTTTGGCATCAAAGAACCCGGCCTGGGGTTAAGCCTTGGCTCTGTCACTTCACAGCTTCATGACTGGGCGAGTCTGCACCTCTCACTGCTGCACATTTATCTCTGCTTATTTTTTTTTTTTTCTGAGTTTATGGATAACATGGCACCTACCTACCTTGCAAAGTTTTTTGTTTGTTTGTTTTGAGACAGAGTCTCTCTCTGTCACCCAGGCTAGGGTGTAGTGGCACAATCTCGGAAGTTCAGTGGTGCGATCTCAGCTCACTGCAATCTCTGTCTTCCGGGTTCAAGTGATTCTCCTGCCTCAGCCTCCTGAGTAGCTGGGACTACAGGCATCCGCCACCACACCTGGCTAATTTTTGTATTTTCAGTGGAGAAGGGGATTTCGCCATGTTGGTCAGGCTGGTCTCAAACTCCTGACCTCAGGTGATCCGCCTGCCTCGGCCTCCCAAAGTGCTGGCATTACAGGTGTGAGCCACCACACCTGGCCCCTTGCAAAGTTATTGAGAGGATCAAATAATAAGAGGGCGGAAAGGGGAGACGGTGTGGTGTCTGAGGAAGAAAACAAAAGGAATCGAATAAAAGCAAAAGGATTTGTTTTAGGCAGAACAATGATAACAATTGCTCCTTGGTTGATGGAGAGGTGGGTCACAGTCTGCATCACCCTTGGCGCCCTTGGAAACTTAGGTAGGTCTGGCATTTTCTATCAGTTGGGTCTGCGAGGACCACCTGCTGGTCCTTGGCGGGGCTCATGAGAGTGAGATGGAGAAGGTGAAAGGACCCAGCAAACTAGAGTGTCAGGTGGCCTCTGTGTGTGGCTTTCAGTCGTCATCAGTCTGTGGCTCCCTCATTTGGACCTCTTGAGAGCCCAGATTGGAGGCATCAGCCATTGCTGCTGGCCCCACATCCAGATCACACTGAGTGCAACTGTCTCCTCCTCCCCACACACACACATCGTCTTCCTCTACGTCACCGGCATCTCCCGTCTGGCCATATCCCAATGTATATGGCCTTTCCCATCAGGCAGCCTGAGGGATCCTGTTGAAATGGAGCCAGGATTTGTCATGCCACTGCCTAACACCATGCAATCATGTCTCATTCTGCTCGGAAGAAAGTTCCAGTCTCCTTACCTGGCCTACTTACAAGTGGTCCCCTGTCCATTCCACGCCAGCCTTGCATCTTGCTGCCAATAGTGGAATCATGCTTGGTCCTGTCTCAGAATCTTGCATCTGCTGTCCCCCTGCCTCAAAGATTCTTTCTGGAAGCCCCTGTGCCTAACTCTTCCTGCAGCTCTGAGCTGGAACACAGCCCCTCAGAGACCCTCCGGGCTACAGCAGCTCCCAAGTTGCTCTCTCCTATCTTCACTGCAGAGACCAGGATCTGGAATGGTCTGCCTCAGCTTTTGACATTTGTATGGGCTGTTCCTGGACTAGAGTGTAAGCTCCATGTGGGGTGCCCTATGTCACCAGCATGTCAACAAGATCCAGAACCAAGGGTGGCAAGCTATTCTTGTAAAGGGCCAGATGGTAAATATTTGAGGCTTTGGGCTGGGCATGGTGGCTCAGGCCTGTAATCCCAGCACTTTGGGAGGCTGAGGCAGAAGGAATGCTTGAGTCCAGGAGTTCAAGACTGGCCTGGGCAACATGATGAGACCCCATCTCTCAAAAAAAAAAAAAAAAAAAAAAAAATTAGTTGAGTGTGGTGGTGCATGCCTGTAGTCCTAGCTACTTTGGAGGCTGAAGTGGGAGGACTGGGAAGAGGAGGTTACAGTGAACTGTGATCACACCACCGAACTTTAGCCTGGGTGACAAAGCATGAACCTGTCTCAAAAAGATACATATGTAGCTGGGGACAGTGTCTCATGCCTGTAATCCCAACACTTTCGGAGGCCGAGGCAGGTGGATCACTGGAGGTAAGGAGTTTGAGACCATCCTGGCCAACATGGTGAAACCCTGTCTCTACTAAAAATATAAAAATTAGCCAGGTGTGGTGGCAGGCACCTGTAACCCCAGCTACTCAGGAGGCTGAGGCAGGAGAATTTCTTGAACCCAGGAGGTGGAGGTTGCAGTGAGCTGAGATCACACCATTGCACTCCAGCCTGGGTGACAGTGAGTCTGTCTCAAAAAAAAAAAATGTATATATATATATTTGCAGCTTTTAGAGGCCAGGTGGTCTAGTGCAACCTTAGACCATATGCAAAAAAATGGGCATGGCTGTACCCAGTAAAACTTTATCCACAGATGCTAAGAATGTAAATTTCACATAATTTTCACCTGTCATGAAATAGTCTTGCAATGTTTTTTCAACCATTAAAAAATGCATCACGCCTTTAAATCCCAGCACTTTGGGAGGCCAAGGTAGGACAATCACTTGAGCCCAGGTGGTCAAGACCAGCCTGGGCAACATAGTAAGACCTTGTCTACAAAAAGTAAACAAAATAAGCTGGGTATAGTGGTGCATGCCTGTAGTCTCAGGTACTTTGGAGGCTGAGGAGGAAGGATCACTCGAGCTGAGGAGTGTGAGGCTGGAATAAACTATGATCATGCCACTGCACTCCAGCCTGAGCGACAAAGTGAGACCCACTTTTAAAAAAAGGAAAAAATAAGAGTAAAAACCATTCTCAGCTTGTGAGCTGTGCAAAACACAGGTGATGGGCCAAATAAGGTTTGCTAACCCCTGGCCTAAGTTACTTCTGGTTAATGAGACAATAAAAAAACCTGCCCCATGGTGAGATCACAGGTTAAAAACATTTTTGGTGGGGACAGGGGGATATTTGAATCTCTGTAGAGCGTGCTGTGAAAATAACTCACACAGTCTCATCCACAGACGGGTGACAGATCAAGCTTTCTGGCCCCTGGCCTAGAGTACTACTTGGCACAGAGTGGTTGCTAAGTAATTAATAAAACAATTGCAAGAATAAATGAAATTTGAGCATGATAGGAAATGTTAGTCCCATTTTAGGTGCAAATACAAAAGCGTAGAGCTGCAAAGGGACTTAGGATCTTGAACATTCCCAAGTCAGACACGGCTGAGTTTGAGGGATGAGGTCGAGAGCTCATCTGCCTCTCCAGGCAGCTGGGCTGGCTGGTGGAGGTGGGACTCAGTCACTTCCTAGCTGTGTGGCTTTAGGCAAGTTTCTTCACTTTTCTGAGCCAATTGCCTCGTGCCTAAACTGAGGATCTTAGTCATCCCCCTGTGAGGATGTTGGGAAGACAGATGAGATGGCGGTGGCTACAGAGCATGCAGCATCTGGCCGGCTGCTGGTGGGTGCCCTGCACATAGTAGCTGCTAGTATTATTAACCCGTCTCTTGCCAGAAGGATTTGCAAGGTATCAGGAGAATTGTTGTGCCTTAAATGGCTCAGGAAACTGGCAGTTGGGCTGAGAGCTGGCCTTGCTCTTATTTAGTGCCAATGCCCTGCCCACCCCTGCCAGCATCTGTCCTGAGTTAGGGGACCTCACCAGCATCCTCTCTATCAGTAGCTGCAGTTTACTCTGATGCACTGGGATCAGCTCCAGACTGCGAGTTCCCTCTCCCTCCCTCAGCCCTGTAATGACATGGTTGGAGGCCATTATTTTACAGAAAACTCTTAGAACTTACAGAGTCTTTTACAAGACCAAATTGATGCCCAACTGAAGGATCCTGTAGGTGCTAAGGTTTCAAATCTGGGACTTACCTTCTAAGCCTTCATTAAGTCATTTCATTAATAATCACCTGGCAAGGGCTTGTTTTAGGGCATCCAGGCTTCTAGGCTGGTCAGTGGAAGAGCAGATAAGCCTCCAAGAAGCTCCCCAGACCTTCCTCCTAGTCAGGGAAGCCAAAGACATCAGGCAGGAGGGAAGTTTCTGGCATGCTAAGTACCACGATGCAAATAAAATGAGGTTTTGCGATGGGGAGGCGGTGGCGAAAGAGATGGCAGGGAGTCCCTTAGCGAGAGTGGTCAGGGAAGGCTTCTCAAAAGAGGGGGCATTTTTTTTAAGCCCTGAATAATGGGAGTGAGCCAGCCATAAGTGGGCCGGGAGGAAAGATGCTCAGGAATAGAGACAAGGCCAGAATTATAGCAAGGCATGAGAGGTGGGGAAGCCCAGGAGACACAGTGTGCTCAGAGTCAACGCATGAGGCTTAGATTTTATTCTAGTTGACGTTTGGTTTTAAGCAAGGAAAAAATAAAATCTAACTTGGCTTTTAAACAGACAATTCCCTCTGCTGTGGGAGAAATAGGTTAGTGTGGAGGCAGGGAGGCCAGTTTACGAGGCTCCGGTAGTGATCCAAGGAGGTTGGGGGGTAGGCTGGAGTGGCAGAGGGGAGCCGGGTGCCAGCATGTTTTGCGGATGGACCTGATGGAACTTGCTGCCAGGTGGACGGGAGACACCTCTAGCACTTTTCAAGCGGTTGTAAACTATTTATAGCAGCTTCTGGCACTCGGCAGTTCTCCTGGGTCTTGGTGATGACAGAGGGAGAGCCGCCAATTTATGTTCCTTCAGTCAGGATGGCTGGCCAGCCTCTTTGGTCAAATGCCTTGGAGGAGGATATGGTGGGGCCGATGGATTTCTTCCAAAATGAAGATGGTGATAATGGCAGCAAGGAACTGTGTCATTACTCTGTTCATAGGCCCCAGTCCTCTTCCCACCAATTCACCTCTTTCTCTTCTATCTCCCCTTGGGAGAAGGGTGGGGGTTGGGGGGTGGGGGCAGTTTACCCACAGCTTGACCCAATTGTTCCTATTTCATGAACCAGGAGGAAGTCAACTTTTGAGCATGAGGGCTCTGAGAGAGGATGGAATTTCCCCCTAGATGACATTTGGCAATGTCATAACTTTGGTGAGGGGTGGAGGTTGGGGGCTGCAACTATTAAGTAATAGGGAGATGCTACCCATCCACCCATGCACAGGACATCTCCCCACAACAAAGAATTATCCAACCTCAAATGTCAGTCCAGAGGTTGAGAAATGCTGTCACAAACACAGAAAAAAATCTGGAGGCTTTTTTTTTTTTTTTTGAGACAGAGTCTGACTCTGTCACCCAGGCTGGAGTGCAGTGGTGCAATCTCGGCTTACTGCAACCTCCACCTCCCGAGTTCAAGTGATTCTCTTGGCGCAGCCTCCCCAGTAGCTGGGACTACAGGTGCACACCACCACGCCCAGCTAATTTTTTTTTTTTTTTTTTTTTTGAGACAAAGTCTCGCTCTGTCACCTGGGCTGGAGTACAGTGGCATGATTTCGGCTTATTGCAACCTCCGCCTTCGGGATTCAAATGATTATCCTGCCTCAGCCTCCCAAGTAACTGGGATTATAGGCGAGCACCACCATGCCTGGCTAATTTTTTTGTATTTTTAGTAGAGACGGTGTTTCACCATGTTGGCCAGGCTGGTCTCCAACTCCTAACCTCAAGTGATCCACCCGCCTCAGCCTCCCAAAGTGCTGGGATTACAGGTGTGAGCCACTGCACCCGGACTTTTTCTTTTTCTTTTTTTTTTTTTTTTTTTGAGATGGAGTCTCACTCTGTTGCTCAGGCTGGAGTGCAGTGGCATGATCTCCACTCACTGCAACCTCCAGTTCCTGGGTTCAAGCGATTCTCTTATCTCAGCCTCCCGAGTATCTGGGATTATAGTTGCCTGCCACCACGCCTGGCTAATTTTTGTATTTTTAGTAGAGATGGGTTTTCGCCATGTTGGCCAGGCCAGTCTCAAACTCTTGACTTCAGGTGATCCACCCACCTCAGCCTCCTGAAGTGTTAGGATTACAGGTGTGAGTCACTGTGCCTGGCCCCATGAACAGAATTGACTTTGCATGGTGGATTACCACATCACTTTTTACTGATATTATTTTATATAGCCTAAGAATTTAAAAAACAAATACATGTTACTTTCATAATTAAAAAAAGAATTCACGTAATGTTTATATAATGAATAAAGGTAGCCTGTGCAAAGATTCTGGGAGAGGAAAACAGCTGCACCCTGATGCAATTTTTTTTTTTTTTTTTTGAGATGGAGTCTTGCTCTGTTGCCCAGGCTGGACTACAGTGGCGCCATTTTGGCTCACTGCAACCTCCGCCTCCCAGGTTCAAGCGATTCTCCTGCCTCAGCCTCCCAAGTAGCTGGGATTACAGGTGTCCACCACCACACCTGGCTAATTTTTGTATTTTTAGTAGAGACGGGGTTTCACCATGTTAGCCAAGCTGGTCTCAAACTCCTGACCTCAGGTAATCCGTATGCCTTAGCCTCCCAAAGTGCTGGGATTACAGGTGTGAGCCATCGCCGGCCGCAATTGTTTTGTAAGTTTGGATTTGGTGCTGTGGTTTCTCACGTGAGGCAATTTTCCATAGGGTTTTTCAGCTTGATTTCCATCCGATCAATGTTGCAGTAGATTCAGGTAAACTTGCAGGAGTTCCTGTATTTCTTCCCTTTACTTTTCCAGCTGGGAGATAAAAGGAGAAAGGGAGGGGCCTTGTGAGGTGAAGGGTGTCCTTATACAGGTGTGACAGCCCCTGGCCCAGAGCCTCCTCCCATCCCTGCTCTTGTCCTCAGCCCACTTGGAGGGAACCGCCCCTTCCCCACAGCACCCACCGCACTCTGAGCCATGGGGGGCTTCATTCTCTCCTGTTTCTTTTCTTCTTAGGCCCAGGAATACTAATTTTCTGCAAGCAGAAGACACTATTCTACCGCTAATATCCATGAGTAGTCTTCTCCCACAAGACAGAAAAAAAATTCAGTGGTGGAAAGCACCAACCATTTAAGAAAATCTTCAAGAAGGCAGAATTTTCTCAACTCTTTCTTTTTAATTTATTGTTTTTTCTATTTGTTGATGCTAACTAATTCTAGCCAATGACAGAATGACTTAAGGTGTCACAATATCATTTAATTGTTTTACTTTTTAACATGTTTATTTGTTTTTTTTTTTTCAAGGTAGAGTCTCGCTCTGTCACCCAGGCTGGAGTGCAGTGGTGCAATCTCGGCTCACTGCAACCTCCGCCTCCTGGGTTCAAGTAATTCTTGTGCCTCAGCCTCCTGAGTTCCTGGGATTACAGGCAAGCACCACCACACCTGGCTGTATTTTTAGTAGAGATGGGGTTTCACCATGTTGGCCAGGCTGGTCTTGAACTCCTGAGCAAAAAGTAATCCTCCCACCTCCGCCTTCCAAAGTGCTGGGATTACAGGAGTGAGCCACCGTGCCTGGCCAATGTCTTTATTTTTGACAAAAGTACTGCAGGTAGGCCGGGCGTGGTGGCTCAAGCCTGTAATCCCAGCACTTTGGGAGGCTGAGGCGGGCGGATCACAAGGTCAGGAGATTGAGACCATCCTGGCTAACACGGTGAAACCCCATCTCTACTAAAAAATAAAAAAATACAAAAGATTAGCCCGGCATGCTAGTGCACACCTGTAATCCTAGCTACTCGGGAGGCTAAGGTGGAGAAATGCTTGAGCCCAGGAGGCGGAGGTTGCAGTGAGCTGAGATCGCGCCACTGCACTCCAGCCTGGGCGACAGAGTGAGACTCAGTCTCAAAAAAAAAAAAAGTACTGCAGGTAACATGCCTATTTCTACTTACAATATCTTTAAGGAGGCTAGACAATCACCCACTAAGAGGTTACCTCCGGGGCGGGAATGTGGGACTGAGACTGGGGGCAGAGGGTCATGGATGACAGGCAGGCTGACCTTTCACTTTGTCTCTTTTACTTTTTTAAATTAAATTTATTTTTTTTACATATTTTGAGATGGAGTCTCACTGTGTTGCCCAGGCTGGTCTCAAACTCCTGGGTTCAAGCAATCCTCCCACCTTGGCCTCCCAAAGTGCTGAGATGACACACGGGAGCCACCAGGCCGGGACTCACCGTGTATCATTTCATCCGCTTTGAAGGTTTTAATCGTGTGTGGTCAAAATGAAACCTGCTTTCAAACCTAGAGAAATCAGGTAGAGTTAAAACACTAAAAAATAACCATCAGTGCTATTACAAGAGAATCTACAGAAGAACAGAAAACATACCTGCATTATGTCATTTAATTCTCCCAGTAACCCTATGTTAGCCCATTTCACAGATGAGGCACTGGAGGCTTGGCCAGAGGTCAGCGAGTTGTCGAAGCTCATCCAGCTGGTATAGGGCAGAGTCAGCTTCAAGAGTAGACCTGGCTACTTCCAGGGGTCGTGTTTAAACAGTGAGCTCAATGCCAGCTATAAGCTATGATGCCTGCCATAAGCTATGGTGCCCTCGAATGGAAGAGCTTACATTCTTGAGCACTTGGCATGTGCCAGCCACTGTTATAGACATTTTTTTTTTTTCTGAGACAGAGTCGTGCTCTGTCACTCAGGCTGGAGTGCAGTGGCATGATCTTGGCTCACTGCAACCTGTGCCTTCTGGGTTCAAGCAATTCCCTGCCTCAGCCTCCCGAGTAGCTGGGATTACAGGTACCTGCCACCACACCTGGCTAATTTTTGTATTTTCAGTAGAGATGGGGGTTTCACCATCTTGGCCAGGCTGGTCTTGAACTCCTGACCTCGTGATCTGCCTGCCTCGGCCTCCCAAATGCTGGGATTACAGGTGTGAGCCACCGCGCCTGGCCGAATGAATCTTTTTAAGAAAAAAAAGTTTTTAAATTTATTTATTTTGTATTTATTAATTTTTTTAGTTGGAGTCTTTCTCTGTCACCCAGGCTGGGCGACAGAGCAAGACTCTGTCTCAAAAAACAAACAAACAAACAAAGAAACAAATGCAGCAAATGGCACCACGGAGAGGAGTGCGTTTCCCTCCCACACTTGCCCCCAGGCCACCCGCTTCCCTGGCTGGAGACAAACCTCATTATCAATTAGGTGTGTGCAAAGCTATTTTAGGCACATACACACAACTGCATGTATTTACTTTTTTAACCCAAATAGCGGCGTATGGTACACACCACCTGGCACCTCACTCTCTTCACTGGAGTTTTCACGTGGATGGCTCCTTTCCATTCAAATAGAGCTGACTTGTTTTGAAGGTGTCCTCGGCTGTGTGTCTGGAGGGTGACACACATATAACTCATCTTTTCCTTACAGGGTTTGTGATGTTTCTTGTCCCCTGCTGTTATAAAGGAGCTGCTGGGCTGGGCGCAGTGGCTCATGCCTGTAATCCCAACACTTTAGGAGGCTGAGATGGGTGGATAATTTGTGGTCAGGAGTTCAAGACCAGCCTGGCCAACATGGTGAAACCCCATCTGTGCTAAAAATACAAAAACTAGCCAGGCGTGGTGGCAGGCGCCTGTAATCCCAGCTACCTCGAGAGGCTGAGGCAGGAGAATTGCTTGAACCCAGGAGTGGGAGGTTGCAGCGAGCTGAGATTGCTCCACTGCACTCCAGCCTGGGAGACAGAGCGAGACTCTGTCTCATAAATAAATAAATAAATAAGCTGGTTGGGCATGGTGGCTCACACCTGTAATCCCAGCACTTTGGGAGGCAGAGGCAGGGAGATCACCTGAGGTCAGGAGTTCAACACCAGCCTGGCCAACATGGCAAAACCTTATCTCTATTAAAAAATACAGAAATTAGCCGGGTGTGGTGGCAGATGCCTGTAATCCCAACTACTCGGGAGGCTGAAGCAGGGGGAATTGCTTGAAACTGGCAGGCAGAGGTTGCAGTGAGCTGAGATTGCAACACTGCACTCCAGCATGGGTGACAGAGTGAAACTCCATCTCAATAAATAAATAAATAAATAAATAAATAAATAAATAAATAAATGGAGCTGCTTGCTCAGGTGGTTGGTTTCACAGAGTACCTTATGGATGGACCCCTAAAAGCCAAATTGCATTTCACTTTAGTGAATGAACCCCACTGTGTTGCCCTCATCCTGGGGCCCTGTTCACACCCTCGTGTGCATGAATGGGCCTGCTGGAAGTGCTGCTTTCTTTCTTTTTTTGAGACAGAGTCTGTTACCCAGACAAGAGTGGAGTGCAGTGGCTCAATCATAGCTCACTGCAGCCTCAACCACCCAGGCTCAAGTGATCCCCCCACCTCAGCCTCCCGAGTAGCTGGGACCACAGGCGTGCACCACCACGCCTAGCTAATTTTTTTATTTTTTATTTTTTTGTAGAGATGGGGTCTTGCTGTATTGCCCAGGCCGATCTTGACTTCCTGGGCTCAAGTGATCTGCCTAGCTCAGCCTCCCAAAGTGTTGGGATTATGGGCGTGCGCCACCGTGCCTGGTTGAGGTGCTGCTTTCCACGGGTGTTCAGGGAGTTCTCTCCAGGAGACAACACCTGGGCTGGTGGCTGAGCAGAGCCCTTGGTGCAGAGCTGGTGACAGAAGGGCTATCAAGGACAAGTTCAGGGAGCAGAAGGCCTGGAGGCTGGAGGAAGAGTAGACTGGGATGGGGCCGGAGGGAGTTGGAGTCTTCTGGGCCCTACAACGGGATTGAAATTCTACTCTTGATGTTGTAGGAAGCCATTGCAGAGTTACAAGCAGGGAGAGACATGACTGGCGTTCATATTCATTTATGTGTTATTTTTATTTCTGTGGAGATGGAGTCTCACTCTGTCACCTAGGCTGGAGTGCAGTGGTGCAATCTCGGCTCACTGCAACCTCTGTCTCCCGGGTTCAAGTGATTCTTGTGCCTCAGCCTCCCAAGTAGCTGGGATTACAGGCTCAGGTCACCATGCGCTGCTAATTTTTGTATTTTTAGTAGAGACGGGGTTTCGCCATGTTGGCCAGGCTGGTCTCAAACTCCTGATGTCAGGTGATCTGCCCACCTCGGTCTCCCAAAGTGCTAGGATTACAGGCGTGAGCCACCACGCCTGGCCATGGCTTTCATTTTAAAAAACCACTTTGCATGGAGAATGAACCACTGTGGGTAAGAGTGGAAGCCGGGAGCCTGGTAGGAAGCCACACAGGCGCTGAGGCAAGAGATGGTGGCTCATTGGCTGGTAGGAGCCATGATGGAGGGCCAGAAAGACCTGGGAAGTATTTTGAAGGCGGAGCTGACAGAACTTGCTGATGAGTTGGATGGGCTCAGGAGCAGGGTGAGGAATCAAGAGGGGATGATGTAAAACTCCCAGGATTGGGCCTCAGCAAAGTTTACCAAGTCAGAAAAGGCTCAATAAACCAGCTGTGTGCAAGTAAGACCATGCAGGGAGGCCTAGGGAAGGAAATTTCCATGGGAGATGCTCTTGGTGTCATTTAGATGGGTCCCAAGTTGTTCAGGCAGGGCCCTGTGGCTGGTGCTTCCCTGGAGCTGGCCTGTCTTGGAGCTCCAAAGCCTACGATGGATGGGTTTTATGGTGGCTCTGAAGACTGGGACCTCCACTTGCCCCTGACACACCAGGACAGGGGATGGGGGAAGCTGCATTCTGGGTGGGGCTGGCATTGTCTAGCTCACAATAAAAATTCCTCAAGTTAAAGTAATCAGAGGAGGTAGGACAGGGCTGTGCCCAAGGGTGAGGCTCATTAGAGCTTTATTGACTGTCAACATTGACAGGAACCTTGGAGGTCATTAGCCAAGCAGTTGATTTGGGGAAAAAAAAGTTTAAATGGCAAATTATGCCATTTAAATAATTATTTAAAAGGATTAACATAACAACAGATTTTATTTTGTTTTTTTTTTGAGACAGAGTCTCACTCTGTTGCCCAGGCTGGAGTGTAGTGGCACAGTCTTGGCTCACTGCAACCTCCACCTCCTGGGTTCAAATGATTCCCCTGCGTCAGCCTCTCGAGTAGCTGGGATTACAGGCATGCACCACCATGCCCAGCTAATTTTTATATTTTTAGTAGAGACGGGGTTTCACCATGTTGGTCAGGCTGGTCTCGAACTCCTGACCTCAGGTGATCCGCCCGCCTCAGCTTCCCAAAGTGCTAGGATTATAGGCGTGAACCACTTGCTCCCAGCCCAGATATTGTTTATTAAGCACTTAGTATGCACCAGGGTCCAGGCCAAATGTTTTACATCCATTATTACTTTTTTTTTTTTTGAGACCGAGTCTCACTCTGTCGCCCAGGCTGGAGTGCTGTGGCATGATCTCAGCTCACTATGACCTTTGCCTCTTGGGTTCAAGTGATTCTCCTGCCTCAGCCTCCCAAGTAGCTGGGATTACAAGTGCCTGCTACCATGTCTGGCTAATTTTTGTATTTTTAGTAGAGACGGGGTTTCATTGTGTTGGCCAGACTGGTCTCGAACTCCTGACCTCAAATTATCCGCCTGCCTCAGGCTCCCAAAGTGTTGGGATTACAGGCACGAGCCACCGTGCCCGACCATTATTACATTTTAATCCTCCAAATAGGCCTCCAGGGAAGTACTGTCATCATCTGTCTAGTAACTGCAGTTCAGGAGCCCCATGGTTCCCTAGCTGCGATGGGGTCCCAACGGCCGCCCTCTGACTCCTGGAAATGGAATTGGAGCCTCCAGGGAGAGTTTACAAAAATGAGACCCAACCAGAGGGAGTCACTTTGTGACCAAGATACTAAAGACAAATTAAGAATCTTGGGTATGCTGGGCGTGGTGGCTCACGCCTATAATCCCAGCACTTTGGGAGGCCGAGGTGGGTGGATCACGAGGTCAGGAGATTGACGCCATCCTGGCCAACATGGTGAAACCCCTTCTTTACTAAAAATACAAAAATTAGCTGGGCGTGGTGGTGCTTGCCTGTAATCCCAGCTCCTTGGGAGGCTGAGGCAGGAGAATCACTTGAACCCAGGAGGCGGAGGTTGCAGTGAGCTGAGATTATGCCGCTGCACTTTAGCCTGGTGTTAGAGCGAGACTCTGTCTCAAAAAAAAAAAAGGAAAGAATCTTAGACATGTCACTGACAGCCCAAGAGGGGCCTTAGTTGAACAGAACTAAGGCTTTTGTTCATCCCACACAGCATGTTGGCCCCCAGAGACACTGACCCCAGAAGCCCTTCCAGCAGCCCCACACAAGGGCTGGGTCTCCAGCTCTTGCCAAGTTAGATTAATATATTCTTAATTTTATCATTCTAAATCCTTTAAAAATTTTTCTTAATTTAATTTTTTTTTTTTTTTTTGAGACAGAGTCTCCCTCTGTTGCCTAGGCTGGAGTGCAGTGGCGTGAACTCAGCTCACTGCAACCTCTACCTCCAGGGCTCAGGTGATCCTCCCACCTTAGCCTCCCAAGTAGCTGGGACTACAGGTGTGCAATACCATGCCTGGCTAATTTTTTTGTAGAGATGGGCTTTCATCATGTTGCCCTGGGTGGTCTCAAACTCCTGGGCTCAAGCAATCCACCCACCTCGGCCTCCCAAAGTGCTGGGATTACAGGCATGAGCCACAGCACTTGGCCAGTATTCTGTTTTTGTTTTTGTTTGGAGGCAGAGTCTCACTCTGTCACCCAGGCTTGTGTGCAGTGGTGCGATCTCGGCTCACTGCAACCTCTGCCTCCTGGGTTCAAGTGATGCTCCTGCCTCAGCCTCCCGAATAACTGGGACTACAGGCATGCATCACCACATCCGGCTACTTTTTTTGTATTTTTTTGTAGAGATGGGGTTTCACCATGTTGGTCAGGCTGGTCTCGAACTCCTGACCTCAAATGATCCACCTGCCTCAGCCTCCTAAAGTGCTGGGAATACAGACGTGAGCCACTGCGCCTGGCCTCTGGCTAGTATTCTGCATTCTTGACAGTCTGATAGATGGAAAAATATCCCTATGGCAATGAATACACTTTAAAAACATACGGAATGTCGGTGGGCCACTCTTGCCCTCTCCCCAACTATCTTTAGTGGTGGGCTTCAGGCTCCGGGCACCCTCTATTTTGTTTCCTAGCATGAGTACATTCATGTAGTCATTGAACACCTCTTTAAACTCTGTGTTCGCTTCAGCAGCACATATACTAACATTGGAACAATAGAGATCAGTATGTTCCCTGTGCAAGGACGACATGCAAATTCATGAAGCGTTCCGTGTATTTTTAAAATTTAATATATTAAAAAAATTTAAAACTCAATAGAGTGTCTGTTGTGTGCCAGACACTGTTCTGGGTGCTGAGGACACAGCAGAAAGAGATTGGCCCTCAGGCGGTTCATCCTGGTGAGGACCCAGACAGCTCACACAACGGACGTGTAAAATGCACTGAGTGTTCCCAGGGTGAGAAGTGCTTTGGAGAAAAAATTAAAAGGGGCAGGAATGTGCATTTCTGGGGCTTCGGAAAGTTTCATGGAGGGGAGGGGAGGGGAGGGAGCAAGTGTAGAAGAAACAGAAGTCTAGGAAAAGGGTACAAAGTGCAAAGGCCTGGAGATGGGGACCGTGCCCAACAGATTGGAGGAACAGCTGGGATAGCTGAGGCTGCAAAGCAGGGACTAGGAGGGCTGTGGGACCTCATGGCCCCTGGGAAGAAGTCTGCCTTTTGCTCCAGATGAGGTGGGGACCTTTGAAGGTTGGGACAACAGGGATGAGACCTGACATTTTCACCAGGATCACTTTGGCTACTGTCTTGTACATTGACTGTAGGGGGTCAAGGTCAGAAACTCAAGACAGTTGGAGGCTAGAGAAATCATCAAACAAAAGATGGTGGTGAGTTGGTGTGCTGGGTTCAATAGTTTTTCTCCCAAATTTATGTCCACCTGGTATCTCAGAATGTGACCTTGTTTGGTCTTAGAGTCTTTGCAGATGTAGCTAAAGATCTCAAGATGAAATTATCCTGGACTTAGGACCCACCCTAAATGACTGATATCCTCATAAAAAGGGGAAGCCACAGAAAGATACACAGAGAGAGGGGATGTGAAGACAGAGCCAGAGATGGCAGTGATGCCCAGGAACTGGTGTTCCTGGCAGAAGCACCAGAAGCTGGAAGAAGCCAGGAAGGGCCCTCCCCCAGAGCCTTCAGAGGGAAAGCAGCCCCGCCCATACCTTTATTTCAGACCTCTAGCCTCCAGAACCCTGAGTGAAAAAGATTCTGTTGTTTTAAGCCATCAATTTTGGACAATTTGTTACAGCAGCCCCAGGAAATGAATACACTTGTGCCAACACAAGAGTAGAGGAGAAGGTGAAAATTGGTCCGTCAGAGTTGGGATATATTTTGTAGGTAAAGCCAAGAGGATTTGCTGAAAAATAGGAACAAGAGAACAAGAAGAGTCCAGGCTGGCTCCAGGGTTTTTGCTCTGGGCATCTGGCAGGCTGACTGGGTATCAGAAGGGCTGTTTGGGACTGGGCATGGTGGCTCACGCCTATAATCCCAGGACTTTGGGAAGCTGAGGCTAGAGTTTGAGCTCAGGAGTTCGAGACCAGCCTAGGCAACATAGGCTCTACAAATAATACAAAAATTAGCCAGGCATGGTGGTGAGCGCCTGTAGTCTCAGCTACTTGGGAGTCTCAGGTGGGAGGATCCCTTGAGCCCAGGAAGTCAAGGCTGCAGTGAGCCGTGATTGAGCCACTGCACTCCAGCCTGGGCAACAGAGTGACAGCCTGTCTCAAAAACAAAACACAAAAAGCAAACAACAATAACAAAAGAGCTGTTTATGAAAGAAGAGAACATGCTGCCCTTTGGATAAATTAAGTTGCCTGTGAGACATCTAAGTGGAAGCCAGCTGTGCATACATTTTGTTTGTTTGCTTAAGGACATATCTTAAAATCTTTCCATGTCAACCTATAAAGAAATGTCTCATTTTTTTTGTTGCTGTGTATTTCATTATATGCATAAACCATCTTTTTTTTTTTTTTTTTTTTTTTTTTTTTTTTTTTGAGATGGAGTTTCACTCTTGTTGCCCAGGCTGGAGTACAATGGCATGATCTCAGCTCACTGAAACCTCTGCCTCCCAAGTTCAAGCAATTCTCCTGCCTTAGCCTCCCAAGTAGCTGGTATTACAGGTGCCTACCACCATGCCCAGCTAATTTTTTTGTATGTTTAGTAGAGACAGAGTTTCACCATGTTGGCCAGGCCGGTCTCGAACTCTTGACCTCAGGTGATCCCTCCGCCTCCACCTCCCAAAGTGCTGGGATTACAGGCTTGAGCCACTGTGCCTGGCCAAACCATCTTATTTAACCAGAATTAGGCACGTTTCCAAATGCTAAGCTGGATGAGTCTGTCTGTGATAGTTTGTTCTTCCACTGAAATCAGTACTTACTAATTTTTCTTTTTTTTTGAGGTGGGGTCTCGTTCTGTCACCCAGGCTGGAGTGTAGTGGCACAATCAATGCTCACTGTAGCCTCGACCTGCTGGGCTCAAATGATCCTCCTGCCTTATCTTCCTGAGTAGCTGGGACCACAGGCACACACCACCATTCCCTGCTAATTGGTTTTTCATTTTTTTGTAGAGATAGGGTCTGGCTGTGTTGCCCAGGCTGTTCTCAGACTCCTGAGCTCAAGCAATCTTCCTGCCTCTGCCTTCCAAAGTGCTGGGATTACAGGTGTGAGCCACTGCACCTGGCCAGTGCTTGCTAATTTTTGAGCACTTGCTGTGTGCCTGCTCCTGAGAGGAATGGCCTCACAAAGGAGACGGTTTAGTGTGGTGGCCACGGTGTTCCAGTTTCAGACCATCACCTTCTATGAAACAGGGCTGCGGCCGGGCGCGGTGGCTATGCCTGTAATCCCACCACTTTAGGAAGCTGAGGAGGGTGGATCACCTGAGGTCAGTAGTTCAAGACCAGCCTGGCCAACATGGCAAAAACCTATCTCTACTAAAAGTACAAAAATTAGCCAGGTGTGGTGGCACATACCTGTAATCCCAGCCACTCAGGAAGCTAATGCAGAAGAATCCCTTGAACCTGAGAGACGGAGGTTGCAGTGAGCCAAGATTGCACCACTGCACTCCAGCCTGGGTGAAAGAGTGAGACTCCGTCTCAATAAATAAATAAACACAAAGAAAAATAAAAATACAAAATTGGCCAGGCGTGGTGGCACATGCCTATAATCCCAGCTACTTGGGAGGCTGAGGCAGGAGAATCGCTTGAACCTGGGAGATGAAGGTTGCAGTGAGCCAAGATTGCACCACTGTACTCCAGCCTGGGTGAAAGAGTGAGACTCCGTCTCAATAAATAAATAAATAAAAATAAAAATACAAAATTGACCAGGCGTGGTGGTGCATGCGTGTAATCCCAGCTACTTGGGAGACTGAGGCAGGAGAATCGCTTGAACCCTGGAGGCAGAGGTTGCAGTGAGCTGAGATTGCGCCACTGCACTCCAGCCTGGGTGACGAGGGCGAAACTCTGTCTCAAAAAACAAACAAACAAAAAATCTAGGGCTGCTATGTCATCTAAAGACATACCCAGCACAAAGCCCCAAGCTCAGCCTTTGAAACAGGCATTGTACACGTGGAGTCTTTGCTACTATTTCTTATGTAACTGTGTTCCAGAGGCCTCAGACATGAGAGGTGTTCTGTGGGTACCAATTCCATCTTCCCTGAAAAATGACTTGCCTGGTCCAGCAGCTCCCTTTTGGGGGTTCCTAGTCTTTCCCAGCACATGGAGGGCTCTGAGAAATTCTGCACTCAAGACAGTTTTGCTTATCCAAGTGTTACTCAAATATGTTTGAAGACATCACTCAATTCCTCCTCCTTCCCACAATTGCATTCAACATCTCAAGAGACCAGAGCCTGACAGGCTGAGAAAAACTGGCTTTGGTTGACACATCAGAGACTAGAAAAAAGATCCCCAAAACCAGGTTTATGTTATTTTTTCAATGAGTGATGACCCCCCGTCTTAGGTGGAATCTCTTTGGAGTCTCAAATTTTTTCTCCATTTTTTACTTGGAGATGATAAAATAGTCTCTGCCAGATCACCAGGCACTGTCTCTCTGGGGCCTCCCAGCCATCCCTCTATTTATCTCATGGGGCAAGGGGGCCCAGTATGCAAATTAAATAGTACCCATTATGCCAATTAAATAGCACCCTACCCAAAGAGCTGTCTCCCAAGGATGGAAATAGGAGCTAACTTGGGTCTCTCAGGAGAACATTTTTGCCTTGGAGGATTTCAAGGTTTACTCTCGGGTATCAGAATGTAAAGGGAATGGCTTTAAAACTATAGCACTCGAAAAAACTTTTTGGGTGATGGAATTTTTTTTTTTTTTTTTGAGACAGAGTCTTTTGAGACAGCCTGCTCTGTCGTCCAGGCTGGAGTGCATTGGCATGATCTCTGCTCACTGCAACTTCCGCCTCCCAGGTTCAAGCAATGCTCCTGCCTCAGCCTCCCAAGGAGCTGGGACTACAGGCACCCACCACCACGCCTGGCTAATTTTTGTATTTTTAGTAGAGACGGGGTTTCACCATGTTGGCCAGGCTAGTCTCCAAGTCCTGACCTGCCTCGGCTTCTCAAAGTGCTGGGATTACAGGCGTGAGCCACCACGCCCTGCCAGGGGTGATATAAATATTTAAAAATGGGATTATGATAATGATTATGCATATGCAAAAAATATTAAAAGTCACAGAATTGTGCATTAACAATGGGTGAATTTTGTGATATGTAAATTATACATCAAAAAAGTTTATTTTTTTTTTATTTTTGAGATGTGGTCTCACTCTGTAATCCTCTGTCATCCAGGCTGGAGTGCAGTGGTGCAATCTCAGCTCACTGCAACCTCCACCTTCCAGGTTTAAGCCTGCCTCAGCCTCCAGAGTAGCTGGGACCACAGGAGTGTGCCACCATGCCCGGCTAATTTTTTTTTTTTTTGGAGACAGAGTCTCATTCTGTCACCCAGGCTGGAGTGAAGTGGCACAATCTCGGCTCACTGCAGCCTCTGCCTCCCAGGTTCAAGTGATTCTTTGCCTCAGCCTCCCGAGTAGCTGGGATTCCAGGCACCTGCCACCAGGCCCGGCTGATTTTTGTAGCGGCTAATTTTTTGTAGAGATGAGGTTTTGCCGTGTTGCCCAGGCTGATCTCAAGCTCCTGAACTCAAGCGATCCACCTGCCTTGGCCTCCCAAAGTGCTGGATTATGGGTGTGTACCACCACGCCTGGCTAATAAAGTTGTTTTTTAAAAAAACAAAAAGATTAAAAGTCAGGGCTGGGCACAATGGCTCAAGCCTGTAATCCCAGCATTTTGGGAGGCCTAGGCGGGAAGATCACCTGAGTCCAGGAGTTCAAGACCAGCCTGGGCAACATGGAAAGACTGCGTCTCTTTTTTATTTTTGGAGATGGAGTTTCACTCTTGTTGCCCAGGCTGGAGTGCAGTGGCGCGACCTTGGCTCGCTGCAACCTCCGCCTCCTAGGTTCAAGCGATTCTCCTGCCTCGGCCTCCCAAGTAGCTGGGATTACAGGCACTGCCACCATGTCCAGCTAATTTTTGTATTTTTAGTAGAGACGGGGTTTCACCATGTTGGCCAGGCTGGTCTTGAACTCCTGCTCTCAAGTGTTCCCCCTCCTCAGCCTCCCAAAGTGCTGGGATTACAGGCGTGACCCACTGTGGCTGGCCAGCTGAAATGTCTTTTGCCCATATCAGCCCCTCCCTCCTGCTTTCCAGTGTGCCCTGTGACAAGGCTTCACCCTTGCTCTGTTCACAGCAAAGCACGCACGGGCATCCTGACTGATCCTGGAGGTTTGAAATCACCTTTTAGTAAGTTTCTGCGTCCTCCACCTTACCAGCCCTTCATGTATAAGGTATTTATTGATCCTTTACTATGTGCTGGCTCATTTATAGCACATGGTGATGAACAGAATAGACCTGGTCCCTGCCATGGAGGTGACTGTCCAGTGATGATGGTGGCCACTAGTGCTGGAGCCACTGATGCCCTTTGCCCTTTGGCCCTACTACCATGAATCCTTGCAGTGACTCCTCTCCAGGCAAGGCACCATTGTGCTCTCCTTTCCCAGATGGGATCATCAAATGGTGAGTGGGAGCCGGGATCCCAGCCAGCCCCTCCTCATGTCACTTCCATTGGAATACTGACTACCAAGCCTCCCTGCTCAGGAAGCCTCCCTGCCTCGGATGAACTGTGTGCATCCCAAGCTGGAACTCAGCGGTCCCATCCTTTCAGTCTCTACTGGGAAAAGCTAGAGAATCCTTGGGCCATCAGGGAAAGGCAGACACATTTGCATAATAAATGAAAATCCTATCTGAGCTCCTGCCCTGCCTAGAGATTTACAATTCCCAAACAGTTCTGGGAAGGAAATAGAGAGAATGCTAGTGGGGGATGGGTACTGTAGACCAGGCTGTCTGGGCTGCCTGGAAGAGGCATCATTAGAGCGGACACTTGAAGGATGACACAGACCTGCCATGGGAAGGGTGTTGGAAAAGCATTCCTGGCAGAGGGAACAGTATATGCAAAGGTATGATGGGGACAAGGCCTGGCCCGTGCGTGTCAGAAGCAGATGGAAGGCCTGGGTGACTGGGCTGGCAGCACAAAGAGCCAATGGTGGGGATGAGGCCAGACAACGGGCAGGCCTTGGTCAGGCAGCGCCTTGCGGGCTGAGGTGTGGGGTTTGGACTTAGTTCCGAGAGCACTGGGAAGCTACTGGAGAGTTTCGGGTTTTTGTTTTCAGATCACGGCTCTCAGGCAGAGGGTGGGTGGAGACCAGGTAGGAGCCCATTTGATGAATCAGTGAGGAGTGGAAGGGGCCGGGAGGGAGGTGGTAATTCGCAGGTACACAGTAGGCACTCAATAAACTCCATCTACCTAGAGTTGAAATTCAGACATGCAGGTTTCAGGAATTAAATATGGGGGACCCTGAGGATGACTGCACCCCCACCCCACAAGTATCCATGACCAGCACTTGGCCATCTATCAGGGGTGGGGGTTCAGTTCTGTTTATTTTCAGTCTGTCACTCACCAAGACTTTTATAAAATACAACAAAAATGAATGACTTAGAAAAACAAAAGGGGGAGCCTGATGCAGTGGTGCACGCCTGTGATTCCTGCTCTGTGGGAGGCTGAGGAGGGAGGATTACTGGAGCCTAGGAGTTTGAGGTTGCAGTGAGCTATGATCCTGCCAGTGCACTCCAGCCTGAGTGACAGGCAAGATCCAGTCTCTTTTTTTTTGTTGGCGGGGGGGCCTCTTTTTTTTTTTTTTTTTTTTTTTTTTTGAGACTGAGTCTTGGTCTGTTACCCAGGCTGGAGTGCAGTGGTGCAATCTCAGCTCACTGCAACTTCTGCCCCCCACCCAGGTTCAAGTGATTCTCATCCCTCAGTTTCCCAAGTAGCTGGGACTACAGGTGTGCGCCCCCATCCCTGGCTAATGTTTTGTATTTTTAGTAGAGATGGGGTTTTGCCATGTTGGCCAGGCTGGTCTTGAATTCCTGACCTCAGGTGATCTGCCCGCCTTGGTGTCCCAAAGTGCTGGGATTACAGGTGTGAGCCACTGTGCCCAGCCGAAATCCAGTCTTAAAAAAAAGAAAAAGAAAGAAAGGAAAGAAAGAAAGAGAAAAAAAGAAAGGAAGGAAGGAAGGAAGGAAAGAAAAAAGAAAAGAAAAGAAAAAAGAAAAGAAAGAAAAAGGGCCGGGCGTGGGGCTCTTGCCTATAGCCCTTCAGGAGGCCGAGGCGGGAAGATCACTGAGCCTAGGAGGGGCAGCATAGTGAGACCCCCAGCCCAAAAAATAGAAAAAAAAAAAAAAAAAAAGAAGAAGAAAGCCCACTGGTGTAAATCAATTTAAAAATGTGGAGAGGGACAGTAGGATGCTAATGAGCAGCTGGGAAGGTGAGATGGAATTAGAAAGCAATCTTTGGCACTTGGCAAATCATCATGATGATGAGTTCAGGCAAGAATCATCAACGAATGCCACAGTGAGTGGGCCTCAGGGGTTGAATGGAAAGAAATGTCCACCACCTAATAAGGCCCTCGTGAAAGCAGCCTTATTTGGAAAAAAAATCTTTGTAAATGTGTTTAAGTTAGTGATCTTGAGATAAGGTCATCCTGGATAACTGGTGGCCCTAAATCCAATGACACCTATTCTTTTTTCTTTTTCTTTTTCTTTTTTCTTTCTTTTTTTTTTTTTTTTTTGATATGGGGTCTTGCTCTGTTGCCCAGGCTGGAGTACAGTGGTGCAATCTCAGCTTGCTGCAACCTCTACCTCCTGGGCTCAGGCAATCCTCCCACCTCAGCCTCCAGAGTAGGTGGGACTGTAGGCACACACCACCATGCCTGGCTAATTTTTTTATGTGTTTGGTAGAGATGGGGTTTTGCCCTGTTACCCTGGCTGGTCTTGAACACCTGAGCTCAAGCCATCTGCCCACCTTGGCTTCTCAAAGTGCTGGTATTACACTTGGTGAGCCACTATACTTGGTCTGACACATATTATTTTTATTTTTTAGAGATAGTGTCTCACTCTATCACCCAGCCTGGAGTGCAGTGGTGTGATCATAGCTCACAGCAGCCGCCAGCCTTGAACTCCTGGGCTCCACTGATCCCCTTGCCTCAGCCTCCCAAGTAGTTCTGACCAGAGACACACACCATCATGCCTATCTAATTTAAAACATTTTTTTTTCTTTGTAGAGATAGGGTCTTGTTATATTGACCAGACTGGTCTCAAACTCTTCGGCTCGAGTGATCCTCCCGTCTTGGCCTCCCAAATTGCTGGGATCCACCATGCCCAGCTGACATGTGTTTTTGTAAGAGATAGAAGAGACAGACACTTGACGAGGAGTGCCACGGGACCACAGAGGCAAAGACGGCGCGATGCAGCCGCAAACCACAAACACCTGGGGCCACCGGGAGCTGGAAGAGGCGAGGAGCTGATTCTCCCCTCGAGCCTTTGGAGGGAGCACAGCTCTGCTGAAACCTTGCTTTTAGACTCTGACTGCCAGAGCTGTGCAAGAATAAATTTCTGTTGTTGTAAGTCACCCAGCTTGTGGTGATTTGTTAGGGCAGCCAAAGGAAACAGAATGGATGTGGCCAGGAGTAGTGGCTCATGCCTGTAATCCCAGCACTTTGGAAGGTTGAGGCAGGTGGATCACATGAGTCCAGGAGTTTGAGAGCAGCCTGGGCAACATAATGAGACCCTGCTGCTCAAAAAAATAAAAAAACTAAAAATAAATAAATCAAAATAAGAAACTAATAGAGTGGGTGTGAAGTTGGAGAGCAACGGGATGGTTACATGGTCTCAAAGTACCTTCCCGCAGGGGAAGCATGGGAACTTTACAGTGGAGAATCCTGGCCAACGCCGTGAGCGTGTGAGCGGTGCTAACCTCGCCAGAAAAGGGACCCAGGCAGCGTGGGCCTCCTGCCAAGGTGCACCAGGAGCCAGGCATCTGGTCAGTCTGAGGTGCCTGCCTGAGGGCAGAGCTGAGTCCCACCCAGACCTGCTCCCTCCAAGGCATCGGGGTACTCTGCACGTCCCAGGCTTTGTGAACGTGCCTTCCTTTTGCACAGTGTCTCCCTCCCATCGCAGACATCTGGGGCCACAGGTCAGCCTTCTGAGAACGAGGCCGCTGGGAGGCACAAGTGCAGGACAGACACTGTTAACCATGGACAAGGGGAGGCGTTTGCCTTCCCTTTCTCTGTGTGCTCTGTGGGAGGGCTTCCTAGTAACCCCGCCAGCTTCTCCATTGCTCGGGGAGGAAGACAGAGGCCAGCTCATAGCCATCACCAGGTGCACTGGCCAGTAAGCAGCAGAGCTGGGCGTTTCATGAGGGCTGGGTCAGGCAAAAGCCTGTGCTCCCTCCACTCCGGGAGCACTGGGCCCTTTGGTAGGATGGAATGGTTCTCAGAAAGCCTTTCTTCTGTAAGCTGCGTTCAAGCCAGTAGGACAGAAAGATGTCTTTTGCAGCTAGGGGGTGAATCTTTTGAAATTAAAAATTTTTTGAGACAGGGTCTTGCTCTGTTACCCAGGCTGGAGTGCAGTGGCATGATCTCAGCTCACTGTAACCTCCGCCTCCTGGGGCTCAAGTGATTCCCCCGCCTCAGCCTCCAGACTAGCTGGGACCACAGGAGTGTGCCACCACACCTGGCTAATTTAAAAAAATCTTTTGTAGAGATGGGGTCTCGCTATGTTTCTCAGGCTGGGCTTTCAGCATTTAAACTACATCCAACTCACACCAGAAGGGATGGCTCACCTGTGATTGGGAACAACACTAAAGCTCACGTGTAGTTGCCCTGTCCATATTAATAATGTCCATGAAGTGCCAGTTTAGCTGTGCTACTTACACTTTTTTTCTAACTCACCTTAAAAGAAACATAGAACTGTTGGAATAAAAGTTAAAATAGCCATTGGAATACTACTTAAAAACATTCATGTGCTGGGTGTGGTGGCTCACGCCTGTAATCCCAGCACTTTGGGAGGCTGAGGCGGGTGGATCACCTGAGGTCAGGAGTTTGAGACCAGCTTGGCCAACATGGTAAAACCCCTTCTGTACTAAAAATACAAAAATTAGCCGGGTGTGGTGGAGTGTGCCTGTAGTCCCAGCTACTCAGGAGGTTGAGGCAGGAGAATTGCTTGAACCTAGGATGCAGAGGTTGCAGTCAGCTGAGATGGCACCACTGCACTCCAGGCTGGGTGACAGAATGAGACTCCATCTCAGAAAAAAATTCATGAATGCCGCTAGATGGCTGGTTCTCAAACTTGGCTGCACGGTGGAATCACCTGCAGAAATTTACAAAGCCCTGATACCTGGGCCCCACCCCTGCAGATTCTGATGAGTGGGTCTGGGTTGCGGCCCAGGGCAGTGGGGTTTAAAAAGCTTCCTCTAGGGCCGGGCGCGGTGGCTCGTGCCTGTAATCCCAGCACTTTGGGAGGCCGAGGCGGGTGGATCACGAGGTCAGGAGATCGAGACCACGGTGAAACCCTGTCTCTACTAAAAATACAAAAAATTAGCCGGGCGTAGTGGCGGGCGCCTGTAGTCCCAGCTACTCGGGAGGCTGAGGGAGGAGAATGGCATGAACCCGGGAGGTGGAGCTTGCAGTGAACTGAGATTGCGCCACTGCACTCCAGCCTGGGCGACGGAGCGAGACTCCGTCTCAAAAAAAAAAAAAAAAAAAGCTTCCTCTAGGGTTTCAATAGGCAGCCAAGGTTGAGAACCCTGCAATTGACAAACAGATGTGACCCAACGACAGATTTGGGGTCACATGCTACTGCCTTAGTAAATCTGTACAGCAGGAGGATGGAGAGGACCTCCCCTAAGCTTACCCCTACTCCCTGAAGTCTGCCTAAACTTGCCCGCCCACCCTGCCCTTTCCTTCTTGGACATACTGAACCACAGCATCACTTGCTAATTGCCTCCTGTGTGGAGGACTCGGCTCCCCAAGGAGAGATTGTAAGAAGGTGGGGGTGGCATCACCAGATTGTTGGGGGACAACACACACCACTTCGTGTTTTTCATTTATTTATTTATTTTTTTTGAGACCGAGTCTTGCTCTGCTGCCCAGGCTGGAGTGCAATGGCGCGATCTTGGCTCACTGCAACCTCCGCCACCCAGGTTCAAGCGATTCTTCTGCCTCAGCCTCTCGAGTAGCTGGGACTACAGGTGCCTGCCACCACACCTGGCTAATTTTTGTATTTTTAGTAGAGACGGAATTTCACCATGTTGGCCAGGCTGGTCTTGAACTCCTGAGCTCAAGTGATCTGCCCACCTCGGCCTCCCAAAGTGCTGGGATTACAGGTGTGAGCCACCGCGCCTGGCCAACACACACCACTTCTGAATCTGCCACAATGTGCAGCCCAGGCCCACAGTAGGAGCGTATTAAAGACGAAAGCTGGATGGTCATGAATTGGAGCTGTAAACTTGGCTGCTTCATGGGATTATTATGGACTCCCAGAAATGCCGATTATAACCTCAATCAAATGTCAAAAATGTCCCTGCTCAGGTTTCCTGATGCGTGGGAATCAACAGCATGTCAGGTATTATGGAGGACATGGAGCTGTTTTCTGCCCTGAGCTGTGACTGCAGGCACTGGGAAAGGGAAGATACGTTTCCTGCCTGGAGGAGGGGAGGATGCCAGGGGAGGAGGAGGATATTGGTGGTGATAGTGGTGACTCCTCCTGCTTTTTTTTTTTTTGAGATGGAGTCTTGCTGTGTTGCCCAGGCTGGAATGCAGTGGCGCGATCTCGGCTCACTGCAAGCTCTGCCTCCCAGGTTGATGCCATTCTCCTGCCTCAGCCTCCTGAGTAGCTGGGACTACAGGCGCCCACCACCACGCCCGGCTAATTTTTTGTATTTTTAGTAGAGATGGGGTTTCACCGTGTTAGCCAGGATGGTCTCGATCTCCTGACCTCGTGATCCACCCGCCTCGGCCTCCCAAAGTGCTGGGATTACAGGCGTGAGCCACCACGCCCAGCCCTTCCACCTGCTTTGATGGGGGTTCACTGTGTACAGGCTCAGTGCGAAGCCCCCTGCGTGCATTTTCTCACTGAATTCTCCTGTCCCCCACAAACTTGGGAGACCAAACTCTCACTCTCCACACTAGGCCAGGTGCTTCTGAGTGTGGAGGCATTTCACTGCGGTGCCTAGAATGGAGCCTGGTGTGTTATGGGTGCCCAGGAAACATTTGGAGAAGTGAACTATTCTCGGTAGGTATTTGTCGAATCAAGCTATGTTTCTACACATGGTCTGAAAGTGGCAGAAGAGGAGCACGACCTCTGGGTCTGCTCAGACCCCACTCCAGGACTTGCTTCAGTCCCTGACAGGCAAACGGGGATGCGGGGAAGGGAACCAGGCAGGAACTCCGAGAGAGCGCCTGGTGGCGGGGGCTGCGGTGCTGTTGGTGCCAGCCGTTGGAGTTGTAAGGGTTTACATTTCAACTCCTGGCTTTAAGTTCCCGAGACATGCAGGGACCAGGGCGCTGAGGGAGCGTAGGTGTCGAGGGAGGACTTTTGGCTAGGGCGAGGGTCATTTGTTTGGAAAGTCTGGCTCCTCATGGAATGGTGCACGTGGCCCAGAGAGAGTAAGAATGTGTTTCTGCCTTTCAGGGATTTATCAGTTGGAGTTGGGGGACTCCACTCAGGATTGTTATTTTCAATTTTATTATTTTACTTTATTTTATTTAATTAATTTATTTTTTGAGGAGTTTTTGCTCTTGTTGCCCAGACTGGAGTGCAGTGGTGCGATCTCGGTTCACTGCAATGGTGAGTTCAGGTGATTCTCCTGCCTCAGCCTCCCGAGTAGCTGGGATTACAGGCACGGGACACCATGCCCAGGTAATTGTTTTGTATTTTTTAGTAGAGACAGGGTGTCACCATGTTGGCCAGGCTGGTCTTGAACTCCTGAGCTCAAGTGATCCGCCTGTCTTGGCCTCCCAAAGTGCTGGGATTACAGGAGTGAGCCACCAAGCCTGGCCCGTTATTTTTAATTTTAAAAATCTCTAGATAAAAAAAAGTTAGCATGGTAAAAATATTCCAACAGAACCGAAGAGCTATATTTGTTGGAAAGTAAACTTTGATGTCCTCTCTGACCCCATCCTTCCCCCTGGAGGCAGCCACTGTTAACTGTTAACACTTTCCTTCCAGAAAGTCTGCACAAATATAAGCGCATGAGACAGACCTCTTCTTTCTTCTACAAAAGGGCACTTACTTTGCACACTCCTTTGCATTTTGCCTTTTTTCTTTCTTTAAAATAATAGCAGTTAGCCATTATAGCTCTATTATTTCCATGGTTGCGTGCTATTCTATTGTGCATATATAGCATAATTTATTGACTGTTTAACATCAGCATTATTTTTCTTTTGCTAATACAAACTATGCTGCAAAGAACCTACCTTTCACTCATCTTTCTGAACATGTGGAAGAATAGATGTACATTCTGTCACATAAACATACATATTATATAGTAGTAGGAGTTCTGGAATAAAGGGCATATGCTTTTAAAACTATTACAGTTATTGCCAAATTGTCCTCCTGAGAAATTGTATTAATGTTTATCGCAACGAATCTCATGAATATGACTCTTTCCCCATCTACTTTTTTTTTTTTGAGACGGAGTTTCACTCTTGTTGCCCAGGCTAGAGTGCAATGGTGCGATCTCGGCTCACCACAACCTCCACCTCCCAGGTTCAAGTGATTCTCCTGCTTCAGCCTCCTGAGTAGCTGGGATTACAGGCATGCGCCACCACACCCAGCTAATTTCGTATTTTTAGTAGTGATGGGGTTTCTCCATGTTGGTCAGGCTGGTCTTGAACTCCCAATCTCAGGTGATCTTCCCACCTCGGCCTCTCAAAGTGCTGGGATTACAGGCGTGAGCCACCGCACCTGGCCCCCATCTCCTTATAAACACTGCATTATCAAACTTTTTGGTATTTGTGAATCTAATGGGTAAAAATGGCATCTTCTTGTTTACGTGAACATTGACTATGAGGTTGAGAATTTTTTCATGCTTTTGTTTTTATTTTTGTGAGCTGCCTGTTTGTGTTTCTGGTCTTTGTTCTTTTTTTTCTTTCTTTTTTTTTTTTTTTTTTTGAGACAGAGTCTCGCTCTGTTGCCCAGGCTGGAGTGCAGTGGCGTGATCTCGGCTTACCGCAACCTCTGCCTCCTGGGTTCAAGTGATTCTTCTGCCTCAGCCTCCCAAGTAGCTGGGACTACAGGTGCCCACCACCATGTCCAGCTAATTTTTTATATTTTTAGTAGAGATGGAGTTTCACCATGTTGCCCAGTGTGGTCTCAAACTTCTGACCTCAAGTGATCCACCTGCCTTGGCCTCCAAAGTGCTGAGATTACAGGCGTGAGCCACCACGCTCAGCCTTTTTTTTTTGCTTTTTTTTTTTTTTTTTTTGAGACAGGGTCTCACTCTGTTGCCAGTGCAGTAGAGTGATTGCAGCTTTGACCTCTCAGGCTCAGGCAATCCTCCTACCTCAGCCTCCATACTAGCTGGGACCACAGGTGCATGCCACCACACTTTGCTAATTTTAAATTTTTTGTAGAGGTGGAATCTTGCTATGTTGCCCAGGCTGGTCTTGAACTCCTGGACTCATTTGATCTTTTTCTATTGGAATGTTTGTTTTTTAATATTGGTTTTAATATTGGTTTGTAGGAGTTTTTATATATTAAGCAGCTTAATACTTTCTCTATCTTACCATATTGGATGACACAGTCTGTTTTGGGGTCTTTGTGTAGTGATGGAGATGAGCCCAGAATAATACAGGATCAAAGGCCAGGGGGTCCCCAGTGCTGTGTGAATTTGCATGAGTCAGGAGAGGCTTTGTGGGGAGATGATGTGGAGATGAAGTTTTCTTTTCTTTTTTTTTTTTTCTGTCACCCAGGCTGGAGTGCAGTGGTGCGATTTGTGCTCACTGCAACCTCTGCCTCCCAGGTTCAAGTGATTCTCCTGTCTCAGCCTCCCGAGTAGCTGGGATGACAGGCACGTGCCACCAAGCCCAGCTATTTTTTGTATTTTTAGTAGAGATGGAGTTTCACCATGTTGGCCAGGCTGGTCTTGAACTCCTAACCTCAAGCGATCTGCCTGCCTCGGCCTCTCAAAGTGCTGAGATTACAGGCATGAGTTACCATGACTGGCCTGGAAATGAGTTTTAAGGGATGACATGGAGGAAAAGGATGTCTCAGTAGAGTGGATTTTATAAGCAGCGTGTCATGGAAGGAAATTGTGTGGGTTGGTGGAAGGTTGGGGAAATTTTAAATAATCCTGTCTTCTGGAGGTGAAGTGCTGGGAGGGGTGCCGTGGGGGTGAAATAGGATAACGTTGAAGGCCAGTTGAGGAGTTGGTTCAATTTCCTGTAGGCAGCAGGGAGCTGTGGATTTGAAGCAAATGATCGGATCTGTGTTTTAAGAACACTACACGGGTTGCCTTTTTAGATTGGATTGCAGGCAAACAAGATTAGAGAAGGAAAACCAGTTAGGAGACTATTGCAGCGAGGAGATGACAGTGGCCCAGGCAAGGTAATGACGTGGACACTAAAAACCATTTGTGCTTGGGAGGCAGGATTTGCAGAGATGGTGATTAGATAGGTGTAGAAAACAGTAATTCAGTTATGTTTCTCTGTGTGCAAGGGGAATTCACAAGACGTCAGTGGGCATGGGAGGAGGTGAGAATAGGGCCAAGTTGTGGAGAGTTGGAGGGAGGATGTTCGATGGTCCTCTTCACAGTCAATGATGTTCCAAAGATTCCTGACTCTGGATTAGACATCTTTTGGGATGTCTGCCCAGCCTACACCTTCTCTGAGACCTGCCCTCCTTTCCACAGGTGTGGGCTCTTATTGCCAGGTGATGCTGCCTCTCTGTGGATCCCTGGCTCAGGTGCAGAATCCTGACCCAGTGGACACTGACGCAAGCTTCTATTTTGGAAATCTGGAATCTGAATGTGGATACACTGGGTCAGTTGGCTACAGGACCAGGGCTCAGCTGGCTTGTCCTGCGAGCTCCGGGTGGCTGTGTTTGTGCTGTGTGTGACTGGAGCAGAAGCAGCAGAGAGGGATGAAGTGAAGTCCCTGGACAGAGATAGGCAGGAACCTCTGGTTCAACAAGACAGATTGAACCTGCCTGACTAACGAGGCAGTAAAGGAATGAAAACATGTACATTCACTAGGGCAGGAACAGGAAGGGGAGATGACAGCTCTTCAGAGATGTCAGAAAGTTTGGAAGAAGGAAAGCCGATGGACAAACGACAACGGGTTTATTTTTATTTATTTATTTTTATTTTTTTGAAACAGGGTTTCATTCTGTCGCTCAGGCTGGAGTGCAGTGGCGTGATCTCAGCTCACTGAAACCTCCGCCTCCCGGATTTAAGAGATTCTCCTGCCTCAGCCTCCAGAGTAGCTGGGATTAAAGGCACCTGCCACCATGCCAGGCTAATTTTTGTATTTTTAGTAGAGATGGGGTTTTACCATGTTGGCCAGGCTGGTCTCAAACTCCTGACCTCAAGTGATCCACCCGCCTAGGCCTCCCACAGTGCTGAGATTATAGGCATGAGCCACTGTGCCTGGCCTGAATGCTTTTAAAAGGGACAGTTAGACTCCCAGATCTTCCCCATCACTTTGGTCAGCTAGGCATCTACCCTTTTCCATCCCAAGAAAAGACAAACTAGGATTTCCTCTGAAGGCTGGAATCAGGGGAACCTGGATTTAGAGATTCCAGCCTAACTGTGGCTGCAGGTCATGCCCTGAAAACGGAATTGCAGGAAAGTCTACTTATAAAGCAGCGAAATGCTGGCATCTTCCTGGCTCAGCTTCTAGAATGCTGGTGGCCAGGGGCCTGAGGCTGGAGGATTCTTCTCAGGTAGGGTTGCTGGATAAAATACCGGATTCATTGTTACATTGGATTCAGATAAGCAACAGATACTTTTTTCTCGGCATAAATATGTCCCCCAAATTACAAATTTTTATTAGTAAAATCTGGCAATGCTGTTCAGAAGAAACTAAGGCCCAAGAAAAAAGTGCTAGGGGTGCCAACCCTGGTTCCATTCCCAGTTAAATGCTTTAATCCCTTCAGCTCCTACCCAGAGGCCTGAGAGTAAGCCTGGTCCATGTCCCCGCTGGAGCTTCCAATAAGCATTTGAGAGTCTCGTCTTTAAATGTGAACAAATAGACAAGATCACCCAATGGAAAAACAAGCTAAGGTTTGGCCAGTGGGGGTCCAGAGGTCCATCTTGCTTCAAATCTCTTCCATAGCTCCCTGCTACCTACAGGTGGCTAATGCCTGTAATCCCAACACTTGGAGAGGCTGAGGTGGGAGGATCACTTGAAGCCAAGAGTTCTAGACCAGCCTGGGTGACATAGTGACACTCCGTCTCCACAAAAAAAAAAAAAAAAAAAAAAAATTAGCTGGTTGTGGTGATGTACACCTGTAGTCCCAGCTACTTGGGAGAAGGAGGGTGATTGCTTGAGCTCAGGAGTTTGAGGCTGCAGTGAGCTATGATTGTGCCACTGCACTCCACTTTAAGAGATGGAGTGAGACCCTCTTTTTTTTTTTTTTTGAGACGGAGTCTCGCTTTGTCGCCCAGGCTGGAGTGCAGTGGCACCATCTCGGCTCACTGCAACCTCCACCTCCTGGGTTCACGCCATTCTCCTGCCTCAGCCTCCCAAGTAGCTGGGACTACAGGCGCCCGCCACCACGCCTGGCTAATTTTTTGTATTTTTGGTAGAGACAGGGTTTCACCGTGCTAGCCAGGATGCTCTCGATCTCCTGACATTGTGATCCACCTGCCTCCGCCTCCCAAAGTGCTGGGATTACAGGCGTGAGCCACCGCGACTGGCCCGAGACCCTCTTAAAAAAAAAAAGAAAAAAGAAGGAAAAAGGAGCTCAGAGGATGCGGGGAGAATGTAGAGAGCCGAGGAGAGCTCCAGAGACACAGAGACAAGAGACCAGCCTCAGAGGCTGACCACCAGCCTCCTGCTTGCTCCTCAGTTCTCCACTGGTGGAGTCCCTCTCCTTCCTGTCTCTGGCTTCTGGGATAGAGTCCTCTCTGCTCAGAGAACCCCCTGGGGGTTTAAGCGCTGCAAATGTGTTTCCTTCTCTTCTGACCAAAGGGTTCTTCTGTACCATCACTCAATAACTCCCAACCAGGATGTGCCTGCCTGGACCCCCATCGTGCTCATCCTGAGCAGCTTGGAGGAAGAGGCCTCCCCTGGGGCAGCAGTCGACCCAGGGTCTCTGCCAAATGACCCTGGCAGCTGCGGCCCCCTCGTGCCCCAGGAGTCAGGGTCCTGTCTGGAGGCTCCAACCAAAAGCTGGCCCGGGTCCCGACTGCCCTCTCAGCTGGCAGAGGATGGAGCCATTTGGCTCCGCTTCTGAAGTGGGCGCCACGAGCTCACGCTTGGCTCGTGCTCCTCACCGATGCTCTCTCTGCTCGGCCTTGCTGAGCCAGGCGGGGTTCTGGCTTCAGTGCTGCGTCTTCTCTCCTCCATGAACAGAAATCCCCGAAGGTCAGCGGTCTTGAGTATAATCGTCTTCAGATATCTGAAGAGCCGGTGTGAACAGCCGTTCAACTCAATTGCCCCACTTTTCATCGAGCATTTCCTCTCTGCCTGCACGACTGAGGTCTTCTCTGATTTTTTTTAGTAATTCATATTGATTTATTTTATAAGTTCTATTGCTTCTATTGATAATTTCATTAATTAATAGAAAATTAAGATGAGGTCATTTTGGTAGCACAAATATTGAAATAGAGTTTTGAAATAGTATGATCAACTAATTTATCGTCGTCACCAGGACTTTTTGATAGTGAAACTGGGCTCTTTTACTAATTATGTGGGGAAAACAGGTATAAACGGAGACTGTCCCATGCAAACTGAAATATATCATCACTATTGAGAGATGACTTGCTCAAACCTTAACATCCCATTTATTTCCGAATTTGTTTTAATGATGGAAACAAGGGAGGGAATCTGAGTCACACAGGGAGTAGCTGCAAATGGTAACAGGTTTTTTTTTTTTATGCTTGCCTTTTTTATTTTTTGTTTTGAGATGGAGTCTTGCTCTGTCGCCCAGGCTGCAGTGCAGTGGCGTTATCTCAGCTCACTGCAGGCTCCGCCCCCCGAGGTTCACGCCATTCTCCTGCCTCAGCCTCCCAAGTAGCTGGGACTACAGGCGCCCCCCACCTCGCCCAGCCAATTTTTTGTATTTTTAGTAGAGACGGGGTTTCACCGTGTTAGCCAGGATGGTCTCGATCTCCTGACCGCGTGATCCGCCCGCTTCGGCCTCCCAAAGTGCTGGGATTACAGGCGTGAGCCACTGCGCCCGGCCCGAATTTGTTTTAATGATGGAAACAAGGGAGGGAATCTGAGTCACACAGGTAACAGGTTTTTTTTTTTTTTTTTTTTTTTTTTTTTTTTTTAATGCTTGCCTTATAATAGTAGTTCTCAATCTTAACTCACCCAGGGCCGGGTCTGGCAAACTACAAGGTCCAGCTGCAGTCTGTTTTTGTAAATAAAGCTTTATTGGAACACAGCTGTGGCCACTCATTTACCTTCTGTCTATGGCTGCTTTCGTGCAGCACAGGGATAGCTGATGAGCTGCACTGGAGACAGGACAGTTCACTTCTAGGATATTTAGTATCTGGCCCTTTATAGAAAACATTTTCTCTCTGAGCGTAGTGGCTCATGCCTGTAATCCCAGCACTTTGGGAGGCTGAGGTGGAAGAGTGACTTGAGCCCAGGAGTTTGAGACCAGCCTGGGCAATGTAGCAAGACACCCACCTCAATAGATACAATAGATAGATTATAGATGATACATTGATTAAATGTTTGCTGTCCCCCAACGTTGGGAATGTAAAGAAATTCCAGTGTCTTACTCCCAAGAGACTCTGATATAATTGCCCTGTGGGACAGCCTGAGCAGCACTGAGTCTTGCCGTGACATCCAGGCTGTAGTGCAGTGGCGCGATCTCGGCTCACTGCAACCTCTGCCTCCCGGGTTCGAGCAATTCTCCTACCTCAGCCTCCCAGGTAGCTGGGATTACAGGCTACCATGCCTGGCTAATTTTTGAATTTTTAGTAGAGACGGGGTTTCACCATGTTGGCGAGGCTGGTCTCAAAATCCTGACCTCAAGTGATCTGCCTGCCTCGGCCTCCCAAAGTGCTGGGATTACAGATGTGAGCCACTGCACCCGGCCAACACTGGCAGTTTTAACAGTGCCTTAGGCTGACAGCTGGGTACAATGGTGCATGCCTGTAACCCCAGCTACTAGGAGGCTGAGGCAGGAGGATCGCTTAAGCCTAGGAGTTTGAGGCTGCAGTGCACTGTGATTGTGCCTGTGAATAATCACAGCAACCTGGCGACAGAATGAGACCCTGTCTCAAAAAATAAGAGTGTCTTAGGTGATTCCACCACGGAGTCAGTGGTCAGCACTGAGAACCAGGATATTAAAGCCAAATTCGGCCAAAGGTAGTGTCTCAACATGTGCCCCCATACCATTCATTCTTTCCGTGTCAGGTAACACGTGGGTGATCTTCAGTGTTTTAAATCTGGGAGAGGGGACACATGGGTTTTAATTTTTGTTACATTTTGAAAATAGTTATAAGATTTACTTTAAAATAAAACTTGAGCTGGGCGTGGTGATGGGTGCCTGCATTCCCAGCTACTTGGGAGGCTGAGGCAGGAGGATCATTTGAGGTCAGGAGTTCTGGGCTGAAGTGTGTTAGCTATGCTGATCTGGTGTCCACACTAAGTTCAGCATCAAATATGTTGACCTCCCAGGAGCAGGTTGCCTAAAAGGAGGGGTGAACACGCCCAAGTTGGAAATGGTGCAGTTCAAAACTCCTGTGCTGATCAGTGGTGGGATGACGCCTGTGAATAGTCACTGTACTCCAGCCTGGGCAACATAGTCAGACCCCATCTCAAAAAAAAAAAAAAAACCAAAAAAAACAACCAGACAAACAGACAAAAAATTGAACTTGAATCGAAGACTTGGGGTGGACTTACCTGGTTTAGTCTCCGCATAGCCCTCTGGGGACTGGATTCCACTTTTCCTTTTACAGGTGAGGAAATGGAGCCCCTGTGGGGTTGAAGGACTTGCTCCAGGCTGCACAAAACCTCAGGCTGACTCTTTCCAAAGCAATGCTTGACTTCTTGGGAGGGTTTTTAATTTTTTTCCCCAACACCCTCCTTTCCTTGACAAGCTCCTGAATATCAGAGAAGGCCAGAGAGGATGGTGTCCTGTGTTCCTGAAGGCAGGAAGTGTTTATTGAGCCCCTACTAGCTGCAGAGCTAGGCATGAAACTGTCACAGTGAACAGAAAAGGGCCCTGCCTTATGGAGTTGGACGTCCACCGTGGCAGACAGGCCCCGCGGGGAGTTTGGGTGAAAAGTCGTTGAATGTCAGGCAAGCAGCGGCCCCGGTGCTGCTGACCTTGTCTGGGAGGATCAGGAAAGTTTCCTGGGGAAGAGGCAGGGAGATCTGAGCTGAAACATGGAGGATGAGGCTGTGGCTGCCTGTCTTTAGTGCATGGAAGAGAATTCCTGGCAGAGGGAATAGCACGTGTGAGGACCCAGCTGGGGAGTCCAGGGCTGGCACCTGGAGAGCTCTGGGAGGGGCTCTAGGTGGAGCTGGAGAGGGCAGAAGTGGGAGGGAGGAGGGAGGCAGGTTCCGCACCACCCCCAGGGGGTTAAATTAGACTGGTGAGTCAAGATTCCAAGAAGACGAATGGCTCTCCTGCCAGAATTTTAGGCAACTCCACATTCCAAGACAGCCCACAGCTTCCTCTAACAGCCACGCTGTTCCCAGCCCTGGTGGAGGAGGCAGGAGCCGGCCACTAGCTGGGACACTAGGTGAGAGGTTAGGCCTCAGGTTGGCATCTGGGTCGGATGACAGAGTCGGGTGGAGGAGTCCAAGACACTGGAGACCCTCAGGCCCAGGCTCAGGGTTCCCAGTCCTGCACCTGTTACCTGTCTGCATTTGCGTCCTTGGGAAACAAACTTTGAATCAGAGATTTATGTGCAGGCAGTTTAGTGGGGCGTTTTCTCAAGAGCTGCACCTGTGAGGGAGGGTAAGCAGCTGGGCTGCAGTGCTGAGGTCTCGGCTCTTCCTCATGGGAACTCTGAGCCAGGTGGGCGCTTAAGAGATGTTCCCAATCAATCAAGGCCAAAACTTATCTACCAGTCATCAGACGCAAGCTGTCCCTCAGGGAAGGGGCCACGGGATCAGATGAGGCAACTCTGAGGCTGAGGGCAATTCCTGGGGAGTTGCTTGGCTGTGAGCTGCCAGCTCCCGCTCCCAGCAGCCACAGGAATGGAGTGTCCTGGTCTGGAAGGGTGGATCTGCAACCACAGCATCCACTACAGCAGCTGTGTGACCTGGAGCACACAGCCTAACCTCTCTGAGCTTCCTTTAGGACCACAGCATCCGCTACAGCAGATGTGTGACCTGGAGCACATGGCCTAACCTCTCTGAGCTTCCTTTATGCAAAATGCAGTCACTGGGCTGTTGGAAGGATTCAGAATATTGCATATAAAGCACCTGGCCCCAGTCTTGAGCTCCAGGAAGCACCCAGGAAGTGTTTGTTTAGTTGAAAGGATCAGTGAATGTGTTGCTTCATAATGAGAATGAGTCTGAGAACCCCCTTTCTGGTGAAAAGATCACGGGCCCAGGAGTCAGGAGAGAGTGGTCGCTTCCAGCAGTAACTGGTTGTGTGACAGAAGTATGATAAGACCGTAGGCTTTACATTTAGCTCTCTGGGCGTTAAATTCTTTATCTTGTAAACAGGGATAATGACACCTGTGCCACCTTCTCCTAGGCTATCTCCTCCTCGGTGTTGGGAAACTGAATGGAGATCGTGCGATGGGAGGTGAAAGCTTTGAAAGGGAAAAGATATCATCAGTTTCTACAGGTGGGGTGGGCGTGGCAGCAGGTGGCAGAGCAGGAAGTGGCCTAGGTGAGCCAGAACCCTGGTCAGGCGTGAGTGCAGCCCTGCACCCACATAAGCTCACACGTTTGCACAGGCTCCCTGGCACATGCATGCCCCTGCATGCATGTACACACAATCATGTGTACCCCAGTAATGCACCCACTCACAACCACCAGAGCAAAACAAAGACAAGGAGTGGAGCTGTCTGTGGTGCACCTGGGGCCCCAGCTCCCCTCCCAGCCCATGACTACACTGTGGAGGGCTGAGGAATGGGGTTGCTGAGAAGGAGCCCAGGCTGGGGGCCATGTGCATGCGGGTCAGGCTGGCAAAGCCGTCTGCCTGCCTCTTGTTTTAGGCTGCCAGGCTGGGCAAAGGCCACGTGCTCGGTGGAAGAGCCCAAGCCAATGTAAATGGGCCCCTTTGGAAGTAGGGCTCATCTGGAGAGCAAGCAAGCAAAACAAGCTTAGCTTTTCATTTAGGGACCGTCACAGAAAACTCGGAAATGCACCAAAGAGTTAATGGTATTTGGCGCTGATCAGTGGCATTGAGGGTGCTTTCTATTTCCGTCCCTTTGATTCCACTCATTTTTCTATGTCAACATGCATTAGCATTGAATGATTATCAGGATCGTCAGTGTGGGTTGGCTGAAGATATTTGTTGATGGTGTTTGTCCAGCTCCTTTCCCTGCCCCCAGCGCCTCAGTGGCCCTCCTGTGCTCTGAGCGGTTCTGCTAGGACTGTGAATTGTGAAAGCTTGGACCCGGTGCTGTGAGGTGGGAGTGTGGGCTGGGCCTGGTAATCTGCAGCCCTCGTCCCCAAGTCCATGGGAATTGTCACATGGCCTGTGCTGGGCTAATCAGAATCCTGCCTTGTCATGTTATAGGCTGACCCTGGGGAGATAAGCTCTCCCTGAAATATTAACATTGTTTCTGGCCATGTTCCCTTTCCCTTCACCACCGAGAGAAGCAGGAGGGAGGGAGGGAGAGAGAGAGAGAGAGAGAAAGAATGATTGTAAGATATGATTCATTATTTTATGTACAACTGTGATGGTTAATTTCATGTGTTGACTGGGCTACGGGATGCCCAGATAGCCTGTAGAACATTAGTTCTGGGAGTGTCTGTGAGGGTGTTTCCAGAATAATTTAGCATTTGAGTCAGCAGACGGAGTGAAGAAGCTCTGCCCTCACCAACGTGGCCAGGCATCTTCCCATCAGTTGCGGGCCCAAATAGAACAGAATGGTGGAGGGAGAACTAGTTCCGTCTTCTGCAGCTGGGATGCTCATCTTCTCCTGCCCTTGGACATCGGAACTCCTGGTTGTCAGGGTTTTGGACTTGGACTGAATGACACCACCGGCTTTCCTGGCTCTCCCACTGGCAGATGGCAGATTGTGGGACTTCTGGGCTTCCATAATCCTGAAAGCTATTCCTATAATCAATCTCCTCTTATACGTCTATATGTATCCTATTGGCTCTGTTTGTCTGGAGGACACTGATTTGTACAATTAGGAAAGAAAAAAAGGCTACGAGTGAAACCATGTCTTTGGCTGTAAATCACATTCTAATTTCAGAGATATTAATACGTGAAAAACATGTACAGACATGCATTTAACGATGGGGTTACATTCTGAGAAATGCATCATTAAGCGATTTTTTTTGAGACAGAGTCTCGCTTTATCTCAACGGCGCGATCTTGGCTCACCGCAACCTCCGCCTCCCAGATTCAAGAGATTTTCCCACCTCAGCCTTTCGAGTAGCTGGGACTACAGGAGTGTGTCACCATGCCTGGCCAATTTTTGTATTTTTGTAGAGACGGGGTTTCGCTGTGTTAGCCAGGCTGGTTTGGAACTCCTGACCTTAGGTGATCCACACGCCTCAGCCCCTCAAAGTGCTGGGATTACAGGCATGAGCCACCACACCTGGCCTTTTAAGTGATTTTCTTGTGTGAATGTCATAGAGTGTACTTACACAAATCTAGATGGTATAGCTTACTACACACCTAGGCGTAATGGTATAGCCTGTGGCTCCTAGGCTACAAACCCGCATAGCACGTTACTATAGGCAATTTTAACATAACGTATTTATGTATCTAAACATAACTCAGGCTGGAAGCAGTGGCTTATGCCTGTAATCCCAACACTTTGGGAGGCTGAGGTGGGCAGATCACCTGAGGTCAGGAGTTCAAGACCAGCCTGGCCAAAATGGTGAAACCCTATCTCTACTAAAAATACAAAAACTAGCTGGCCGTGGTGGCACGTGCCTGTAATCTCAGCTACTCAGGAGGTTGAAGCAGGAGAATCACTTGAACCAGGAAGGTGGAGGTTGCAGTGAGCCAAGATCATGCCACTGCACTCCAGCCTGGGTGACAGAGTGAGACTCCATCTCAAACAAACAAAAGACTGGCCGTGCAGTAGGTTTCTTTATCCCAGCATGAGCACATGAGCAATGCATTGCACTATGACATTACAGCAGCTACGACATTAGGCAATAGGAATTTTTCAGCTCCATTATAATCGTATGGGACCACCATTGTATATGTGGTTTGTCGTTGACTGAAACAGTGTTGTGTGGTGCATGAGTGTACCCAAGAATCCACAAAATGTGTATGTGGATGGATGGATGGAGAGAGAGACAGGTACAGCAAGAGAGTGTGAGCAAGACCAAGACAGTGAGAGTACACGCGAGATCAACAGAATGTGTGTGTGAGACAGAAAGGGATGGAGGGAGGGAGATTCCTGAAGCCATCTTTGAGCACCTGGATTCAGCCATTCCTGAAGCTGACCTTGTTGTTAAAGGAGGCTATAAAGATCCATTTTTTTCTTACGCACATATGAATCAGATTTCTGTCACAAACCGGAGTCTGGGCTGATTCCTCTTCTGCCTCTGATCCTGTTTATTGTAACAGAAAGGGTTTTCTTTTTCTGTCTTTCTTGTTTGTTTGTTTGTTTGTTTGAGACAGAGTCTCACTCTGTCACTCAGGCTGGAGTGCAGTGGTGTAATTTTCACTCACTGTAACCTCTGGCTCCTGGATTCAAACAATTCTTGTGCCTCAGCCTCCTGAGTAGCTGGGATTGCACGTGCCCGCCACCATGCCTAATTTTTTTTTTTTTTTTGTATTTTTAGTAGAGACAGGGTTTTGCCATGTTAGCCAGGATGGTCTCGATCTCCTGACCTCGTGATCTGCCCGCCTCGGCCTCCCAAAGTGCTGGGATTACAGGCGTGAGCCACCGCCCCCAGCAGGATCACTGTTAAACCTCCTTGATTGTAAGTGTTGGAAACCCCAGTTCAAAGTAGATTAAGTGAAAAGTGGAGTTGATTGACTTGTGTGTGTGAAAAATCCAAGAGTGTACAAGCTTCAGGCACAGATGGATCTAGGGTCTTACATGATTTTTTTCCAAGATGTGGCCTTTCCCTTTCTGGGCGCTACTTTCTTTGTTGGCTGCACTCTCAGGCTGGCTGTTCTTTGAGGTGACTCCAGGTCGGCTGTAGACCCTCCAAGTCCAGAATCTCAGTGGAAAGAAATCTCCTTCCTCCAAAAAATTATATCTGAGGGCCTAGAATTGAGTACCAGTGGGCAGGTGCCGTACATGAACCAATCATAGGGATTCCCTAGCCTGGAAGAGAATGTACTGATTGGGCATGTGAGGTCACATGACCCTTGGGGTGGGAGGGTAAGGACCGAAAGTCCCTATCTGAAAGCAATGGAGAGGTGGTTCCCCAGAGAAAAATGCAAGTGCTGTCATCAGGAGAGGCAATGGACACCCGGTCATCATCCCCAATAATTCCCGTCCTCCTTTCTTTGAGTAACTACATCCCAGCGAAGTCCCCTAGGTCCTTCCAGAACTTGGTCCCCAGCATCTTAACCTCTCCCCAGAGAAGTGTTTCTCACTGGGCTGCCATCCAGGGATACTTCCAGTCTTTGGGAGGTGTTGGGGATCCTGTCTTTCCCTCTGCAGAAATGAAACAAAGGAGGCCAGGAAGAGACATCCCATCCCTTGTGGGGCTGGAAGCCGCCTGTCACAGAAACCAGGAGCCCTGGGCACCGTCATATGATTTTCCTCTTTTGTGTTTGCAGAAAATGTGGTATTAATACAGGATGTTTGACAATGCGGGCAGGATTAAAGGGCGGCCCTAATTGACCAAGGAGTGGGTTTCCAACTGGTTACTTTCTAGAATAATTCCATGCAGCAGGCGTGATTAGTCATGTCATCTTCATGTCATTTGCAGTGGAGAAGTTCAGCGTCCTAACAGTTTGTGACTGGCATGCCTGATACTGAACAGGAACCAGCCACTTTGGCCCATAAAAAGGATACAGCAAGTGTCTCTGAGCTATGGCCTGACCAGCTGCAAGCCTGTCCCTGCTACATTGCTAGGTGGAAGAGACCGCTTTTCTTTTCCTTTTCCTTTTTTTTTTTTTTTTTGAGATGGAGTTTCACTCTGTTGCCCAGGCTGGAATGCAGTGGCACGATCTCGGCTCACTGCAGCCTCCGCCTCCCAGGTTCAAACGATTCTCCTGCCTTAGCTTTCCAAGTAGCTGCGCTGATAGGTGCCTGCAACCACCTCCGGCTAATTTTTGTATTTTTAGTAGAGACGGGGTTTTGCCATGTTGCCCAGGCTGGTCTTAAACTCCTGACCTCAGGTGATCCACCCACCTCTGCCTCCTAAAGTGCTGGGATTACAGTCATGAGCCACCGTGCCCAACCCAGAACTTATTTATTTTAAGGAAATACACTCATGCGGTTATGGAGGTTGGCAAGTTCAAAATGGCAGGCTGGAGACCCAGGGGAGAGCCAATGCTGCCCTTCAAACCCAAAGGCCGTCTGCGGCAGGACTCCCCCCTACTGGGGGAGGTCAGTCTTTTGTTCTATTCAGGCCCTCAACTGATTGGGTGAGGCCTACCCAGGTTATGCGGGGCAATCTGCTTACCACCCATTTAAATGTGAATTTCTTTTCTTTCTTTCTTTTTCTTTTTTTTGAGACAGCGTCTGGCTCTGTTGCCCAGGCTGGAGTGCAGTGGCACGATCTAGGCTCACTGCGAGCTCCGCCTCCCAGGTTCACGCCATTCTCCTGCCTCAGCCTCCCGAGTAGCTGGGACTACAGGCGTGTGCCACCATGCCTGGCTAATTTTTTGTATTTTTAGTACAGACGGGGTCTCACCATGTTAGCCAGGATGGTCTCGATCTCCTGACCTCGTGATCCGTCTGCCTCGGCCTCCCAAAGTGCTGGGATTACAGGCATGAGCCACCGCGCCCGGACTTAAATTTTAATTTCATCTAAACACCTTCATAGAAACACCCAGAATAATGTTTGACTACATATCTGGGCACCATGGCCCAGCCACGTTGACACATACAATTAACCATCACAGATATCAACTAAGTGAAACCATGCAGTATGCGCCCTTTTGTGTCTGGCTTTTTTGGTCCCACCTTATGTCTATAAGATTTATCCATGTGATTGTATGTTCATTCTTTTACTTTGCTATGTAATACTCCATTGTATTATTATACTACCATTTATTTTTATTGTTGATAAATGTTTGCTTTATTTCCAGTTTGGGGCTGTCATAAATAAAACTGCCGTGAATATTTTTGTTTATACTATTTGGTGCACATAAATGCTCACTTCTGGGATTGTGGAATTGTTGAGACACAGGGATTCCTATGTCTCACTTCAGTGGGTACTGACACACCACTTTCCAAAGTGGGTCTATCTGTTCACCTCTCAGCAGTGTGCGAGCATTCCCGTTGCTCTGCACCCTCGTGTAGACTGGATATTGCCAGTCCTTCCGATTCAGCCATTCTAGTGGGTGTGAATTGGTATCTCAGTGTGGTTTTGATTATGCCTTTATTTTTAAAAAAATCTGTATTAAAGGAGACCAAAAACAGACTCTCATCTAACATTAAATTTTTTTTTTTTTTTTTTTTTTGAGATGGAGTCTTGCTGTGTCACCCAGGCTGGAGTGCAATGGCATGATGTCATCTCACTTATAACCTCTGCCTTCTGGGTTCAAGTGATTCTCGTGCCTCAGCCTCCTGAGCAGCTGGGATTACAGGCGCCTGCCACTACACCCAGTTAATTTTTGTATTTTTAGTAGAGATGGGATTTCGCCATGTTGGCCAGGCTGGTCTCGAACTCCTGACCTCAGGTGATCTGCTTGCCTTGGCCTCCCAAAGTGCTGGGATTACAGGTGTGAGCCACCATGCCTGGCCTGGACTCCCATCTAACTTAATCTTCATAAATATTTCTTTATAAAGATGACCCTATGTGTCAGTTTTCAGAGGGAGAAACTAGCATTTACTTTGTACTATTCTCTGACGGGAGCTGTGCTAGGAGCTTTACAGATTTTATCCCATGCCATCCTCAAGACAATGCTTTTAAATTTATTTTTAAATTTATTATTATTATTATTTTGAGATGGAGTTTCACTCTTCTTGCCCAGGCTGGAGTGAAATAGCGCCATCTCGGCTCACTGCAACCTCTGACTCCCAGGTTCAAGCGATTCTCCTGCCTCAGCCTCCTGAGTAGCTGGGATTACAGGTGCCTGCCACCACGCCTGGCTAATTTTTGTATTTTTAGTAGAGACAGGGTTTCACCATGTTGGCCAGGCTAGTCTAAAATTCCTGACTTCAGGTGATCCACCTGTCTCAGCCTCCCAAAATGCTGGGATTACAGGCGTGAGCCACTGCACCAGGCCTATTATTATTATTTTTTGAGACAGGGTCTCACTACGTTGCCCAGGCTGGTCTCAAACTCTTGAGCTCCTCCCAAAGTGCTGGGATGATAGGCATAAGCCACCACACCCGGCCTCAAGACAATTCTTAAAAGATGTGGACAACCCTGGGGATAGACTAGGCAGACAGGCAGTGCCACCAATCTCGCAAGCCCTGAGCATGAAAATGAGATGTCAGGTCTCTCAGGGAACTGACGCAGCAATTGCTCCTGCGACCGGCACAGTGTGAATATGACAGATGTCGCTGAAAAGAGAAAGCTGCTCTGGATGGAGCTGCTGCAGGAATCAGCTGAGGCTTGAGTGTAAATGCTTTATTTCCCATTCATCTCTGCATCAGGACCACAAATGGCAGACCGCAGGAGCCGAGTGTTTGCCTGCAGTTTGCCGCATCAGCCCTCTGGCGTCTGGGCCGGTGACATGTCCTTACCAGTTTCTCATGAAGATAATAGATGAAGGTATTTTGCTTTGTGAAGAAATGTTTATTGTTGATAAATGTTTCGTGTTCAGGACACCTGAACACGAAACAGCAGGCAGGCATTCTTGAAATAAAAGTGAATCCTGATGTTTAAAATTTATCTGTTGAAAGAATCCATTTTCCCCCTATTTCTGTCATTTTGCTGTGGAGTAGTGAAAAATTCATTGCAGACTGGGTTTTGTGAACCACTGGGGTAATAGAAAAGTACAGACTTTGGTGCCAAACTTAGGTTTAGGTCACAAACCTGGTACTTAGGGCTGCATGACTTTGGCAAAGTCACTTCATCTTTCGAAGACCCAGTTTCTGGGTAAAGGCTCGGAAGGTTGTCTGTGGAAAGTACCTGGTACAGCACCCAGCCTATGGGAGGGGTTCAATAAGTGTCAAATGAATTTCTGTTGTATTTCAGGTCCATAATCCTTTAGCTACAAATGCAACATTTTTTAAAACTACACAAACAGGGAGTGTTTTTCTTATCTTCTTATGCTTGGTTCAAATTCACTTGGCAGCAAAAGCTGACATGAGGCTATTTTATAGTCTCTATTTATCCCTATGGGCATAACTACTCATATGTTCTGCTTTAGAAATATTAACATATTTGATACTGGTGTGTCTTCCCAGGCCTCGGGGAGGTCATATAGTGCACAGCATACGCAATGTACTATATACGATCTGGACCATTCTGAATTCTGATATACATCTGGATTTTAAATGACAAACTAAATTCAGATCCACTTAGGAAAAAAAAAAGATATGTCATCTCATGAACATTAAAAAAAAAAACCCAAGGGTATTCTACCTTCAGGTACAGCTGGATCCGGGACTCAAATGATGCCTGTATGTTTCTGTTTGTCTCTCCACTCAGCTCTGAGACTCTCTGCTCTTCTTTGAGTTTTGGCTTCATTCCCATTCATGCTTAGACAGGGTTTCTTTGCATCGTGGGAAACAGGGTCCTTTGCAGCTCTCACTTCTAAGAAAGTGAGACCCTCCCCCTCCTGGCATTGAATATCAAATTTCAGTGAAGATTCCGATTAGCTCTTCTTGCGGCACGTGCCCACTGCTTGAGCCAATCAGCATGGAGGGGAAATAGGGTCTTGTAATTGGGTCAAGTGCCTACTCCTGCAGCCCTGCTTCGGATGGGGGGAGAATTGATAGCGCTGCAAGAGAAGTGTGGGGCCAGGCAAGCCAGCAGAGGCCAGGCCATCGATTACAAAGTAGCTCTGTGGCAATCAAGTCCTTCATCCACATTCCCAGCCCCAGGGAAATCCCAGTCTAAGCAAAGGACATCTTGGAGGAGGTGGCGCCTCACACCTTCTGAACCTTTCCTTTTGGCTCTGCATCTGTGCTACTTGGTGACAGGTGCATCTCTTGTGACAGCCTCACCTCTTGCAGATCCTTAAGGTCTCCCTGAATCTGCAGTCGTCTCTTTTTCTGTTCCTCAACGTGACTGGAAGAGCTGCCACAAGCTGTTCCTCTGCTGGAACGTTCTTGGCTCTACTTCTCACCTGGTGAACGCTGGCTCACTTGTGATTCTCAGTTTAAAGGACAGGTCTTCAGAAAAGACTTCCCTGACTCTCTAAAGCCTCTCTTCTAGTTCCCTCCCAATCCCTGCCCTCTTTTCTTGATCGTGTTCATTCCGTTTTGTAATTATATATTAATACTGTGTCTTTATTTGTTTAGAAACTGTCTCCCCGGCTAGACTGTCACAATTTAAAGGCAAGGCCATGTCTATTTCACCCACACTGTATCTTCTCAGAGCCAGACTCACAGTGGGTGCCAATAGTTTGTTTTTTTCCGAGACAGGGTCTCACTTGTTGGAGTGCAGTGGCATGATCACAGCAGACTGCAGTCTTGACCTCCCCGGGCTCAGGTGATCCTTCCACCTCAAACTCCTAAGTAGCTGGGACTACAGTTGTGTGCTACCATGCCTGACTAATTTTTGTATTTTTTGTGGAGATGGGATCTTGCCATATTGCCCAGGCTGGTCTCAAAATCCTGGGTTCAAGTGGTCCTCCTGCCTGGGCCTCCCAAAGTGCTGGGATTACAGATGTGAGCCACCATGCCCGGCCCCAACAAATACTTTTTGAATGAAGGAATGAATGAGTGAGTGAATGGCAAGGCTTGAATTGAAACCCTGGCCTCCTTGACAATTGGGCTCACTGCTCATCTCTCAGTGTGGTCAGACCTGAATGAGGATGCCTGAGTCTATCTTGTTCTAGGGCACCTTTCTTTCTTTTTGTTTGAACAACTCAGCCAAATAAAATCCTAGTTTATCTTTAGTTTTTTTTGTTGTTGTTGTGGTTTTGAGACGGAGTTTCGCTCTTGTTGCCCAGGCTGGAGTGCAATGGCGCAATCTTGGCTCACTGCAACCTCCGCCTCCCGGGTTCAAGTGATTCTCCTGCCTCAGCCTCCCAAATAGCTGGGATTACAGGCATGTGCCACCACACCTCACCTGGCTAATTTTGTATTTTTAGTAGGGGCAGGGTTTCTCCATGTTGGTCAGGCTGGTCTCGAACTCCTGACCTCAGGTGATCCACCCGCCTCAGCCTCCCAAACTGCTGGGATTACAGGCTTGAGCCCCACCGCGCCCAGCTTATCTTTAGTTTTTTGTTTGTTTGTTGAGATAGAATCTTGCTCTGTCACCCAGGCTGGAGTGCAGTGGTACGATCTCAGCTCTCTGCAACCGCTGCCTCCCTGGTTCAAGCAATTTTCCTGCCTCGGCCTCCCAAATAGCTAGAACTCAGGCACCCGCCACCCTGCTAATTTTTGTATTTTTAGTAGAGACAGGGTTTCACCATGTTGGCCAGGCTGGTCTCGAACTGCTGACCTCAAGTGATCCGCCTGCCCCAACCTCCCAAAGTGGTGGGATTACAGGCGTGAGCGATTGCGACTGGCCGGCAAGGTTTTCTTGAAGTTTGAATTTTCCTTTTTGGCTGCCTGGTCATCCTCATTGGTCTTCTGCTTCTTGGTAACAATATTGTCATCCTGATCATTTTCAGCAGCCAGTTTGCCCTCAGCAGCCTCAGCTTCCTCATCTTTATCTCCATCTTCTTCCTCACCATCAACTTCCTCCTCCTCCCCCTTCCTCTCCACTTTCTTCCTCTTCTTTTTTTTTTTAAATTAAATTAAATTAAATTAAATTTTATTTTATTTTTTTGGGACAGAGTCTCGCTCTGTCGCCCAGGCTGAAGTGCAGTGACACGATCTTGGCTCACTGCAAGCTCCGCCTCCTGGGTTCAAGTGATTCTCCTGCCTCAGCCTCCCGAGTAGCTGGGACTACAAGCGCATGCCACCACGCCTGGCTAATTTTTTTGTATTTTTAGTAGAAATGAGGTTTCACCATTTTAGCCAGGATGGTCTCGATCTCCTGACCTCATGATCCGGCCACCTCAGCCTCCCAAAGTGCTAGGATTACAGGCGTGAGCCACCACGCCCAGCCCTCCACCTTCTTCCCTTCTTTGTCTACCTCATGGTCAGCCTCCTCCTCCCCATTGCCCTCATTAGTATTCCTGTTAGTAGGGGCATCTCTTTCATTGTCCACCTCCTCCACAACTTCCTCCTTCTCCTTTAAGTCTTGGTGGTGATCTAGGAGCTGGTGTGCACGGCTGCGTCTGACATGGGGCACACAGGTGATCTGATGAAGGGGATTAAAAAGAAAGTGAGATTCGGGGACTGGTGACAAAGCTGCCTGCCAGAGGTGGCTGCAGTAAGCAGGGAGCCTGATGGCAAATAATACAAAGATGGCTTTTCAGAGCAGCCAGTGGGGGCTTCAGCACTTCTCATTTGCTTCCCTTTTCACGTATATTTCACAAATGTTAACTCCCCCTGCAAGAACCAGACTTCTCGGAGTACTCAGCATCCTCTGTGGCTTGTATGGTAGCTCCACAGACCCCCTCCTGGCCCCGCTCACCTCTGAGTGAGCGTGGTTGGTTTGTGTTGTCACCTGGATAATTACCATGGCTGGCAGCTTCCTGGTAGATGTAGAGTGCTGGGATTATGGGTGTGAGCCACCGTGCCCAGCCCCACACTTTATTATTATTATTATTTTTTGAGATGAAGTTTCACTCTGTCGCCCAGGCTGGAGTGCAGCGGCACGATCTCAGTTCACTGCAACCTCTGCCTCCCAGGTTCAAGCAGTTTCCCCTGCGTCAGCCTCCCAAGTAGCTGGGATTACAGGTGTCCACCACTATGCCCAGCTAATATTTTAATATATTTAGTAGAGACAGGGTTTGTCATGTTGGTCAGGTTGGTCTTGAACTCCTGACCTCAGGTGAACTGCCCGCCTCGGCCTCCCAAAGTGCTGGGATTACAGGAATGAGCCACTACGCCTGCCCCCCACCCCCCACTTCTAAAGCACCAGATCTCATGAGAACTCACTCACTATCATGAGAACAGCAAAGGGGGAAATCTGCCCCCATGAGTCAATCACCCCCACCAGGTCCCTCCCCAACATTGGGAATTACAATTCAGCATGAAATTTGGATAGGGACACACAGGCAAACCATATCAAGGCCCATGACCCAAGTTTAGCCAGTCAGAGTCCTTCCCTGGGACTTGCCTAATCCCTGGTCATGATGCCGTACGGCAGTGAAGCTGCACCCGTGTGACCAGGGCCCTCCTCAGGGACACGGCCATTCTGAGACTCAAGCTGACTCACCAGGAGTGGCAACGACAACAGAAGGCCCTTCGAATAGCAATGTTCCCATTTAGTGGACATCCCCGACGTTTTTCCTAAAGCCTCCACCAGCATTAGTTTCCTTTTCTGTAAAATGCGGATGACGACGTTCTGGGAGGCTAAGGTGCTTGCCCAAGATTTCAACATGGCAGAGCCAAGATTCCAACACAGAGAGGCTGCCTGCAAACCCTGCAGCCTCTGAGCTGGCCCGTGAGATGCTGCCTGCCACCCATTTTGGGGAGTCCCCTGCCTTAGACCTTGTCCTTGGCCCAGGAGAACTGAGGGCATCCTTTGTATAGCTCTGTTTTCATAGTGGGTGAGGGTGGGCACATGTTTGGCTGAGCGTGGGGTGAACAATAGACCCGGTGCCAAGGTTTCCAAAGCCCTCCCTCCCACCCCTCCTCTCGCTCCCTCAGGGCAGATGCATTTGGGGTCACTGTGGAAGCTACTCTCATGAATACCTGTGTGACAAAGGGCTGCTTCATAGAAGAGAAAGTCTCTTTGCCCAACACTAAGCCCAACGCCAGTTAAACAGCTGTAAAGCACACCCATTCCAAGGAAGCATTAAAGAAAAAAATCCTGTATCTCCCACTTAGGTAGGCACATCCCAGCGATGCTGGGGCAGAGCTGCTAATGGCCAGGGGAATGGCTGGCGCGTCTCTCAAAATTGGATCACACTAGCTCCTGGCTCCATCAGCCAGAACGGGATGGCGTGCACTCCCGAGGGGGCTCCGCGACCCTGGAGCAGTGCTGGGGGGCTCTCTGGAGGACAGGAAGGCCCCCGTGCGCCAGATTTTCAGCAACATCAGGATGTGGAGAGAGCCCAGCTCACCACATCCCCTTGGCGAACTGTGACAAGAAACGCACCAGCTTTCAACACAGCTCTTGTTCTCCATCAATGGGTTCCATTGTATGCACGAATTCCCCAGCTCTAGGAGTTGGTTCTGTGCCCTGGCCAGAGTCTGAAACCAAGGGACCTGGTCTCCCCCACTCCCTTCCTCAGTGTTGTGCAGCATCCGCAAAATCTGGTCAAAGAGCTTCACCTCGGGGAGTGTCCTTTCACTTCTCTCTGTGGAGGAGCTGGGAGGGTGGAGAGCCACAGGAACCACTTGGCCATCCGTCCTCGGGGCACTTGAGCCTTTGAGGTTTTCCCCACTGGCCCCACCTCACTGCCCTCCACTTGATATTCCCCATTCAAGTCCAGGCCGGAGATTGGCAAACTACTACCTGTGGCCCATCACTTGTTTTCCTAAATAAAGTTTTATTGGAACACAGCCCATGCTCATTGTTTATACATTGTTTATGGCTGCTTTGTCTTTACAATGGTAGAGTTGAGTACTCATGACGGAGATTGTACAGTTCACAAAGCCTAAAATATTTACTATCTGGTACTTTATTTTTATTTTTTTGAGACGGAGTCTCGCTCTGTTGCCCAAGCTGGAGTGCAGTGGTGCGATTTCGGCTCACTGCAAGCTCCGCCTCCCGGGTTCACGCCGTTCTGCTGCCTCAGCCTTCCAAGTTGCTGGGACTACAGGCGCCCGCCACCGTGCCTGGCTAATTTTTTTGTATTTTGATAGAGATGGGGTTTCACCGTGTTAGCCAGGATGGTCTTGATTTCCTGACCTCGTGATCCACCCGCCTCGGATTCCCAAAGTGCTGGGATTACAGGTGTGAACCACTGTATCTGGTCCTTTAAAGAAAAACTTTATCTTCCCATGATCTAGGTCCAAGAAGAACTACAGAGAATTTAACTTTTGGCATTTCCATTTTTTGGCTCAATTGACTGATTCATTCATTAGACAAATATTTCTTGAGAATCTAATATGCATTAAGCTCTGAGCTAGGTGCTCAGGATACAGAGATGGACAAGGCAGACATGTATGTGCCTGTCCCCAAGGAAAGCAGAGGAGATGGCCACTGTGCAAGCAGCTCACACATTGTTAGTTACAATTGTGCTGAGTGTTACAAAAGAGAGGGTGGTGTGCTCTGTGGACCCAGCCAAGGGGACAGAGACAGCTTCCTGGTGAGAGTAATTTGTCAGCTGAGACCTTGAGGATGAGTAGGAGTTAGCCAGGTCAATGGGCTGGGGAGAGAGGATGGAGACTCCTCTAGACAGAGAGCCCAGCCTGGGCCAGGCAGGACAGAGCATGGCTCCCTCCAGGAGTAGAGTGAGGTCCTGGGAGGAAACATGGAGGTTGAGCTTCCAGAGATGAGCCGTCACTCTACCACGACTGGATCTGATGAGGGACTGGGATTGACCCCTTCTTCCTCAAGACACTGAGGTTTCTATTTTCCCTATGCAAATCTCAGTCTTCTTCTTCTTTTTTTTTTTTTTGAGATGGAGTTTCGCTCTTGTTGCCTAGGCTGGAGTGCAGTGGTGCGATCTCGGCTCACTGCAGTTTCCACCTTCGGTTTCAAGGATTCTCCTGCCTCAGCCTCCTGAGTAGCTGGAATTACAGGCACCTGCTACCACGCCCAGCTAATTTTTGTATTTTTAGTAGAGTCGGGGTTTCGCCATGTTGCCCAGGCTGGCCTCAAACCCCTGACCTCAGGCGATCTGCCCGCCTCGGCCTCCCAAAGTGCTGGTATTACAGGCATGAGGCACCATGCCCAGCCAAAGCTCAGTCTTAATTCAGATCAACATATAGTTTGTAAAGTGGGATTGCCCAATTTGGTAGCCACTAGCCACGTGTGGTAATTGAAATCTAAATTAAAATTAATAAAAATAAACTTTAAAATGTTCAGATCTTTGGTCACACTAGTCATAGTGCAAGTGCTCAAGAGCCACAGTGACACCCCTGTCGGACAGTGCTGCTGGAGGACATTTCCAGCAGAGTAGAACATTTCCCTGGACAGCATGGCCTCAGGAAGGGCCCCGCCCTGTCCTCCATCAAGAAGCCACCATGTGAGGACTTGTCTTTCTTTTCTTTTCTTTTTTTTTTTTTGAGACAAGAGTTTCGTTCTTGTCAGCCAGGCTGGAGTGCAATGGTGCGATCTCGACTCACCACAACCTCCGCCTCCCGGGTTCAAGCGATTCTCCTGCCTCAGCCTCCCGAGTAGCTGGGATTACAGGCATGCGCCACCATGCCTGGGTAATTTTGTATTTTTTACAAATACAAAATTAAAGACGGGGTTTCTCCATGTTGGTCAGGCTGGTCTTGAACTCCCGACCTCAGGTGATCCGCCCGCCTCGGCCTCCCAAAGTGCTGGGATTACAGGCGTGAGCCACCCCGCCCGGCCTGAGGACTTGTCTTTCAAATGGAAAAATAGATTCTGGGCATTGGGGTTTTGGATCTTCTGCCCATGATCAAGTTGTGTGATCTTGGGCGAGTTACTTAACTTCTTCAAGCCTCAGTTTCGCCATCTGCAATACTGGCCCAGAGCAATGTTTGGTGTATGATAGGTAGGGCTCCCTAAATGGCAGCTGAAATAGTTTTAACTTTTGTAGTAGAGTGAAAAAAAAAAAAAAGTACAACCTTAACAATGGCCCCTAGGATCTCTATTAGAGAGAAAATTGTTTTTGTTTGTGAGAGCATTGTGCTAAGTTGCTGTTGGGGGAGGCTGGACTCTGGGGGACGGGATGTTTGAGTCTGCACTGGGAGATCAGGAACCTGTGTGTTATAGGAGCAGGGAGGAGGCAGAGAAGTGGCAGGAGGCTGGGAATCAGGAGGGATGGAGTGGATGTGTGGCAGGCACTGAACATCCTCATTGGCTTGAACTGGAGCTTAGTTCTTCATCCGTCCATCCATTCATTCACTCATAGATCCAACAGGCCTATTTTGGCTGCATGGGTCCAAAAACCTAATTGAAGGAAAGAATTAATGACTTACGTGACAGAATCATAAGCCAGAGGTGAATCAAATCTGGCTTTAGGGAAAGCTGGATGCAGGGCTCTAGCTGAACAAAAGGATGAGGTTTCTCTCTCCTCTGTATTGGCCCCACATTTTCCCATCTCACAAGATGGCGGCCAGGAGCTCCAGGGCCACATGGGCTTCCTGATTCCAGAAGAAGGAAGCAGCAAGAACCTTCCGGGGATCCCAGTGTCAGTCTCCTTGTGAGTCTTTGGGTTAGACTGGGTCACGTGCTTATCCCCGAGCTCATGGAACAGAACGATCTGCTTGGCTCCGGCTCTCAATATTCCGCATGGGCTGGGCCAAAGAAATAAAGGAACAAAATAACTGAAGGGTCAACAAATTGAGGAAACCAAGGAACATGGAGAAAGCTGAGTGGACGCTGGGTATGGAACAAGAGATGTCCACCATAACGAATTCACTCAACCCTCTAGGGCTGGGCTCTGGGGGCAACAGAAAACAAGCTGAGCCCTCAGCCTGCATGGAGCTTACGTTCTATTGGAAGGAAACAGCCTCATCCCGACGGCCCTTCTCTCCCTCCCCTGGGGAGACTGGAGACAGAGCCTCCTCTCCCTCCTGGTCTGAGTCCAGCCCCAGGAAAGGAGTGAAATTAACTGTCCATTGTTTTAGTGACACTTCCTGGGAGCAACAAAGGGCCTTTCACAGTGAGAAAGTGAAGCAAGTAGATGCGGGATGACCTGGAAGTCACAGAATGTGGTTGTCGAGGTGCCAGATGGAAAATGCCCAACAGGTCATGTTCAGAAATTGGAGCTGAAACAGACACACTCTTGAAAAAATATCCATATATGGTTGGCATTTCAGATGCACTTTGTGAAGTCAAGGACACTAGGCTGGGTACTCAGAAACAGGAAGCACCTAGAAGGTCTTGGAAAAATCAGTGAGCAATGGGATCCAAGTTCTCTTTCAGGTCCGCCCTCACTCTTCTGGGTTCATGCAGCTGTGGACCAAGGGAGAACTGAAGCACCTGGCATGTGGCCTCAGTCCCCATCCCTCTCCCTGCCATGCAAACCCCTCTCAATGGAGAATTCTAGGCAGAGGGAGTATCAAGAAAATAGACGGTGGAGGCCCGGAGCACGGAAGAATCAAGGGACTAAAAGCAGAGAGCAGAGAGGAGGACGGCAGGCGGGGGATGGGCCGGGCTGGTGAGCTGGGACAAAACTTAGAGGAGTTTGGAAGCCAAGGACATGAGCCTCTTCATTATCCCGAGAGCCCCCAGATGCTTGGTGAGAGTGAAGCTGGGGGGCGGGGGTCAGGGGGACTGTGTTCATCTCCTAAGGCTGCCCTAAAACAACAGAAATCTATTCTCACACTTCTGGAGGCTACAAGTCAGAAACCAAGGTGCCGGCAGAGCCATGCTGCCTCCAAAGTCCTTCCTTGCCTGGTCTGGCTTCTGGTGGCTCCCATCCATCCTGGCATTCCTCAGTTTGCACCTGTGTTGCTCTCGTCTCTGCCTCCATCTTCAAATGGGCTTTGTTTGTGTATCTCTGTGTGTCCTCTCCTCTTCTTATAAGGACACCACTCACTGGGTTTAGTGTCCGCCCTAATCCAAAATAACCTCATCTTAACCAATTACGTCTGGGAAGCCCCTATTTTCAAATAGTCACATTCTGAGGTTCTGGTGGACATGAATTTTGGAGGGAACACCATTCCATCAATGACAGTGGCCAGTTATGATTTTCACTTGGCAAAAAGGACTCTAGCAGCATAAAGAAGGCTTGAAGGAGGCCAGTTTGGAATCAGGAGACAGTTAGGAGGCAGGAGAGAGGTGGAGGGGGCCTAGGCCAGGATGGGGATGGCAGGAGAGAAGTGGAGGGGGCCTAGGCCAGGATGGGAATGGCAGGAGAGAGGTGGAGGAGGCCTAGGCCAGGATGGGGATGGCAGGAGAGAGGTGGAGGGGGCCTAGGCCAGGATGGGGATGGCAGGAGAGAGGTGGAGGAGGCCTAGGCCAGGATGGGGGTGGTGACGAGGGAGGAAAGTACATGGCATTGAAAGATGTTGAGGAAGGAAAATCCAAAGGATGGGTGGGATGTGGGGCAGAGTGAAAGGTGGACTGTGATGACACCACCCAGGCCGAGTGTGGCGGCTCACACCTGCAATCTCAAAACTTTGGGAGGCTGAGGAGGGAGGGTTGCTTGAGGCCAGGTGTTTGAGACCAACCTGGGCAACATAGACTTCACCTCTACAAAACAAAACAAAACAAAAAACCACAAAATTAGACATGGGGTGCGCGCCTGTGGTCCCACCTACATGGGAGGCTGAGGCAGGAGGGTTGTTGAGCCCAGGAGCTCAATGCTGCAGTGAGCTGTGATCATGCCACTGCACTCCAGTCTGGGTGACACAGTGAGACCCCGTCTCAAACGGGAAAAAAATGGAGACTCCCCAGATTTCTGGGTGGCTTATCAGCCTTATCTTCTGGGAATAAAATTTGGTGAGGCTTAGGATATGATAGAAAATAGACAGGCAGAGGCAAAGAAAGAAATGCTCTTTAAAAAGAGAGAGAAGAAAGCCTGAGCTTGCTGACACCCCACGAGATTTGCCCATGAGCTGCAGGAGTTCGCTTGGCCACTCCTAAACCTCTTGGCTCAGCGCGTGGGCACCACTCAGAAGCTGATGACAGCCCTCCATAGAATAAATAACCCTCCCTGTGAGCTCATTCTTCAATCAGGCCCCTCCTCGTCACTCACTCTGGCCCACGGACCAGGGGGATTGCTGGGGACATAGCCGAATGTAGCATCCGGTGGCTCGGGGGCCAGGACCGCTGGCGCAGTGATGAGCCTCCTCCTCCTCGCTTGCTCTCTGGGGTCACAGCCAGACACGGGGGCAGGGGCAGGTCTTCAGGGCTAGGGTCTCTGACCCAAAATGCTGGGAGGGTTTCCTCCATTGCAGTTCCCTTCGGAGCTCCTGGCGACTCAGAGATAAAGACCACAGAGGCTGCCCTTGGGCTGCCTGGGTTTGCCTGGAATCTGGGTGCATTTCTTGGGGCTCCCAGGACACACTAACATGAACTTGGTGGCTTAGAACAACAGAAACCTATTGCCCCACAGTTCTGGAGGCCAGAAGCCTGAAGTCAGTATCATTGTGCTGAAATCATGGTGTGGGCCGGGCTGCGCTCCCTCCGGAGGCCCCAGGGGAGGCCCCTTGCCTGGCCTAGCTTCTGATGGTTCCTGATGTCACTTGACTTGTGGCCACTGCAATCTTCAAATCCCACGTCTCCATCTCTCCTTCTGCCCTCCTCTTCTTAGAATGCATGTGATTGCAGTTAGGGCCCCCTTGGCTAATCCAGGATCACCCCCATCTCCAGCTCTTTAACCACACCTGCAATGATCCTCTTTTAGAAGGTAACATTTACAGGTTCTGGGGATTAGGACCTGCTACGTCCTGGGGGGGCTTTTATTCTATTTCCTGCAAACTCCTTCACTTACAAGCTGTGTGGGCAAGACACTTATCCTCCCCGTGCCTCAGTTTCCTCATATAAAAATAGCTGATACTCTGCTTTTTGTTTTTTATTTTTTTAAGACAGAGTCTTGCTCTGTTGCCCAGGCTGGAATGCAGTGATGTGTGATGACCGCTCACTGCAGCCTTGACCTCTCAGGCTCAAGTGATCCTCCTGCCTCAGCCCCCGGAGTAGCTGGGACTATAGGTGCATGCCATCATGCCCAGCTCCTTTTGTATTGTTTGCAGAGACAGGATTTCGCCGTGTTGCCCAGACTGGCCTTCAACTCCTGAGTGCATAGACCTGCCCACCTCAACCTCCCACAGGTGTGAGCCACCACACCCAGCTGACGCTCCGCTTTTTAACAAAAGAACCCACAATCTCTAGCTGGCCACAACGTCGTTCAAATACAGACAGCATTTTCCAGGCCCCCTTGCAGCTTCACAAGACCACGTGCCCAAGTCCAGCCAATGGGACGTAAGCAGGGGTTGATGTGTAGGGCTTCTGGGCAGGGTCCTACTCCTTTCCTTTCCTCATTTATGCCATGATGTTTAGAGGACTGGGACCGCCATCTTAGACCATGAGGTGAATTTGGGAGTGGAGGCCAACACGTCATAGGTTTTTATGAAGATTAAATAAGAGGCGCACATGGAGCCTTGAGGAGGGGCCTGACACGCACACATGATCCATGGGGGCTTATTTCTCTTTCCCTACCGCTCCTTCTTCCCCCTCTTCCCCTTCCCCCTTCCCCTCTACCTCTTTTCTTCCTCTCCCCTCCTCCTCCCCCTCCTTTGTTCCTCCCCTCTTCCTCTTCCCACTCCCCTCCCGGCTTCTCTTCCCCCTTTTCCTGTCTTCCTTCCTCTCCCTCTCTTTCTGTCCCTCCCCTTCCATCCCCTCTCCCTCCTCTCCCTCCTCTCCCTCCTCCTCCCCCTTTCCCTCCTCCTTCCCCTCTTCCTCCTCTCCTTCCTCTCCCTCCTCCTCTTCCTCCTCTCCCTCCTCCTCCCCCTTTCCCTCCTCCTTCCCCTCTTCCTCCTCTCCTTCCTCTCCCTCCTCCTCTCCCTCCTCTCCCTCCTCCTCCCCCTTTCCCTCCTCCTTCCCCTCCCCATCCTCCTCTCCTTCCCCCACCTCCTCTCCCTCCCTCTCCTCCTCCTCTCCCTCTCCCTCCTCCTCCTCTCCCTCTCCCCCCTCCTCTCCCTCCTCCTCTCCTCCTTTCCCTTCTCCTCTCTCTCCTCCCCTTCCTCCTCCTCTCCCTTCTCCTCCTCCCCTCCCTCCTCCTCTCCTCCTTGCTGCTGTTTTACTTCTGCGTCTGGGGTTGCAGATCCCACAGGCAACCTTGCGGACAGCATGCGGCCTCTGACAAGTGTTTCAGGGGCTCCTTGAGCGGTGTGTTTACACACGCCACACCCACAGCTTGCTTTTTTTAGTCATTCTTTATTAGTAATAAAAACAACGCATTACTAAGCAAGCCACTGCACTGGGCACTTAACATGCCTTGTTTCCAAACTCTCCAGCAATTACTAGGTAAAATTATTATATTGAATCTTGTGTTATCTTTATGAAAGTCATAGCTATCATTCCCTAATTTAAAGATGAAGATATTGAGGATCAGAGAGGATGTTGCCCGTTCACAGTCCCACAGCTTGTTGTGTTGGAATCAGGGGTCAAACCAACTCTTACCCTTGACTTGGGCTTCCTTCCATGGTAATGTATGGAGCCCGCACAGGGAACTGGCTCTGTGTTAATAAATATTGGGGTTACTAAGGTGAAAAAGATCAACCTCCACCTTCGAGGAATTCCTCATGGAAGGGTTATGCTGCGCTGGGAGACTGTTTGGGGTCAGGTGCTTGAGGTGGTTTCCTGGAGAAGACATGATTTGAACGGAGCCACAGAGAATGGATAGGGTGTGTATAGACAGAAAACGGAGTGAGCTGGGAGTGGCTGGGAGGCTGTGAGCTGGACATGGCTGGGAGGCTGGGGGTGCTGGAAAATCAGGAGGTGGACAGTTTGTCCTGGGGTGAGGATCTTGAGTCTACACAAAGTAATGCTTCCTCCTTTTAATCAGAGATTATGAATTTCTTTCTCTTCCAAGAAAGTTTTGCTTTGTTTTATTTTTTTGACAGGGTCTCACTCTGTCATCGAGGCTGGAGTGCAGTGGCATGATAAGGGCTCACTGCAGCCTTGACCTCCCAGACTCAAGCGATCCTTCTGCCTCAGTCCCCAGAGTAGCTGGGACTGCAGGCGTGACTGCAGGCATGCACCACCACACCCAGCTAATTTTTTGTATTTTTAGTAGAGATGAGGTTATGCCATGTTGCCCAGGCTGGTCTTGAGCTCCTGGACTCAAGCAATCTGCCTGCCTCAGCCCCCTCAAAGTGCTTGGATTACAGACATGAGACACTGTGCCCAGCCATTCTTTAATTTATGTAAATGGAATGCATATTCACTGGGAGGAATGTGGAATATACAGACAGTCACAGAGCAGGCCTCTCCACCGGAGACTTCCTGCTGTCAGGTCAGCAGCAGGCGTGGCTCACCACCGGGAGCCCTTCCCAGCACCGGGCACCCTGCTGTTCACTCGCCACTCACCCCTATATTCCCAGACATGCAAACTGATATACTGTAGATGGGCACGACCCTCTGTGTCTTCTTGTAATATTAAAAAAAAATTGGGGGCCCGGTGCGGTAGCTCACACCTGTAATCCCAGCACTTTGGGAAACCAAGGTGGGCAGATCACTTGAGGCCAGGAGTTTGAGACCAGCCTGGGCAACATGGTGAAACCCCATCTCTACTAAAAATACAGAGATTAGCCAGGTGTGGTCCATGCCTATAGTCCCAGCTACTCAGGAGGCTGAGGCAGGAGAATCACTTGAACCCAGGAGGCAGAGGTTGCAGTGAGCCAAGATCGTGCCACTGCACTCCAGCCTGGGCGACAGAGTGAGACTCGGTCTCAAAAAAAAAAAAAATTTTTTTTTTTGAGCCAGGCATGGTGGCTCACACCTGTAATCCCAGCACTTTGGGAAGCTGAGGTGGGCGGATCACTTGAGGGCAGGAGTTCAGGGCCAGCCTGGGCAACATGGAGAAACCTCGTCTCTATTAAAAATACAAAAATTAGCCAGACGTGGTGGTGTGTACCTGTAGTCCCAGCTACTCAGGAGGCTGAGGCGGGAGGATCACTTGAACCCGGGAGCAGAGGCAGAGGTTGCAGTGAGCCATTGCACTCCAGCTTGGGCGACAGAGTGAAACCCTGTTTTGAAAAAAAAAAAAAAACAATTTTGGCCAGGCGCGGTGGCTCACGCCTGTAATCCCAGCACTTTGGGAGGCCGAGGCGGGTGAATCACAAGGTCAGGAGATCGAGACCATCCTGGCTAACACAGTGAAACCCCGTGTCTATTAAAAAATACAAAAAAATGAGCCGGGCGTGGTGGCGGCCGCCTGTAGTCCCAGCTACTTGGGAGGCTGAGGCGGGAGAATGGTGTGAACCCGGGGGGCGGAGCTTGCAGTGAGCCGAAATCGTGCCACTGCACTCCAGCCTGGGTGACGGAGCGAGACTCCATCTCAAAAAACAACAACAACAACAACAACAACAATTTTTTTTAGAGATACTTGTAGATTCACATACAATTGAAAAGAATAATTCAGGGGGGGTCTCCTGTATTCTTCACCAAGTTTCCCCAAATGGTAAGTTCGTGCATAACCAGAGTGCAGTATCACAATCAGGAAGTGGACGTCGATACAAGCCTCCCACCCAGTTGGATGCCCCCAGTTGTTCCTGCAGGCGCTTGTGTGTATTTAGTCCTGTATCATTTTATCACACGTGTAGGTTGGTGCGACCCACACCACAGGTCAAGATGCGGGACGGTTCTGTCTTAGTCAGTTTGGGCTGCTGTAACAAATAACACCCTAGACCGGGTGGATACAGCAGTCTGTATTTACTTCTCACAGTTCTGGATGCTGAGAAGTCCAAGATCAAGCTGCTGGCAGACCCAGTATCTATGACCCAGCAAGATCACAATGTGCTTAACCTTGGATCCTTGGTTGGCAGCTATCCACCCTCTGGTCGTGTCCTCACCAAGGCCAGAAGGAAAATCATCTCTCTGCTGTCTCTTGTAATCCCAAATTTGAGGGCCCCACCTTCATGACCTAATCACCTCTCAAAGGCCCCACCTCCTAATACCATCCGAATACCGTCACACTGAGAATTAGGCTTGCATATGTGAATCTGCGTGATGGAAGCGTGCTGTTTGTATCAAGCTCCATCACATCCACCCCTCATCTGCCCTTTCTACAGCCACAGTCGCTTTCCATTCCTTTCCATCCTGACAGCCACTCATCTGTTCTCCACCTCTATAATTTTGTCACTAAAAGAATATTAGATAGGCTGAGTGCAGTGGCTCATGCCTGTAATCCCAGCACTTTGGAAGGCCAAGGTGGGCGGATCGCCTGAGGTGAGGAGTTCAAGACCAGCCTGGCCAAATGGTGAAACCCCATCTCTACTAAAAATATAAAAATTAGCCAGGCATGATAGCAGGTGCCTGTAATCCCAGCTACTTGGGAGGCTGAGATGGAAGAATAGCTTGAATCCAGGAGGCGGAGGTTGCAGTGAGCTGAGATAGTACCAAGGCACTCCAGCCTGGGCGATAGAGCAAGACTCCATCTCAAAAACAAAAACGAAAACAAAACAAACACACACACACAAAAACAAACAAAAGAATGTTAGATAAATGGAATTATACATCATAGAATCTTTTCAGATTTTTTTTTACACAGCAGAATGCCCTTGGGTCTCCATGTAATTTTGCGTTCTATAGCGTGAGGATTGTATTCAAGTACACAGCGAGATCACAATGTGTTTAACTCCCTCCTGCTGTGTAGGTTATTTTCACTTAAACATTATTTTGAATTATGCTGTGGCAAATATCCTTGAAGCTGAGTATACACTTGTATAATAAGGATTTATTTCTTAAGACAGGTTCCTTGCACTGGACTTGCTGGGTCAGTGGTCTCGCCAGATTTTAAAGGCATTTCACCTAATTGCCCACTACAAGCAAGGTTCTCATTTTTACCCCTCCAGCTGGTGAGGGAGACATTTTGGCTCCCTACATCCTTGCATCCTTTCTTAAGGAGAAAACTCCTGTCCCCTGAAGCTCATCTCAGGCCCAGGACTGCTAAGAGTGGACAGAAAGGGGAAGAGAGCAGAGGAGCCACTTGAGCATCAGTGAGAGAGGGGACGGGGCCTGCTCTCTGGCCGGGCTCTGCAGCACAGGGTCCCAGTTTAGATGGAGAATTATGTGACAACCCTACCGATAGGACATGGGGAAGGAGTAGACCCTTCTCTGCCTTCTCCTTCTCAGCCTCCTGGACCTCTTATTTCACTTAAAAGACATCATCACAGTGCAGGGGTCACAGGCATAGACAGGGGGCCGGACAGCTCGCAGAAATGGTGATGGAAGGAAAACATGCCCCCACTCCTTTCTCCCGAGACACTCAGCCCTCTTCTCCAGCGCTCTGCCTCCCTCCCCAGGCTTTCACAGAGGCAAGAGCACTGCGAGAAAGTCTCTTTCCCCTTCACCAGGACCGCCCAGACATGCTCCAGCTTCAGGGCCTTTGTCTCTGCCGGTCCCTCCAGCTGGTGGGCTCTTCCCGTGCTCACCCCTCCCCTTCTGCAGGTTTTCCCCAGCGCCACCTTCCCAGTGAGGCCTTCCTTCCTTACCCGCCCACAGCACTCTTAACCCATTTTCCTGCTGAAATTTTCCTGTTAGCGTTTATCACCAGCCACAAGCTATGCATTTTATGTATTCATATATATTTGCAATCTGTTTTTTTCTGTTTTTGCTGTCTTGTTCCATGCTTTATTCTCAGTGCCAAGAACAATGCCTGATGTGCAGGAAGCACTCAAAATGTCTTATTGAATGAATGAGTGAATGAATCAACCCATGAATGGGTGGATGAAAGACCAGACAAATAAACAGTGAATGGAAGCAGTAGAAGGAAGGAAGGAAGGAAAGAAAAAAGAAAAAGAAAGAAGGGAGAAAGAGAGAAAAAAGAAAAGAAAAAAGGGAAGGAAGAAAATAAAGGAAAATAAAAAAAGAAAGAAAGGGAAAATGGAAAGAAAGAAAAATAAAGGAAGGAGGGAAGGAAGGAAACAAAGAAAGGAAAAAAGGAAAGAAAGAAAAATAAAGAAACGAAGGAGGGAAGGAAGGAAAGAATGAAAGAAAGAGAAGGAAGAAAGAAGGAAAGAAAGAAAAAGGAAAAAAGGAAAGAAAGAAAAATAAATGAAGGAGGGAAGGAAGGAAAGAAAGAAGGGAAAAAAGAAAAATAAATGAAGGAGGGAAAGAAGGAAGAAAAAATAAAAGAAAGAGAAAGAAGGAAGGAAGGGAGGGAGGAAGAAAGAAAAAAAGAAAGAAAGAAAAAAGGAAGGAAGAAAGAAAGAACTCTACCATAAGCAAAGCTGTCCTGGCATATGTGGCATCTGGCAGGCAGCAAGTCTAGACTGGGGAACAAAAGGGACTGTTGAGGCCTGGGGTAAACCAATGTGTTTTGGTCTACAGCGGGCACCTGCCATCCCACTCCAGCCCACGGCTACTTGGTCTTCAGTTTTTCAGGACTGAGCAGAAAAATCTCAACTTACATTAGCATAACCATCTAAAGTTGCCAGTATTTGATCATTTCTTAACCCACAGAAATAGTAATCCCATGTGATTCAAACTTAATGCGCAATTCCTTCCAACTTAAATTGTTGCCAATAAATTAATAGTAACAACACCATTAACAGTAACCCACTGACTGCTTGGGCCAAAGGGACACATCTGTGAGGTGGGGTCCTCCCAGGGCCACTGCTTTGCAAGCTCCACAGAGGCCTGGAGCAGCCAGTTGCCATCCCCCAAAGCCAAATGCGGAGCCCTGCTTTGGGCCAGGAGCTTGGTCTAGCCACCTGTGTGCAGAGAGGAGCTGGGCTGGCAGGCACGAGAGGTGGTGATGTGCGACATGCAGGGTGAATCCCTCCTCCAGGGGTGGGGGCTCAGGTTCTTGACCAGCGAGAGACCCGGCCTCTCCCTGCTGGAGCCCCAGGTGCCAACTGCAAGCCCTTGCAAGGAGCACCCATCTCAGCGAGAGGCTCTGCCCCCAGCGGATCTCCGGGAGCCAGCAAGAGGCAGGTATCACCTTTGCCAGGCCCAGACTCAGCCAGTTTTGCTCCCGGGGCTGTGATTTCATCAGGTGGCGAGAGCTTGTCAGCACTGGTGCTGCGTGTAGTCAGATGGATGCACAGATGTTTGAAACTCGGAAAGGTGCTAAAGAGGCTTCTGGGCAATTAAGGGAGTTGGGAGAAGAAGAATCTTCTAGCAGTAAAACAACCAGTCACCCAGCACCATAAGGGGCCTTGACGGGACTGAAAAGTGGGCCTATCCATGTGAAGGGCTGCGTTTCAGGCATGAGCCTTCCCTCACAGCATCATGACGGGGCTCACTACCCAGGGCCCAGCCCAAGGGGTTCAAGTCTCCCCTTCAAGGGCAAGTAGGGAGGCTCCCCCTCCCCACCCTGCTGAGCATTCCAGGATCTCCCATCCCCTTTGGGTTTGACATAGGTCCCAGGTGCTGACAGTTCATTCTGTTGTTCATTCCCCGACTGTCTCATTCATTCAGAAGCACATGTACATTAAACATCTACCACAAGGGATCCTTAAGGGAACAGGAGACAAAGCTCTGGTCTTCTGGCTCCCGCATTTGAGTGGGGCGGATGGCAGACAGTAAACAAGTGGATATGCCATATGAGGTGGGGAGTTGTGGGAAGTTTTTCTCCAAGAGAAGGCGGGGTGGTCAGTGGGAGAGAGTTCTGGGCTGACTTTGCACATGCAAAAAATAGTCACACTCAGTGCACACATGCAACACACACACAGAGAAAGAAGGAGAGGGAGTCAGAAAACCTATAGGGAATCTCTTAATTTTACATTCATGGAAGTTGGCCACATTCTAAATAACCACATTTTATTCCATGGCTTCATATGATCTTTTTCTTTTCTTTCTTTTTTTTTTTTTTTTTTTTGAGATGAAGTTTTGCTCTTGTTGCCCAGGCTGGAGTGCAATGGCGCAATCTTGGCTCACCATGACCTCCACTTCCTGGGGTTCAAACGATTCTCCTGCCTCAGCCTCCTGAGTAGCTGGGACTATAGGCATGCGCCACCATGCCTGGCTAATTTTTATTTTATTAGTAGAGATGGAGTTTCACCAGGTCGGCCAGGCTGGTCTCAAACTCCTGACCTCAGGTGATCCACCCGCCTTGGCCTCCCAAAGTGTTAGGATTACAGGCATGAGCCACCATGCCCGGCCTCATATGGTTTTTATTTTGATGGATGTAAACACTCTGAGTTCCTAGGGCCTCAGTCAAGGCCCACTCATCAAGCCCTTCCCTGGAGGTGCCCATCTGGGACTTTCTGGAATAAGATTCCAGCCACCAGCCCATCCAGGAAACCCCGCGCGCCTCCCTCGGGCCGCCTTCACTCCTCTGCAGCCCTCGTGTCTTGTGCTGTAGACCTGGAAGGTCCATACACATCAAAGCCCAAGTTGCTCAAAACCAAACCCTGGGCTCCTGTTCTAGATGTTGAATCGGGGTATGCTCAAGGGTCAGCCGCTGCTACAGGCCAGGGAAAGTGTTTGCCTTTCGATGGGTGTTTGTGGGTGTGAGGGGGAGCTGTCCTTCCCTCTCATCAAAGATTGGAGTTTTCTAATGCAAGAAAGAAAAAGGAAGGAGAGAAAATCATTTAGGCATCACATTAAACAGGGACATAACAGAGGTTAATAATATAGGGCCTGGTGGGCCAGGCGCAGTGGCTCACGCCTGTAATCCTAGAACTTTGGGAGGCCGAGGTGGGTGGATCACTTGAGCCCAGGAGTTCAAGACCAGCCTGGAGAACATGAAGAAACCTTGTCTCTACAAAAAATACAAAAATAAAAAAAGAGTAGAGGGGCTGGAGCCTGTGCACCTGGCTTCAGATCCCAGACCCACTTTCTATTAGGTTGGTGCAAAAGTAATAACAGATTTTTACATTACTTTCAATGGCAAAAACTGCAATTACTTTTGCACCAACCTAATAGCTGTGTGTTTTGGACTCCTTACCTAACCTCTCTGTGCCTGGGTTTCTTAAACTGTAAACAGGAGATAACGATAGTCTCCACCTTATGGGTTGCTGTGAGACGTAAATGGGTGAACACATGTGCACTATTTAAGACAGTGTCTGGCATATAGAAGCCCCCAGTAAATGTCAATTTGATTATTTCAATCAAGTGGAGAAGACATGTGAAGCAGTAAATGTCTGATTCCATACCTGTGGCAGGATGGCAGCCACCTGTTGTGACCCAAGCCCTGCACTGTTTGTCCAGCCTTCACCATATAGCTGTCCCCATCTGGCAGATGAGGAAGCTGAGCCTTGGAGCTGGTCAGAGGCTTAGACGGGGTCCCGAAGCTTGAAGGGTGGGACTGAGGTTCAAGCCAGGATTGTGTGACTTGAAAGTCGATGTCCTTTTCTTCTGGGCACCACTGAAGGTTGGACTGGCTTGGCCCAGACTGCCTTCCCTTTTGACAGGGTAGTTCGTCAAGCCATATTTTCTGAGCACTGCTGTGGGCCAGGCACTATGAGCAAGACACAGTGGCCTGGAGGGCTGTCCGCGTGATTTGTGAGGCTCCTTGTTCAAACATTAAGACTTTCTTTTCTTTCTTTTTTTTTGTTTTTCTTTGTTTCTTGTTTTTTTGGTTTTTATTTTTTTGAGACGGAGTCTCGCTCAGTCTCCAAGGCTGGAGTGCAGTGATGCAATCTCGGCTCACTGCAACCTCTGCCTCCCGGGTTCAAGCGATTCCCCTGCCTCAGCCTCTTGAGTAGCTGGGACTATGGGCACATGCCACCACGCCTGGCTAATTTTTTGTATTTTTAGTAGAGACGGGGTTTCACAGTGTTAGCCAGGATGGTCTCGATCTCCTGACCTCGTGATCCGCCCTCCTTGGCCTCCCAAAGTGCTGGGATTACGTGTATGAGCCACCCACCGCGCCAGGCCAAATATTCAGACTTTCAAGAAAGCAGAGCATTGAATGCAGTGCAGGGCCCTTACGAATGCGGGGCCACATGCCGCTTGCCAGGTCTCACGACCATGAGGCCGGCCCTGTCTGCCTGCGTGATGCTTGGGTATGTGTGTGTCTTTTGGGGGCTATGATACCATCAGTAAGGTAAGGAAGACATGATATTAAGTTTTTTTGTTTGTTGTTTTTTTGAGACAGAGTCTCACTCTGTCGCCTAGGCTGGAGTGCAGTGGCACAATCTCGGCTCACTGCAACCTCCCCTTCCCAGGTTCAAGCAATTCTCCTGCCTCAGCCTCCCGAGTAGCTGGGACTACAGGTGTGCGCCACCATGCCTGGCTAATTTTTTGTATTTTTAGTAGAGATGGGGTTTCACCGTGTTGGCCAGGCTGGTCTCGAACTTCTGACCTCAGGTGATCCACCCACCTCAGCCTCCCAAAGTGCTGGGATTACAGGCGTGAGCAGCTGTGCCCAGCTGAGGAAGACATAATATTAATATTGATACTCAAACCAAGACAGCACAACAAGCGCTATAAAGGGAGGCCCTAGGCTTTGTGCAGAAGCCACAAAGAAACACACACCTTGCTTAGTCTGAGATTCTTTGCTTGAAAATGAATTCTCATGGGGAATTTTCTGCAACCCAGGACACTTTTAGAGGAATTCAGAAACATTTACCGAGAGCTGCGTGTGTTTTAGGTGCTGAGAGATGATGCTGAAGCCAAAAGAGGCATGGTCTGTGTGATGCTTAATACTGAGTGTCGACTTGATTGGATTGAAGGGTGCACTATTGATCCTGGGAGTGTCTGTGAGTGTTAACTCAGATTAACATTTGAGTCAGTGAGCTGGGGAAGGCAGAGCCACCCTTAATCGGGTGGGCACCACCTAATCAGCTGCCAGGGAACATAAAGCAGGCAGAAAAAATGTGAAAAGAGAGCATGGCCTAGCCTCCCAGCCTACATCTTTCTCCAGTGCTGGATGCTTCCTGCCCTTGGACATCGGACTCCAGGTTCTTCAGTTTTGGAACTCAGACTGGCTTTCCTTGCTCCGCAGCCTGCAGATGGCCTATTGTGGGACCTTGTGATTGCGTAAGTTAATACTTAATAAACTCCTATATATATCCTATTAGTTCTGTCCCTCTAAGAGAACCCTAATACAGTCTGTCTCCTGCAGCTCATGGTCTAACTGGGAGACAGATGATAGGCATTAACCAAATGATCCGATGAATGGATGAGCAGGTACAGGTGTGATAAGTGTGGGGCCAGGGAGAGAAGGGGTGCTCTGGTTGCTTTTAAAAAGGGGCTTTGACCCAGTTTGCCAGGGATGTCTTTGCTGGGGGGAGCGCCAAAGCTTGAGCAGACTTTGACCAGATGCAAAGCAGAGAGAACAGTGTCCCAGGCAGAAGGCCGATGTGTGCCAAAGCCCAGAGGGGGACAGAGGAGCCTCAGGCCAGCATGACAGTGCCCTGTGAGGGAGGGGCAGGGAGGTGGGAGAGGAAATGCTGAGGTCCCAGGGCTAGATTAAAAAAATGCCGCCTATGGGCCAGGTGCAGTGGCTCACGCCTGTAATCCCAGCACTTTGGGAGGCCTAGGCAGGTGAATCACCCGAGGTTGGGAGTTCGAGACCATCCTGGCCAATACGGTGAAACCCTGTCTCTACTAAAAATACAAAAATTAGCCAGGCATGGTGGCAGGTGCCCATAATCCCAGCTACTCGGGAGGCTGAGGCACGAGAATCGCTTGAACCCAGAAGGCGGAGGTTGCAGTGAGTCAAGATTGTGCCACTGCACTCCAGCCTGGGCGACAGAGACAGACTCCATCTCAAAAAACAAACAAACAAAAACTGTCACCTACAGCCACTCAAAGATTTCATCCTCGGAGCACTGTAAAGCCAGTGACCGAGTTTAGCAGGAATTAACTGACGCAATCAGTGTTCTGAAGAGGTCACTCTATTCTCTTCTGCCGCCTTCCCTCCCGTCCTACCCACTGGGACCCTCGGACTGGTTCCAAGGAGCAGAGAGGCTGAGATTTACCACGACGTGACAGAAAGGGCTGTCATTTCATTTGAGCCAGCCTGCTGCACAATGATTGTCATCTTGCCAATTACCATCCTGTTTCCAAAAGCACTTTATTGCTGGAGGAATGAATGGGGCTCGATATGGCCTTATATAACAGTTGGACTTCCCTCGCCGGCTTGAAAACAGAGCTCCTGTCAGACTATCAGCCCATAAGAGCATGCCTTGGATCTGATAAACAGACGTTGGCAAATGGGAGGTTGGAAGGTGGTGCCAAGCTCTGTGGTTTGGACTGGTCCTATGAGCGAAACAATCGAAGCAGCTAACCATCTGCAGGAGGGAAAAGAGGAAGGGAAACTCAGCCTGAGACACAAAGAGGAAGTGTGGGAGACAGAGGGGCCGCAGTGGACGAGGTCCCAGTCCCAGCCCCGTTACTACAGCCTTGCAGACTACTGCCTGCCCACCAGCAGGATGCCACGTTTGTAGGGCGAGTAGACGTTCTGTTGATTTCACTAACCTTCCTTCCTGTGGTGCCTCCTTCAGGAATAAAGGGGTGGATGAGGTTGCAAGGATGGAGATGGGAAGGAAGATTGGTGGACAATTTTGTAGAGAGCTTTTGCGGATGATGAGTTGCCCTTCGTACTTGCTGATGTTCACTTACAAGCTGTAAAGCCTTTACTGCTGTTGCCATTGGATGGTTTTGGACTGAGCTAGGCACATTCTCTTGCACAGGGCTACTTGAGACCATGGCCAACTTGTCAGAGGCTTGGCTGCAAGTCTACCCTGCTGGCCTGTTAGGAGTTCAGGGAACCACACAGAGACCCCACTTGGGCATACTTATAGGACAACATCTATCATTTGGATGGACAGCGGACAGAGACAAGATCTGCTCAACCAAATCCACTTCCCCAGCTTTTATCATGTAGGCCACTGTTAGGCATGTATTCTCTTAAATGCAGCCCAAAGCATCCCCAGTGAATACACCAGAGGGCCCCCTGAATATTCTTGCCAAAGCCTTTGAGTGTGCAAGGCCTTGAGCCAGCAAGTGAGAATTCCATTCCTTGTGTTATGCTGCCTTGGTGGAAGCAGTGCTGTTTGGCTCTTGATACAATGCATGGTTTAGAGAAGCAGCTCTTCAGATTTTATTCCTGGAGCCCTCTTCTTTTTAAGACCGATCATGTGGCTAGAGCAGGCTTCTCTGCCTGGGCACTGTTGACCTTAAGGGCGAGATCATTTCATGTTGTGGAATTATGTTCCATGTGGTGGGGCATCCCTGTCTTCCACTCACTAGATGCCAGTAACACTCTCCCCTAGTTGTGACAACCAAAAATGTCCCCAGGAGGCAGAACTGTTTCCTGTTGAGAACCTTTGGACTAGAGGAATAATCTGGAATCAGATTTGTATACAGTCTACCAAAATTCTGAGCGTCCTTCTCTCCTGACCTGCCTGTTTCTTTACCTGTGTCAAGACTGCCATGCGATCTTGGTTACATCCTCATTCACAGCTAGGATGACTGTCACAGGACTCTCATGCAGAGGGAGGGCCATCTTCCTACGGCCTCATTGGTTTTCCAGAAACGCTTGAGCAAATTCCGGGTCACTGCTGGGCAGAAGTGAGGACTTGAGAAAGTATTCAGACAGCTGCTTCCGAGCTCCTCTCACAGTTAGACTGAGATGGAGGACAGCTGAGAGGCTCAGTAATGTCCATGGATTTGGCCCCAAATTGGCTATGGAGAGTAGGTTGGAAGTTTAAAAAACAATAATAGATTTTCTTTTCTTTTTAGACAGAGTCTCATTCTGTTGCCCAAGCTGGAGTGCAGTGGTGCGATCTCATGTCTGAGTCTCCCCAGTAGCTGGGATTACAGGCGTGTGCCACTATGCCCAGCTAATTTTTGTATTTTTAGTAGAGATGGGGTTTTGCCATGCTGGCCTCAAGAAATCCACCCGCCTCAGCCTCCCGAAGTGCTGGGATTATAGGCATGAGCCACTGTGCCCAGACAATAATATAATTTCTTGTTAGAGGCCGTCACTCCTGGATTTGAGATGAGTTAGGTGTCAAAACCGGAAGTGGAGATTTGGTAGAGTGAAGAGGCATTTCCAGCACCCAAATGGGCCTTGAGAATCAAGAGACCTCATTGCAAGGAAATGGTCTTGGATGGGAAGTGCAGGCCCTGCCACCGGTGTGGCTCACTCTCCCCACAACGCCAAACAGCAGCCCAGTCTCAACGGGGGAACCTGGGTGTGTTGGGGTTTTTGTCTAACATCTTGGAATGATTCATTCATCTTCTGCTCTCAATCAAATCCACTGGCCTTGTTGAAGACCTTCCCATCATCACAGAACCCTGTTTTGTATAAAATAAATTGGAACCACTGGCATTGAATGGAGCAAAAAATAGAACTCTGTGAGAAATACTTGCTGTCCAGTAAGCCGGGGGCGGCTTTTCTTTACCAATGCCTCCTTCCCTTTGAAAACAGGAAGTCACCATGGCCAAAAGTAAATGAGTTTCCAGCCGGCTGGGTCAAAATCCAGACTCCACCTCCCACTCCCACCTGTGGGCTCCATGTCAACCTGCCCAACTTTCTCTTTGGGTCTTGACACCAGCGGCTGACTAAGCCCCTGTCAACGCAGCCCTCCTCTTTGATCTGAACTTTCTGGCACTGTCTCTGTTCTTGTTCAGAGGGAAGCTTCCATCTTCCTCCTCATGTCTCCTCTTGGCCCCCTTTCCTAATCCTTGGAGTGCAGGCAAAACTCTGAATGTGTTTTTTCCTCAGATAAATTGTAAAAAGGGGCAGGTGCCAGAGCTGTCCAGCCAGCACTCAGTATTCTTACCCACCCTGGCTTAGGGTTGAAGAGGAGAACTGTCTGAATTCTTCATACAGGTCTCTGACCTAAGACATTTCATGAGGTTTGTTTAATTACAGGAGAGTGAAAACCCTATGCAAACTTTCTTTTTCTTTTCTTTTTTCTTTTTTTTTTTTTTTGAGATGGAGTCTCGCTCTGTCACCCAGGCTGGAGTGCAGTGGTGTAATCTCAGCTCATGGCAACCTCTGCCTCCCAGGTTCAAGTGATTCTCCTGCCTCAGCCTCCCAAGTGGCCGGGACCACAGGCGTGTGCTACCATACCTGGCTAATTTTTTGTATTTTTAGTAGAGATGGGGTTTCACCGTGTTAGCCAGGATGGTCTTGATCTCCTGACCTCGTGATACACTTGCCTCAGCCTCCCAAACTGCTGGGATTACAGGTGTCAGCCACCGCACCCGGCCACAAACTTTCTTAGATAAACAAAGAAATTTATTGACTTATGTGGTTGAAAAGGCCAGTGGCTTCAGGCACGGCTGGATCCAGGGGCTGAAGGATGCCATCCGGAATCATTCTCTATTTCTCTCTCTCTTTTTTCTGGAGACAGGGTCTTACTTTGGCCCCCAGGCAGGAGTGCAGTGGCACAATCACAGCTCACTGCAGCCTTGACCTCCTGGGTTCAAGCAATCCCTGCCTCAGTCCCCCAAGCAGCTGGGAATACAGGCATGCTCCACCATGCCCTGTTAATTTTTGTATATATTTTAGAGATGAGATTTTGTCGTGTTACCCATGCTAGCCTCGAACTTCTGAGCTCAAGCGATTTGCCTGCCTCAGCTTCCCAAAGTGCTGGGAATCCAGGCATGAACCACCATGCCCAGCCATTCTCTATCTCTCAATATTGCTTTCCTCTCCTGGCTTTCTTCTAAGGCAGATTGTGCCCTGTGAAACCCTGACCACCAACTTTCAGCTTACACCCTATCACTGTAGAAAGTCCAGGCAAAATGCACATTGGACAGGCAAAAATGGTGGTGCTGCTGCTGGTCACTACCCAGACAATAGATGTCATGCAGCTGCCTGTGCTTGTTTTGTTTTAAAATTTCTCTTTATGTTTTCTGGTCCTTCTCAAACTTTGAACAGTGAACATGGGCTTAGTCAGAGATATATTGGTTACAAACAGCAGACACCTACTCAAACTAGCTTAAGCACTAAATACTTTCTTTTTCCAGGGATTTAATGGTCACTTGGGAAATCAAGGGCAGGTAGTGAGGCCTGACTTTGTGGAGATTGTCAGAGGAAATCAGGAATCCATTAAGAATCAGCACTGTCATCTCACTTTCTCTTCATGATCATTCGCCTCTGATCATCCTCCGGCATTAGATCCAGTCTTCCTCTCTGTCTGATTGTTTTGCTTTTCTATGCTGGTGAGAGGACGCCTCTTAAACAGGTACCCAGAGGTAGAGGTGGCGCTTGGGCTTCCGGGTACCTCTTGCTGGGATCTTAACTCACTGCAACCTCTGCCTCCTGAGTTGAAGCTGTTCTCGTGCCTCAGCCTCCAGAACAGCTGGGACCAAAAGTGTGTGTGGCACCACACCAAGCTAATTTTTTTGTATTTTTTAGTAGAGATGGGTTTTCGCCATGTTGGCCAGGCTGGTCTCAAACTCCTGACCTCAAGTGATCCGCCCAACTCGGCCTCCCAAGGTGCTGGGATTATAGGTGTGAGCCACTATGCCCAGACTAGAGTACTTGTTTACCAGGTATTTGAAGACTAAACAGACAACAGATTAATAACCAAAACAGCAGGTGTAATTTTATAAATAGAAAAATTAAAGATCATAGAATTAGCAGTACCAATGGCTTAAATAAAAATCCTAGGCCAGCACGGTGAAACCCTGTCTCTACTAAAAATACAAAAATTAGCCGAGCATGGTGGCAGGTGCCTGTAATCCCAGCTACTCCGGAGGCTGAAGCAGGAGAATCGCTTGAACCTGGGAGGCACAGGTTGCAGTGAGCTGAGATCGCACCACTGCACTCCAGCCTGGGCGACAGAGTGAGACTCCATCTCCAAAATAAATAAATAAATAAATAAAAATCCTAGATAGATGATAAGAATTACTGATGAAAAATAAATTAAAATATTTTTCCTTCAAGCAGATAAAAAACATACTAGACAAATCACAAGATTTACTACTTTTAAAATCTTATTTAAATTTTAGAATAGTTTTACATTTACAGAAAAATTGCAAATATAGTACAGAGTTTCTATAGGCCCCACAATCCGGCTTCTTCTATTATGAACTTCTTACGTTACTATTGCATATTGTCATAATTAATAAACTAATACTGATGGATTTTTATTAACTAAAGCCCATACTTGATAGACATTTCCTTAGTTTTCCCCGTGTTGTTTCCCTACTCCAGGATACGACATGACATTGAGTCATCCTGTCTCCTTATGCTCTTCTTGGCTGCGGCAGTTTCTTAGACTTTCTTTGTTTTTGATGACCTTGATGGTGGGAGGCCAAGGTGGGTGGATCATCTCAGGTCAGGAGTTCGAAACCAGCCTGGCCAACACGGTGAAACACCCTCTCTACTAAAAAAAAAAAAAAAAAAAAATTAGCCGGGTGTGGTGGTGAGCACCTGTAGTCCCAGGTACTTGGGAGGCTGAGGCAGGAGAATCTCTTGAACCTGGGAGGTGAAGGCTGCAGTGAGCTGAGATTGCGTCACTGCACTCCAGCCTGAGCCACACAGAGTGAGACTCCATTTAAAAAAAAAAAGATGTTTTGTAAAACATACCTCAATTAGAATTTGTCGGATGTTATTTTCACCAAACAGACTGAGTTTAGGGGAGGAAGATCACAAAGGTGAAGCCCCTTCTCATCACATCCTATCAAAAAAGTACGCACTGTCAACACGAGTTATCACTGTTGATGTTGACCTTGATACCCTGGCTGTGGTTGAGGTTGTGTTTGCCAGGTTTCTCCACTTTAAAGTTACCTTTTTCCCTTTCTTACTTCTTAAATCAACCCCTTTCTTAACCTATTGTGTTTATTCGTCCACATAGTGTCTCTGCACTTGATGCATGACTCTGCATTTGATGCAAGAAGGGAAATAGAATGTCATACCGTTGTCATACCATTGAAATGCATTTTTCAAGACCATCCCGACCAAGATGGTGAAACTCTGTCTCTATTAAAAATACAAAAATTGGCCGGGCGCGGTGGCTCACGCCTGTAATCCCAGCACTTTGGGAGGCTGAGGCGGGCGGATCATGAGGTCAGGAGATGGAGACCATCCTGGCTAACACGGTGAAACCCTGTCTCTACTAAAAATATAAAAAATTAGCCGGGCGTGGTGGCGGGCGCCTGTAGTCCCAGCTACTCAGAGTCTGAGGCAGGAGAATGGCATGAACCCGGGAGGCGGAGCTTGCAGTGATTCGAGATCGTGCCACTGCACTCCTGCCTGGGGGGCAGAGCGAGACTCCATCTCAAAAACAAAAACAAAAACAAAAACAAAAACAAAAACAAAAACAAAACAACAATTAGCCAGGCATGGTGGCGCAAACTATAGTCCCCGCTGAGGCAGGAGAATCGCTTGAACCTGGGAGGTGGAGGTTGCAGTGAGCCAAGATCACACCACTGCACTCCAGCATGGGTGACAGAGAGACTTTGTCACAAAAAAAAAGAAAGAAATTCATTTACAGCAGAGTTTTTTTGTTTAAAAAAAAATTCCCCTTTTCAAAATATGTGGTTTTCTCAAGGGACGAGAGCATTCTGTCTAAAGCACTGTTGCCCTCAAAAAGAAAGACTGGAATGAGCTTTGGTTTCTTTTCCATTGTGACAATTCCCAGATTTGAATAATTCACCACAAGCGTAGATCTCTCCCAAGTCTCCAGTTTTCAAAGCACTTTGAATTTGTGGAAAAACAGAGTTATCCGGATGGTTGGGGCTGGCAGTTCTCTGGGGGACAAAGTGTGCTATAGAAATACATGATTGCCTAAAGAAACTGCTTTGTAAGCCTCCCTACAAGATAAGAGAAACTTTTTTTTTTTTCTCCGAGATGGAGTCTTGCTCTGATGCCCAGGCTGGAGTGCAGCAGCACCATCTCAGCTCACTGCAAGTTCTGCCTCCCAGGCTCAAGTGATTCTCCTGCCTCAACCTCCCAAGTAGCTGGGACTACAGCCATCTACCACCACGCCTGGCTAATTTTTGTATTTTTAGTAGAGACGGGGGTTCACCATGTTGGCTAGGCTGGTCTCGAACTCCTGACCTCGTGATCCGCCTGTCTTGGCCTCCCAAAGTGCTGGGGTTACAGATATGAGCCACCGTGTCCAGCCAGATAAGAGGAGCTTTTTTTTTTTAACAAACAAACAATCCTGCACCCAACTGCTCTGTGTTGGATTTAAGACTTAATTTAGATTATTATTTACAAATTTCCAGAGTCAAGTATATTTCATTTTTTATCAGTAATTCTTATCATTTATCTAGGATTTTTACTTGAACCACTGGTAATGCTGATTCTATGATCTTTAATTTTTCCTATTTATAAAACACCTCTGTGCCCCCAACAACTTCATCATTGTTTTTCTTTTTTTCCCCTCAAGCTATTTTGGAGCTAAATAAAAATTTAACATTCGGGCCGGGCGCGGTGGCTCACGCCTGTAATCCCAGCACTTTGGGATGCCCAGGAGGGTGAATCACGAGGTCAGGAGTTCGAGACCATCCTGGCCAACATGGTGAAACCCCGTCTCTACTAAAGATACAAAAAATTAGCTGGGCGTGGTGGCGGGTGCCTGTAATCCCAGGTACTTGGGAGGCTGAGGCAGGAGAATGGCGTGAACCCGGGAGGCGGAGGTTTCAGGTTACATTTTTCATATATGGCAGCCAACCTGCTTTGCTAAAGCTGCCAAATATTTCATGTCTAAAAAGGGAAATAAAAGACACTTTGAGGTATAAGGAAGTAGAGGACTAGATGAAGGATAATGCCGTTTTGAAGGGTGTGTTTATGGAAGGAAAATATTGTGTATTTTTGGGTGTTTGGAAAGCCCCAGAATGGTGGATTTTACTAATAGAAGTTTGTTGCCCTGCTCATGAGCTACTTTGCTTCTGTAGGTATCCACCAAGCTCCCAAGTGGGCTAGCACATAGTGCAGGCTGAAGAGTGAGCAGGATGAGTGAGCCCACGTCTTATCTCTGCAGGATCCTCTTCTTACACATTGACTTCATCAGCAGGCTTCTGGTGAAAGACAGTGATGGCAAGTGACTGAAATCCAAGATGATGATCCATTGGCTTCCCCCAAATCAAGGAGGGGCCAACTAACCAAGCCACGAGAGGCATGACACTGCTGCTGGGCCTCACGAATGGTCTGGAACCAAGGGATGGGTCGGTGATATTCTTCTGGCAGAAAAGGCGGGCATCAACTTGCACAAGGTAGACCTCTCATTGGCTCAGCTTGGGTCAGGTGACTGCTCCTGGACTACGGGATTGGTTCATCTGGAAACCGGGCTGCCATAGGAACCATAGGGTCCAGAGGGGCGGGGTATTAACAGGAAAACTAGGAGTTCCGTTTTCAGAGGAAGGAGAGTGGTCTGGGCAGACAAAACTGTTAAGGTCCATGACACTAACTTAATGATGAGCATATAAGTAGAAAGTTATAGATGTCGCCACGTCTGGTGTTTTCTCAGTTTTTTTCCTAGAGAGGAAAGTAAACATATTATTCTGTTTTAATAGGTTGCCAGGTGGCCCATCCTATAATCCCATATCCTCACGTTCTGTTAATATGTTGGTATTTTTCCTTCTAGTCTTTTCTTTTCTCCACCCCCCACTCCAGGCTATGGTTTCTTAGGCTGCCGGTTTTTGCTTTGCATGAAGCTAGACTGACTTTTGGGTTCTTAGCTAACTTCCAAATCTGTGAGCTTTTTTCAAATGAAGTTGGAATAGTCTCCCTAGCCAGCTATATTGACAGGAAACTAGGTGAAAAGATCTTTGAATAAATTGTTTGTCTCTGCTTGCCAATTCTAGTGAATCTTGAAATATGACTCTCAAAGAGACCATTGAAAATGACCTGGAAACTTTGGCCACTTGGTCCCATGAAATAGAGGGCCCCCAAAGTTTGGTATAACAAAATCACTTCCAAATTTTAACCTAGACATTACAGGCTGGAAGGACTGCAGGCCAAATGTGACCCAGATGTGTTCTGTTTGCCTCATACAGCTAAAAAATTTCAAATTAATTACCAACCTTTGAAATCAAGAGCTTTTATCTGAATTTTGATCTTCTCTCTAGATATGGGGAGATGTGGCCGTGCCTGGTCAGCCTTCCTGAACCACACATTGGCTGGATTGCTGTGGGTGGGGCAGACTTTGTTGCTACAGAACCCCAGACCCCGCTGTTACCCACTGGAGTTATTTACAAGGCCTGCCGGATGCCTGTACGTCAGTGGCTTCAATCCGGCCACTCTCATTGGCTTGCTGCTCCTGGAGTTGCCCATGCTGAGAACCGTTCTGTTCCACCCAGCCAGCAGCCAGTGGAAATTTCCTGACCCCTCCTGGGCCTGAAGCCCCAGAGCCAGGACCGGACCTTTGTGGATACTGATGGCTGGAGAAAATGTCTGTAAGACTCTCAGTAGAGAAATGCTAGGTGCAAAACTGCACAGGGCCTATCATCCTAGGGTAATTTAGAAATACGTGCATATAAAATTATCCCTATCTTGATGTTTCTGTTTGGGTTGTTACCTCTGTTCCCTGATCTTCATATCTACACCAACATTTTAACAATGTAGAATTCCGGTACATGTGCATTTCACTTCTAATTTACATACACTCCAAAGAATTTTCCAAAAATGTTCTCATTGCATATTTTGCTTATGTATATACACTCTTCAGCGTGCATGCCCTCCACTCCCATGCCTTAGCCACACCTCATCCCTAGTGGACAGGAACCCATTTCCACGCCCAGCTGTTATCTATACTTTATCCTGCACAGGTTGTACACACAAACCCTGCTTACTGCATTTTGTGCATGATTTATGGGATTTTCAAGAGTAATTCTGACCACGCCCAGTTCTTTTTAAGTGCACTGATTGAGAACTCAAGGTAATTCTTGGGGAGATAGGGCAAGAAGACCAGAAACCAGGAAGAAGGCAGGAAAAAGACAAGATCTGGGTCTGCGTGGGACTTCCATTCTAGGAAGTGGGAGTTTTCAGCTGAGCATAGCAAGGATTTGAATCTGGGCTTGCGAGGTCCAGAGGCATTTGCATACTTCCCTAGCGTTGATGAATTGAGCTAACTCACACACACCAGGTATCCACACATCTTGGAACCAGATAGTAGATGGGAAAACATGGAAACACGGCATAAACACAGGAAACAATGAGAGGTTAACAGTGTATTTTTTGCTTGTTATCTGTGTGACCTAAAGCATGTATTGAACCTCTCTGATATCACTTTGCTTGGGTCATGTAATGGGCCCATTATAGTGGGTTCCTTATGTGGTTGTGGTGTTCATGGAGATTAGAAATAGCAATAACACCCACCATTTATTGGGCATTAAAAAAATATATATATATATAATATATTAATATATATGTGTATATATATATATTATATATATTTTTTATATATATGTATATTTTGAGACAGGGTCTCACTCTGTTTCCCAGGCAGGAGTGCAGTGGTGTGATCTCAGCTCGCTGCAGTCTCCAACTCCTGGGTTCAAGTGATTCTAGAGGCATGTATTATATTTCAGGTAATGTGCTCAATATTTTATATCCATGATATCACTTCATCCTCTCAATCATACAAGGGATAGGTACCATCACTATCTCCATTTTACAGACAAGCAAACTGAGGCTCAGAGGGTTTTTTTTTTTTGACAGAGTTTCGCTCTTGTTGCCCAGGCTGGAGTGCAATGGCACAATCTTGGCTCATCACAACTTCAGTCTCCTGAGTAGCTGGGATTCCAGGCACTCACCACTATGCCCGGCTAATTTTTTTTGTATTTTCAGTAGAGATGGGGTTTCACCATGTTGGCCAGGCTGGTCTCAAACTCCTGACCTCAAGTGATCTGCCTGCCTCGGCCTTCCTAAGTGCTGGGATTACAGGCATAAGCCAGCGTGCCTAGTTTAAAAAAAAAACACTTTTTTTCTTTCTTTTTTCTCTTTTTTTCTGAGACGGAGTTTCACTCTTGTTGCCCAGGCTAGAGTGCAATGGCATGATCTTGGCTCACTGCAACCTCCGCCTCCTGGGTTCAAGCGATTCTCCTGCCTCAGCCTCCCGAGTAGCTGGGATTACAGGTGCCCACCACTGCACCTGGCTAATTTTTTATATTTTTAGTAGAGATGGGGTTTCACCATGTTGGCCAGGCTGGTCTCGAACTCCTGACCTCAGGTGATCCACCTGCCTTAGTCTCTCAAAGTGCTGGGTTTACAGGCGTGAGTCACTGCACCCAGCCAAACAAACAAACAAACAAAAAACCACTTTTTAAATCTAAAATTTAAAAAATATATATTTTTAGTTTATTTTTTAATATTAAAATTTTTTGTAGAAATGGGGTCTCACTATGTTGTCCAGGCTGGTCTCAAACTCCTGGCCTCAAGTGATCCTCCTGCGTGAGACTCCCAAAATGCTGGGGTTACAGATGTGAGCCACCATGCCCAGTCAATCCCTTGGCAATTTAAAAAATTAAAATATTTAGGAAGTCCAAATTTATTTTTTACTTTTTAGATAACATACAGAAATAGAACCTCTGATCATTTTTGATGACCTTCAAAAAAATATTTGCTTTCCCAAAGCCTGCTTTCTCATCTGTAGAGATAATAATGGCCCAACTTCACATCATTGTTGTGAAATTTAAAAAATAATGTCAGTGAATTACTTACTGCAATAAGAGTGCAATCAAAGTTAAGTCATTATGAGGTCAACGTTGTAAATTTTATTTATATTTACCTGCTTGTTTTACAAAATGGAGCCATACTTCCTATGCTGTTTGCTACCTTGCCTTCTTTTTTAAAAAATGTAACAGCATATGGTGACATTAGTATATAATCATCAGTGTCATTTATAATAATTGCCATATATTTTGCTGTGTGGATTTTTGATAGTTATTAAACAAAACCCCTATTGATGGGCATTTTGGTTGTTTGAATCTTTCCCATTCTTACAGGTTTAGGAGACCTTTAATTATGTTTTAGGGTAAATTCCTACCCAGGGGAACCTTTTCTTCCTACCCCACCCTGGCGTTTCTGGCTCCTCCACTCTGGGAAGGCACAGAAGGTTTGTTTGAAATTGACAAAGAAATCTAGGCTGGGGACTGTGGGGTGTGGAGGTGGGGGCAGGGGATGGGACTTGGGGATTTTGCTGGTGGCCCAGGTAAAATCAGATAAGGAGGCCGATTATGCATGCTGATAGAGGCCCAGATAGCCACCGGTTTACAAAATCCTTCTTGCAGATCGTTTTAAAGATGCCCTTCTTTTGTGATTTTAATATGTCCTGACTCCACCCACCACTGAAGCTATTCCCAGGTTGATACCTGCGAAGAGCCAGAGAACCAGTGCCCATCTCTTTATCTCTTTCTCTCTGGTTTTCATTCCTCGTCTATTTTCATTCCACCAAATAGGTTTGGTTTTTAAGCTTTTCCTCAGGAAAATGAAATACAAGATGCAGATTTTTTTTTTTTTTTTTTTTTTTTTTTTTGAGACAGAGTCTCGCGTCTCGCTCTGTCACCCAGGCTGGAGTATAATGGTGCGACCTCGGCTTAACTGCAACCTCCGCTTCCCAGGTTCAAGTGATTCTCCTGCCTCAGCCTCCCGAATAGCTGGGATTACAAGCGCCTGCCACCATGCCCAGCTAATTTTTGTATTTTTTAGTAGAGATGGGGTTTCACCATGTTGGCCAGGCTGGTCTTGAACTCCTGACCTCAAGTGATCCACTTGCCTCGGCCTCCCAAGGTGCTGGGATTACAGGCATGAGCCACCACGCCTGGCCAAGATGCAGATTTTTTGTTGTTTGGATGCAAAAGCACAGCTTTGGGGAAAAAAAAAACCCAAAAAACTGATGGAGGCACTTTCTTAAGCAGATTGGAGGCCCTGCACCCTGCTAGGGGCTGGGTCCCCACCCTGGAAGCCTATATTTAGATATCTGAGAGTGAAACAGGAGGGAAAGAAACAAAATGAAGAAAACTTCTGTAAGCCTCAGTTTCCTCGTGCAAAATGTGGACGTTAATAGTATCTCCTTACCTCGGGGTCACCACGGTATTGGATAAAATAATGCCAGTAAAAGGTGTCCCAGTATCAGAGAAGATGGCCATTACTCAAAGGCTTGCTCTAGCAAATGTCAAGCTACAGACAGAAATCAGCGCTCTCAAGGAGAGCTTGAGGGTGAGATTTTGGTCTAGATTTGGGCATGGCAGTGGCAGTCGGGAGAGGCTTCCCTGGGGAGGCAGCCAGGCCTGCAAACGGTGTTTATCGTTCTCTCCATCTGGCATTAGGGCCAGAGCACTACTGTCTCTCTGTTCCCCCAACACGACGCGCTGCCAGCACCCACACTGCTGCAGAGCCTTAGCACAGGCTGCTTGCTCCGCTGGATCACACCCAAACCATGGCCTGGCTGGCTCCTTGTTGACTTTCAATTCTGAGATGAATGATCATCTCCCTGGAAAAGGCTCTGCCACTCTCCAATGACCCAGCTCTGGTTTATCTTCACCGTGCTGATCGCCCCTGCAATCTGTTTGCTTTCAGCTCTTGGACCTGTTCTTCCCTACCCACCCAGGTGCGCTTGGTGCTGTGTGCACAGTAGGTGCTCGGTCAATATTTGTCCAGGGCATAACACGCCTTCCAGCAGTGTGGCTCCAGCTCCGAGGGCATATTCATCATCGGGGGATCTTGTTAGAATCAAGGGTCCAGTTCAGTAGGTCTGGAGTGGGGCCCAGGAGTCTAAGTGTCTGAGAAGCTTCCAGGTATTGTGATGCTGCAGGTAGGTGGGCCGTGCTTTGGGGTTCAAGAGTGTGTGAATGGGACAGCTGCGACCTGGGGCGTCAACAGAGGGAGGGGCTGGTTGAAACAGGGAGGGGCTTCATTGAGGAGGAGACCCTGATATTTAAGTAATGGAATTTGTCTCCCCCACCCCCACCCCCACCCCCACCATCCCTTCATCCCTGCTGCCATTATTTCTCAGCCACGTTATTTTTTTTTTTTGAGACACAGTCTCGCTCTGTCGCCCAGCCTGGAGTGCCATGGCGCGATCTTGGCTCACTGCAACCTCTGCCTCCTGCGTTCAAGTGATTATCCCGTCTCAGCCTCCGGAGTAGCTGGGATTACAGGCATACACCACCACACCCGGCTAATTTTTGTATTTTTGGTAGAGACGGGGTTTCACCGTGTTGGCCAGGCTGGTCTCGAACTCCTGACCCCAAGTGACCCACCTGCCATGGTCCCCCAAAGTGCTGGGATTGCAGGCGTGAACCACCGCGCCTGGCCTCTCAGCCACATTATTGATCTGCTCATCATGTCCTCCTTCCCCCCGATCATTGTCCCCAAGCTAACCTGAGCTTCCTAAAGCCCACAGAGAGCTTGCCATGGCCTCGGGAACACTCAGACTCTTGCCTACTCCTCCAGCCTGGCGCTAAAGAGGCACCCCCCACAAAAAATTTGCTGAATAAAGGACTGAGTGATGTCATTGGGCCACAATTGACTCCTGGGGCTCTCTTGTCCCTTCAACTCCACCTCTCATCTGCATGTGTGAACCTCCCAGTTGGACTGGAAAAAGGTTTAGCTCCTCTCTTTATCCTGCAAGGAAGCTCTGCAGGAAACTCTCCAAGAGGACAATAAGCCCCCTTGCCTTTGCAAAAACATTTTAATACCTGTTATTTTCAGCTGAGTCCCGCACAGATCGGCAGCACCGGTTTTGAAGGCCACGTGTACTCCAGGTAAGGAGGATGCAGGTGCAGGGGCCAACTGCCTGTGCTTGTTCCCTTACACACTTGTTGTTTTAACTTCTTTGTGCTTCGATTTTCCCATCTGTGTAATGGGGATAATAAAATGTACCTCCAGGCCGGGCGTGGTGGCTCAAGCCTATAATCCCAGCACTTTGGGAGGTCGAGGCAGGAGGATCACCTGAGGTCAGGAGTTAGGGGACAGACTGGCCAATATGGCGAAACCCCGTCTCTACTAAAAATACAAAAATTAGCCAGGCGTGGTGGCTCATGCCTGTAATCCCAGCTACTCAGGAGGCTGAGGCAGGAGAATCACTTGAACTTGGGAGGCGGACGTTGCAGTGAGCCGAGATCGTGCCACTGCACTCCAGCCTGGGTGACAGAGCGAGACTGTCTCAAAAAATCAAAAAATAAAATATAAAAAAAAGTAAAGTACCTCCGATTGCTGTTAGCATGACGAAGTAGTTAATACAGCTGCTCAAGCAGAGTGGCGCCTGACATATTGTGAGCCCTCGGTTGTATTCGATGCTGTTGTGTTTAGCAGAGTAAGAAAGACTGTGAACAACTGAATGGCCAGTTCAAGCCTGCTTACCTTGCTAATGGGAGAACTGGGCTGAACAAGTTCTCCTGTCTATAAATGCTATGGGCTTTCCTTGTATTTCAGGAGTCCCCAGTATGGGATATTTTTGGACCAGAAAATTGAAATGCCAGTGGTACCTTTGAGGACCCCTGGCATTTCATTCCAGATGGAACTAGTAAACATCCGGTGGAGGGGGGCAGGGAATTATCTCAGACTCAAGAAGGATCATTCTCATGAAGACAGAAAGTGTCTGCATCCATAGGGTATGGTCCGCTCTTATCTCAGTTCTGTGGAGAATCTTGACTATTTTGTTCTAGAGCAGTGATGCCTCCATTGGTACCTCAAAGGGTCACTGAAAATGTTTGGGGAACTCTTTGATTGTCACAATGGCCAAAGGGCAGCTGGTGACATTCATGGGCAGAGGTCATGGATGCTAAATGTCCTTCAAGGTGCAGAGCAGTCTTCCGCCCACAAAGGCTGTCCCACCTCCCACATGACTTGGTGTTTTGTTTTGTTTGAGATGGAGTCTCACGCTGTTGCCCAGGTTGGAGTGCAGTGGCATGATCTCAGCTCACTGCAACCTCCACGTCCTGGGTTCAAGGGATTCTCCTGCCTCAGCCTCCCAAGTAGCTGGGATTACAGGCACCCGCCACCATGCCTTGCTAACTTTTGTATTTTTAGTAGAGATGGGGTTTTCCATGTTGGCCAAGCTGTTCTAGAACTCCTGACCTCAAGTGATCTGCCTGCCTCGGCATCACAAAGTGTTGGGATTACAGGCGTGAGCCACCATGCCTGGCCTCCCACAGGACTTTGAAACCACCCTTAGCCATTCCTGTAGGCAAAGAACCAGTTTCTCATTATCCAAGTCTAGAACCCAATTACATATAACATTGAAATACAAACTATTTTTGCATACTTTTAATAATCACTGATTTTTTTTCAGAAATATAACTACTGGATAAATGAGGGGGAAATAGGTTTTGTTTTGTTTGAAATTTTACGAAGAGTTGGCCATTTTGCAGATTCTTGTCACCAACGGTACCACTGCTCCGCCTTGAATGCTGTCTCCCCTGAGCTGTGAGTCCCAGGGCAGATGCTACCCTTCTCACCCTGTGTCCCAGCTCCAGTCACACCCACTGGTCCAATGTGGGCTGGCACAGAAGACTGCAGGCCTGGGGGTGCCCAGCACTGGGACTGGAGATCAGAACACCTGACTTCAAAGTCTGGTTTGAGCACTTTCTAGCTGTGTGCCCTTGGGTAAGTCTTTGGTCATGCTGAGCCTTGGTTTCTTTCACTGTAAAATGGGATCCTAAAGTGCCAACTCGGCCGGGTGTGGTGGCTTCATGCCTATAATCCCAGCACTTTGGAAGGCTGAGGGGGGCGGGTGGATCACTTGAGGTCAGGAGTTTGAGACCTGCCTGGCCAATATGGTGAAACCCTGTCTCTACTAAAAATACAAAAAATTAGCCAGGAGTGGTGGCACGCATCTGTAATCCCAGCTACTCAGGAGGGTGAGGCATGAGAATCGCTTGAATCCAGGAGGCGGAGGTTGCAGTGAGCTGAGACAGTGCCACTGCACTCCAGTCTTGGTGACAGAGTGAGACTCTGTCAAAAAAAAAAATTATACCATGGAGTGGATATGAGGGCGCAAGGAGATCATGGGGGCCTGTGCTCAGCCTGGCAACAGGAGCACACAATTTACACCTGTTATCAAAGATGAACGGCCAAATGAATGGAGGAATGAAGGGAGTGGACCTCGAGATTGCGTGCATTTTCTATTTTTTCCATGGCATGAGATGGTGTTTAGGGAGTCAGTGGTGTTGGTGAAAACACACACACACAGCAGGATAAGAACAGGTGGGTCCTTCTGTTGATCCACGTCCTTGCCCTCCCCTTGGCCTTCCTCCATCCTTCTCTCTCTCGGCCCCCTCCTGCTCCCACCACTCCCCATCACTCTCTCAGGATGAATGAGAGGGAAGCACTGAAACCCCCTGACCAGCCCCCACTGCAGCATGGCCTTGAGGAGCAGAGGCCACACCTGAGAGCAGGAGGGCCTGGATTCACGTACTGAAGCCACCGTTCCCTGGCGGGGTGACCTGGAATTCTTGATTCTGTTTCCTCCCTGGAATTCCCCATTATCTCGTCACACCTTCACATCCACTCTATGAGGCTGGTACTTTAGGATCCCCATTTAGCAGCTAGAGAAACAGAGGCTCAGGGTAACTAAAGAGTTCCTGCCTTGGAGGGTTGGGAGGATGAAAACTTGCAACTTCCGTGTGCAAGTTGCTTGGCCCAGTACCTGAGGACAAAGGATGGTCAGTAAACAAGTCCCTGTGCCCTCCCTCCTCCTTTGTCCTCCTTTTGTTTCTGGGCTATGATTCACACCTGGGTTATGGGAGCTTCAGAAATCCTGTATTTTCTAGGCACCAGAGGGCTGTCAGAACAGGGACAGGAAACAGGGGAGCTGGAATGGAGTCATGGAGAAGTTGATCAGGGAGGCCACTCAAGTGTCTCCACCTGTGGAAACTCATGCTGGCTCCAGGATGCAGGCGTGTGCAGCAGGTGAAGGGGTTGAGGCTGGGGAGCGGGATACCAGGCAGAAAGAAAGGCAAGAGCAAGAGAGCAGGGTGTTCATGGGCGTCTGCGAGGAGCCACTTGCCAGACACCAGTGACTGATCAGCTCCGGAGGACGTGCCATGTTCAGAGATGCCCCACCTGTCTTGTTCTTGATAAGGACACCCCGCTTGACTGAGAATTATAGTGGAGATCAACCCAACGGCCTCAAATTCCAGGGACCTGCAGATGGATACTAGTGTCCTTCAATATCAAGATTCTGGAATTCTTGCCTCCTTATTTATTCAAATGGATTAACTGAGAACCTACTGTGTGCAGACAGCATTCTCAGTGCTGGGATACAAGCATGAACAAGACAAGGTCCTGGCCTTCTGTCTTAGTCCATTTGGGCTACTGTAACAAAATACCTTAGACTGGGTGGCTTATAAACAACAGAAATGCATTGTTTACAGTTCTGGAGACTGGGAAGTCTAAGACCTAGGCGCCAGCAGATTCTGCATCTGAGCTCTGTGCTTCACGGTGTCTTCTTGCCACGTCCTCCCATGGCCAGAGGGCAAAAAGCTCCCTCAGGGCTTTGTTATAAGGGCAAGAATCCTGTTCATGAGGGTGGGGGCCTCCCTAACCCCAAAGGCCCCCTCTTAGTACCATCAGACTGAGGATTCAGTTTCAACACATGGATGTGGGGGACACAGACATTCAGACCAAGTGGCCTCTAGGATGGCCGTGATGCTAATGGAAGCAAAAGTGGTGCAAATCAGGAAGGCGGGATTTTCCTCCACTCAATCCGGTGACAAACTTCTTTTCCTGTCTCACTTTACAGGCAAGGAGACTGGTCCTTTGCCCAGATCCCACAGCCAGAGAGGGGCGAGGCAGGATGGAAACCCTGGTCTGTGTCCCTCGGAGCCTGGGCCCTGGGATGTGTGAGTCTCTTCTGGCTTCTGTAACAAATGACCACTAACTGGCTAGAGACAGCACAACTGTAGCATCTTACAGTTCCGGAGCTCAGGAGTCGGAAACGGGCCTTGCCTGGCTAAAATCAAGGTGTCAGCCGGAAGGCGCTCTCCCTGGAGGCTCTAGGGGAGAAAGTTGTTTCTTGCCTTTTCCAGCTTTTAGAGGCTGCCTGCATTCCTTGGCTCATAGCCGCCTCTTCCATGTTCAAGGCCAGCAATGGAGCATCCTTAAATCTCCCTTTCTGACTCTGGCCGTCCTGTCTCCCTCTTATGAGGACCCTTGTGATGACACTGGCTCCTCCAGATCAGCCAGGATCACCTCCCCACTTGGAGATCCTTGACTTCCTCACATCTGTAAAGTCCCTTCTGCCGTGTGACATATAAGGAGGCCAAGATGCGTCTGATCTTTAAAAGACTAAAGCCCCCCAAACAAGTCTGAGGAGACTCCTGGCTTGTTTTTATTTTGGCCAGGAAAGTTTTCCAATATCCCTGGCCTTCAGGCTTGTCCCCTAGGAGGATGGAGGGACTGAGCTGGGGAGATGTCTGTGAATGGGGGTGGGGTGGATTCACAGGTTTCAGGGGTTAGAACGCCAGTGTCTTTGGGACCCATTATTCTGCCTTCCACTGCGTGGATGATGGGAAAGCTCCTGGTTCCAGGGCGCAAACTTAGCCTGGCTCTTTGGCCTCTCTGTGCCTCAGTTTATATAATGAGGGTGAGGAGAATATCTGTTGGGGTTGTTGAAGTAGTGAAGGAGTTGGTAATTGAAAAGTGCTAAGCATATGCCAGGCACTGTGGACACATGCGCTGTACCTTTTGGGAGGGCACATCCCTCCCCCACCTGCTACCACCCCACCCAGGCTGGCATGCAGTGGTGCAATCACAGCTCACTGCAGCCTTGACTTTCCGGGGCTTAAGTCATCCTCCCACCTCAGCCTCCGGAGTAGCTGGGACCACAGGTGCACACCATTACACCCAGCTAATTTTTAAATTTTTTGTAGAGACGGGGTTTTGCCATGTTGTCTAGGCTGGAAGTCCATCTGACATTGAAGTTCTCTTTCAGTTTTGACATCTGATCCATCTAGGGCTGTGTGTGTGTGACAGTGTGTGTGTGATTGTGTGTGTGTGTATGATTGTGTGTGTGTATGATTGTGTGTGTGTGTATGTGTGCACATGTCTTTATGGGGATTGAGGGTGGGTGGAACAGAGACTGGGAGAGACACTTTGTGAAATGTTTATATTTTATGCCTTTTGATGTAATTCCAACTAGATCTTAAATCATGCAGCAGGAAGCTCCTTAAAATTTTTAATTTGTTGTTTTTCTTAGAAATGATTATTTCCACATTGCGCCCAGAGACACTCGTGCCTCGTCCTGCCTCCCATCCTTGTGCTGTTCTAAAAGGTCCCCAGGCGGTGGTTGTTTACTGCTGCCAATCAGGTGGGCTTTGCACAAACCATGCTTTGGGCCCACCCTGTCGTTCTGTGAAGCTGTAATATCTTTGGGAAGATTTTTATAGCTTGTCCCACATAGGCTGGGGCTGGGATATTTAGAAGAAGGCCAACCTGTAGATTCCTTGCTAAAAACCACATGGTATTTTACAAGACGGGTTGAGAGGGAGAGCTGGGGCTGGGTGTGGGGCGGCATAGAGCTGGATTCTTGGGGAATCTTCTCCACATTTAATTTAATTTTTGACGCCGAGAGCTTGATCCTGGTTTTGAAGAACTGGAGTATAAGAAGAAAAAAAAATCACATAAATTTAATTAGGACGGAGGAAAGAGATGCTTTTGATCTTTAAGAGACTAAAGCCCCAAACAAGTCCAAAGTGTGTCCCTGGCCTTTAAACTGATAACCCAGGAGGACGGAGGGACAGAGCTGAGGGAATATTTGAGATGGGGCGGGGGGCGAGCGTGGGCTAATGGGTGACCCACAAGCTGACTTCAAAGGCTAGCTCTTTACAAGCAAGCAAGGACACCAGAGGGTCTGTGAGGGGTGCGGGGATGCCTCTAGGGGCTGGGCCTGCAGGAATTTCACACCACCACAAGGCACCAGCGGCAAGAGGGGCTCAGAGAAAGGACTTGAGGCCATGGTCGCACAGGGTCCCTTTGCAGGGGACACCTCCTGAGGGTCGGGATGGGGGTAAGGGCATGAAGGTGGGGCTTGGGAGCGAGGCAGAGATGGGTTCAAATCCCAGCTAGCAGTGCTGGGACAAAGCACATGACTCTCTGTGTTTCAGTTTCCTCATCTGTAAAGGGAAGGTGATTTTAATTCATGATGTTGTTGCAAAGGTGGAGTGAGCTGGTGGGGACAAACAGGCCCAGTGAGGAACAGCCATGGGATTTCAAGATGGAAACAGCTTTACTGTTTTTGTCTGATTCTAACTGGGGTTTCTCAACTCTGACACTCCTAACATTTCTATTGATTGATTGATTGAGACAGGGTCTTGCTCTGTTGCCCAGAATGGGGTGCAGTGGCACAGTCATGGCTCACTGCAGTCTCCTTCTGCCTGGCTCAAGCCATCTTCCCGCCTCAGCCCCACCAAGTAGCTGGGACCACAGGTGCATGCCACCACACCTGGCTAATTTTTAAAATATTTTGCATAGAGATGAGGTTTCACTATGTTGCTGAGGCTGGTCTTGAACTCTTGGCCTCAAGTGATCCTCCTGCCCTAGCCTCCCAAAGTGTTGGGATTACAGGTGAGAGCCCCTGCACCTGGCCACTCCTGACATTTCAATCAGGATCATCCCTAGCATACCCACTAGATGCCAGCAGCAATGCCCAGGCCCCAGCTGTGACAACCAAAAACATCTCCAGACACTGTCAAGTGTCCCCTGTGGTCAAAATCCCCCCACCCCCATTGATAGCCACTGAGTGTGCCTATTGTAAACGAAACAAAAACCAAAAGCAAAGATTGTATCAGACAGAATAGAAGAATATAAAGAAGAAATAAGTATCCAGAGATTCTGAAATAACCACTGTTTCCATTTAAGTATACATTTTTTGGAGATTTTTCTATGTAAACACACACATAGTCTATACATCCAAGTGATATAAATTTAATTTTTCATACAACTGATCATAGGGATATACGATACGTTTTTTTCTTAAATAAAATTTTCACTTTACTGGCTTTTCATAAAAATATCAAAAGGAATGCACACTTATTGTTAATAGGTCAAACAACATACAGGACTGCAGAGAAAAGGAAACGACTCCTTCCCTCCTACTTTGAGTCCTACTCATTCTATACTATTATTGCTAGTAATGACAGCTACTATTTATGCAAAGCTCTCTCGGTGCCACCAAGCAGGTGCTAAGCCCTGGCCACAGGTGTCTCATTCAGGGCTTGCTGCATCCCTCTGAGATGGACACTCTTATTGTCTTTCTAGTTTATGGATGCAGAAACCCAGGCACAGGAGGTTCCCCTCCTGCTTGCTAAGGGCTGGCTCCACGATCTATTACATGCTACACCCATCACAGGCCTTTGCAAGTTTCCTCGCCCTTTGCAGGAGTTGATGCACTCCGTGGAGTCAACCCTTCTGTGTTTTTGTTCTGCTGAACTAGGCTTCCATTTTCAAAAGTATCTCATGGATCAAGATGGCCTTCAGAGCTCCAGCCATCACACTCACATTCCAGCTGTCGGGAAAGAGAAAGGAACAAAGGAAAAAATGAGGAAACACAATACTCTCCTGAGCTTGGAGCTCTCCCCTTAAATCCTTCCATAGAAGCAGCCCCGCTTCCACATCGGTGAAAGAGAAAACCCAGACACTCTGACGTGCTCTCTCTCTCCCTTTTTTTCCTTCCTTCCTTCCTTCTTTCTTTCTTTCTTTCTTTCTTTTTCCTTCCTTCCTTCCTTTCTTTCTTTCTTTCTTTTTCCTTCCTTCCTTCCTTCCTTCTTTTCTTTCTTTCTTTCTTTCTTTCTTTCTTTCTCTCTCTCTCCTTCCTTCCTTCCTTCCTTTCTTTCTTTCTTTCTTTCTTTCTTTTTCCTTCCTTCCTTCCTTCCTTCCTTCCTTCCTTTCTTTCTTTCTTTCTTTCTTTCTCTCTCTCTCTCTCTCTCCTTCCTTCCTTCCTTCCTTCCCTCCCTCCCTCCCTCCCTCCCTCCCTCCCTCCCTCCCTTCTTTCTTTCTTTCTTTCTTTCTTTCTTTCTTTCTTTCTTTCTTTCTTTCTTTCTTTCTTTCCTTCTTTCTTTCTTTCTTTCTTTCTTTCTTTTAGACAGAGTCTCGCTCTTAGTCTCTGTCTCCCAGGCTGGAGTGCAATGGCACGATCTCGGCTCACTGCAACCTCCGCCTCCTGGGTTCAAGCGATTCTCCTGCCTCAGCCTCCTGTGTAGCTGGGATGTGCCACCACGTCCAGCTAAGTTATGTATTTTTAGTCGAGACAGGGTTTCACCATATTGGCCAGTCTGCTCTCGAACTACTGGCCTCAAGTTATCTGCCCACCTCAGCCTCCCAAAGTGTTGGGATTACGGGTGTGAGCCACTGTGCCTGGCCTGACCTGCTCTTTAAGGCCGTTTATGTTCTGTGCACCAGGGCCTGGGCACCGCACAGGGCTTGGTTCTCAGAAAGGCCTGTGCTGGGCTTTGTGCTCTGCTGATACTGTCTAATGGCTCTTGCATGAGGGGCCCCACACTTTCGTGTTGCATTGGCCTGTATCATATCGGGGAGTCACAGAGCTGGGCTTGATGCCACCTCCTCCTTCTCCAGCCCAATCCTTAGTCCCCTTAAGCTTATGATGCCTTCAGGGGGACCAGGACCCCTCAGACCCCCACAGCCTTGTGTTTACAACACTTCAACCCTTTAAAGCAGGATTTGCAAGTACCTGACATGGGCACAAAGGGTCTGGGGAAGGAAAAGTGGGGATCAGGAGCAGCTGAGGTTCCCAGGAAAGCCACAGCCTGCCTCGAGAGGCTGCCTCTCAGATCTGGCCATGGACAAAAGTACACTTGGCTGTGCCACAGCCTTACTGAGGGCAAACATCCAGAGTTGAAGATGAATGTCAGACTCCCAGTGGTTGGCAAAATCCACATTTTTAAAAGCGCAAATCCACATTAGGAGATTTTCTCCAAAAACTAACCTGGATTCTTGAAAAAGGTCGATGTCATAAAAGACAAAAATGAAAACAACAGCAGAACAGTTCCAGATGAAAGAAGACAGAGGAGACGTGACAGCTCAGAGCACAGTAAGGAACGCTACTGGGACAGCTGGGGACATAGGGACACAGGCTGCATGTTAGATAATAGTATGGGTGCTGTTATATAGGTATTAGTGTAAGAATATGCTATCATTATATCATATACATGATACATTTCCCACTAAATAGTTTGAAAGCTGTACTCTAGTTATGTAAGAGAAAATCCCTAGGAGATATATATTGAAAGTTTTATTTATTTATTTTGAGACAGAGTCTCATTCTGTTGCCCAACGTGGAGTGCAGTGGTGCAATCTTGGCTCACTGCTACCTCCACCTCCCAGGTTCAAGCGATTCTCCTGCCTCAGCCTCCCGAGTAGCTGGGATTACAGGCATGTGCCACCGTGCCCGGCTAATTTTTGTATTTTTAGTAGAGACAGGGTTTCACCATGTTGGCCAGGCTGGTTTCAAACTCCCGATCTCAAGTGATCTGCCCTCCTCGGCTTCCCAAAGTGCTGGGATTACAGGTGTGAGCCACCACACCTGGCCATATATTGAAAGTTTTAGATGCGAAATGTTATGACATCAGCAAGCTGTGTATGTACATCGACACATACACATTTCCACCATCTGTCTCTATACACAGAGAGATACAGAGAGAAGGCGGTGTGAGAAAATAGTGTCCAGTGCTGAGCCTAGGTGAAGACGGGTGGATGGTCATTGTACTTTTTGGGGCAGATTTCAAAATAAAAAGTTGGTGGCAAAACTTGGATGGCTCACACTCTCAGGCAAATCTGCAGGCCGTATGTGGCCCATGACCTTCCTGGTTTGTGACATTTGCATTAAATCACCTGATGCATAGGCAACTTCCTGCCTGGCTGGCAGGCCCCAGAGAAACATCACCTCTGTGATCACCTGAGAGCTAAGCCGAGACCTTGTCCCGTGCACTTGCAGGTAGTGCAGTCCACTGAGTTACAGCTGGGTGCCTATTTGTCTTCTCTGAACTAGGCTATGAGCACAGCCGGGAATGTTTCCTACTCACTTTCGTATCTTTCTCCCCACGCCCTACCCCATATTATTAGGACTAAAATGCAAAGACTCTGAATCACAGGGATGTGAACGAGAGAAACATTTACTTCTAAAACATCCTTAGAAGGTCAGCAGGAAAGGGGTCCAGGCCTTGTGTGGCTGGTACTCCATGCAGTCAACCCTTCTGTGTTTTTTCTTTTCTTTTTTTTTTTTTTTTTTTTGAGATGGAGTCTTTCTCTGTCGCCTGGGCTGGAGTGCAGTGGCGCGATCTCGGCTCACTGCAAGCGCCGCCTCCCGGGTTCCCACCATTCTCCTCCCTCAGCCTCCCAAGTAGCTGGGACTACAGGCGCCCGCCACCACACCCGGCTAATTCTTTTTGTATTTTTAGTAGAGATGGGGTTTCACCCTGTTTAGCCAGGATGGTCTCGATCTCCTGACCTTGTGATCCGCCCGCCTCGGCCTCCCAAAGTGCTGGGATTACAGGCGTGAGCCACTATGCCCGGATAATTTTTTGTGTGTTTTTAGTAGAGACGGGGTTTCACCCTGTTTAGCCAGGATGGCCTCGATCTCCTGACCTCGTGATCCGCCCGCCTCGGCCTCCCAAAGTGCTGGGATTACAGGCGTGAGCCACTGCGCCCGGCCAACCCTTCTGTGTTTTTGTTTTGCTACACAAGGCTTCCATTTTCAAGACTATCTCACAGATCAAGATGGCTTCCAGAGCTCCAGCTATCACACCCACATTCCAGCTATCAGGAAGGAGAGAGGAACAACAACAAAAAAAAAAAAAATGGGGAAATAACATGTGTTACCTGCTGGGGAGGTTTTTAGAAACTTCCAGATGATGCTTCTGTTTGCATCCCCGACAGTCACATGGCCACTGTCACCTCCAAGGAGACCTGGGAATGGAGTCATTATTCCGAGAGACCAAGTGCCCATCTGAAATGTGGGGGTTCTGTTCATGTAGAAGAGAAGAATGGTGACACTAAGGTACAAACTGCAGCCTCTGCCACCCTTCCAAGCCCATGGAAGGCCTGGCATATACTTCATTGAGAGGCAGCAAACTACATCTCTTGCGCCAAATCTGGCCAGATGTCTGTTTGTCTACAGTCCATGAGCTAAGCATAGCTTTTACACTTTAAATGATTATATTTATTTTATTTTATAATTTTTTTTTGAGGTGGAGTTTTGCTCTTGTTGCCCAGGCTGGAGGGGGCCGATCTCGGCTCACTGCAACCTCCACCTCCAGGGTTTAAGTGATTCTCCTGCCTCAGCCTCCCAAGTAGCTGAGATTACAGGCATGCGCCACCAAGCCAGGCTAAATTTTTGTATTTTTAGTAGAGACGGGGGTTTCACTATGTTGGTCAGACTGGTCTCGAACTCCTGACCTCAGATGATCCACCCACCTCGGCCTTCTAAAGGGCTGGGATTACAGGCATGAGTCACTGTGCCAGGCCTAATTGATTGTATTTAAAATGGATATGCAAGAACCTATGTTAACAGCCTTGATGTTGCCTCTGACCTTTAAGAAAAAGTTTGCCGACCCCTGTCCTGGATGCTTAATAAACTCTTTTAAAGATTTGTTTTTCAAGTATTTACCAGCCTCTCCCCATGTGCCAAGCACTGGAGATGCAGCAGCAAGCTGCCCTCATGGGGGCCCTGGCTAGGACGGAACAGAGATAAGAAATAACTAGTGAAATGTAGTTAACTAATTACAGCTGTGCTTCCTGCTATGAAGAAGTGTTAGGTGTTACAAATGCATATGATGGGGCAGCTAATCTATTTAAGGCAGGCCAAGAGAGGGCTGAAGAGGGGCTGGGTAGCTGAAATCCAAAGCAGGTGAAGTTAGTTAGCTTGATTAGCCCTTGAAGTGAGTGCTGGGGAGGAGTGGAGAGTTCCAGGCACAGAGAAGAACAAGGATGAAGACCAGAAGGTGGGAAAGATCTGTGTTGTCTGGAAGTGGCAATAGGCCAGTGTGTTGTTGTTGTTGTTGTTGTTGTTGTTGTGTAAGAGTGAAGGGAGAGGAGAGAGGCAACATAGAAACGAAAAGCTTTCTCTCCTGGAGCTGCAGGAAACCATTCACATTGCCATTTGCTTCCGTCTGTTTCCAGGAGCCTTTCAAATCCCATGAAATAGCCATTTCTAAATTGTACCCACTGCCCTCCTTTCTTTTCATCCCCCCTGCCTTTCCCTAAGTCTTTTAGAAAAAAAAAAATGCAGGGATTCCAGAAAGACTGGTCCAGCCGCATGGAAAGCGGCCCAGGAAACTGCCTGGTGATGGTTGCAAATGCCGTGAGAAGGAAATTGTCCTGTAATTGAAGGGGAAATTCTTTACTAGGATTGTTAAAGAGTTCTTCTACAAGCTCCTTTCATCTGTGGCTTGTTCCATGCCTTAATTAATTTTGATCCGGGAGGTTTCCCGAGCCTCTGGTTGCACCCATGTCTCTTGGAGATCAGGCCTTCTGTTGCAGGTGGAGAAACTGAGGCCAAAGAGGCCCTGGGGTGTGGGGGACCTTGGGGGAACAAGTCCTGCATCAGAAGGCTGGTTTCTGAACATTTTGAGCCTCAGGCTTTCAGGAAAGAGCCCAAAGCCAGCCATGTCAAACAAGAGAAAGAGTTTCTACCTTTAAAAAATGTGTTTTTGTTATAAAATTGGTGAAATCACATTTTATAAGTGATTAGAAAAAACCAACATATAAACACAGGAATATTCATGACCTGTTTTTGTATTGTAACTGGCTAAAAAAAAAACCCTGATATTGCCCACTGGGTTATTCTCCTTTTTCTTGATTCTTGACTGAAACCCAACTGAAACTGGCTTAAATAAAAATTGTACTTCGTTGGCTCACATAATAATAAATCCTGAGGTAGATCCACCTTCAGGCATATCTGGTTCCACGGGCTTAAGCAATGTCATCAACTTTCTCTCTCAGCCTTCTTTGCTCTGTGGCTCTCTCTCTCTCTCTCACGCTTTTTCTCTTTCGCTCTTCAAGTTTTCTCTCTCCTCTCTGCTTTCCAGACTCATCATGAGGTGGTCTTAACAGCTCATAGAGCTTGCTCAGTTTTGCAACTTCAAGGGGAACGTGGTGTCTTCTTCTCAAGAGATTCAGGAAAATCCCAAGAGGGAACAATATTGAGAGGCACAGAGATAGTAAAGAGGACTTCAAAGAATTTTGCTTATTGCTCTGACAATATTTCTCCCTTGGGGATGTTTAAGTGACGTTTGTAAAGTTTCCAATTGCTTTCAACTGTGGTTTTTTTTTGGTTACTGAGCTGTTTCTTTGAAATCATGTAGAAAAACAGACACACACAAATCATCACCCATTATTTTACCATCACTGTTATTATTTGGGGGTGTCTTGTTGTCTGGGTCCCAACGCATTTCTGTGCTAAGTGTAATTGGGGTGGTGATGGGAGGGGTAGGGTAGTGTATTTAGGCTTTGGAGCCAGATGGACTTGGTCTGAATTCTGCTTCTTTTATTCTTATTAAGTGCATGGTCTTAAGTAATAAGCACGGCATGGGGAAAGGAAGAAAGAGAAGGCGTCCCTCGAGTCTTGGAACCAAAGCCCTGAGCTCGATGCTAATTGGATTAACCCTGACCATTGCCTGTGGCCAGGAGAATGCCACGTGCTGACTGGCTCAGGTTGTAGTTACCTGAGCCAATCGCCGTGGAAGGCAGGGAGGGGGGGCACCCTGATTGGCTTAGACAGGTGAAGGCTGCTACAATGATGGACTGGACTGCAGATGTGCGGAAAACTACCGCAGAGCTGGTGCAGGCTCCCGGGAGGCGGGGCTGCGGCACCTCCTGGGCCGGTAGGGTCCTTAGGCGCGGAGGGGAGGGGAGGGGAGGGGAGAGGGTCCTGTCTGGGCTTCTCGCCGGGCATGGCTCTGGGGCTCTGCCCTCCACCTGTTCCCTGACCTGTGTCCCTCTGCTCACCCCGCCCGTATCCCAAGCCAGGGTCATGCCACGTCCCCAACCCTCGCCTTTCTCCTGGGCGAAGGGAGCCCTAACCGCTGCAGTTTGGAGGCCAGACGGTTTTTTGTTTCCTCCTTGGCAAAACATGAGTTCTCTTTTTCTAAGAAAATAAAGGGACTTAAAAAAGAAGAAGAAGAAGAAAATGGGAAAATCGTATAAAAATAAAAGCCCAAATCCCAACTCCAGTAGCAAATTATACTCCAAATAACTCTTAACAAACTAGGCTTGGAACCATTCTATAGGAGGCAACCAGACCCATCAGAATTAAGTTTTTCATAAAGGCAGAGCCAAACCGAGAAAGGTTCTCAAGGAAAAGATTGCTCGAGGCTTCTGAAGCAGAGATTTTAATAATTGTTATCAATACCCACGACTTACTGAGCGCTTACCCTGCACTGTGCTAAGTGTGTTACCTATTATCTATAATCCTCCCGATGACCCTGTTTTACAGAAGAGGAAACTGAGACACAGAGTTAAGTGGCTTGCCCCAGGGCACACCGTTTGCAAGCCACAGGGCTGGCACCCAATCCTGTCTCTTTTTCCAAAGCTCCGTAACCACTGTCCTTCCCTACCTCCCTCCACATCTGGGATTTCAGAATGTTTGCAGAGTGAGGTTGCTGGAGTGAGTTGGGGCTTGAGGCAGGTAGAGCCTCCCCTCCTGGTCCCTGGATTCTGTTGGGTTTTGGCTTGGTCCTTGTAGGACTACTTCAAGCTGGCTGGAGAAGGGGCTTATTCTTTCTGATTTGTTACCCCCTAGATTCTTCCACAAAGCGAATTAGCTCCAGCCAGCCTGGAGTTGCCTGTCTTCTTGTTTTTTAGATGAGAGGGAAGCAAAGCATAATGAACTGTTGCAATAGGCAAGATCCCTGGACTTAAGAAGGAAATAGTCTCCTCTCCTGCTGACTTTGTGAGGCAAAGCAGACCAGAAAGGGTCAAAATTCTTTCACCAGAAGTAAGTGCTAAAAAGACAAGAAGAGCAAGCTAAAGTGGAGAGGTACTGGAGGTGCTACTTTGGGTGGGTGATCACGGAAGGCCTCTCTGAGGAGGCGACATAGAAGCAAGGCTCTGAATGATGGAAAAGAACCAGCTGTGGGAGAACCTGGGGAGAGAGCATTGCAAGCCCAGGAGCAGCAGGTGCTGAGATGTGGAGGCTGAGCAAAGGTTACCTAGGGAAGGAAGGGAAGCATGTGGTGGGAAGAAAGGCCTTCCTGGAAGAAGAAAATGCCTGTTGCCTTTCATGCCGGGAATGTCCCTAAGCCAGTGGAAGCTTCTGCCACAGTCAGCTAGGATGTCATCTGAGTCTATGCCACAGTGGTCTTCCCAACCTGGTGACCTGGGGGCCCACTCAGTGGCTAAGGAACGTAGTTATTTGTGCCTGCAGAGAGTGGGATGGTGCGTGACATCCTGCACTAGGTGGGGAAAGGAAGTTTCAATAAGAAAAGTCGTCCCCACCATGGGGATTCTTGGGGCTGCCTTCACCCTTGGGTTTAGCGACCTGCGAAGGAAAACAGCCCAGGGAGGGAGGGATGTGGCCTGCCTAGCTGCCAGGCTCAGAGTGCTGGCAAGGAGGAGGAGCACGCTTTGTTGAGGAAGCATGAGTCGTCACTTACAAAATGCTTGCTTGCTTCTTTCTTTCTTTTCTTCTTTCCAGTTCAGAGCAAATGGCACCGCCTTATCCTGGAGGCAACATCAGGTTGTTTTTCAAAAGTGAAAATTGATATTTGCTCTCTGCGTTGTGTTGACTTTCATTTTAGTAGCCCTCCAGGCAAGCAAATAAGAAAATATCAGTTTCCAGGATGGGAAAGCAGGGAGATACAATACTTGAGGGGCAACAACCCAAAATTTAATATGGATGATTTGCTTAAATATTCACTGGGTCTGTTTAAACATTCCAGATAACCAAAATTATATCCTGAGGAGGCAGCACAGCACATATTTAAACCAGCCGAGTGCATGAGTCCTGATAACTTGGGTTTCAGTCTAATTTTTGCTTCTTACCAGCTCTGAGAATTTGAACAAGTGCCTTAGCCTCTATGAGCCTCAGTTTACCTGCCTAAAAAATGGAAATAACTTTCTCATAGTATTGTTGCGTCTCTCAGTACAGGCTTGGATATACAGGAAATGCTTAGCATAGTGTCTGGAACATGATAACAGTTCACAACATTTAAACTAGTTGTCTAATAATGATGATTAGTGGAATTCGTATTTGTAGTAATAGTGATGAATGGTAGATTCCAGAGTCAGACTTTCTGGGTTCAGTTGCCTGGCTCTGCCACTTACCGTCTGTGTGACCTTAGGCAGGTTAGTTGACTTCACTGAGCCTCAGTTTTCCCATCTACAAAGTGGTGATGAGAGTAAAACACAGTAGTATGAGAACTAAATGTATAAGAACTAAGAACCAATCTTGGTATGGGGTGAGCATTATACGAGTGTTATTATATTATTAACAGTCATCTATTATTATTCTAAGGCTAGAAAGTATTCTTCCTGAGAGCAAGGGCTTGGTTCTGTTTTCCACTGTATCTCTAGTGTCTTCCACAGTGCTGAGCACAGAGTAGGAGCTGAGTAAATTTTCACCAACTGGCTGGGAATGGTGGCTTACGCCTGTAATCCCAGCACTTTGCGGGGCCGAGGCACGTAGATCACTTGAGGTCAGGAGTTCAAGACCAGCCTGGCCAACGTGATGAAACCGTGTCTCTACTGAAAATACAAAAATTAGCCGGGCATGGTGGCTCATGCCTGTAATCCCAGCTACTTGGGAGGCTGAGGCAGGAGCATCGTTTGAACCTGGGAGGTGGACGTTGCAATGAGCTGAGATCGTGCCACTACACCAAAGCCTGGGCAACAGAGCGAGACTCCGTCTAAAAAAAAAAAAAAATCACCAACTTGGTTAAATAAATGGAATAGAAGGCCATGAATGACTCCAGAGTTCCACTGCAGATGGAAAGAGCCTCACTCTCTATCTGCTAAGCATTCTGGTAGGTCTAGAATAGAAATACCTCTCCTTCCCTTCAAGTAGATGCCTTTCAGGACCAGGTCTTGTGCCACAAATACATACAATGCTCAGTAAATGGGTGTAAAGGCTTCTCCGTTCTCCATGGACTCACAGCACCAAACACCAATTCTGTCTCCAGCATGCATCTCCCAGTAGGAGCTCCACTGGCTCAGGAGCCTGAGATCTCCTTGGTGACCCACTGTGTTCAGTTCATTGGCATCTCCAGGGCCTTCCACATAGTAGGCACTCCACTCAGGCAAGTTGATGAAATAGTACTGACACATACAGAGGACACTCAGTAATGGCATTTTGATGGAGTTTGCATGTTTGACTGAAGAGGAGAAGAAAGAGATGCATATTTTTCTCCTCAAGCTGGAGCACACAGGTCGTTGGGGGGCAGAGCTTGATTAGAGACTGGGCCAACTGAGTAGCCACAGGGGCTGCTAACATCTCTAGGACACTAACTTGTCACTGGGCAGGCAACGAGATAGAGAAAATTACATTTGTCAGCCCTCCATTCTGAGAGAATATTCTCTCAAGCATCTGCAGTCATAAGGAATATTTTGATAAGCGGCTTGGGCTGAGGATGAGATGATGAGACCCTCTCTGTGTTGGTTAATTTAAGGTGCCAATTTGACTGGATTAAGGAATACCTAGAGAACTGGTAAAGCACTTCTGGGTGAGTCTGTGAGGGTGTTTCCAGACAAGATTGGCATGTGAGCTGAGTTGGTGAACTGAGTGGGGAAGCTTTGCCCTCAATATGGTGGGCACCATCCAATCAGCTGAGGGTTCAGAACAAAAAACGCAGAGGAAGAGCAATTTTTCTGTCTTTCCTAGAGCTGGGACATTCTTCTCCTGCCATTGGACATCAGAACTCCAGGATTTCTGGCCTTTGGACTGCAGGACTTACACCAACACCCTTCCCCTTCTCCCTACCCCCAGGATTCTTAGGACTTTGGCTTTGGACTGGGAGTTACACCATCGACTTTCCTGGTTCTGAGGCCTTTGAACTTGGGCTGAGACATCAGCCTTTGGCATCCTAGTGTTTCCAGCTTGCAGATGGACCTCATGGGACTTCTCGCATTGTCTTGGGGAATAGCATGTGTCTTCCTTCTATCTGTACTAATCTTTTAAACAAATGGCCACACCCTTGGTTTGCTCTCCTAAAGATGCCTTTTATGTGGCCAGGTGTGACTCTTCCAAATCTCTCTGCTATGCTTTTCTTTTAATTATAAATTTTTTCCTTAAATAATTTCTCTCCTCTCACGTCTTACTCTATGTCGTTAAAAGTAGCCACACAGTTCCTTCAGCATTTTGCTTAGAAATTTCTTCTGCCAGATATCCTAGTTCATCACTCTTAAGCTCTGCCTTCCATAAAGCCCTTGGGCATGGACACAGTTCAGCCGAGTTCTTTGCCTCCTTGTAATAAGGATGACCTTTACTCCAGTTTTCAATAAGAGAGTCTTCATTTCCATCTAGACGTCATAAGAATGGTCTTTACCATCCCTATTTCTACCAGCCTTCTGGTCATGACCACTTAAGTAATCTCTAAGATGATTCAGACTTTCCTAAGCTATTCTCTTCTGAGCTCTCATCAGAATTGCCCTTAATGTTCCCTTCATGGCAACAGAAGCTTTTCTAGCATCTTCTTCTGAATTCTTCCAGCCTCCGCTCATTATCCAGTTGTTGTTATTGTTGTAGTTTTAAGATGGAGTCTCACTCTGTCGCCCAGACTGGAATGCAGTGGCATGGATCTTGCCTAACCACAACCTCTGCCTCCCAGGTTCAAGCAATTCTTCTGCCTCAACCTCCCAGGTAGCTGGGATTACAGGCGTGTACCACCATGCCCGGCTAATTTTTGTATTTTTAGTAGAGATGGGGTTTCACCATGTTGGCCAGGCTGGTCTCGAACTCCTGACCTCAGGTGATCCTCCCTCCTCAGCCTCCCAAAGTCTTGAGATTACAGGCATGAGCCACCGTGCCTGGCCCATTACTCAGCTCTGAAGTTGCTTCCACATATTCAGGTATTTGTTATAGCAACAGCTCCACTCCCAGTGCACATTTCCTGTCTCAGCTCCTTTTGTGTTACTGTAACAGAATACCTGAGACTGGGTAATTTGTAAAGAAGAGAGATTTATTTCTTATAGTGCTGAGGACTGAGAAGTCCCAGGTTGAAGAGCCTGCATCTTGCAAGGGCCTTCTTGCTGTGTCATTCCATGGTGGAAGGTGGAAGGGCAGGAGAGCATATGTGTAAGAGAAGGGGGCCAAACTCATCCTTTGATTAGGAGCCAACTCTCGTGATAACTAACCCACTCCTGAGATAATGCCATTAATCCATTCACGATGGTGGAGCCCTCATGACCTACTCACCTCTTAAAGGTCCCACCTCTCAACACTGTTCCATTGGGGATTAAGTTTCTGACACATGAACTTTGGAGGGCACATTCAACCCATAGCACTCCCTCACTCACGTTCAAATAGAAGTGAATTGTCACCAGGCTGCCTCCCTGGGACTCTGTGCTAGTGGACTAGGAGTGGAGGGGGGGATGCAGAGTAGGGCATGCAAGAATAGGACAGAGCTACATTACCCTAGAGAATGAACCTGAGGGTCCCTTCTGGCATTGCTTCTCAGTTTGAAAGTCAATAGAGTTTCTAGCTTGCTTCCCAAGATGATTGTTTCTGAGGCAGGGAGTGATAAGCCAAGGCGTACGTGAAGCCACAGCTTAAACGTGGTATTTCTTTCGAAGCCGGTTGCAAACCCTTTTAGGATAATTTAAGACAAGTGTCAGGACATGATGGAGTAGAATAACAAATGTCTTCACAGATTTTTAAACACAGTATTTCAAAAAAATCTTGAGCTTCTTCCAGCCAAGTCATCCAGACTCTTAGATAATGTGTTTGCTATTTTCTCTGCAGTTAGAAATATTTTGGTGGACATGGTTATGAAGCACTCACATCGCATTCCTTTTTTTTTTTTTTTTTTAGACGGAGTCTTGCTCTGTCACCCAGGCTGGAGTGCAGTGGCGCAACCTTGGCTCACTGCAACCTCCGCCTCTGGAATTCAAGCAATTCTCCTGCCTCAGCCTCCTGAGTAGCTGGGATTACAGGCGTCCACCACCATGCCCAGCTAATTTTCCTATTTTTAGTAGAGACAGGGTTTCACCATGTTGGTTAGGCTGGTCTTGAACTCCTGGCCTCAGGTGATCCACCCACCTTGGCCTCCCAAAGTGCTGGGATTACAGGCATGAGCCACTGTACCCGGTCTCACATCCCATTCTTAAAACCCGAAGAGGGACCCATAAAACTGGCCATGTCTCTTTCTCTCTACTTCTTCTTTTAAGACTAATTTCTGCAAAAAGATGACTTCTTTGATCTTGAACTCCTTCAGAGGGGCAAGCTAGAGTTAGACTATCATTGGCATCAATGGGGCATTTGGGAGGCAGTCAGAGTGTCTGGGTTTTTTGGGATAAAATCCCAATTCAAACTAAGTTAAAGCCAAAACGGATGCTGTTTGGCTCACAGAACTGGGGAGCACAAAGGTGGCTCCATGGATTCACATGTTGTCATCAGAGCTCTCTCTTTTCCAGTTCTTCTCTCTCTCTTTCTCTACATGGCCTCTTGCTCTTCCATGGAGGGACTTCATCTATGTGGCTCTGTAAAGGTGGTGGGGGTCATGGGCACAGACAAAGCCAGGATTACAGTGTAACCTTGCTTGTGGCAATCACAGAGGCTATAGAGAGCTTGAGTTTCTCAGGGTTTGCCTATAAAAAACCCAGGGCAGGGCTCTGATTGGTCCAGCCTAGATCACATGCATATCCCTGGGCCAATTAGAATAGTGAGGGAGATGGAATCTTGTGATTGGCCAGGCCTAGATTACTGCCTCTCTCTCTCTAAAGGGAGTGGTGGGCAAGTGTATGATCGACAGCTGAAGTGGAATCGCATGGGAAGAGGGGCAAGGTTCCAAAGGTAGGAAGAAGTCATTTACCAGATTGGGGAGAAGCATTGGGCAGAAAGAAACCAAAGATTTTTACCACCCATGAAAAGATATTCTCATAGGAGAAATGGGAAGTCACCCAATGATTTTTTATGGAGTTAGCACCAGGTTGGTGTGGGATTGTGTGACATAAACTCAGATCTTTACCTAAAACCAGGACATTTTATGGGTCTCCATATCCTCAGGGGACCCTATATTCCTTCTCAGGAGAATGTTAAAAATTAGAAAAGGAAGGATTTTCCAAGACCAGAGCATGACTGGTTCTGATTTCTCTATGTCTTAAGAGATTAAGGTGGGAGAATGTTCTGGAGCAAATGGCTCAGTCTTCTTCCAGTTTCAAATTTTGTGCATCCTTCAATGCATCTGACAATGCGGCTAGACTAACTGGGTATGTGGAGGAGATGGGCTAATGGATACAACTTTCCAAGTATTTAATAGCTTCCAGCCAGAGGCCACAAAGTGATGGCATGCTTTCTTTGGCCAGCACAGGGGTTAAGGGGGAAAAGAAATCAAATGCTTGCTAACGTTTGAGATATTGGAATATCTCACATGAAAGCCTGGATTTCCATCTTCTCTAGGTAAACCGGAAGGCATAGTCAAACTTGGCTATAGTTGGCTGGAGCTGAGGAGCAGCCCCTCTTAGATAAGTGTGTATACTCTAGTTTACCACAGTCTCCGCCACTCTGTCCCGCTACCCCAACCCACTTTATTCATTTATCCCATTATGTGTTTGGCCTAAGTAAGCATTTACCTTTGCAAGTCCTGTGTTTTACAACAACAAATTCCCTGAGCACAGTCACTGAAGAACCGGATATTTCTTTTTCTAACTTTGTGCCCTTAAGCAAGTTACTTTCTCTTTCTAAACCTTCTTTTATCTGCAACATAGGGATGAGATGCTTACTTTATTTAACCAATCCTTATGAGCACCTATTATTCTGAACACTGAGTTTACATCAGTGAGCAAATAGACTAAGTCCCTGATCTCATCGGGCTTAAAATCTAGTGTGGGGGAAACAAACATAAAGAGATAAATTGACAAATAGATGGTGGGGGCAGACAAAGGTAGGTGTTCTTGACCCAGGGAAGTGGGAGCACACACTGGGGAGACGATTAAATGTCATAATGTATCTAAATCGTTTAGTCCAGGAGTTGGAAAGCTACAGCTCCTGGGACCAATCTTTCTGCCACCTGCTTTGGTAAATAAAGTGTTATTGGAACACAGCCACTACACTCATTTACATATTACCTGAGCACTACAGACTGCTCTATGATGGCAGGGTTGAGCAATTGCGACACAGACTGTGTGACCCTCGGAGCCTCTAATTTTTACGATCTAGCCCTTTAGAGAAAAAGTTTGTGCAGCTACTGCCTTAGCCTAATGACTGGATAAATAGAAAGACCTCAGCTGGGTGCGGTGGCTCACGCCTGTAATCCCAGCACTTTGGGAGGCTGAGGCGGGTGGATCACTTGAAGTCAGGAGTTTGAGACCAACCTGACCAATAGGGTGAAACCCTGTCTCTATTAAAAATACAAAAATAAGCTGAATGTGGTGGCGTGTGCCTGTAGTCCCAGCTACTCGGGAGGCTGAGACAGGAGAATTGCTTGAACCTGGGAGGCGGAGGTTGCAGTGAGCCGAGATCATGCCACTGCACTCCAGCCTGGTGGCAGAGCGAGACTCCATCTCATAAAAAAAAGAAGGACCTCATTAAATCGCAACTTCTTCTTAGGAGTAGTGCAAATGACCTCCCTCCTTGACGGTTGGTTGCTGGCCCTCCAGTGCTGGAGCCTTTACCCGCTCACTGCACCTCCCTAACCCACCTGCCTTTTTCTTTGCCTGCCTAACAGGCATGCTCCTTATTTAGGGATTAGCCACAGTGAGACTTCCATGGAAAGTTGAATGTGGCCCTAATCGGGGGCAGGGTTGGGTTTGCCCACTGTCCCTGTCGGTGCATTAGATCAGGTTAATCAGACCAAATCACGTACAGGATTAGGCAGGCCACAGCTTGAAGCTTCATGGCAGAAAGGGCTGGATCGGTGTTGACTTCCATTTTTCAGTGGGGTGTGTGTGATGGGCTTGCTGAGGTTTTCTGTGGCTCATCAATGGTCTGCCCATGTGCCAGCTCCCACAGCCTGGCTGCCTCCCAGGGACCTTTGCTCTCAACTGCTTGGGGAGATTTGCTTATCCTGGGCGTCAGGGCACTCATCAGCACAGACCTCCAGCCAGGGTGGCCATAGGGAAAGAGCAGGTGGTGTGCAGAGATGTCAAACAACAGCAAAGGGTTCTGGGTGGGGAGCCACGCAGGCCAGCAGAGTCCTTGGGCCGGGCCTGCTTCACGGGCACATAGAGCTGGGCAGCCACACAGGACCCTGCACTAAAAAAGGCCCTGTGCTTGGTTTGATGCTCTGTGGTTTATGTCTTGAAATTCTTAATAAGTTTGGAGCATTTGCATTTTTATGTATTTATGTATTTATTTTTTGAGACGGAGTTTCACTCTTGTTGCCCAGGCTGGAGTGCAATGGCATGATCTCGGCTCACTGCAACCTCCACCTCCCAGGTTCAAGCAATTTTCCTGCCTCAGCCTCCTGAGTAGCTGGGATTATAGGGATGCACCACCACGCCTGGCTAATTTTTTTGTATTTTAGTAGAGACGGGGTTTCTCTATGTTGGTCAGGCTGGTCTTGAACTTCTGACCTCAGGTGATCCGCTGTCCTTGGCCTCCCAAAGTGCTGGCATTACAAGCGTGAGCCACCGTGCCCAGCCAACATTTGCATTTTTTACTAGGCCCTGAAAATTACAGAGCCAGTCCTGTCTTTGGGGTAGGAAACTGATTTGTATTTCAGTTGCTAAGGGGCCAGAGGGGGCGGGGCGCAGTGAGATGTCTGTGGGTGAGCTAGAGAGTTAGAAATGACCTGGTTTCCTAGCAGGCTTTAGAGCTCCTGGTTCCTGCCCTCATGACTCGCAGGGTTTTACAGGGAGTAATAATAATGTGGCTGAAGTTGGAGACAAAGAAGACCCTCCCTTCCTCCTTCGGCAGCTGATGGAGCAAGAGCAAGACAGCAGCAACTGCATCATTTATTGAGTGCCAGGTACTTTATATTCATCCTCTCATCCACTCCCACAATAACCCTGTGAGGTGGGCATCCTTGTTAAACTCATCTTGTAGGTACAGGATTTGAAGATCAACCAGGTGATAAATTTGCTAGAGGTCACTCAGCTAGTAATTATGTGGAATGGCCATCTAAGTTTAGAACATGAGGAAAATGTTATTAAATCTATTAAATCTCTTAGGTTTTACTTTTCTGGTCCGGAAAATGGAAACACTTAAAGCTACCTTGTAGTATTGTTGGAAGGATTGAGGAAGGGATGTACAGTGTCTAGCATACAGCATGTAATACACACTCACTAAATGATACCCATGGTGATGATGATGGTGAGGCTGGTGCTACTACCGCTGCTGATGGTGGTGGCGATAATGGTGATGGCAATGGTGGCGATGATGATGATAAAGGTGATGCTGCTGCTGCTGCTGTTAATGGTAGTGATGATGATGATGGTGATAATGATTATGATGGTGTTGATGGTGATGATGGTGATGATGGTGATAATAGTGATGGTGATAATGGTGGTGGTGGTGGTAACGGTGATGATGATGGTGGTAGAGATGGTGGTAATGATGGTGATGATAATGATGGTGATGATGATGATGGTAATGATGGTGATAATAGTGATGGTGATGATGATGGTGGTAATGGTGATGATGGTGGTGGTGGTGTTGGTGATGGTGAAGGTTACGATAGTGAGGGTGATGGTGGTGATGGTGATGGTGATGATGCTGATGGTGGTGATGGTGATGGTGGTAGTGATGGTAATGGTGATGGTTATGATAGTGATGATAATGGTGATGATGGTGATGGCAATGATGATGATGGTGATAATGTCAAAATATTGGACTGTTTCCAGCTCCAACTTTGCTGACTTATACCCACCCCCTGAAAGGGCATTTTGCCCCATGGAAAAAATAGAGCAATGTTCTTTTACTCCCTGAGTGTGTTCGCTTTCTATAGCTGCCATAATAAATTACCATAAACTGGGTGTATTAAAAGAAAACAGAAATGTACTCTCTTATAGTTCTGGAGGTCAGAAGTCTAAAAGCATGGTATTGGCAGGGCCTCTGGAGGCTCAGAGGGAAAAACCCGTCCTAGGCCTTTCTCCTCACTGTTGGTGGCTCCTGGCAATCCTTGGTATTTCTTGGCTTGTAGACTTATCACTCCCATCTCCACCTCCATCTTCACATGGACTTCTCTGTGTGTCCTTTCCCATCTCTTACAAGGATACTCTCATTAGATTTAGGCCCTACCCTAATCCAGGATAATCTCATTTCTATCTTTACCTTAATTATATCCACAAAGACCCTATTTCCAAATAAGGTCACATTCTGAGGTTGACGTGAACTTTAAGGAGGCACAACTCAACCTACTGCCTTGACGTAGGTCAATGAAAGTCCAAGGAAATGACTGGAGACATGTCACGTCCCCACCAACACCAGGCCTCCTGCAGCACTGACCGGCCCCTTCTGCTCCTGTGTGCTCCCCTGATGGCTGTCACAGTGACTGTTGTTTGGTGCCATGGAATCTGACCAACTCCTCCATGGCACCTCTTTGAATGTCTGAGGGCAATGACTCACCCAGGAGTCTTTCTGGTGTGTGATGATGGTGATGGACTAGAGAGTTAGTGGGTGAGTCCAGCCGGAGCTCCTGGGCTGCTGGATCACAACTGTGGCCTCTGGAAAATGGAAGCGGCAGCTTGGGGCCCCACCATTCCAAATCCCAGGGGTGTTTGAGGCACAGAGACTGTGGGGTAGAGATGCTGTGTCCAGCAGCAGTGGACTGCTTTTGCTCTTTCCTTTCAATAACAATTTGGAAAAGAAAATTGGAGTTAGCCATCATCACGGGCAAGCAGAGACAGATCCAGGGAGCTAAACCCTCTGTGTCGCCTTCCTGGAAGCATTTAGAGAATTCAGACCTACACGTTGAAGTGCCTATAGACCAGGGGAAGCCCGTTCCGACGTGGACAAAACTTCTTGAGTTTATCCTACCGCAGTGACAGGAGGGTGTTTGTGCATCATGAAACAGGAAGGAGATTGTGGGTAAGAGAGAAAGGGCCACTCCTACTGTCTGGTATGAGATTAATTCCAAGGTAACCACTCACCCTTTAGTAAGAGTGAGAGGAACAACTCTATTGAAAAAGGAGTTTTCCCCACTCTCTACCGTTTCACCCCCAATGCCAACCCCATGAGTCTTCCCTGTCTCCTGAGGTGAGAAAGAGCAGCTGAGAGCCGCACACACTATTTTTAGAAAGAAAACCATACAGAGGGTGCTGTGTTGGAGAAACGCTTTGGGTGCATGAGGTTGGGGAGAAGGACCTGAGAATGTGGGGAAGGGGCGGGGCAGGAAAGTGACTGAGGATAGGACAGTTCTATGCCTCTGTTTGGGAGCTGGGGGCCTCTGAGGGGTCCCCCCTCCATCAGCATCTTGACCCCAGGTTCTGGAGAGTGCCAAGGCTTTGGGCACCAGATGGAAGTTGCTGATGGTTCTGACGAAAGCCAATGGTTTCTTTGCAAAGAGAACTTTTCTTCATAAAAATAGAATTTGCTGGTTTTACTAGTTAGAAAAGACAAACATGGGTGGACAGAGGGGAGGGTTGAGCCTTTCCATTGTGAGCTAACATAAATGGAAACCTATGCTTTTAGCACCTCCAACAATGATGCTGAGAAGAAAAATAGGGAAGAAGGAAGGAAAAGGGGAGGGAGAGAGGGAGGGAAGGGGGGAGGGAAGGGGGGAGGGAAGGGGGAGGAAGACAAAGAAAGGAGGAGTAGAAAAGACCAAAACATAGGCTGGGCGTGGTGGCTCACGCCTGTAATCCCAGCACTTTGGGAGGCCGAGGCGGGTAGATCACGAAGTCAGGAGATCGAGGCCATCCTGGCTAACACGGTGAAACCCTGTCTCTACTAAGAATATAAAAAAAATTAGCCGGGCATGGTGGTGGGCGCCTGTAGTCCCAGCTACTTGGGAGGCTGAGGCAGGAGAATGGTGTGAACCTAGGAGGCGGAGCTTGCAGTGAGCCGAGATCTCGCCACTGCACTCCAGCTTGAGAACAGAGAGAGACTCCGTATCAAAAGAAAAAAGAAAAAAAAAAGACCAAAAGATAAAGAAACAATGATCATTTTATTTATTATGATTATGATTATAAGACAGGGTCTTGTTCTGTTGCCTAGGCTGGGGTGCAGTGTTGTGATCATTGCTCACTGCAACCTCCATCTCATAGGCTCAAGCAATCTTCCTACTTCAGCGTCCTGAGTAGCTGAGACTACCGATGCACAAACCATGCCCAGATAATTTTTTACTTTTTTGTAGAGACAGGGTCTTACCATGTTGCCCAGGCTAGCCTTGAACGCCTGGCCTCAAGCAATCCTCCCACCTCAGCCTTCCAAAGTGCTGGGATTACAGGAGTGAGCCACCAGGCCCGGCCTGCGCCCAATTATTAACATGATCTTCTGTGCAAGGAAAAAAAAAAAAAGCCATCAAGTTTTTTTAACTCTTGAATATCAAACTTCTTCAAGTATCGTAATAAAAGTAAATAATAATAATAATTAAAAGAAAAACAATGAAAGAGAAAAGGGAAGGAAGAGAAAAGAACAGTGTGTCTGAGCATCACTGGAAGGAGATGCCGTGGATGCGGAATCCCTTCCAGGCCACGGAAAGCAGCAGGCTGAGCAGCTCAGGTCGGGGAGCGCATGCAAAGGCCCAGGGGTGGCAGAGAATGTGGTGTGTTTAAGGAACAGAGAGAAGCATGGCTCAGCCTGGTGGGTGGGGGAGAGTGGGACCAGACGGGCTTGGAATGGGCTGGATCTGGGACCAGGCAGGAAGATGAGGCAGGCAAAGTAGAGAATGGCAGACCCAGAGCGCGTCTGCCTCCTGGAGGCTGGCGGCTGCTCCTCAGCATGAACCAGTGCAGCTACGGGGCGTGTGGGCTCCGCGTGGTCAGATTTTCTACTTCATGACTGGGGCGGGGTGGGTGGGGGGCGGTGGTGGTGGAATCCCAATTGCTGCATGAAGTCTCATGTCTTTTAGACGCTGGCTTCACGTAGAAAGATGAAGATAGACTTTGCAGACTGAACGGGGACTGTGGGCTAGAATCAACTCAGGGGACATCAGTTGCAATGCTGAGACTTGCTCCAGGCCTCTGATCGAAGTGGACCACGGACTTGGTCATTATGGGATGGTTCTGGAGCTCACCAATGATCATCTTTCCGTCCATCCCCACCAGAGCTGGGCCAAGTCTTAGGAACAATCCTTTGCTTCTTGGTTTGTGAAGCTGGCCCAGGGACTTAATCCAAACAAGGGCACAGCCAGAAGGAAAAGGGCGTGTCTTCCTGAAAAAGACTTGAATAAAGGGATCCTATTCAAGGCCGGAAAAGGCCAGTGTTGAAGCGCGTGGCAGCCTGTCCAGGCAGGTCTGAGTGCGCAGTGACCTCTTACAGGAGGGGGCTGTGCTGCTTGAAAGTTCACCGCTCCTGCCCAGGAAGGAATCTCTTCAAGCAAAACCTGACACATTTGGTTGCAGTCTCTGCTTGGATGCTGCACAAATTGGTTACCCTTCCTTCGGGTATTATGAGAAGGGCCCTCCTGGGTACATCTGGTTCATCCCCTGCCTCCAGCATGGAGAGCTGAAACTCGGTCCAGAAGAAGAGGCTGCAACAGATGTATTGAAAAGCGTGCTCATTCATTTTCACTTAAGAAATGATTGATGTCTGACTGAGCTGCAGAAAGAATGGGAGGATTAGGCAAGACTTTTTGTTGTAAGGCTCAGGAAGTACACTCAAACTGGGTTGAACAAACAAAATAAGAACGGATTGGCTCATGTCACTGGAAAGTCAGTCCATGGGTACTAAAGTCCCTTGACTCTGATTTTTATGAAGACAGCTTCCTTCCCAGTCACCCGCAACTCTACACTCAGTTTCTAGCCAAGTAAACTCAGCAGACAGAGTATCCAGCCAAAAATCCCAGGGCTGACTCTTAGTGGTCCAGCTTGGTCATGTGCCCATTGGTGAACCAATCACTGTGACTCTGACTGTTTTGCCCTAATTCAAGATTCTGCCCCAAGCCAGGGGAGAGGGTCAAACCCTGTAGGACCACATGGACCAAAAGTAAGGGACGAATGGTTTCTCCAGAGCAAGTCAAACACCATTATTAGAAGCAGCAGGAATGGCTGTTGTCATGGCCACACAACTGGTAAAAAGCAGATTCCCTTGCTGTTGTTGTTTTTGAGGCAGGGTCTTGCTCTGTCTCCCAGGCTGGAGTGCAGTGGTGCAATCTCAGCTCACTGCAATCCACCTCACGGGTTCAAGTGATTCTTGTGCCTCAGCCTCCCAAGTAGCTGGGATTAGAGGCATGTGCCACCACGCCCGGCTAATTTTTTTTTTTTTTTTTTTTTTTTTTTTGGTAGAGACAGAGTTTCACCATGTTGGCCAGGCTGCGTATCCTGGTTTTGAGCCTAGGTCTGAATGAGAATAGACTCATGTTTTTAATTTGGGAGTTCGAGAATGGGTGGATCTAGGGATTTAAACAACATCCACGTGACCTGGCCTGCCTTTCTCTCTCTCTCTCCCCTGCCTCCCCATTACTCCTCTCTGCTTTCTACTGGTTGGTTACTTCCTCAGGCACTTTTTTTCCCCCTCTGTGGCAGCCACGAGCAGTTCAGGATTTATGACTACCAGTTTAGCAACCTCAGTGGAAAGAAATTTGTCGTTTCCAAAATAGCAAAAAAACAACAAAACAAAACAAAAAATAACCCAGGGCTGATTCTCATTGGGCTGACTTTGGCCACATGTCCATCCCTGAACCAATCACTGTGACCTGTGGTGGAATACACTGACTGGCTGTGCTTATGCCATGTGCCAGCCCTGGAGCAGGGACTTAATTCCTACCCGAATAGATGCACAGGAGGATGAGGATGGAGTGGCTTCCCTAAGGCAGATTGAGATGCTGTTCCGAGAGGAGGGAGATGCAGACCATCTGAAATTACAGACATCCTCTTTGGAGAGGGGTGAGCACGCACTGGTGGGGCCCCAGCCCTTCAGAGCACTGGAACGCCATGCTTGGCAGCCGGGCTTGGTTGGCAGAGCTGCAGCTCGGGAGTCAGGACCTTAGACTGTCAACCACAGAGATTTATCCAGTGCCTGTTACGGGCCTTATGCAGGAAATTCCGTAACCCCAAAGTCTTCTGGATGTTTAATTTGGCAGAACTGGAGTTTCCAGGAGCAAGTGTGTTTGACAGAGAATGGGGACCGTCCCTCAGGAGACACTGGTACCCGGCATGGCAGGAAAAGAGTTTTACAGCTCTGCTGTGTTTCATAAGGTTTAAGAAGAGTAACGCATTAGCCGGGTGTGGTGGAGTACGCCTGTAGTCCCAGCTACTCGGGAGGCAGAAGAATTGCTTGAACCCAGGAGGCGGAGGTGTAGTGAGCTGAGATTGTGCCACTGCATTCCAGTCTGGGTGACAGAGCGAGACTCCGTCTCAAAAACAAACAAAAAACAACAACAACAACAACAAAAAAGAGTATTTCTTGCTGGGTGCAGTGGCTCACGCTTATAGTCCCAGCACTTTGGGAGGCCGAGGCAGGTGGATCACTTGAGGTCGGGAGTTGGAGACCAGCCTGGCTGACATGGTGAAACCTCGTCTCTACTAAAAATACAAAAATTAGCTGGGCGTGGTGGTGGGCACCTGTAAGCTACTCAGGAGGCTGAGGTAGGAGAATCACTTAAACCTGGGAGGTGGAGGTGGCAGTGAGCCGAGATCGCACCACAGCACTCCAGCCTGGGTGATAGAATGAGACTCCATCTCAAAAAAAAAAAAAAAGAAAAAGAAAACAAAAGTAATACTTTCTATTTGCACATCACTTGGTGTTTTTAAAAGCTGTTGAAATTTGGGAACTCAGAGGAGCCTCATAACAGTCTGTGGGTACCAGAGCCTGGAAGATCAGCCCCATTTACAGAGGGGGACACTGAGAGGGTATGTGATGAGGTGCAGGTTATTGGGAGACCTAGGCTGGGAACCTGCTCACCTGCCCCTTAGCGGCACCCACTTTTCCTATCTAACCTCAGCATGAGCCCTGGACGCAGAGAGCCTGAGTGAACTGCCAGTGCAAGCTCCTCCTTAGCTGTGTGATATTGGGCTCTCTGCCTTGGTTGCCTATTCTGTGAAATGAGTCAACGGGGGCACCTACATAGTGGGATTGTGGTAGAGGTTAAATGAGTTATTATGTGGAAAACCTTAGTTTCATGCTTGGAATATGGCAAATACCATTAATCTTAATAATGCATCAGGTAGAAATTAGAGTCAATTACTTCTAGGGTTTATTTTCTCAGACGATGCCAGAGATGGGCAGTCAGTGGCACTCAGAGGCTCAGTGGTGCCAGCGCTGACGTGGCTATGTTTCCTTTGGCCTTTTTCTTCAGTCCCAAGATGGCTGCTCCTGCTCCAGCCATCATATTTGTATTCCAGCCAAAAAGAATGAGGAGTGGGGAGTCACAAAAGGGCCCACCTCCCATCTGAGTCAGCCCCTTAAAGAACTCTCATGGGCGCCCCACCCACTGCCTTCTGCTTATGCATGGATGGCCATGCACATTGTAAAGGAAGTGCAGAAATGTAGTCCTTTGGCCAAACTCATCTCAGGATTCAAAAACTTAGGATTTCTGTTAGAGAAGAGGAAGGAGAATAAATAGTGTGAAGGCATCCAGCAATCTCTGCTACAGAGTTTTTTGTTTTTCATTTTCTGAAGACCCTTTTATGACCTGTTAGACATCACTATGTGTAATGGTTTAGAGCAGGAGTTACAAAGTAACATACCTACAGGCGGATGTCCTCACATGCATGAGGGAGGCTTCAGAGGCAGAGAGGTAATAGGGAGTGGTGGGGACTGGAGCAAAGTGGAGAGCTCATGCCTCATCTGTAGGTGGCTGCCAATGAGAACCAGCTAGTTTTGCATAAAAAAGAGAAGCCCAGTGTTATGAGAGCTTTTTATTTTTAATGAAAAGTGGATATACCTTAATTTTAGATGAGATCAGCTAGGTGCAGTGGCTCATGCCTGTAATCCCAGCACTTTGGGAGGCCGAGGCGAGTGGATCACCTGAGGTCAGGAGTTCGAGACCAGCCTTACCAACATGGTGAAACTCCGTCTCTACTAAAAATACAAAATTAGCCGGGCATGGTAGTGGGCACCTGTAATCCCAGCTACTCAGGAGGCTGAGGCAGGAGAATCATTTGAACCCAGGAGGCGGAGGTTGCAGTGAGCCGGGATTGCACCATTGCACTTCAGCCTGGGCGACAGAGCAAGACTCAAAAAAAAAAAAAAATTTAGATGAGATCTGATTTTTAGGTAATGATAATGATTTCAAATTTACTGAAAAAAATTATATGAACTAAATAACACAAAATTGTGGGCATGAACTTACTTGGGGCTGATTCTTTGTCCTTTCTTTCTTTCTTTCTTTCTTTTTTTTTTTTTTTTGAGATAGAGTTTCGTTCTTGTCACGCAGGCTGGAGTGCAGTGGTGCGATCTTGGCTCACTGCAACCTCCACCTCCCAGGTTCAAACGATTCTCCTGCCTAAGCCTCCTGAGTAGCTGGGATTAGAGGTGCCCACCACCACGCCCATAGAGATAGGGTTTCACCATGTTGGCCAGGCTAGTCTCGAACTCCTGACCTCAGGTGATGCGCCTGCCTTGGCCTCCCAAAGTGCTGGGATTACAGGCATGAGCCACTGCGCCAGGCCAAGGGCTGATTCTTCTTTTAAAGTCAGTTTTATTGAGGTCTAAGTTATACACAACAAAATTAACCCTTTTTAGTTGTACAGTTCTATGAATTTTGCAACACATGCCGTTGTGTGACCATGGTCACAATCAAGCTATAGAACATTTCCACCCCCCTCTAAAATTCCCTTGTGTTGCTTTTTAGTCAGTCACCACCCCTAGCCTCAGCCCATGGCAACTAGTGATCTTTTATCTGTCCCTACAGTTTTGCCTTCTCCAGCAGGTCATATAAGTGCGATCAGTCAGGAGGCAGCCTTTTGAGTCTGGCCCCTTTTGCTCAGTACAATGGACTGGAAATTCTTCCATGCTGCGGTGTGCTGGTTTTGTATTGTTGAATAGCTTTCCACTGTGTAGGTATACCACAGTTCAACCATTCATCTGTTGATGGACATTTGGTTTGTTTCCAGTTTTTGGCAATTATGAATTAAGCTACTCTAAACATTCACGGACAGGTTTTTGTATGAACATCTGTTTCTGTTTATCTTGGATAAATATCTAAGGTATATCTAGGATGTTTTCCAAGGTGCCGGGGCAATTCTGCACCCCACATGCGGTCTTCAGGGGTTCCAGTTTTTCATATCTGCACCAGCACTTGGGATTGCCAAGTGTCTTTTTTCAGAGGGGCATGTTTTGTTGGTTTAGGCATATTCTAGTATGTAGTGGTATCTTTCTGTGGTTTCAACTTGCAGTTTTCTAATGACTAATAATGTTGAGCATCTTTTCATTAGTCTATTGGCCATCCATATATATTCTTTAGTAAGGCTGTTAAAAGAAAAACTTCAGCTGAATTAAATTTAAAGGAGTTTGAGCAATGAACGATTTGCGAATTGGGCAGCCCCCAGAATCACAGCAGACTCAGACAGACTCCAGGGTGCCTCGTGGTCAGACCCAATTTATAGCCAAAAAAAAAAAAAAAGAAAGAAAGAAAAAGAAATGGCGTATGGAAATCAGAAGTGAGGTACAGAAACAGCTGGATTGGTTACAGCTCGTCCACCTTATTTGAACACAGTTTGAACGCTCGGCAGCGTAAAGGTGGCTGAAGCATGTCTGCTGGCATTGCCAAGACTCAGCAATTGTTACAGGTGCCTCCTCCTAAGTTAGGTTTTCAATCTCATCTACCCATTAAATTAGGTTATGGTTCATCCGTAAGGGCTCAAATATAGAAGTATGGAGTCCTTCTCGGCTGTATTTCGTTCCCTTTAACAAGGTATTGGTTCAAATATTTTGCCAATTTTTAATTGAGTTATTTGTTTTCTTATTACTGTCTTGTGAGGGTTATTTATATATTCTCCATTCCAGTCCTCTATCAGATATGCGTTTTGCAAATATATTTTCACAGTCTGTGGCTTGTCTTTTCATTTTTGTAACAGTGTCTCTCGAAGATAGAAGTTTTTCGTTTTAAGTCCAATTTATCAATTTGTTCTTTACAATTTATGCTTTTTGTGTTCTATCTTAAAAAAACCTGTGCCTAATCCAAAGTTATGAAGATTTTCTCCTATGTTTTCTTCTAGAAGTTTTATTTATTTATTTATTTATTGAGGTGGAGTTTTGCTCTTGTTGCCCAGGCTGGAGTGCAGTGGTGCAATCTCTGCTCATTGCAACCTCCACCTCCCAGGTTCAAACGATTCTCCTACTTCAGCCTTCTGAGTAGCTGGGATTACAGGTGCCCCCCACCATGCCTGGCTAATTTTTTGTATTTTTAGTAGAGATGGGGTTTCATCATGTTGACCAGGCTGGTCTCAAACTCCTGACCTCACGTGATCCACCCGCCTTAGCCTCCCAAAGTGCTGGGATTACAGGCATGAGCCACTGCGCCCAGCCTGTAGTTTTAACTTTTACACTGAGGTCTATGATCGATTTTAACTTAAAAAAAATTGAAATATGGGTTGAAGTTCATTTTTTGTGTATGGGTGTCCAACTGTTCCAGCACCATTTGTTGAAAGACTTTCCTTTCTGCATTGAATTGCTTTGACACTATTATTGAAAATCACCTGGCATTAAATGTATGGGTCTCTTTCTGAACTCTCTGTTCTGTTCCACTGATCCATGTGTCCTTGCTTTTGTCAATACCACACTAGTGCCTGCACCTGGTAAGTACCGTATCAATGTTAGTTAGCGCTTGCCATATTTTATCATTTAAAAAAAATAAACTTTTAATTTTGGAATTTCTTTACTTGGAAAATTTATTTTTGAATAATAATATGATGGAAAAGTTTGCAAATCTAGAACAGAGATTTATATCCTCATATCCTTCTTCTCACAGCTAGCTTCTCCTAGCATTAACGTTTTACATATCCATGGTATTTTTTATCAAAGCGGACACATTCACATTGGCACAGTACTATTAGCTAAGCTGTTTATTTGAGTGTCACCAATTTTCCCATTAGTGGCTGTTTTTCCTGTTCCAGGGTCCATTTCAGAATACCACATTGCATCGAACCGTGGGTTTTTAAGATGCGTCTTTCAACAGCTCTGTAATCAGGGTGCATCTTACAGTCCATGGTGTTTTACACATTGATAGCTAGGTTTTTCTTTTTCATAGTGGCATATTAAATTAGAGTATGCCTTAGATTTAATGAAATAGGGTATTATTATTACTTGATCTCCTTAAACCTCAACTTCTTCATCTGTAAAATGAAAATAATGCTAGGACTCACCTCATAGAGATGTGGAAAGATAAAATGAGAGCCACCAAAGGAAGTGCCTCGATAGAGGTTGGCACATGAGCCCTTGTTAATTAATGGTGGCATTAAACCCAAGCGTAAGCTCTATCCAAAGTGTGCTCCTGGGGGTCAGTGAGCGCGCCTCTCCTTGCCTTTCCCTACATCGAAGAAATGCCTGGAGCTGGATTTCTTAGCAGCTGTCCTTCAAACAAGAGCCCACAGGAATAGCTACCAATTAAAATAACAAAGTTTCAGGTGACAACATTTGCAGAAGAAGCTGCACATGTTTAATAAAAGCCCAGTTGCTGGGAGGCTCAGACGGCTACCTCTTCCGGGAGATCCGAAGCCGCATTTCAAGTCTGCCAGCAAATTTGCTTTCATTAGAACAAGACCCTGGCCCTTTCTCCTCGGAATGTCTGGGCCCAGGCCTCTTGTCCTGGGTCCCTTCTCTCTTTTTTTGCTTTCACTTTCTGAAATACATTCGCTTGTTTTCTTGGCTTGAGCTTTTAAAAAATTATACAAGCAACACATCTGTTACGGATATGGTAGAAAATTGAGATGAAAGGAAAAATGTAAAAGAGGCCTGTAATTTCATCACTCAGAGATCGTCACTGGATACAAAGCATTTTTCTTTCTTTTCCTGATTGTTAAAATATGCACTAACTGTAAAATAAGTTAGAAATTATAGAAAAAGCATAAAAGCAAAACATTCTCTTCTCATCTCACCATCCAGGTTACCAATGTGTAACATGCACCCTTTCCAAAATGTTCATGTCTATGCTTTCATATGTACTTAAAAATATTGCAAGTTGCAGTACCTGGGGCAGGCTTTGGGGGTAGGCCACTTGGATTCAAATTTTGTCTCTGTCGCCAACTAGCCGTGAGCAGCCTATGTGACTTCTCTGGGTCTCGGTTTCCCTATCTGTGAAATAGGAATATCATTAGAACCTACTTCAGTTATTGAGAACATGACCTGAGATACAGTACATAAAAGTCCTTAGCTGGCTGGGTGTGGTGGCTCACACCTGTAATCCCAGGACTTTAGGAGGTAGGAGAATTCCCATGAGCCCAGGAGTTCAAGACCAACTTGGGCAATATGGCGAAACCCCATCTCTACAAAAAATGAAAATATTAGCCAGGTGTGGTAGTGTGCACCTGTGGTCCCAGCTACTTGGGAGACTGAGGTGGGAAGATTGCCTGAGCCAAGGAGGCGGAGGTTGCAGTGAGCTGAGATTGCACCATTGCACTCCAGCCTGGGCAACAGAGTGAGACCCTGTCTCCAAAAAAAAAAAAAAAAAAAAAAGAAAGAAAGAAAAGAAAAAAGTCCTTACACATGATGCTTCATACAGAGTGAGCCTTGAAAAATGGCCGTGATGACTGGTGTGCTTGTTTCCAATTGCTGCCTCACAAATAACCACACGAACTCGGTGGCTTAAAACAACACTGTCGATTATTTCACATTTATGAGCTCACTGCTTTCATGGCAAAAGATTCCAGGCACGGCTTAACTGGATCCTCAGCTCTGGGTCTCACAAGGCTTCAGTCAAGATGTTGGCTGAGGCTGGGATCTCCTCTGGAGGCCCAGGGTCCTCTCCCAAACAGATGTGGTTATTGGCAAAGTTCATCTTGCTGCAGCTGCAGAACTCATGGAGGCCTGGTTCTTCCAGGATAGCAGAAGCATGGCTGCTACTATGAACCTTGCCCTTCTTCCTTCTCTGATCTCTAGAGCTTCTTTCAAAAGGTTCACCTGGGCTGGGTGTGGTGCCTCGCGCCTGTAATCCCAGCATTTTGGGAGGCTGAGGTGGGTGGATCATGAGGTCAGGAGATCGAGACCATCCTGACCAACATGGCGAAACCCTGTCTCTACTGAAAATATGAAAAGTAGCTGGGCATGGTGGGGTGCGCCTGTAGTCCCAGCTACTTGGGAGGCTGAGGCAGGAGAATCGCTTGAACCCGGGAGGTAGAGGTTGCAGTGAGCTGAGACCGTGCCACTGCACTCCAGCCTGGCGACAGAGCAAGACTCCATCTCAAAAAAAAAAAAAAAGAAAAGAAAAGAAAAGAAAAAGGCCCACCTGATGAGGTCAGGCCCACCTAGGATCATCTCCCTTTGATGAACTCAAAGGCAATTCCTACAGTACCTTAATTACAGAACAAAATCTTTTCATCTTTGTCCTAGAACATAATCACAAAATCACAAGAGTGACATCCTGTCATATTCAAGGTCCTGCCCACACCAAGGGAAGGCGGTTATCCAGGACATGAACCACAAGGGGAGGGAATCTTGGGGCTGTCTTAGAATTCTGCTTACCATAACTAGTACTCATAGGGCCTTCCCGTCACCTTGTGTTTTAGTTTGGGGGCAAACTAAAGGGACTTAATCTGTTTCCAGGGATTTCGTACTTGGTAAAGACCATCCCCTCTATCTGACCAAGCACTGGAATTGAATGTTGTTATGGTTTGGATCTGTGGCTGGGGAGGCCTTAGGAAACTTTCAATCATGGTAGAAGGTGAAGGGAAAGTGGGCATGCCTTACTTACATGGCCAGAGCATGAGGGTTATTTGTAATTCCCAGTGTTGTAGGCGGGACCTGGTGGAAGGTGATCGGATCATGGGGGCAGAGTTCCCCTTTGGTGCTGTTCTCGCGATAGTGAGCTATGGTGAGATCTGGTTGTTTAAAAGTGTGTCGCCCCTCCCCCTTCTCTTTCTCCTGCTCCAGCCATGTAAGGTGCCTGCTTCTCCTTCACCTTCTGCCCTGATTGTAAGTTTCCTGAGGCCTCCCCAGCCATGCTACCTGCACAGCCTGTGGAACTGTGAGCCAATTAAACCTCTTTTCTTCATAAATTACCTAGTTTCATGTATTTCTTTATAGCAGTGTGAGAACAGACGAATACAAACATGCTGTTGAATGCATGAACAAGTAGCTGAATTCTAAAAACACTGATGAGTAACTAGTTCATTCATTCATCCCACAAGTAATGACTGCACCCCTGGGACCCCTGTGCTTAGTGCTGAAACATATAAACTCACGTGCGTACTAAAGACGGTGGGATCTCTTAGGAGCACTTACTCCACCCAAGTGCTGCTGTTGGGGTGTTCCTTGAATTAGCTCATGTATGCTCACGACAACCCCCTAGTATGATCCCCATTTTGCAGAGAAATTGATGTGAAGAGAGATCGTTTAACCTGGCCAAGACTGTACAGCTAAAAAGCAGCAAGGCTGAGATAGGATCCAGACATTTTAGCTCCAGAGCCCACGCACATCACCACCCTCTACCTTGTGAGCCGCACTCTCTCGCAGGCATGGTCTCTTGGCTTGGAGGTGAACAAGCTCCTTTCCTCTGCTATGACTGCCTGTCTCTGGACTCTCTCTGGACTGATGGGAGGGAGAGGTGGGAGGGTAGACCTGCTGGCAAGCAAAGGCCACAGAGAAAGTGGCCTCGGGTCCCCTGGGCCGAGGGGGCAGACCTGAGCCATGGACAGGGAGATTTCAGGGATCCCAGTGACCACGTCCTCTGCCCCTGGCAGGAGACCCTCTGAAGGAAAGGATCAAAGGGAAAGGGTTGGAACTTCTCCCCCCAGGGTGACACAGGGCAGCCACGTCCCTGTTTATCCACTCAGCAGATCTGGCCAGTTCTAAGTGTTTTCTGTCCATCAAAAATACACCCTACTTGTGGAAAGTGGGGCTAATGTCAGTCTTTGCCTTCCAGGGTTGCAGGTGGGACCACATGAGATCATGCACATGAAGTGCTTAACACCTTATCTCAAAGATGGTAAGCCTGGGTACAATTTACACTACTCAGGTGACAATGATACTTCACCACTGCACACTATGTTATCCGCATAACACAAATGCACTTGTACTCATTAAATCTATAACAATAAAAAAAATCTTTAAAAAGAAGATGGTAAGCTCTCGGAAATTGTGAGTTACAATTCGTGAGCAACATGGCTTTCCTCTTCCTACAAAGACAATGGCCCTGGCAGAGGCTGTTCGGCCCCTCTCCCGCTCAGGCCCCACCCTCCTCCAGCGCCACTGCTCCCTGCAAACATGCAGGTGTCCTTCAAACCCTCGGGGTTCCCTAGGTCCCTGTGCCTGGAACCACACATCCCTCCTGGGCCTCAGGCCCGCCTCCTAGTCACAGTGGTTGGCAATGTGGTGGGCACTGGATGTGGCTGAGCCAATCAAAGCCCTTCCCTTTCAAACGGGCCTGGGAAGGAGAAAACTCACTTGGAGGCTCACAGTGCCCCTGCCCTCTGTGAACCGCACAAGCCTGGAATAACTTCTTCCTGGTCATCTGGCCTGGGCGAGGCTGGGAGCTGCTCAAGGGCAGGAAGACCAAGGTCCTGTCTGCTCCCATAAGCCTAGCACTCAAGGCTTGTGCTGACCAATGGCAGGTGGTTAATCAGAATTTGATGAAGAAATGAATGAATGAGGAGTTCTGCTCTCTCCTCTTTTTCCATCAGTAGTCAATAATTGTCTTCTCAGAAGATTGCATTTTTTCTTTTATTCTTTTTTTCTTTCTTGCTCATTTATTTTATTTTTAATTTTTTTTTTGAGACAGTCTCGCTCTGTTGCCCAGAATGTAATTTTTTTCATTAATGGGATATTTCAATTTGAGTATAGTCAAAGAACCCCCCAAATACCAACTCAGGCTTCAGCAACGATCATTCCGATGTTATTTTTTCATATTTCCTTCTCTCCTCTATGAGGAGGGTAGAGGGGCTAGAATATTTTAAAGTAAACCCCAGGCACTGAATCATTTTTCCCCCAAATACTTCAGTGTGTATGCTGAACATATAAATATTTTTTTCGGATAACCATAATCGCACTCTCACACTTAACAAAGACAATTATAATTTCTTAATATCACAAAATACCCAGACCACGTTCAAATTTCCTCCATTGTCTCAAAAACTGTCTACAGTAGGTGTGCTTAAATCTCATTGAATTATAATCACACTGAGGTGTCAGCAGGAATTTCTTTGGTCGCAAGTGACCAAATGTCTGCAACTGGGATGTTTCTAGCTGTTCCCTGGAAGTAGGTTTCTGTGGTCAGGAGGCCTGGGAAATACCGAGTTGCAGAAAGTTAGGCTATCCCATTCCTCTCCCATCTTTAGAAGGCTAAAGTGTGTGGTGAATCTGAGTGTAAAAGAGATTTTTGCAAACTTGGTTGACCTTGGAAATTTTATTTTATTTTTTATTTTATTTATTTTATTTTTTAAAATTTTTATTTTTTATTTATTATAAATTTTATTTATTTATTTATTTATTTATTTATTTATTTATTTATTTCTGAGACAGAGTCTCTCTCTGTCCCCCAGGCTGGAGTGCAGTGGCGCGATCTCAGCTCCCTGCAACCTCCGCCTCCCGGGTTCAAGCGATTCTCCTGCCTCAGTCTCCCGAGTAGCTGGGATTACAGGCACCCACCACCATGCCCAGCTAATTTTTGTATTTTTAGTAGAGATGAGGTTTCACCATGTTGGCCAGGCTGGTCTTGAACTTCCGACCTTCAAGAATTCACCCGCCTCGGCCTCCCAAAGTGCCACCGCACTCGGCCGATCTTGGCAATCTTTGAGTTCATACATTCTTGTATGAAGGCGATATCTCCCCCAAAGGGGCAAAAATTGGTTCTTTAGTGGCAAAAAACCTTTTTTTTTTTTTTTTTTTTGGTAGAGATGGGGTTTCACCATGTTGCCCAGGCTGGTCTCAAACTCCTAGGCTCAAGCCATCTGCCTGCCTTGGCTCCCAAAATGCTGGGATTACAGGCGTGAGCCACCATGCATGGCCTAAAAATCCTACTTTATATGTATAAAGCCCATGTGTACATTCACTACATAAATAGATATACTGTAGATCTGTGGCATTAAAATTGCATGTGGAGGGAGTGGCAAATAGAGAAAATGTTCCAGAAAAGCTCCTTAGAGGGGGAAATGAAAAAAATAAATGAAGAAACATTATTTTATTTTCCATCTGCACCTTAGTTCCCACATCTGTAAAATCGGGATAATAATCGTGCCTAATTCAGAGTTGTGGCAAGATTTAAAAGCATTTACAGAGTGCCTGGCTCACTGGAAGTGCTATATATGCATTAGTTATTATCCTGGTTGTTGTTCTTGACATTTTTGGAGCATTTTGTAGGTGTTGGTAAATTAAAGAGCCCAGCTCTGGGGTCAGATGAACTGGGTTTGGAGACTTTCCTTTAATTTGTGAATATTCCATTTTCTCATCTGCAAATGAAATAAAACTGCCTTGCGAAGCTGCTGTCCACGTTAAAGGGAGTAACATAAGCAAAGTCCCTGGTGTATTAACCAACTGTTATTTTTATCCCCTTCTGCAGATGGGCAAACTGAGACCCCAAGCCCTGGAGAGATGTGTTCAGACAGATGTGCAAGTCCCCCCTGCTCCAGCCCACTGTGGCTCCGGGCTTCAGTCTTCAGTTGGCCTTTGTTCTGCCACTTTCTCCTGGAAGTCACGCCTCTCTCTCTTCCTGCCTCCCACATCACAGGAGTCTGCACGCACCCAACCAGCTCAAAAGGCTCTGACAGATGTGAGTTTGTTGTTTTTGTTGCCTTTTTTTAAAACAGACTGCCACTTTGCCTTTGTCTAAACAGAGCAGCAGTGAAGGCAGAGAATCTGTAAGTCTTCCTTGTCCCTCTGCCAAGTGCTGCCTCTGGTCAACCAGAGCCGCCAACTCTGTTATCTTTTCTGCTGGAGGCGGTAAGGGCAGGCCCGGCGCTGGGGCTCACCAAGGCCTCTTACTGGTTTTCTCGGCTCTGATTCTGGGTCTGGAGCCCCTGGTGTAAACCCCGCAAGGTGACCCCAGCAAATTTGCCCTTTTGAACAGGGAGTCCAAGGACCCTGGGCACTCTCAAGCCCAACTGCAGTGACAAAAGTTCTTTCTTTTTGTCTCCACCCCATCAGCTTTTGAGGGTATGGCTCTGGTAGCCCCCATAGTATAACCTCTGTCTGGTGGCCGGCTCAGGTTTTGGGGGATGTGGAGGGAGGGTCAGGGATGCCAGCCTGGGCCATCACCCGCTTGCATAGGTCTGGAAATCAATAGCTGTGTCTGCCTTGGAGGAGGGCAGAGAACTTTCCAGTGGCTTCTGTTGTGCAGTTTTTTATTTTTAACCATAGAGTCCAGCACGGGAGTCAGACTGCCTGCATTCAAGTCTTATTTCCTTCCATCCTCTATAGGTGACCCCTTGAGTGACTGTGGCCAAGAAACAAGTTAATTAAAATCTCTCCAGGCCTCAGTTTCCTCATCTGCAAAGTGGGGAGAATGATAGTGCCTTTTTCACAGGATTCAGCGGGGATAAAGTGAAGGGATGCATTTAAACCTGGCACACACAATAAATGTCAGCTGTGGCTAGTAGGGCCCTGCTGAGCCGGCCCCGTACACCTCTCACACTTCATTTCCCACCATTCCCCTCCCCGCATACTCTGCTACAGCTGCCCTCCCCTCCCCTCCCATCCTCTCTCCTCCCCTCCCCTTCCCTCCCTCCCCTCCCCTCCCATCCTCTCTCCTCCCCTCCCCTCCCTCCCCTCCCTCCCCTCCCTCTCCTCCCTCTCCTCCCTCTCCTCCCCTCCCCTCCCCTCCCCTCGTGATGTGAGGCAGGCTTGGGCTCGCTTCAAGGCTTTTGCTTCTCGGCTTCCTCTGCCTGGGGAGCTTTTTTCCCAGATCTTCGCCAGGCAGGCTTCCTACCTGCTCGTTGTCTCAGATCTGGGGTCACTTCTTCTAGGAGGCCACTTTCTCTCACAAGACCCTGTTTTATTTGCTTCATAAACTTTACCCGCACTAGAAATTATCTGGTGCATTTATCTCTTGCTTGCGTATTGTCTGATCTACCTAAGCAAAGTAAATTTCCATTTTTAGGAACCCTATCTGTACCCCCGAGCGTCTAAAATAGCGGTGGCGTACCGTTATTGGTCAGTAAGTGACTGGGTAGAATACCTGCTTAAGCAACACAAATCCAGTGCTGGTTGAGCTTTGGTTAAATCACGTGTTTGGTATTCTGAGAAGCTCATTGTATACTTTCTTCTCTTAATTTTATGACACACTTCTGAAGGGGGTACTCTTTTTGGCCTCATACCACAGATGAGGCAACAGTCTCAGAGGGGTTAAGTAACTTCCCCGAGGTCACACAGCTAGTAAGCAATAGTGGCTTAGAGAGGCTCAAGTCTGGGTCTGTCCCAGTGCTTCCTTGGCCCTCTTTTTTTTTTTTTGAAACTGAGTCTCACTCTGGCACCCAGGCTGGGGTGCAGTGGCATGATCTCTGCTTACTACAAACTCTGCCTCCTGGGTTCAAGCTATTCTCATGCCTCAGCCTCCTGAGTAGCTGGGATTACAGGTGTGCGCCCCCACGCCCAGCTAATTTTTGTATTTTTAGTAGAAACAGGGGTTTGCCATGTTGGCCAGGCTGGTCTCAAACTCCTGACCTCAAGTGATCCGCCCACCTCGGCCTCCCAAAGTGCTGGGATCACAGGCGTGAGCACCGTGCCCAGCCAACCCTGGCCTTCTTTTGAATGAGGTCCCAGAGCTTTGATGGAAGAGGGAGTGAAGAACAGCAGTGCAAATATGTCTTGTTTGAAGCACACTTTCATTCTGCACTAGTAATATTTACATCCCAAATTGCCTTTGAGCCTCCCAGCAGCCCTGGTGTATGGTGGGATGTGAACCAAGGCTCAGAGCCAGGATGTAATCTCTTGGGGCCACCGGATCCTGGCTTAGCCTTCTGTGGGACATGTGGTTGCTGGACTTGAGAAAGGTCTCAGCTTAAACCCTAGCCCTCTGGGAACCTCCTCTGAGCCAGTCTGGTCAGCTGCCAGTCCGGTATCACTCTTCCTCGAAGTGCGGCCCCTCCCTGGCACTCACCCTTGCATGCCATTGCTCAATTGCATCTTCCCTGGCTTGCTGGACTCGTGCCGTCCAGTGCAGTGGCCACTAGATCAACAGGGGGCAACTTTGCAACAACAGGGGACATTTGGCAGTGTCTGGAGACATTTGTGGTTGTTGCGTCTGGAGAGAGGGGACGCTACTGGAACTGGAGGAAAGAGTCCAGGGTCGCCGCTGAATGCTCCACAATGCACAGCACAGCCCACACTAAAACTATGGGATCCCGGTTGAGAATCTCTGCCTTAGACCTCAGTGGCTACTGAGCACTTGAAATGCGGCTGGGCTGAGCTGAGATGTGCTGTGAGTACAGAACACACACTGGATTTCAAAGACTTAGTTTGAAAAAAAGAATACAAGATAGTTGATTAATCATTTTTAAATATTGACTACATGTCAAAGTGATAATATTTGGATATAGTGGGTTAACTAAACTGGAGGATAAAATTCGGTGTGCCTGTTTCTTTTTATCGTTTGATTTGTGTCTGCTAGAAGATTTCAAATGACCTACAGGGCTCACATTATATTTTGATTGGGCAGCAGTGTGCTGGACTAGACATCCATGAGGAAAGGGGTCTGTCTGGGTTTGCTTGTCACCGCAAGTGCAGGGCTGGACAGGAGCTTGACACGTGCTGGGTGCTCAGTAGATAGTTACTGAGCAGGAAGAAAGGAGGGACAGCAGAGAGGGAGGGAGGGAGAAGGAAGAAAGAAGGAGGGAGAGAAGGAAGGAGGGAGGGAGGGAAAGAAGGAGGGAGAGAAGGAAGGAGGGAGGGAGGGAAAGAAGGAGGGAGAGAAGGAAGGAGGGAGGGAGGGAAAGAAGGAAGGAGGGAGGGAGGGAAAGAAGGAGGGAGAGAAGGAAGGAGGGAGGGAGGGAAAGAAGGAGGGAGAGAAGGAAGGAGGGAGGGAGGGAAAGAAGGAGGGAGAGAAGGAAGGAGGGAGGGAGGGAAAGAAGGAGGGAGGAAGGAAGGAGGAAGGAAGAAAGGAAGGAAAGAAAGAAGGAAAGAACAAAAGGGAGAAAGGGAGGGAAGAAAAGGAAGGAAGAAGGCAAGGAGGAGAGAGGGAGGAAAGAAAGAGAAGGAGGGAAGGAAAGAGGGAAAGAAGGGGGGAAAGGAAAGAGGCAGGGAGGAATAGAAGGAAGGAGACACAAACACTCCCGGCAGCTGTCTTGAAAGGCCTCTAAAACCCCACTGGTGAGCCCAGAATTCTCTCCCCATGTCCAGTATTTAAGGCAGCTGCCAAGGAGCGTTCCTTCCTTCTAGCGGATACCCCAGCTGCCCCGTCCCTGGTCTCTGCCCTGTGTCCCCGCCCAGTGTCTCCTCCAGGTCCCCTTGGCTGGGGATGGCCTTGGGTACTCACTTCATGCCCTGTTTGGGAGCTTCTCCATTTGCAACCTGCTCCCATTCTGGTCCTCATTAGCAGTGAGAGGTAGTCAGGTTTGAAAATCTTAGCTGTGTGAGCCCGGAGCCTCTGGGATAAAAATCCCAGGGATGCAGTTCCAGGCTTTCTGTGACTTTAATTATCTTTAGCAAAGGGGTTGATTTTCCCCACAAGAAAAGGGGGTGAGCCCCGGAACACATATTTAGGAACTTCTTTCCTGTCCTGACTATGAGCTTTCTGAGAATACGGCGAATACTTCACCATTACACAACAGAGATGACTGAGCAAGTGTGGGGAGCATGGCCAGCTGGACTCGACAGGATTCTTTACCCAATATTAAAAACAGGTCAGTTTTTGGCCAGGCGCGGTGGCTCACGCCTGTAATCCCAGCACTGTGGGAGGCCGAGGTGGGTGGATCACCTGAGGTCTGGAGTTCGAGACCAGCCTGGCCTACATGGTGAAACCCCATCTCTACTAAAAATACAAAAAATTAGCCGGGTATGGTGGGAGGCGCCTGTAATCCCAGCTACGTGGGAGGCTGAAGCAGGGGAATTGCTTGAACCCGGGGGACGGAGGTTGTAGTGAGCCTACATCGTGCCGCTGCGCTCCAGCCTGGGTGACAGAGTGAGAATCCATCTCAAAATAAATAAATAAATAAAATAGAAACAGATCCGTTTTCTTCTCAGCCCTCTGAAGCTTGTGGATTGGCTGGGAGCAGCTGTGAGGGGAGGACCGATTCCGGCTGGCACCGACAGAGGATGTCTAGAGGGGGCATATTTGAATCCTAAACCCGGTCGTTTGACTCCCCAGGTAGCTCCGCGATTGTCATCACCAACAGTCTGGCATGGAACTGAGAATTTACAGGGATGAATGATGAGTTTCTTTTTGTTTATATGTTCCTGAGATTTTTTTTTTCTTAAAGAAGATCATATTGTGGCAGTAACCTTTTTTTTTTTTGTACTGAAATTGCAAAGTGTAGGAAAACACAAAGAAAAAATAAAAATGACCTAGAATCCTATCACTCAGTGCTTATCACAGCAAACATCTACCTTTCAGCCTTTTGTACATAAGAATTCATAATTTATTGGGTATAGTATTTTACAATATTCCTATCATATTGCCATTTTAAACTGTTTTTTTCTTTATATCAAGAATGTTTTGTCATGACATCTAATATGCAACATCACCTGAAATGACTGCATCGCACTTCATTGTAAACGCAAACCGACAGTTATTTAAACAATTCTCTATTGTTGGATATTTAGGCTGGCTCCAACTTTTTGCTCTTGTAAATAACTGTACAATGGATATCCTGGTATATAAGTCTTTGCACACATCTCTGATTATTTCCTTAGGGTAAATTCCTAGAAGTAAAATTACTGGTGAAATGATTCACACATATTAAGACTTTTGATAAATGCCATCATATTTGCCTAGAAAGTTTATGACAAATAACATTTCCAACAAGAATGTGAGTCTGTCTCCCCAGCCCCTCCTCATCTTCTCCAGTCCTGGGATACATTAACGAAAATGCAGAGGAAAAAAACATAAATAATTCTACCTCCAAAGTAAACCACTGTTAACAATTTGGTGAATATTTCCTCCAGATTTTTTACTGTGTACTTGTACTCATGTATGTGTGTGTGTTTCAGAAATGGAATGATGTATACATATTGATTTGTGACCTGATTTTTATTTTATTTTATTTTACTTTTTTTTAGATGGAGTCTTGCTCTCTTGCCCAGGTGGGAGTGCAGTGGTGCAATCCTGACTTACTGCAACCTCCACCTCCCGGGTTCAAGTGATTCTCGAGTGTCTCAGTCTCCCAAGTTGCTGGGATTACAGGCATGCGCCACCACTCCTGGCTAATTTTTGTATTATCAGTAGAGATGGGGTTTCACCATGTTGGCCAGGCTGGTCTCGAACTCCTGACCTCAAGCGATCTGCCCGTCTTGGCCTCCCAAAGTGTTGTGATTACAGGCGTGAGCCACAGCTCCCAGCCTATTAACCTTTTTTTTTTTTTTTAACTGCATGTTGTCATCATCTTTTATGAAGCATCAGTCACTTCCATGGCTTCATATCATTACAGCAAAGTCTGTACTGGAGAATATTTCACCAGTTCTTTAGTGCTGAGCCTACAGGCTGCTTTCAACATTTCCCATATAAATGATGTGGAAATACATTTCTTTCCTTATACGTAGTTTCTAAATAATTCCTTAGGAATAAAAAAAATGCACATTTTAAAGGACTTTAATATGTATTCCAAAACTCAGAACAGTTGAATCTGTTTCTTTCCTCCAGTTGTGAGGGTACCATTTCTCCATTTGGCTAACACCGTGGGTTACCATTCTTTTCAAATATTGCTACTCTGAAAGAGATACGGAATGATGTCATTACAATTACAATTTCCACCTCCATTGCTTGATTCCTCATGAATCTAAACATTTCTCCTGCATGCATTGCCCACTTTTATTTCCATTTCTGTGATTTGCCTGTCATTTTTCTTTAGCCATTTTTATGACTCTATACGAGCTTTGTCTATTTTAAGAGGCTAAATACTTTGTCATGTAGGTTGGGAATATTTTTCCTCATTGTTTTATGTCTTTTAATTGTATTAGTGATGGTTTTTCGTGTCCAGGAGTTTTAAAAATTAATTATAATGAATACAAGTTGTATTTATTTATTGTATACAACATAATGTTTTGAAATGTGTATACCTGGTAGTGTGGCTAATTCAAGCTCATTAGCATATGCATTACTTCATATACTTATTCTTTGTGGTGAGAACACTTAAAATCTACTCTTTTCCTGATTTTCAAGAATATCTTGTTGGCTGAGCACGGTGGCTTACACCTGTAATCCCAGCACTTTGGGATGCCAAGGCCGGCAGATCATCTGAGGTCAGGAGTTCGAGAGCAGCCTGACCAACATGGTGAAACCCCATCTCTACTAAAAATACAAAATTAGCCGGGTGTGGTGGCACATGCCTGTAATCCCAGCTACTCAGGATGCTAAGGCAGGAGAATCACCTGAACCCAGGAGGTGGAGATTGCAGTGAGCCGAGATCGCGCCATTGCACTCCAGCCTGGGTGGCAGAGGGAAACTGTCTCAAAAAAAAAAAAAAAATCTTGTTATTAACTATAGTCTCCACGTAGTACAACAGATCACTTGAAGTTATTCCTCCTCTCTAACGGAAAATTTGTATCCTTTGACCACCCCCTGGCAATCACCATTCTACCTTCTGCTTCCATGAGTTCACTGTTCCAGGAATTTATTTTTATTATTAAAAAAATTATGGAACGTTTCACAAATTTGCATGTCATCCTTGTGCAGGGGACACGCTAATCTTCTCTGTATCGTTCCAATTTTAGTGTATGTGCTGCCGGAGCGAGCACAGTCCCTGGAATTTTGGATGCTTATGTTGACTCTTCATGTTTTCCCTGGTGGTGTCTGCCTTCATAAGCCTAGAAGGGCCTTCAGGGGAATGGGTTTGAGGGCCCATAGCCACAGCGGGACAGTTGAACGAATATTCAGAGCAAAGCAGATGACACGGAATTTATAGGGCGAATGAGATGGCCTCTGGCTTCACAGAAGCTGTGTCAGTCACTCGGCAATGCAGCCTGGGAGGTGGAGAGCCCTCTGTCTTTTCTTAACTTTTATAAGGGTCTCTGAGCAACTCATTATGTGCAGAAAGAGCCCTGGGTAGAATCCTGGACTCTGGCAGGGCTGCCTACTCACCATGGAGCCTCAGTTTCTTCATTTGTAAAATGAACGAATGAGCCAGGATCGCCTCCTTGGACCCCCTGACTGCTCATGACGTATGGCCTTAAATATGGCTCTAAATGTTACTCCCCATGGAGCCCTTTCTAGGTATCTCAGGCCAGAGTCCTCAAAGGAAAGACATAAAGATTTGACTATATGAACATTAACAATCCCTGGACGTCAAGAAACACCACAAATAAAATTAAAAGACAAAGAACAGACTAGGAACAATGTTTTCAACAATTACGTCATTCAGCCTCCCGACTCAGCCAATGGGTGGATGATTCCTGACTTTCCTCCCCCAGAGGGGTGGGGAAGGTGCAAGGTGACTTGGGAAGACAGCCAGCTTGGGGCACAGGGAAGGTGCTCAGTCGAGGCTTTTCATTTTCTTGAATGAATGAATGAGTGAGTGAATGAATGATGAAATCTGCATCCTAGGTACTGTGTATCTTCCTTTGAATTCTGCCCCATTTATTTTTATTTTTATTTTTATTGTTATTATTATTTTTGAGATGGAGTCTCCCTCTGTCACCCAAGCTGGAGTGTGGTGGCGCAATGTCAGCTCACTGTGACCTCCACCTCCCACGTTCAAGCGATTCTCCTGCCTCAGCCTCTTGAGTAGCCGGGACTACAGGTGTCTGCCACTGAGCCTGGCTAATTTTTGTATTTTTTGTAGAGACGGGGTTTCACCATATTGGCCAGGCTGGTCTTGAACTCTTGACCTCAGGTGATCCACCTGCCTCAGCCTCCCAAAGTGCTGGGATTACAGGCGTGAGCCACAACGACGGCCTATTTTTATTTTTATTTATTTATTTTTTAGATGGAATCTTGCTCTGTCGCCCAGGCTGGAGCGCGGTGGCGCAATCTCGGCTCACTGCAACTTGCACCTTCTGGTTCAAGTGATTCTCCTGCCTCAGGCTCCTGCGTAGCTGGGATTACAGGCGCCACTACCACACCCGGCTAATTTTGTGTATTTTTAGTAGAGACAGGGTTTCACCATGTTGGCCAGGCTGGTCTCGAACTCCTGACCTCAAGTGATCTACCTGCCTCAGCCTCCCAAAGTGCTGGGATTACAGGTGCGAGCCACTGAATTCTGCCCTATTTAAATGAAGAGAAGACAGATCCTCGACCACAAAGAGAAAGTGGTTCGCTTCTGTTGCTTACTGTGGGGTTGGCGCTGTGGAACGTCCCAGCCTCCTCTGAATTCATCTGGAAAACGGGTTTAAAAATTCTTACTTCCCTGCCTCCTGCCTCCTCCCTAGAACGGACGTCAGTTGGGATGAATCAGAGCCTCGGTATTTTGGCTCAGCCGTTGTTTTGGCAATAAGAATGATTAAACAGATAGTTTATTTATTTTACTCTCATCTTCTGTACCCACATCTCTGGAAGAGCTGTGTTCATAGGTGTGGAGACAAGTAAAGAGCTTTCTGACGAGTCAGAAGCTGGTCATGGGAAGGAAATGAGGGCATCTCCTAGGTAAAGGAATTTTTATTTTCTCACTGGATTTCTTCTCACTTTAAACTGGTTCTTTTGTGTTCTTACTTGGCTGGGAATGTCTGGAAGTCAGCACTCCAGCTGCTGAACTCCAGAACTCAGAAAAGATGCACATAAATAGACTTTGGTTGCAGCATGAAATATTGGGTTAGACATCAAGAGGGACTTTCTAGTCAATGAGATTGTGTAGGCAGAGGAAGAAATGGAGGAAAATCATAAAACTTTCTACTCTGTGGGAAAGGTAGTTTTCTGGGAGGCACTCCAGCGCCTTTGGGTGAGACCTTGTGCCACGTTCCCGGAGGCCTGGGTGGCAGCAATGAAAGGAGGAAGTGAATGCAGCCCTGATGGCAGGCTACTGAGGACAACGCAGCACTGCTCTCCCATTTTACAGCTGCAGAAACCGAGGCAAGATCCTGCAACAAATATTTACAGAAGGTGTCTGCATGCCAGCCTTATTCTGAGTTCTGAGGACACCGCAGTGAGGGAGGCAGAGTACTAGCAAACAAGGTCATGAATATGGAATGTGATATTGTGCAATGATGGGGCTGGACAAGGAAGTGAGCGGTAGGGAGGGATGGAAGCTGCTGTTGAAAGAATGGTCAGGGAAGGCCTCTTTGGGGCAGGGTCATGTGAGATGAAATGACTCACCCAGGGTCATTTAGACCCCAGATACAATTGAGTCTGCTTCCCTGGCTCCTAGTCAGGGGTTCCTCCAGGGTGTTTTTGGGCCTAAGTAACAGAAAACCCAACTCAAAAAGGCTTACGCCAAGAAAAAAAAGTTTGTCTAAAAAAATCCAAGGGTAGAACTTGTTTCAGGAATGTCTTGATCCAGGATCTCAAATCACATTGCCAAGCCCTGCCCTCTCTTATGTCTCTGCCTCTTCCACAAGGGTTCTAACTCCCAGGCTCCCTGTGGGAGCAGGAAGGTGACAGTGTTTCCAGGCCCACGGCTCCCAGGTTCAAGCTGGCAAGAAAGAGCTGCTCCATCCTCATCCATTTGAACAAAAATGCTGGGCCTGACTCCCTCAGCCAGGTTTGGGTAACAGACCCGCTTTCTGAACCAATGGGAATAGCTAGGGGGATTTTCTGCATGGACTGGGCAGGCTGTGTCCCAGGCCCATCCTGGAGCCCTGGGCTGTGGGAAGGGAGGGAGCATCCCCAGGTGAAGTTTTGACCCTTGTTAGCAAAGGAGGAAGGATGATTCAGGCCGGCCCCAACCTAGCCATGAAAGTGCTGCCTGGCCCCCTCTCTGTACTGTGTCCACATCCATCATTTCCCCCAGGCTTTATTGAGCACCTGCTGTGTGCGTCCATCTCTGTTTCCCAGAGCTTAGACTTCAAGGTATAGGAATTGTTTTGTTTTCATTTTTTTTTATAATCCTCCAAGATCTTCCAGTCTACTTGAAGAAACAAAAGCCACATCCTGTTTTTTATCCTGTCTTTTTGTGGCTTGCTCATGGCATGAATTTTCTAGCTGTCAACAAAGGGAGGGGCGCTTTTGGGCTGGAGGAGTCAAGAGGCCTTCAGGAAAAAGGAGGGCTTTTGATACATTTTCTTTCTTTCCTTCCTTTCTTTCCTTCCTTCCTTTCTTTCTTTTCTTTCTTCTTTCTTCTTTCTTTCTTTTTTTTTTTTTTGAGACAGAGTCTTTCACTGTTACCTGGGCTGGAATGCAGTGGCCTGATCTCAGCTCACTGCAAACTTTGCCTTCTGGGTTCAAGTGATTCTCCTGCATCAGCCTCCCCAGTAGCTGGGATTACAGGTGTCTGCCACCACATCCAGCTAATTTTTTGTATTTTTAGTAGAGATGGGGTTTCACCATGTTGGCCAGGCTGGTCTCGAACTCCTGACCTCGTGATTTGCCCGCCTTGGCCTCCCAAAGTGTTGGGATTACAGGCGTGAGCCGCCACGCCTGGCCCAGTGCATTTTCAAGGGTGGCTTATATCAGGAGAAGGTTGACAGAGGCTAGAACTTGATAGTGCATGCAGGCTATGGTGAGCGGGACACACACCGTGTGATTATGACTTTTTGGGATGTGTGGTTAAAATGTGTGTAGTTCTTGAACCACTGAGGTTTATAAGATTATAAGGCAGGACACAGGCACATGTTTATCTTAGTAGTCAGGTATTTATTCCAAGTTTATGTTAGAAGCAACTATGTTATTAACTTATCAGACCTGGATAACATTGTTCAGGATGAAACTAAAATTAACAAAAAATAAAAGTGGCAGGGAGTCCATTTAAACAAATATCATACATATAGGTGGTAGCAGACATGGCAAAAATGTTGTTATGAGAATGAGTAAGGCTGGGCGCAGTTGCTCACGGCTGTAATCTCAGCACTTTGGGAGGTCAAGACGGGCGGATTGCTTAAGGTCAGGAGTTCGAGACCAGCCTGGCCAACATGGTGAAACCCCATCTCTACTAAAAATACAAACATTAGCCAGGCATGGTGGCGCATGCCTGTAATCTCAGCTACTCGGGAGGTTGAGGCAGGAGAATCACTTGAACCCAGGAGGCGGAGGTTGCAGTGAACAGCGGTCCCGACCCTGCACTCCAGCCTTGGTGACAGAGCAAGACTCCATCTCAAAAAAAAAAAAAAAAAAAAGTAAGTTTTGGGAAATGCTGGTCTAGCCCTCAGATTCTGGAAGCAGAAAGACATGGATTCAAATCTCAGACCCACCCCACATGTACAGTGAAGCTTTGGGCCAGCTGCTTCACCTTTCTAGCCCTCAGTTTTCTGACCAGTAAAATGGGGCTGAGAATGGGATAGGAGCAGTCTCACGGGAGATGTTCAGGAATCTCTGAGATGTGGTTATGTGAAATGCCTCTTCTCCAAGGGGACATTCAGTAAGTTAACTCTCCATAATCTGGATTATTTTTCCCAGGAAAGAAAGAAAAAAAAAAAAGGCCGTCCAGCTACATGTGCAGGAAGTGCAAGGGCCAGAGGTGGGAAGGAATGTGGCAGGTTAGGGAGACTGCTGCAGTGGGGTGGGGTGGTCCCTGCAGGAGAGAGCAGGGATGGTGTTGTGTCAGGGAGGAGAGGATTTGCAATTTTACAGGAAACCTATGGAGTAAATAAGCCTCCTCTGGGACTACATGTGGTACCTTGGAGGACGGGCTTACCTGTTTCACCCAAATCTCTTTTTGCTCCCAGCAGACCTCTGAGCGCCACTGTCCACCGCAGCCTGGGGCTGGGCTCATCTCTCCCCCATCCAGAGCTTTCTGTGCAGACAGATTCTGGTGAACCTGGGTTGGGCTCCATAGATTTAATCTATGTTGTTTATCTTTTAAACACCATTAACCACAAATTAGCTGATTCTTTTGTGGCTATAAATTAATAGATTCCATTAGTGAACAGCAAATTACAGGATGATTACTTTTCCTCCCTGAACTTGGAGCTTTTTTTTATAGCTTTTTGAGAGGGTTTGGTTCTGTCCTCTTCCTGCTGCCGCTTTCCTATCTAGGTTCTTTGTTCATTGGACCAAATCTTCTGAATGGCCCGGGAGGCTGAGAGTGGGTGACATGGACTATCTTTGTAATGAGGTTATAAGCCTGTTCGCTTTGCAGAAGCAAAACTGACTGGAGGTTTGTTTTCAAGAGAATTTTTGTTTCAATCACAGACCAAACCAGCAAAGTTGCCACCTCCTTTTACTCCTGCGTATAACATAAACACATCGTATTTGCTTTTTCTTCCATAGCTTTGTTACTTCTGAGGCCTCATTCTGGTAAATACTGGATAATCTTTTCTTTCTATCCATCTGTCTATCCATCCATCGATTCCCTTATCCATCCATCCTCCTCTATCCATCTGTCCACCCATCCATTCATCTACCCTTCCTCCCTCCCTCCCTTCTTTCCTTCCTTCCTTCCTTCCACCTGTTCCTGTTCCTTCATCCTCCCATTAAGACACAGCTGCCCCTACAAAGCTCAGCTGAGGGTCTGGCTGGAGCTGCCAGGAGGGGCACTGATCCCACTACATCCATCTGCCACGTCCTAAAGCATTCGGGTAGTGACATCGGGCTAATTTTTGGAACCCGTAGCTGCACACCTGTTATAGGATGGCAACCAATGTGCTCTCAGGTGCTAGGCAGGTAACTTAAACAACTAGGTAGGTAGGCAAAAATAAGTCTCAGGGCTTCAGTGAACTGTGGGGTTCAAACCACTCCTAAGACTTTCTAATTCAAATAAAAAATAATTTTTTTTTTTGTTTTTGAGAAAGGGTCTCACTTTGTTGCCCAGGCAGGAGTGCAGTGGCATGATCATGGTTCACAGCAGCCTTTGTCACCTGGGCTCAAGTGATTCTCTCACCTCAGCCTCTTGAGTAGCTGGGACCACAGGTATGAACCACCAAGCTCAGCTAATTTTTGTATTTTTTGTAGAGACGGTTTCACCATGTTGCCCAGGCTGGTCTCAAACTCCTGAGCTCAAGCAATCTGCCCATCTCAGCCTCCCAAAGTGCTGGGATTACAGTTGTGAGCCACTGCTTTCAGCCAAAATGCAGTATCTTTAGAGTTTGGGGTTGGGTTTGTGACTTTTGACATATCAATCAGAATTCTTTAGTTGCAAGCAACAGAAATGGACTCTTCTAGGCTGAATAATGCCTCCCCCACCCCCACCAAAGATGTCTATGATCTCATTCCTAGAACCTGTGAATCTTACCTTACAAAGGGACTTTGCCGATATGGTCAAGTTAAGGATTTTGAGATGAGGAGATTATCCTGGATTATTAAGGTGGGCCCACGGAATCGCAAGGGTCCTTGCGAAGGGGAGGCAGGAGGGTCAGTCCAGAGTAGGAGATGTGCTGGAGGCAAGGAAGGAGCCAGGAGCCAGGGAAAGCAGGCGGCCTTTGGAAGCCGGGAGAGGCAAGGAAACAGATTCTCTCCACTGTTTTCAGCAAGAACGCAGCCCTACTGATGTTTGACTTGAGTCTAGTGAGGTTGATTTTGTCCTTCAGACCTCCAGAACTGTAGGAGAATACATTTGTGTTGTTTTGAGCCACAGAGTTAGTAGTAATTTGTTCCCACACCAATAGGAAACCAATACACTAGCAAAAAAGGAATTTTTTTTTTTTTTTAAGACAGAGTCTCACTCTGTTGCTGAGGCTGGAGTGCAGTGGCATGATCTTGGCTCACTGCTACTTCTGCCTCCCAGGTTCAAGCGATTCTCCTGCTTTGGTCTCCTGAGTAGCTGGGACTACAGGTGTATGCCACCACGCCCAGCTAATTTTTGTATTTTTAGTAGAGACGAGGTTTCACCATGTTGGCCAGGATGGTCTCAAACTCCTGACCTTAAACTCCTGATCTGCCTACCTCAGCCTCCCAAAGTGCTGGGATTACAGGCATGAGCCACCGTGCCTGGCTGAAAAAAGAAATTTATTAAGAGAACTTGTAGTAGCCTCTAACTCCAACTAAAAACAGAAACTCCAAAAGGGAGTTCCAGAGGGAGCTGTGGCTCTAGAGAGCAGGCACAAAGAACAGTCCCGCAGGGCACCTCCGCTGGGATGAAAATCAGCATTTCCCATCCGTTCTGAGGCTGCTCAAAATTCAAGTTCCAAGGAGAGAGTCTGGCTGAACTTGGGGCCAGTGCCCATGCCTTGGAGAGGGAGGACATCATAACTGAGAGTCTTGGTGGGCTGGAAGTTGCCCAGAGCACAATCAGATGCCATGACTGGAAGAAGGGGTCAGCGCCCGTCCATGGGAAAGAGAGCCGATCACTCATTTTGAGTCTGTTGCCCACCCTTTGTCCAGTCTGCTTTGGCCAGGGTGGGGGCATGGACAACCAGGATGGCAGTTGGGACCCTCCTCTTTAAGGACAAGGGCTGGGCAGACACACTGCTGTGGCCTAGATCATTCCCAGCTATGTTCTACCCTTAGTAAGCCCAGCTGTGGGTGCTTTCTGATTAGAAATCTGAATTCTCAGCCTCGGGGAGGGCGGTCCAGCCCTACTGACCTCAGCTTGTGGTCTGCACCCCATGCTGATTCTTGCTGGGATTAGGGTCACCGTCTCCTAACTGGCCCCGGTTTTGGAACTTTTCTCTCTAGCCTCCCATCTTTCCAACATGTGTCCAGTTTTCTTCCACAATATAAACACATTAATTCTTCCCGGAGTGCTGAGGGGCCATGACCATGATGATCTCAACACTCTGGGCATTTTGGGCCAGATGATTCTCTGCTGGGGTGCGGTGGGAACATCTCTTGTACATTGTAGGATGTTGAGCAGCACCTCCAGCCTCAACCCGCAAGATGCCAGCAGCACCCTCCCCGAGAGTGTGACAACCAAAAATGTCTCCAGATGTTGCCAAATGTCAAGGGCAGTACCGGCCCTGCTTGGGAACCTCTGGTTGGAAGGATCTCTCTATTTCCACCACCTCTCCCACCATCCCAGCATCCCTCCCTCAGCCACGGTTATCATTGGTGTCTCAGTTCCCACCCTTGATTTCTTCCAGTCTATTCCCCAGAACCTGCCAGGGAGATGTTTTCTGGAAAGAAAACCTGATCTCCCGTCACTCCTTTGTCTGAAACTCTTCTAGTCTCCATGGTGCTCTTGGCTAACATCCCACCATTCGCTGTCTCCTATCAGCTCTTCCAATTTCGCCAGCCTCATGGCCCATGCCCCTCCCCGCTCCCCTTTAAGCTTCAACCACACACTGACCTTCTCTGGGTCCCCTACTGGGTTTTTCCACTCCAGGGCCTTTGCACATTCTGTTTCCTCCCTTTTTTTTTTTTTTTTTTTTAAGACAGAATCTTGCTCTGTCACTCAAGCTGGAGTGCAGTGGTGCAATCTCAGCTCACAGCAACCTCCGCCTCCTGGGTTCAAGCCATTCTCCTGCCTCAGCCTCCCCAGTAGTTGGGATTACAGGGGCGCACCATCATGCCCAGCTAATTTTTGTATTTTTAGTAGAGACGGGGTTTCTCCATGTTGGTTAGGCTGGTCTCGAACTCCTGACCTCGTAATCCACCCACCTCAGCCTCCCAAAGTGCTGGGAGTATAGGCGTGAGCCACCGTGCCTGACCATTTTTTTTTTTTTTTTTTTTTTTGAGATGGAGTCTCACTCTGTCACCCAGACTGCAGTACAGTGGTGCGATCTCGGCTCACTGCAGCCTTCACCTCCCAGGTTCAAGTGGTTCTCTGCCTCAACCTCCCAAGTAGCTGGGATTACAGGCACCCGCCACCACGCCCGGCTAATTTTTGTATTTTTAGTAGAGACAGGGTTTTGCCATGTTGGCCAGGCTGGTCTCCAACTCCTGGCCTCAAGTGATCTGCCTGCCTTGGCCTCCCAAAATGCTGGGATTACAGGTGTGAGCCACCATGCCCAGCCTGTTTCCCCTCTTTGGAAAACTCTTCCTGCCACTCTTTCCTTCATTAACTTACTCATCTTTGAGACCTGTTTCACTTAGGAATGCTTTTGGCTAAAATTATAGTGGTTTAAACAAAAACAGACATATTTTTCTCCCATAACAAAAAATCTGGAGGCGGCTGGTTTCTAGTATTGGTTCTGTGACTTGGGGCTGCTATCTCTGCGATTCTCTTTGCTGTTCCCTCAGGGTCACAAGACGGCTGCCTCAGCTCCAGCTATCTCATTCCCATTTAAGGCAGGAAGAAGGACAGTGGAGCCAGCTGACTTCAGCTTGCATCTCATTAGTCACAATTGTTCATGGCAACCCCAGCTGCAGTGGAGGCTGGGAAAGTGTTTAATTCTTGCAGCCTTGATAGAAGGAATGAGTAAAGGAGAATGGGGTTGGGAATGGCTGTCCATTAAGTATTGGTTTAAATGTCACTTCCTCCAGGAAGCCTCTCTTGATTCCCTAAACCAGGTCTGATAATCCTATTACATGCTCTCCTTGTAGATAGTACCTCTCTGTCATACCCTTATCACCACCTATAGTTTTTTTTTTTTCAATTTTTTTTTTTTTTTGAGATGGAGTCTCACTTTGTCGCCCAGGCTGGAGTGCAGTGGCACAATCTCAGCTCACTGCAACCTCCGCCTCCCGGGTTCAAGCGATTCTCGAGTGTCTCAGCCTCCTGAGTAGCTGAGATTACAGGCGTATGCCATCATGCCCAGCTAATTTTTGTATTTTTAGTAGAGACGGGGTTTCATTCTGTTGGCCAGACTGGTCTCTTACTCCTGACCTCAAGTGATCCACCTGCCTTGGCCTCCCAAAGTGCTGGGATTACAGGCGTGAGCCACCATGCCCTGTCTAAAACCTATAGTTTATTAATTTGCTTGTATAATCGATTAATAGGCATCTGTTTCTTCTTGGGGCTGGGAGTTTAGTTCATGAGTTCACTCCTGTTTCTCTAGCCCCTAGCATTGTGCCTGGCACCCAGTAGGGCCTCAGTAACTATTTCTGGTCTATACTAACTGCTGCCAAGTAATTCTTCCCGGAGCACTGAGGGACCATGACCTTGGCTGGCCCAGGACCCCCTCTGACTCCCAGGGGAAGGACAGACAAGAACCTCCTTTAATCAGGTGCCTCCCCAGCAGTGGCCAAGCCTTGCTCTGGCAAGCTTTCTATGCCGCCCAGGTTTCTGGAATGGGTCCATCAGAGTTTCAATTGCACCTCTGTTGGCCACAGCATTGATAAGGAGAGGAAGCTTGTATGCAGATCAGTTCTGAGATACTGCACAGAAAGGAAGCTACTTCTGTTGCGTCACCCTGTGCCCTGGGAGGATTGAGGATCCGCAGGACCCAGGGCTGATCCCCACCCACCTCATCTCTGGCTTCTGCCTGCCAGGTGGGACTTTTAGGTTTTCTTATTTCTTTTTATTAATTGATCCAGTTATTTCACATGTGATTTGTAATTTTCACTTAAAATGGAAAATGTGAGTGACATCAAGCATTGGCTTTCTGCATATTTATTGGGTATCCATTGTGGGCTGGTGGTGGAAATTCAGAGGTGAACAGGAGGTTGCTGCCATCCTTGCCCCCTTAGGAACTGCAGTTCAGCTTGGGAGACAGACAAAGGCATTAATCACAGATATAGATAAATGAAAAATTGCAACTCTCATAAGCCTTGTGAAAGAGAAGAAATGAAATAGATATAATTTTGTATTTGTCCATTATGCCTTAATAAAGCTGGGGGAAAGAAGAGAAGAAATGGTGCCAGAGAGTCTATGAAAGGGATTCTCCTTAGGGAAGTTAGAAGAGGCTTCCCTGAAGCTGCAATGAAATGAGCTCATGCAGGAAGGAAAATAGGGGCCAGACAGGTGAGCAGGCCCAGAAGGTGCGTTTCAGGCCACGGGAAGAGCCAGGGCAAAGGCCCTGGGATGAGGCTTAACATGCCACAGTGGTTTCCTGAGCTGTTACAACAAATTTCCATGAACTTAGTGGCTTAAAACAACAGATATTGATTCTCTCACAGTGCTGGAGGCCAGAAGTCTGAAATCCAGGTGTCAGCAAAGCCATGTTCCTCCTGGAGGCTCTAGGGGAAAGATCCTTCCTTGCCTCTTCCAGCTTCTGATGGTTGTCAGCAACCCTTGGCGTTCCATGGTTTGAAGACGCCTTACTCCAGTCTCTTCCTTTTTCACACGGCCTTCTCCCCTGTGTCCCGGTGCCTCAAACCTCCTTTTTCTTTCTTTCAAAAAGACACAAGTCGGCCAGACGCGGTGGCTCACGCCTGTAATCCCAATACTTTGGGAGGCCGAGGTGGGCAGATGAGGTCAGGAGTTCGAGACCAGCCTGGCCAACATGGTGAAACCCTGTTTCTACTAGAAATATAAAAATTAGCCAGGCCTGGTGGCGGGCACCTGTAATCCCAGCTACTCAGGAGACCGAGGCAGGAGAATCGCTTGAAAGTGGAAGGCGGAGGTTACAGTGAGCCGAGATTGTGCCACTGTACTCCAGCTTGGGTGAGAGAGCGAAATTCTGTCTCAAAAAAAAAAAAAAAAAAAAAAAAAAAAAAAAAAAAAAAGACACAAGTCATTGGATTTAGGGCCCATCCTAAATCCAGGATGATCTTGTATCAAGGTCTTTAACTGAATTACTCCTGCCAAGACCCTTTTTCCAAGTATTGTTTCATTCACAAGTATGGGGGGTTAGGACTTGGACATATGTTTTTGGGGACATTATTCAATTCACTACATGAGTCTGAGAAATTGAAAGCAGACTCACATGGATGGATTGTAAGGAGCCCGGGGTCCTGGCATGGGCTGAGGCAAATCTCACAGGCATGAAGCCATGCTAAGGGGACTGGAGCTGCTAAAGGACTTTATGAAGGAAAGTACCGGAATTTGATTTGTTCTTTATAACAATCTCAAGGGCCACAAAGTATAGAATTTACAGGAGGGGGCAACATGGGTGAGGGCGATCTATTAAGAGGTTGCTGAAGCTATCAGATGAAATGCTGGTGTCTGTGTCTTTGTTTAGGGACTGAAGGGCCAGATGGAGAAAGAAAAACACATGTAAGGGGTATTTTGGAGATGATGGATTTGATCTGGAGTGTGAGGAAGAGAGAGGGGTCAAGGATAACTTCTGCATTTCTTTCTTTGCTGTGAAACTATTTGGGATGTGGACTTTTGGGAGAGGTGCAGATTTTGGGGGAAGATCTTGAGTTCAGTTTTGAATCTGTTGAGTTTGAGGTGTCTGTGGTTGATGGCTTTCACAAATGGTCCCACTTATTCTCTCCCAGTGTTCACACCCCTTTGCAATGTGACTTTGCAGTTCCTCCATTGAATGGAGGAGTCAATTTTCACATCCCTGGGCTGGCCTTGTGACATGTTTGGCCTGCAGGATGTGGAAGACGGGACACCCTGCCAGCTATAAGCCTGTCTCAGGAGTCCTTACAAGCTTCCACTAACTCTTTTAGAGCCCTCCAGGATCTCCAAGTGGACAGGCTCATGCTGACCTGTTGAATGATGAGAGACCACATGGAGCAAGATGAGCCATCCCAGCTGAGCCCATCCTAGGCTACCTGGCTCTAGCTGACCTTGAATGAGATCAGCCAAGATCAAAATAACTATCCAGCTAATTCCAGCCTGAGTTACTAACTTCAGAATCATGAGCAAACTAGCTGGATTTTAGGGATGGTTTATTATGCACCAGTAGCTGATAAAGTCCCTTGAGCCAGCCAAATAGAGATGGGAAAAGGCAATCAAGTAGTTGGACGTACAAGTATAGGGTTCAGATTTGAGATTTAGGTAGGAGAAACAAATGTGTGTATCTCCTGGATAGAAGGAATAAGTTTGTGAAGGAGACAGAAAAGGAGTGGCTGGAGAAGTGGCAGAGAAACTAGGAGAAGCCACAGAAGGAAGAAGTTGTGGACAGTGTCAGCTCCTGCTGAAGGTTTAACTGGATTTTAAAGCAAGGGACAGCATGAGCACAGTGAGTGGAGGCATGGCTGGAGATGGCCCAGAGATCCCTCACCTGTTAGGGTGAAGCCAAAGCCTGACCCTGAAAAGTTCTCGATCGTCTATTTACAATTTGCTTAGTTTTTTGGGAAGAATTGATTTTTGATTGCACAAGTGAGGTGATTGCAAAAACAGCCACAGATTCTTCCCATCCCTGTTTGTGTGCCCTTTGCAATGACTTTGCAGGAACTTTCAAGAGGTATCCACCCCATGTATCTGGCTGGAACACATGACTTGCTTTGGCCAATGGGACAATAACAGCCATGACTTAAGTAGAGGCTTGAAGAGTGTATGCATGAAGCTTCCTTCTGTGTTCTCAGGATCCCTGCTATGGCCCCAGCGTGAAGAAGCCAAGACTAGCCTGCTGGGTAATGAGAGATAGATGGCCCAGTGATTCCTGCTTCCTAGCCAATAGCCAGCAAGCCCCAGAAGCAGAGCCACCTAGGTAAATGGCAGATGACTGCAGACACTTGGAGGAGCCCACCCAAGATCAGCAAAAGAACTGCCCAGTTGAGCCTGGCCCAAAATGCTGACCCTCAGAATCATCAGCTAAATATGCAATTTATATTTTAAGCCACAGTTTCTTATCCATAGAGTGGAAGTAATAATAGTGTTTTCTTACTAGGGTTTTTATATAGATTAATTAGAGTAACTGAGACATGTAAAGTTCTGAAAACAACACCTCGCACAATAAATGTTGATTCTTCTTTTATAATAATAATCACCACCATCTCCTCCTCCTCCTTCCACCATATTTCCAGATATAGAAAAATCCACTTTGTAGTCTTTCTGCTACTGAAGAACATTTAGATTATCTGTGTTTTTGCCATGAACATCCTTGTACTTGCCTCTTTGAGTGTTTCTGCAAGTTTGTCTCCAGGGTAGATACGGAGAAGGAGAAGAACTGGATCATAGAGCATATGTGTCTTGAATTTTAAAAGATATTCTCAAATTTATGCACCTCCCAGCAGCAAGGGGGCTCCCATTTCCTCCACACTCACACCTGTACTTGCTGTCACCAGAAATGCTGCCTCTCTGTTTTACTTTGCCTTGCTCCAACTTCTCGTGAAGTTGGCCGTCTTTTGCATGTTTGTTGTTTGTGGTTCCCTTAAATGGGCTGACTTCCCTTCAGAGCCTCTTCCCTCGGGAAACCCTGCCTCTCACATAGGCCCCAACTTGGGTCATTTATATTCCTCCCTGTTCCAGTGAAGTCTCTGAATTGTAAGGAGCAGAACCCAGATAGGTAGTTCAAGTAAGAAGAGGGTCTGCTGAAAGAAGCTGGCAAAATCTCATGGAACTCAAGGCAGGAAGGATGGGCCCAGTTCTTACAGAAACTGGGCAGTTGTTATTTCTTTTTCTCTGGGACCCTGCGGGCTCTCTCCTCTCTCTCTGCCCCTTCCCCTTCTTCTTCCATCATTAACCTGATCTGTTCAATTGCTGGAGGAAGGAACCTGATTGGATGAGCCCTGTCAGTGGGTTGGCTCCCTTTTGGTCCGGTGCTCATCCTGCCCAGTTGGCTGCAGCTGCTTGGAGCACAGGGCTCCTGCTCCCTCTCCCTCTCCCTCTCCCTCTCCCTTTCTTCTTCCTCCTCTTCCTCCTCCTCCTCCTTCTTCTTCTTTTTCTTTTTCTGATGGAGTCTTGCTCTGTTGCCCAGGCTGCAGTGCAGTGGTTCAATCCCGACTCACTGCAACCTCTGTCTCCTGGGTTTAAGCAATTCTTGTGCCTCAGCCTCCTGAGTAGCTGGGATTACAGACACTGGCCACCCAAAGTGCTGGGATTACAGGCATGAGCCACCACACCTGGCCAAGGCTGCCTTTTCTGGCCATGGGTGAAACACGTAGCTTAGGCACACCCAGGGGACTCTATCCCGGGAGTGGGCCAACACTGTTTCCCAGGCAGCATGAGTCCTGAATTCATTCAACATAAAAAAAAAAATCAAATCAGAAAGAAAAGAAAGAAGACAAATTCTTCCAGCCACATCTAATACAGGAAAAGGAAATATTTGCTTTCCCTACAGATTTTCTGGTCAGTTGCCTATGGTAGATTTTTTTTTTTTAATGGAGTCTCACTGTATTGCCCAGGCTGAGTGCAGTGACGCTATCCCAGCTCACTGCAAGCTCCACCTCCTGGGTTCACGCCATTCTCCTGCCTCAGCCTCCTGAGTAGCTGGGACTACAGGCACCCGCTACCACGCCTCTCTAATTTTTTTTTTGTATTTGTAGTAGAGATGGGGTTTCACCGTGTTAGCTAGGATGGTCTCAAACTCCTGACCTCGTGATCCACCCACCTCAGCCTCCCAAAGTGCTGGGACCACAGGCATGAGCCACTGCACCCGGCCGGATATTTTTTTTTTTTTTAAGATGGGTTCTTACTCTGTCACCCAAGCTGGAGTGCAGTGCCACAATCATGGCTCACTGCAGCCTCAACCTTCCAGGCTCCAGCAGTCCTCCCACCTCAGCCTCCCAAGTAGTTGGGACTACAGGCACATGCCATCACACCTGGCTACTTTTTGTATTTTTGATAGAGTTGGGGTTTCTCCATGTTGGCAAAGCTGGTCTCAAACTCCTGGGCTCAAGCGATCTTCCTGCCTCAGCCTCCCAAGGTGCTGAGATCACAGGTGTGAGCCACCGTGCCTGACGTATGGTGGAATTTTAACAATGCCAAATGCTTAGGGCCGACCTTTTGGTCTAGGAACATGGAAATGTTACGTGTAGCCACCAGGATTAAATGAAGAGAAAGTCGGCTAGTGGGTGTCCTGATAGAGTACCTCATTCCCAGCTCTTACTTGGAATTTTTGGGTTGATTCGCATGGCTGCTTCTCAAAAACTTTCTTCTCACGTGGTGGCCAGGACTTTGTGGGCCTAAGCCCCGTCCAGAGCTGTGGCGATCTCCCGGGCACTCGAATTTCATTTCTCCTTGGCCGTGTTCCTGGTACTTCAATAAAAAAAATCTGAAAAGCACGGGGAGTTTATCTCTTCAGCTACAAATGTCTTTCATTTCTCCGGAAAGAAATGAAAACACACACTGCCATGTAATGATGTTTACCGAAAAAAACAATCTCCCTGTAAAATCAACAGACAAAACCTGTATAAAATGGATCATTCAGCGGCTTCCTTGCAAACTCTACACCTTAATCCCTGCCACCAGCCTGTGCACCTTGAGCTCTTTGGCATTTTGTTTGTTTTACTTTCTTGAAAGCGCATGAGTGGAAAGAGGCATGTCCACAATTGTGTGGGTGAGCAGCGAGGAGACATTCTCCAAATAGCTCATCAGAGCATCCATCAATAGACGTTTTTCTCCTCGGCTCATGGCAGCGAATCAAATATTTAAATGTGATTTTTAGACTTAAAGGCACATGAAGCAATTTGTTTGACGAAGGAGGGAGTGGGTTGGAAAACTCTGCTCTGATGATGGGGAGAATTTTCTGCAGGGCTGAAGCTAACTCACCTGTGACACATGTTGCCTACAAATTGGGGTGCCCCTATCATGTAACAAAGGCCCCTTTGTGGAGGGGGTCAAGGCTGCACCCCATCAGTGGGCTCGGGGGCTGTAGTCTCCTTGGCGACAAGTCCTTTGCCCTGACAACGTCCACCTCCCGGGGATGTTCCCCACGGCAGCTTTTTGAGTTGAGTGCTGACAACTCCGATTTGCCAGCGAAGGGGGAAAAAATCAAAAATGATTCATCCGCCTGCTCAGCGTAGTGGGAAAGGGACTGACGGGGCCTTCAGCCGCTCGGCATCTCACCGTGGCAGAGGGAAATGCTAACAGGAGCAGACAACCACGGTGGAACTGGGGGTTGGGGGCACAGGAGCAGGAGAACGGAACACGAGAGGATCTGAGAGGGGCACGCCAAGTGGGTTCAGGCAAGAGACCCCGAGAGGCTCGTTTCGCCAAAGCATCACCTTGGGAGCCCCGCACCTGCCTCGTCTGGGCCAGTGCTCCCCGAGGTTGGTGGTCCTATGAGAGCTGCCGTTCTTAGGCTGGGACTGGTAGCCCCAATGTAATTTGGTACCCAGGTGGACATTTTTATTACAAAAATGCATAGTAGTGAAAACACAACTAGCATCCAAAAATTATGCTTTCAGGTGCTATTTTTTTTTTAGTAGAAATAACGACAATCCTTACCCGGGAAGCAGTCATTATTGCTGGCCAGGCCATGTTCCAAGTGATAAGCACAAGCCTCTGTTTTTATGGATGGGCGAATGCATACAGGTCTAAGACTCCAGTGGTTGGCCGGGCATGGTGGCTCACGCCTGTAATCCCAGCACTTTGGGAGGCCGAGGTGGGCGGATCACTTGAGCTCAGGAGTTGGAGACCAGCCTGGCTAACATGGCGAAATCCCATCTCTACAAAAAATACAAAAATTAGCTGGGCCTGGTGGTGCACGCCTGTAATCTCAGCTACTTAGGAGGCTGAGACACTCGAGAATCACTTGAACCCGGGAGGTGGAGGTTGCAGTGAGCCGAGATCGCGCCACTGCACTCCAGCCTGTGTGACAGAGCAAGACTCCTTCTCAAAAAGAAAAGAAAAAAAAAGACTCTAAAGAGTCCCATGAAAAGTTACCAACATTCCCATGTTACAGATGAGAAAGCCACCGATGCCAAAGAAATTACATCAATTTCTCCACACTCATCGTCCCAGGTGTTGATTTGTTGATTTTTATAAACCAATCATAACCAGTTCAGCCTTTTTTTTTTTTTTTTTTTTTTGAGACGGAGTCTCGCTCTATCGCCCAGGCTGGAGTGCGGTGGCACGATCTCGGCTCACGGCAAACTCCGCCTCCCGGGTTCGCGCCATTCTCCTGCCTCACCCTCCTGAGTAGCTGGGACTACAGGCGCCGCCACCACGCCCGGCTGATGTTTTGTATTCTTAGTAGAGATGGGGTTTCACCGTGTTAGCCAGGACGGTCTTGATCTCCTGACCTCGTGATCCGCCCGCCTCGGCCTTCCAAGATGGTCTCGATCTCCTGACCTCGTGATCTGCCCACCTTGGCCTTCCAGGATGGTCTCGATCTCCTGACCTCATGATCCGCCCCCGCCTCGGCCTCCCAAAGTGCTGGGATTACAGGCGAGAGCCACCGCGCCCGGCCAGTTCAGCCTTCTTCTCCCTCCACACGCCATCCGGGGGGTGCTCAGTGGAGACCTGTTGACTCACAGCTCTGTCAACTCATGAGCCCCGTGTGTTTCCCGTCCTTTTTCTTGGGCCGACTGTATGACTTGGCTTATGTAAACCCGGCTCATCAAAATCGTAACAGATGTCTATCCCACAGCAAGGCTCACGTTCCCTCTTCCAGAAAAGCCTGCTTTTCTACATTTAGGAAATGGTGACGCAGGTAAAACACAGCAATTTGATCAGTCATGGTTTAGAAAGCATTTCACCTTCTGTGGGGTCAATTCCAAGGCAACAGGCAAGCTTGGGAATGTGTGCAGTCCCAGGCAAGGCGTCTGCGTGAACAGGGGAGCCCCCACCGTCAAGCTGCTGCCTTTAGCATCTCGCATTCCTAGCTCTCAGCTCCCCGCAGGACAAAAGGCTGCTTTCCTTCCCTGCCTCTGAGGTTAACAATCGGCCCATTCACACTCCCGACCTGTCTGGTAGCTGCTGGAAAACAGGTCCGTGCAACACAAGCAGGCACAATCCTCACACAAACATTTCCCCGCATTCTCGCACTGCCAATGCACTCAGCACACATCCACATACTCACACACAGACGCTTACACACATACACACACCCTTATGGTTATTGATGCACACCCAGACACACTCTCACATGCAAGCACACACTCTCATACACTTTTATACACAAACACAGTCTCACACAACACTCTCCCTCTACACACACACACACCCAGAAAATGCGAACTCACACACACACGCACACACATGCTTTCTCACACACATACACTTGCTTCTTCTGGGCCAGTGTTCCCCAAGGTTGGTGGGACTCGTGCACACACACTCTCACACACATGCTCATGCACTCACACACAGACACAGTCACACACACACACAGACACAGACACACTCTCATTCCTATGCACATGCACACACACTCCCCTCACACACTCACAGGCACACACTCCCTCCCCCCACACACTCACACACACACTCCCTCCCCCCACACTCACACACAGACACACTCACAGACACACTGCCTCCCGCACACACTCACACACAGACACATTCACAGACACACACTCCAACCCCGACACACTCACACACAGACACACTCACACACTCCGATCCCTACACACACACAGACACTCACAGATACTCCCTCCCCCACACACAGACACACTCACTCCCCCCCACAGACACACTCACAGACACACACTTCCTCCCCCTCACACACACAGACACACTCACACACACTCTGACCTCGACACACACTGAAAACCCTGGTAGGGACCAGGTGTGGATATGCAGATTTCATGGTCCAAGCTGAGGAAAACCTTGTAAATTGATGGTCAGTGAATTAATCAAAAAGCCTCTACTGGGCACCAGGCTGCAGGCTCCATGCTGGGGCCTGGGGAGCCCAAATCAGGAGAGAGGCGGTGGTGAGGCAGCTGGGCACAGACCGATGGATCAGGACCCACATCCCTCCAATCTCCAAGGACCTGGAGTCTCTTCTCAGCCTCAGTTTCCCCAGGTATAGTGACTCAATCCCCTCACTTCCTTCCTTTCTGTGGTGCCAAGGGGCTCGACACCCCTGGGCAGGGAGATGGGTGCCTTCTGATCCATGGTGAAGCCTTGCCTGGCTTGCTCTGGGAGAGGCAAGCAGGTAGCCAGCGCCTCAGAGGCACAGGGCCTTTGCAGCAGTGGCGCCACATGCCGGCAGCCTCCCCCAGGGTGAGGTGGCCTATTATACACACTGGCTCTGGGGCCAGGTGAGTGGCCTGTGTTCAAATCCTGCCTCTGCCACTTATAAGCTCAGCAGCCTTAGGCAAAATGCTGGGCCTCTCTGCAGCCGTCTTACTTGCAGGGCACGGATGATGCTGGCTCACCCGTTCCTCGGGAGAGTGAGTGAGTGAGTTCACAGAGAGCCCTGGGGACAGCGGGGGCTCAGCTCAGCACCCTGCCTCCTGCCTCAGGTTGGACCTTGTCCCTGGCTACCTCCTTCTCCCCCCAGCATGGCCCCTTATCTGGCCCTCCTTCCTCAGAGAGGCCTGCCCGGGCCACCTGGCGAGTGTAGCTTGGTCCCTGTGGCCTCATAGTACCCTCCTTTTTTTTTTTTTTTTTTTGAGACTGGCGTTGCTCTGTAGCCCAGGCTGGAGTGGAGGGGCACCACCATACTTCGCTGCAGCCTCAACCTCCCCAGGCTCAAGTGATCCTCCCACCTCGGCCTCCCGAGTCACTGGGACTGCAGGTGCACACCATCACACTCTGCTAATTTTCACATTTTTTGTAGCAATGGGATGTTGCCATGTTGCCCAGACTGGTCTCAAACTCCTGGGCTCAAGTGATTCTCCTGTTTCGGCCTCCCATAGTGCTGGGATTGCAGGGGTGAGCCACTGTGACTGGCCTCTCATAGCATCCTCTTTACCTCCTTGGCTGAGCTCGTCACAACTTACAACTTGATATTTATTCCTCTAGCCTTTTCCTTCCCCACTAGACTGTAAGGTCCGTGAGAGCAGGTCTGTCTGTTCCCCATGGTGTCTCCCCGGAGCCCAGCAGCGTGTTGGCCCACAGAAGGCACTGAGTACTTTCGTGCTGAAGAAGCTTCCAATAACCCTGACAGATGGAGAAGCAAATCCTGCTGTGTAGACCAAGAGGGGGAGGGGCTGCAGAGGCAGGGGGATTGGGGGTAAGACTGGATATTAGGAGACAGTGAGGAGAGGCAGTCACGCCCCGCCGGACAGCCGCCCACTTGCAGGGCACAGGCGGCATAAAGCAGTTTATTCAGGGAGCCCCAGGCCCACCAGGACAGCTGATCAAGGCAGGGACACGGCCAGCCACTGCGTTTTTGACACGACTTGCTGGCTCAGCCCTGGAGAACGTAATTATAAACCCCAACTCCACGAGGAGGAGGAGTTTCAGCCTCTTTTTCCCTGAGTATTTTGTGGAGCCCAAGGCCCAGGCCCGTGAGCCAACTCCCTGCAGGGTGGCTGAGCAGGCGCGGGTTTCTTTTCACCTTGCTCATTAGAGGATTAACAGTGAAGAAAAAAGCCATAAGGACAGCCACCGGGCACACACTGTCACCCGTGACCTCCTGCATCCCCCGGGGTTCTTCTTTCTGCCAGGGCAGACAGACATAGGCACCTCTCACCCTGGCTGCATGCAAATGGGCCTCAGTTTCCTGAATTGCTCACCTCAGGGGCGGTGCCAAGGGGAGATGAACATACAAATGAATGAACTAACATACTCTCTAAGTAAAAACCATGCTTCCTCTGTGAGTGGAGGCTTCAGACATGCCTAGGCTCCCCTTACATCTGGGCTTAGCCTTGAGCCCCTCCGAGGCAGAAATTCTGAAACCCCTTTGTCTCAACTTGAACTCAGGAGCCCTGTTTCTCCTCCATCCCTGTCCCTTCCTCCTACTCATTTGCCAAGTGACCTCGCAAACTCATAGAATGTCTCTGGAATAATACTTGCCCGACTGTCATCTCCTCCCTCTTACCTTCTCCACGGGATGTGAATTTCTGGTGACAAAACGTCCCTGCACCTTTAACCAAATCACTTCCAAACCTCACTGAGCCCCGACTTACTCATCTGCAAAATAAGACCGTGGCAGCGGAGCTCCCCACGCACACACCATGGCTCACAAAGACAGCGGGAATTTGGGGGAGCGCTCCTGGGGAGGTGGAGAACAGGTTAAAGGGGTGGGTGTGGTGGGATTAATTTGTTCCTCACAAGGTCTTCAGTGCTTCTGCTTTTAATTTCCTGTACCTCTTGGAAAGGGATTAACATCTTATTGCTCAAAGCAGTGACTGGGGAGAGGCGTGAGCAGGAAAGATGGTTCTAAGATGGAGTGAGTGTCTCAGGTGGGAGGGAGGCGGCTGGGGCCGAGGTGAGGCTGGGCTCTCTGGCTTTCCTGGCAGGGGAGTGCTTCCTCTTCCCTAGTTCACACCTGACCGGCCTGCTGAGCTTTCCACGGGCTGTGGGAGTGAACCCTCTAAGTTTTTTCCAGCCCTTCCTGCAGAGGTAATGTCTATCCTCGTGTGTGCCTCTAGGAGCTGCTGGATTAAAATAGTTAAATCAAGGAAGGACCCAGCCAAGCCATCCCCACCCATGGCTGGGGGCCTGTCCCAGGGCCAGCCTGCCTCCCGGGTGCTGTTTCCGGGTTTCCTGGGGAGCTTTCATCCCTGGGCACAGGGTGGTTTGTGCACAGCGAGGAGAGGAGGTGGGAGCCTGGCGGAGTCCAACCTGACCCCACTTGTTTGTTCCCTTCAGAGGCTTCTCTGCCCCTTCCCAGAGCTCCCTCTATGAAATAACTTGTTTGCTGAAAAAAAAACTTTCTTTACTCATTTTATTGCTGGTAAGTGTCCTGGTACAATAACTTATTGTGTGTTGGTCTGAAGTGAGGGTGGGGTGCGGAGAACCTTGGGAGCTCCAGCTGCCCCTTGCCCTCCCCCACTTGAACAGGTAAGACTTCCGAGATCAGAGGTGGAAGCTGGGAAGCCCTGGAGGCTCAGGAGCAAGCAGGAGCGAGTCTCCACTTGCCTTCAGCCTCTGCTTTTGAAGTGTGATTGCCTTGCAGATGGGCTCCACCCACACAACCGGCCCTTCCCTGGCAAAGGCTGGGCAACCGCTGCTCCCGCCCAGCATCCCCCAACCCACACCTCACCCCCCGCACCCCACATACACACATCTGTGCTCTGCGGATTCCCATGGAATCTTAAGGCCCTTAATAAGGAGTCCACACGCTGGGGCAAATGCACGATCTGAGCAGGTGTGTTCATCTGGGCTTCTAGTTGAAATCAAGTCTGAGGTCATTTCTGTTGGAAGAAGACTTACTCATTTATTCATTTATTAATTCATTCAACAAATATTGATTTACTGCCGACACCACATGGGCCACATGGCCATGCTGGGGATTAAGAAGAATGGGCTGGGGGTGAGCATAGCAGACACTCCTGCAGTTTGCCAGGGGAGAGAGACACGGAACAGATTCGAGAATAGGGGCAGACCAGGCACCTGCCATGTGCCAGGCACTCACCTGAGAGCTTTGCCTCTAGTATCGCATTTAATCTTCATAAGAACCTGATCCTGTAGGTTGATTGTTAGGATCCTCAATCAGGGAACCAAGGCTGACAGAGGTCAAGAGACTTGCCCGAGGTTGCTCAGCCAGTGAGGAGCAGGGCCTGGATTTGAATACGAGGTGCCTGGTTCAGAGGCCACACCTATAACCAGGACCCTGCATGCCTGTGATGAGTTCTTAATCGCCGTGAGAAGGCCAGGAGCGAACAGCAGGGTCTGCTCTGGGCGATTCTAGAAAGGGAACCTGATTCAGGCTGGAGATCAGCAAGACTGTCGGAGGAAACGCCCTTGAAGCTGCACTTGGAAAGATGGGGAAGAATCAGATGGGCCAAGAATGGAAGCATGTTCCAGGAAGAGTGAACGGCATGTGCCAAGGCCCCGAGGCAGAAGAACGTGGTATGTGGGAGGAATGCACGGAGGCTCATGTGGCTGGAGCCAGCACACAGGTCCTGTCCCTTTTGTAGCAGATGCAGTTCCCTACTCACCAATTGCTCGCCCTTCTCCCACCTAACCAACAGCACCCCGCTTCTCTCCCCCACAGCCCCGAGGGAGGGTGAGTTTCAGGAAAGGTAGGCTCCAACCCAGGTGTGGCAGAAGCTATTTTCTCCAAATGGCTATAATGATCTCTCTGGCCTCACATGCTCTTCCGGGGCCTTGCCACACTCTGTTAAGTGGCAGAGGTGATTGATTTCCCTGTCATTTGAGCCTGGGTGGATTCTGTGGCTGCTTCGGCGACTAGAATGCAGTGGAAGTGAGCCTGAATGACTCCTGAGGTCAGGTCAGAAAAGGCGATGTAGCTTTTGCTTGTCTCTGTCTCTCCCCCACCCCCTTCATCCCTGGAACCCAGCCACCATGTTGGGAGGAAGCCCAAGCCTGCCCACATGGGTAGAACACATGGAGAGGCCCATGAAGAAAAACAGGCCTCCAGCCAACAGCCGGTCTCTACCACCAGATATGGAGTGAGTGAGCCTTCGGATGATTCTAGCCCCAGCCTTTAAGACTTCTGACTGAGGCTCCAGACACCTTAAAGCAGAGACAGGCTGCTTCTGCCACCCGAATTCTTGACTCAGAATCCATTAGCATAAAAAATGTTTATGCTTCTAAGTTTGAGGATAATTTGTTACACAGCTATAGTAACTGGGTTGCTTGTCTGATAAGCCCATTCCCCTTGCCAGGGATTGGTTTGAGGGTGGGCTTGGGATTCAACTCCAGCCAATGAGAAGTGAGGGGGTGTCTACTGAGGGGACTTCTGGGGAAGATTTCCTGCTCTTGAAAGAAAAGTATTAGCCAGGCACAGTGGCTCATGCCTGTAATCCTAGTACTTTGGGAGGCTGAGGGGGGTGGACAGATCACTTGAGCCCAGAAGTACAAGAGCAGCCTGGACAACATGGCAAAACTCTGTCTCTATAAAAAATACAAAAATTAGCCATCTGTGATGGTGCATGCCTGTAGTCCCAGCTACTCAGGAGATTGAGACAGGAGGATCACGTGAGTCTGGGAGGTCGAGGCTGCAGTTAGCCAAGATTACTCCACTGAACTCCAACTTGGGTGACACAGTGAAACCCTGTCTCATTAAAAAAAAAAAAAAGGAAGGAAGAAAAAAGTTATCAAGAAGATGCAGTCCTTTACTCCCTCCAGATGAGGCTGTATGAGAAGATAATAACTGGGCAATGGCAGCCACGTTTAGACTATGAGGGGAGTAACCCAAAGATGGTGGAATACAAAAAGAGGAAGAATCTTGGTCCTTAAGTGAATAAGCCATGGATTATCCAACCTTGGGCCCACCCCACTTCAGTGAAATAATAACCCCCCTATGTTTAAAGCATTTTGAGTTTGACTTATTACTTTCTAAGTGATATATTGCCTTTCCCCTCACATCCCACCTTTCCCCTGCTCCGGCTCACCTCTGAATTTGGGGCAGGAAGGGCTTAAGAAGCTCTGGTACACAAAGAAAAAATTCCTGTTTAGTATCCTCGAAGGTCAACAGTGGGAGGGAATTGAAAGGGGATTCTGGCCAGGAGGTCTGATAGTGGAGAAAAGAGGTTAAGAAAGAAAGGGAGAAAGTCAAAGGTAAAGACCAGTGAGGGAAGAAACAGAAAAGATCATGCAGTAAAAACAAGAAAAGTAAGGACAAAAGAACAGGACAGAGATCTGGGGGGAAATAGTAAGGGCTTCAAGGCTACAAGACATACTTTGACCACCCTCTGATGCTAGAACAGTCTTCCTCACATCCTCTTATGAGGCCACACAAGACAGGGATTAAACATGCAAACTCTGGAGATAGAATTATGATTCCATTACTTTCTGTCTAGATGAACTTGGGCAAATTACTTAATTATACTCAACCTCGGAAGATTTGTAAAATAGGTATTGATTATCAAAATGCTCAGCCGGGCATGGTGGCTCATGCCTGTAATCCTAGCACTTTGGGAGGCCAAGGTGGCTGGATCACCTGAGGTCAGGAGTTTGAGACCAGCCTGGCCAAAATGACGAATCCCTGTCTCTACTAAAAATACAAAAATTAGCCGGGTGTGGTGGCGGGTGCCAATAATCCAGCTATTGAGGAAGGAGAATTGCTTGAACCCGGGGAGGCAGAGGTTGCAGTGAGCTGAGATCACACTGCTTCAGTCCAGCCTGAGTGAAAGAGCAAAACTCCGTCTCAAAAAAAAAAAGGTCACCCCAAGGGGTTGCTGAAAGGATTTTACTCAGGACTCTACTAAGCTGTCAGTACAGAAATTCAATTCAGGCTTCAGCAATATAGAAAAATATTTGACTCATATCCCTGAAAGGTCAAAGAGTATCTGGCTTCAGGCATGGCTGGATCCAGGGACTCAAATATCAGGAGTGGATCTCTATGCGTCTTTTGTCTCTTTTTCTCCCATTGCCATTACTTTCAGTCAAGCTTCCCCTCCAAGGTTGCACGCAGATGTAGCCCTATGTCCCACCTTCTCAGCAGGTTCAAAGGGCTGATACCTTTGTTCCTGGGTCTTGGGAGTGCTATGATTGCACCAATATGTGTCCTGTACCCATTCCTGCACATATTAAGTAACTAAGGGGATGGATTATGCTGATCAACCAGACCAGGGTCCTTGGTATGGAGGCTGGGCCAGCTCTACCCCAACCACGTGGGCTAAGATGGTAAATGTAGTAAATGCATGTGTGTGTGTTTGGGAGTGAGAGGGAGGTTTCCAGAAAAATTGAGTTGCTATTAAAAGAAGCAGGGATGACTACCAGACAGACACAACAGAGTTTACAATAAGTACGCTTGGCAGCTATGTTAGGACGTTCTTGCATTGCTATAAAGAAATACTTGAGACTGGGTAATTTATACAGAAAAGAGGTTTAATTGGCTTACAGTTCTGCAGGCTTTACAGGAAGCATGATGCTGGCACCTGCTTGGCTTCTGGGGAGGCCTCAGGAAGCTTCCAATCATGGCAGAAGGTGAAGGGGGAGCAGGCATGTCACATAGCAGGAGCAGGAGCAAGAGAGAGAGAGTGGGGAGGTGCCACATTTTTAAATAGCCAAATCTTGCAAGAAGTCACTCACTATTGTGAGGACAGCACTAAGAGAATGGCACTTCCCTCTCTCGTCTCCCGATTTCACACACACCATGCCATCTGCCTGATGCACTCTTTGCCTTCCCTCTTTGCCCACAGCATGGTGCATCCTTCTGATTTCAGCACAAACATTACATGCTAACGGTCCCTCCTATGTGCTCCCAAGCCCCCTGGGCTTTTCTCATTATGGACATGTCATGCCATGGTGATTACGAGGCTCCCTCTCCAGAACAAGGTTTCTCAACTTTGGCACCACTGACATTGGGGACTGCATCATTCTTTGTTGTTAGGGGGCTGTCCAGGGCACTGCACAATGTTTATTGGCATCTCTGGCCTCTACCCATTACAGGACAACAGAATTCCCCCCACCTTCAGTTGTGACAACAATAGTCATGAGAAATCCACCGCCACGAGCTAATCACCTCCCACCAGGCCCCACCTCCAGTACTGAGAATTACAAATTAACATGAGATTTGGGCAGGGACACAGATCCAAACTACATCCGAGCTAACACTTCCGCTGCTCGGGACTTCTCTAAGAGAAGCAATTTCAAGGAAGGCAAACCCTGACTCTTTTTTCTTTTTTTTAATTTAATTTAATTTAATTTAATTTAATCTAATTTAATTTTAAGTTCTGGGATACACGTGCAGGACGTGCAGGTTGGTTACATAGGTAAACATGTGCCGTGGTGGTTTGCTGCACCCATCAACCCGTCACCTAAGTATTAAGCCCCGCATGCATTAGCTATATATCCTGATGCTCTCCCTCCCTCATTCCCCCTGCAACAAGCCCCAGTGTGTGTTGTTGCCCTCCCTGTGTTCTGATTGCTAGGCTCTCACTTATAACTGAGAACATGCAGTGTTTGGTTTTCTGTTCCTGTGTTCGTTTGCTGAGGATAATGGCTTCCAGCTTCATCCATGTCCCTGCAAAGGACATAATCTTGTTTCTTTTGTGGCTGCATAGTGGTCCATGGTGTATATGTACCACATTTTCTTTCTTTTCTTTTCTTTTCTTTTTTGAGACAGAGTCTCACTCTGTTGCCCAGGCTGGAGTGCATTGGCACCATCTCGGTTCACTGCAACCTCCACCTCCCGAGTTCAAGCGATTCTTCTGCCTCAGCCTCCTGAGTAGCTGGGATTACAGGCGTGTGCCACCATGCCTGGCTACTTTTTGTATTTTTAGTAGAGACGGGGTTTCACCATGTTGGTCAGGCTGGTCTTGAATTCCTGACCTCATGATCTGCCCGTTTTGGCCTCCCAAAGTGCTGGGATTACAGGCATGAGCCACCGCGCCTAGCCCATGTACCACATTTTCTTTATCTAGTCTATCATTGATGGACATTTGGGTTGATTCTATGTCTTTGCTATTGTGAATAGTGCTGTGATGAACATACGTGTGCATTGTCTGTGTGATAGAATGATTTATATTCCTTTGGAACCCGGACTCTTGAGTGGAAAACATGTCAAGAACAAATTACTTTTTTAAAAAATCGTGGTAAAATACAAATGACATAAAACTTACCATTTTAACCATGTTTAAGTACACAGCTCAGAGGCATTAAGTACATTTGCGTTGTTGCACAACCGTCACCACCGCCCGTCTCCAGGTGTGGTCATCCAAACTATAACTCCAGGTGTTTGTCAACCCAAACTATAAGTCTGTCCCCATTAAACACTAACACCCCGCCCCCTCTTCCCCTGCGCGGCTGACGACTTCCTTTCTATCTTCTGTCCCTATCAATTTACCTGCTCTAGGAACCTCCGGAAAGTGGACTCGCCCAGTGTTTGTCCTTTTGTGTCTGCTCCTTTCACTTTAGCTTCATGTCTTCAAGGTTCATCTATGTTGCACCAAGTGTTCAAATTTTATTCCTTTTGAGACCAAATGATATTCCTTAGTAGGGATATTCTGTATTTTGTTGATCCACTGATCTGTTGATGGACATTTGGGTTCTTTCCAGGGCAGAGGCCTTTGAAGCCAAGAGAGCGCCCACTTTCATTCTTATAGGCAGCTTGACACCCCGTCAGTATTTGCCTGCCCCTCTTCCTGTCCTTTCTGGAGTGCAGTTATTCCTGCTCGGAAAGGAGCAGGAGCAAACTAGAGTAACATTGGAAGAGAGGAGGAGGAGGGGGAGGGGATTCATAATTTTTTAAAAAAAGTTTTCACCAAAGGAAACTCTTTTTGTTTTTGTTTTTTTCTTTGAGACAGAGTCTTGCTCTGTGCCCAGGCTAGAGTGCAGTGGTGCAATATCGTCTCGCTGCAACCTCTGCCTCCCAGGTTCAAGCGATTCCCCTGCCTCGGCCCCCGGAGTAGCTGGCATTACAGGTGCCTGCCACCACGCCCAGACGTGGTTTCACCATGTTGGCCAAGCTGGTCTCAAACTCCCGACCTCAGGTGATCTGCCCTCCTTGGCCTCCCAAAGTGCTGGGATTACAGGCGTGAGCCACCGCGCCCAGCCTGGAGACTCATTTTTAAGAAAAACGAAACAAAACAAAAAAAATTAGATCTGGTGGCGGTGGCCGCAAAGGAAGCACAGTTGTCAGAAGGAGAGCTGGGACTTTTCGAAGCGCTTACTGGAACTAACAGAAATGCTGGGCTTTGTTTTGTCTTTCTCGAGAACACGCACTTTTTGGAATAAAGAACTCCAAAAAAAAGCTCCAAGAGTGGTGAAAGACCTCGGAGCATGAAATTGCATTACTGGAAATGGTCTGGGGCTTTTGTTCCTGGGGCTGGGACCTCGGGAGGGTTGGTTTAGTGACAAGCCCAGCCAGTCTGCGGAGGGGCATGGAGGGGAAGGGGGGCAGGAAGGGGCCATTAGAATGGCCCTCTGGTTTCCCACCTCCTCAGAAGGACAAAGTCTCAGGGAGCTAGTCATGGTCAGATGCTGCTCAAGGGGAAATGCAGAAGCGTGGTATCACCCCTCGCCAAATGCATCAAACAGACAATAGCGGTAGCAGTGGCAGCAGTGGCAGCAGCGGCAAAACAGGCAGAACTGGTTAGAGGCTATAGGCGTGTGAGCCCTGCAGCCCACTCTGAGGTCTTTAAATAATACTGAATGACCATAACTGCCTCCAAAAGGGTCTTCTTGCCTGGTTTGCTAAGAGACAAATCTGTTCTGCTCACAAACCCTCACTTCACTTCAGAACCTTCTATGGCTCCCTATTGCCCTTGAGATTGAGTCAAGCTTCTTAACTAAGTGATCTACATGATCTGACCTCTATATATGGCTTCTTCAACCTCAGCTGTTCCATTCTTCCCCTTGCACCGCCCACTCCAGCAACACAGCCCCCTCTGCTTCCTCCAAGAAAATCAGCCCTCTCTCGTCCCCCAATTTTGCACATGCCATGCCATCTGCCTGATGCACTCTTTGCCTTCCCTCTTTGCCCACAGCATGGTGCATCCTTCTGATTTCAGCACAGACATCACATGCTAACGGTCTCTCCTATGTGCTTCCAAGCCCCCTGGCTTTTCTCATTATAAACATGTCGTGCTATGGTGATTACAAGGCTCCCTCACCGTAACAAGGTTTCTCAACCTTAGCCCCACTGACATTGGTGACTGCATCATTCTTGTCGGGGGGCTGTCCTGGGCATTGCAAAACGTTTATTGGCATCTCTGGCCTCTACCCACTAGAGGCCAATAGCATTTCCCCCACCTTCAGTTGCGACAACCACAGATGTCTCTAGGCATTTCTACATGTCCCCTAAGAGAAAAAATTGTCCCTCATTGACAACCACCACACCGGAGAAAGGTCTTATCACTGCTGTGTCCCCAATCAGCACATACTTGTTGGGTAAATGGATGAACAAACCCGCACACATTGGGTCCGTAGAGGACATTTGTCTCTCCAAAGTCTTGTTGGACCAAGTCTTGTTGGACCCACGCAGGACTGTGCTCTGTGTCGAGTGAACAGAGAAGTCATTGGTATGACCACTTCAAGGTGTTCCAAGTGGCAAAAGGGGCTCAGCGTGGGCTGGTTCTGCCAGGGTCTGTAGCTGTCATCATCTGCTTGGGTACAGTGAACCTCAGGGCTCTAGACCTGTGATATCCAAGAGTGGCCACACACCACATGGCTCCTGAACCCTTGGAATGTGGCTGGTCCAAACTGAGATGTGTTGTGAGTGTGTAACACATATCAGATGTGAAGACTGAGCACCAAAAAAAAACCCAACAACTCATTAATAGTTTTTAGTAATGATTACATGTTGAAATGGTAATATTATGCACATATTAGCTTAAATAAAATATATTATTAAAATTCTTTTCACCTGTTCCTTACTATTTTTTATTGCTTCTACTATAAAAACTTAAATTATTTCTGTGAGTCACACTTGTGAGCAACACCGCTGTGGAGGACCCTCTATTATCCAGTCTGGAACTTCACCACTCACCCAGCTGCTCCTGGTTCTCGAACTCTCGTTTACTGGGGGGAAGGGAAGAGAAGCTAACATTGAGTTCTGTTGAGGGCCCGGCACTCTGTCTACACAACCTTGACTAATCTCACTAACTCTCTTCCTACCTCTGTGAGATAGACTCCGCACTTGGTTGTGACAGAGGAGGAAACTGAGGGCCTGGAAAAAAAAGGAATTACTTCTATTTTGACATGACTCCATTTCAACTTTGTTTACAATAAGAAAAAAATTAGACATTATTGTACCACTGCACTCCAACCTGGGGGACAGAGTGAGACCCCATCTCAAAAAAAATTAGACATAGCATTATGCAGTTGGAAATCAAAGTCAGCTGCTAGGAACAGAAGCCAGAGTGAAATAATAACTTAAAAGAAACAGAAAGATATCTTCTTGTGTGAAAGAAGTCTGAAGATGAGTAGCCCAGGGCTAGGGTGGAGACTCTACACTTATCAGGGATTTCAGCACCATCTGTCTTTCTGTTCCACTGTCCCTAGTATGTAGCTTCAGAAAGATGTCACCTCATGATTCTTTATGGCTGCTGGAGTTCCAGCCATCACACCTGTATTCCAGGCAGCTAACTAGGAGGGAGGAGAAGAAGCAAGAGGACTTTTACAAAACATTTTCTGTGTTACAATGTGCTAAATATTGTGCCGGATGTTGAGAGTACGAGTGAACAAAATAGATGCTCCTGTATTTCTTTCATAGTCAGCACAAATGAACATCTTCCTTGACACCTTTCAGTCTCTCCCATCTCTTGTCTGATCCCTCAGCGAATCCTGCCAGCTCTGCTGAGACCCATGTCCAGAATCCCACCACTTGTCACCACCTCTCCCTCGCTTGCTGTTGTTCTGTCTTCAGGTCTCTGTTCCTGTCACCTCCGCAGAGAGGAGGTGACCTCTCTGGGGAGGTGACAGGAGGGAGGAGGGAAGGGAGGAAGGAGGAAGAGGGGAAGGAAGGAGGGTACCCCACCCATACACTCCTGCTGATTTTATTTTTGAGATGGGTCTCACTCTGTCCCCCAGGCTGGAGTGCAGTGGCGCCACCTATGTCTAATTTTTTTCTCATTGTAAACAAAGTTGAAATGGAGTCATGTCAAAATAGAAGTAATTCCTTTTTTATCAGGTCCTAAGTTTCCTCCTTTGTCCCAACCAAATAAGGTGTCTATCTCATAGAGGTAGGAGGAGGGTTAGTGAGATTAGTCAAGATGGTGTAGACAGAGTGTTGGGCCCTCAATAGAACTCAATAAATGTCAGTTTCTCTTCCCTTCCCCCCAGTAAACGAGAGTTCCAGAACCAGGATCACCTGGGTGAGTCGTGAAGTTACTGATTGGATAATACTGCATCCATCCTCTCCCCTGCCCCCACTCATTTCACTCATTCTCTTCCCTCTCTTCCCCCATAACACTCACCAACAAGAACGGCAGGCGTCGAGGTTGCACCTGGTATTTCCACTGCAAGGTACTCAGTTCCTAGAATTGGGCTTGCCTCAGAGCAGGCTCCCACTTACATCTGGTGAAATGAGCCACAAGCCTTTCGAGGCCCCGTCTTCATTGGTGCCATTAAACTTATGTAGTCAAAACACTCATCCTTGCTTGGTGGGAAAGCCCGCCGTATTGGCAACAGCAAACACCCTAGCCAGAGTAAACCTCAATTTATGTTTGGCTCTATTTTCTGCCTCTACCCTATGCTTGCTTTCAGATCATAAAGCTTCTTGGGAGAGGAACTTTCCCCCACTTGCCACAACGCCTACTGGAATTAACCTGATCATTCCTGTTGTGATTAATGAACAGATAGGCCATGTCTTAAGGCGAAATTGAACAATTGGCTGCCAGAGCGCTTCACATCAGGGCTTCTCAGCCTTGACACTTAGTGATATCTGGGGCTGGATCGTTCTTGGTGGTGGGGGCCATCCTGTGCACTGTGGAATGTTCAGCAGCATCCCTGATCTCCACCCACTCTATGCCAGTAACACCCTCCTGGTTGTGAAAACCAAAAATGTCTACAGACGTTGCCAGGTGTCCCCTGGGGGACAGAATCACCTGATTAAGAAGCACTGCTGTTAACAATCCCACTCTTTCAGAAAGCTGGGATATGACCTCAGGTGGAGCTAGCCAAGCATCTAGTTCCTTTCCTCCCTCTTAAATTCTTCACCTTAAATTATCAGTTGGCAACCATGAAGGAGAGCTCGTCTTCAAGAATCTACATTGAGGGTAATGTGGAGCACAAAGGAAAAAGACAATCCAAGTTCCCACTGAAGCTGTAAAACTGAGGTTTGCAGTGCCATGATGCCATTAATTTGTTCACAGGGAAGAAAAACATGACCGTGTCCCCTTTCCCCTTAATTCAACAAGTCTTGGAAATCTTATTGTAACTTTCAAGGATTTCATCATACAAATAATAAATGAACGCCAATTTCACTTGAGTTCATGTAGATGGAACACAATGGGTCCCCAGACCCTATCTGGGAATCTTTGCAGAGTTACACTGATAATTTAGAATGACTGTCCATGTCAAGGGTGAGAAAACTAAGTCTCAGAGTGACTTGCTTACGATGATGTTGGTTCTGGACTTTCTTGGGCACACATGTCACAAGCATAATGAAAAGCTTGCTTTACCAAAAGGCAATGTGTTGGCTCAGAGGACTGGAACACTTATTGTGAGGCTCAAAGAAAGGCAAAAAGAGATAAGAAAGAAGCAGAGCTGCACTTTGCTACCTGCTGCCTCCCTGTCTGTCTCTCTGTCTCTTTCTCTGATTCTCTTCCACTTGTCTTTGGAAACAGCCTGTCACCTCATGGCAGGGAGGACATCCCTCAGCCCAGATCCCTTGTGCCGTAGTGTTGGAAACAGCTTCCTACATTTCCCAGGGAAGGACTCTTACAGGCTCTGCTCGGATCACAGGCACATCTCTCACCAATACTTAGTCCACAGTATAAGCCACTTTGCTTGTTGTGGCCTGAGTTATGTGTCATGGAGGCAAGCAGGGTCTATTACCAAAATATAGAGAATAGGGGAATGGGGAAATGGGTGCTGGCAGCCAAAAACAACAGCTACTTACCTCAGAACCGAGATGAGAGTCCAGATTTGAATTCATGCTCACCATTGCCGTATTTACTGAATGTTCTGACACAAATATCTGGGAAAAAACTCACAACTTATCATTGTGAATTATTCCTGAATTGCATCCATGCCAACATCCCAACTGAAATATTATACTACAGTTTTGCAAAATACTACCTCTGGGGGGACCTGGGCAAAGTGTAAAAGAGATGGCTCTGTGTTATCTCTTACAACTGCATGTGAATCTACAATTACCTCAATAAAAATTTCCATTAAAAAAGTGGTAAAAACCCAACTTAATGTTTCTCATACTACAAGAAAAAAGCATTATTCCCAATTTGCAGATGAGGAAACTGAGGCTCAGAGAATTTAAAAAAAAAAAAAAGTGCCTTGGAAATCTTCAAGCCCGGTTCTAACTCCAGAGTGTGAGCTCTTGACCTCTGTGTTTTAAGGGCTTCCGTGAATCTCAGGTTGTCTTAGCAACCATCCCAGGGAAACATCAGCCTGGTTCTCTGGCTCCCTGTTGGCTCTGAGTACTTGGACTAGGCTAAGGGAAGAGTGGCAGGAGGCATATTGAGAGACACAGGATAGGGGCAGAGGGAAGGCTTCCTGGAGGAGGTGTTGCTACCTTACTAGCAGAAGTTGGGGCCAGGCAAGGGCACAGAGCTAAGGTCCAGAAGAGGGAGGGAATCTACCTTCAAGGAACCCAGCAGACTCTCTGTGGCTGGAGCACCCGAAGGTGAGAGGAGTGGGCAAGGACGCTGAAGGTGGAGCATGGTCCAATCCTGTAGGACCCAGTGAGGCATGCTCAGAGGTTGGAAATTTACCCAGAGGGCGACAGGGAGGCACCAAAGGGTTTGAGCTGGGGAAAAGAGTTTCTTTGTAAGTTTTGCATTTTGGAAAGGTGACACTGGCTGCAGCGTGGAGAATAAATGGGAGGAGACCGTGTGTTTATTGAGCACCTACTATGTGTCAGGCATGGTTCCAGGCACTGGGGATTCAAGAGTGACCAAAACATCGTACCTTTCCCCGTGGAGCCTGCATTCTAGTAGTCATGCAAGCAGTAATCAAATAAACAAGTACATATATTCAGTAAAGTAAACAGGATTCAGTGAGTGTTCTAAAGGACCATATCGTAGTGTAAGGGCAGAGGTGATGGTGGGATCGAGAGCTGTTTTGGCCTGAGGGGTCATCTCGAAGACTTGAGATGATGGTGGTCTGCACTGGGGGAGCAGCAAGAATTTAGTTTTGTTTCCCCCAGTGGCACGTGTCAAATCGTGGAGAAAGGGGATGTCGGGGCTGGCGGTCTTGGGGCTGAAACCTCTAGGGTGCCCACGCTCCCTTTGCTTTAGAGCGGCTGTCGAGCCGATATAAACATTTAAAAGTGGATACAGCTTGGCTCTCATTCAGCATGTAAATAGTTGTCAAATCTTCAGTTTTGAAAGGACTGGTTCCCTGTGATTTGTATAAATTTTGAAACAGAGTAGAGGCCGCACGCATGGAAAACCAGTCTCTCTACCCTAGGGATGAGGCCAGGGTTTCGAAGACACAGACCTTTCAGATGGGAACTGCATCCCAAAGGTGGAGACGAGATGGAATTAATGAGGACAAGGAAGGAAGACCAAATGTGTCCTTCGCCCAACAGACACATCATCCCATTAGCAAACAAGAAACTCTTAGAGAGTTGGTGCTTTGAAACTCTCAGATTAAAATGCACTTTGATTTTAGCTCCCATGTTTCTCCTACCTCTTCCAGGTGTTTAGCATTGAGTATATTTTCTTTTGGGACTGGCCCCTGCAACTAATCTTTTCTGAAAAATAGACTTTGGGGTACCACCCTATGGATGTAAAGCAAAGAGTCTCAGCATGTAGTGTCACTGAGTTCAATGTATGTCTTTCCCCCTCTATGACACTGACAAAGATTTAAAGGATGGCAAAGCTCGTCGTTGGGGAAGACAAAGGGAAACTGCACCTGTTCAAGGCAGGGCCAACTGGAACAATCTTTTCTGATGGCAATTTGGCAGGATATGGCAAATTTTTATTTTTTAGAGAGACAAGGTCTCCCTCTTTTGCCCAGGCTAGAGTATGGTGGTGCAGTCGTGGCTCACTGCAGCCTCAATCTCCCAGATTCAAGTGATTCTCTCACCACTTCAGCCTCCCGAGTAGCTAGGACCACAGGTGCACACCACCACATCCAGCTAATTTTAATTTTTTTTTTTTGTAGAGATGAGTCCTTGCTTTATTGATCAACCTGGTCTCAAACTCCAGGGGTTCAAATGATCCTCCCACCTCGGTCTTCCAAAGTGCTGGGATTATAGGCATGAGCCAACAAGCCTTGCTGAAAAATTAAAATAAGGTTACACCTCAAAACTGAGCTAGGAATCATAGCACAGAAACAACCGAAATACTGAGCAAATAGGGTAATATAAGGATGTACACTTTGGCATAATTTCTAATACTTAAAAAACAATACCTCAACTAATCCTCAATTGGTTAAAAAGATGATTATACCTCCCAACACTAGGAGACACTTTGCAACTGCATCAAAATAAGGTGGAACTCAGCCAGCTGATCGAGGGCAGCAACAGTGAAAAGTCATATTGATAGCATGTACTTCTGAAATGATCTGATGAGAAGACACCCTACCTCTGTGGTCTTCCTCCCCCAAACCCACAATCAGTCTCATCATGAGGAAAACATTAGACAAATTTCAATAAAGCAGCATCTTACAATAAAGCCGACCAGTACTCATCAAAACTGTCAAGATCATTAAAAAAAAAAAAAAAAGGAAAGTGTGAGAAACTGTCACGGCCCAAAGGCGCCTAAGAAGATGTGATGACCAAATGTCATGTGGGATTCTGGATGGGATCCTGGACAGAGAAAGGGCATTAGATAAGAACCAGGGATGCTGGGCGCGGTGGCTCACGCCTGTAATCCCAGCACTTTGGGAGGCCAAGACAGCCGGATCACCTGAGGTCAGGAGTTCGAGACCAGCCTGACCAACATGGAGAAACCTCATCTCTATTAAAAATACAAAATTAGCCAGACGTGGTGGCACATGTCTGTAATCCCAGTTACTCAGGAGGCTGAGGCAGGAGAATCACTTGAACCCAGGAGGCGGAGGTTGCAGTGAGCCGAGATCGCACCATTGCACTCCAGCCTGGGCAACAAGAGTGAAACTCCATTTGAAAAAGAAAAAAAAAAAAAAAAAAAGAACCAGGGAAATCTGAATAAGGTACAGCTTTAGTGAATAATGATATATCAATATTGGTTCATTAGTTATAGTAAACGTGCCATACTGATGGAAGTTGTTAATAATAGGAGACATTGAGTGTGGAGTACATGGGAACTCCCGGTACTATCTTTGTAATTTTTCTGTAAATCCAAAACTGATCTAAAAATTATAATTTAGCCAGGCGCCTGTAATTCCAGCACTTCGGGAGGCTGAGGCAGGAGGACTGCTTGAGGCCAGGAATCTGAGACCAGCCTGAGCAACATAACAAGACCCTGTCTCCACAAAAAGTAAAATTAAAAAATAATTAGCCTAGTATGGTGGGGCACACCTGTAGTCCCAGCTACTTGGGAGGCTGAGGTGGGAGGATTGCCTGAGGCAGGGAGGTCGAGGCTGCAGTGAGCTGTGATTGCACCACTGCACTCCAGCCTGGGAGACAGAGGAAGACCCCAACTCTTTAAAAATATGTGTATAAATAAAAAAATTAGAATTACAATCTATTTTTCAAATGAGGTAGAGTCTACGGATGGATGTGAGGGTTGTTCAAGATGTATGATTGAATGAAAACAGTGATCTCACTTTTGTAAAACAAAGTTGTGTGTGTGTTTCTTTAAGTACAGACAGGGTCTGAAAAGATGCCCTTTGCATCATAAGAGTTACCTTGGGTGTTTGCAGTGAAAACAAGACCTGGGAGGGGAAATAAGTATTGGGAGGGGATCTTCTACACTACTAGTCAATGTTGAGTTTTTTCTATGCATGTGCAAGGCTTTTACAATATCTATTTTCAATAACTATATTTCAAACACATAGACACACGTGGTGAAAAAGCAACCCCATGATGTGCTGGGGGAAGGTAGAGGAAGTCCAGTTGTCTGCTTCAGAATCATTTTGCCTAAATAGGTACCATATTCATCTCCCTTGATTCATAATTCAGAGGCAACAGCATGGAAGAACTAGAATACTCTCAGGTTTCTGGGCACATAAAAATGGCATTATTTCTAGAAAGTCTGATTTTGTTTTTTTGTTTTGTTTTTTTTTTCCTTGTTTGTTTGTTTTTGTTTTGAGACAGAGTCTCACTTTGTTGCCCAGGCTGGAGTGCAGTGGCATGGTCTCAGCTCACTGCAGCCTCTGCCTCTGGGGATCAATGATTCTTCTGCCTCAGCCTCCTGAGTAGCTGGGACTACAGGCGTGCACCACCACGCCCAGCTAATTTTTGTATTTTTAGTAGAGACGGGGTTTTACCATGTTGGCCAGGCTGGTTTCGAACTTCTGGCTTCAAGCGATCCACCCACCTCAGTCTCCCAAAGTGCTGGGATTACAGGCATGAGCCACTGTGCCCAGCCTTAGAAAGTCTCATTTGACCAGCATCTGTGGATGCTGTCACTATGCAGCCATCCAATGGCTTGCTTTGGAGTGGCTGCCATTTACCAAACACTCCCTCCGTGGCCAACCCAGAGAGGGGCCCACACACGCCCTCCCTTAGTCCTCAAAATGATGTTCAAGGTAAATTTTGTCACCACTACTTTTTTACATGAGAGACCCAGGGAAAGTTACTTGTTACCCAGCCAGTAAGGGAAGGTCTGGGCTCCATTCAGAGCTGTCCAACTCGGGGGCCCAAGCCTTGAACCACTCGCTCCTGATCCTCAGGGTAGAAGCCATTACAAAGGGAACTGCTCGCCTGAACATGAAGTCCTCCTCTGCTAGAGACACACATTGTCACACAGATACTTCCAGTCCCACAGCTTTCTCCCAGATGAGGTCCCTGTTCAACAAGATGGTTCCAATGAGCTTGACTCTCCTCTGCCATTGTTTATATTTCTGGTGGAATATTTTGGCCCTATAACCAGGTGCACATGGAATTTTAGTAACAATCAAAATGTCCAAGGGTTCATGAGACTCAGCATGTGCTTGGCTAAGATGGGCTGTATGGAAAGTATATGTTCGCCAACAGGATTTACATTTTACTTATTTATTTTTCCTGAAATCTCATCAAAATAAAAATCAACCAGGTTGCCCCGAGGCCCTCACTGATGTGTGGGAGGTACACTGAATGTAATTCACAGCTGGGGGACAAAGAGCAGCACAATGGCACTTTGTGGCAGAGCGGGGCTAGGTGGGGTGCATGGACCATTCTCAGGAAGGCAGGGGGCCTTTCTCTCCTCCAACCCAGATGGCCTCTGGAGAGAAGAGCAAGTGTCCAAGAGACAGCGGATTGGAGCAGACCGACTGTCAAGTGGAGTCAGGCAAATCTTGTGGGATCCATGTTTCATGCCTCCCTTAAATTTTGACCTAGGCTGGGTGCAGCGGCTCACACTTGTAGTCCTAGCTACTCGAGAGGCTGAGGCAGGAGGTCACTTGAGCCCAGGAGGTCAAGGCTGCAGAGAGCTGTGATCGCACCACTGCACACCAGCCTGGGCAACAGAGCAAGATCCCATTTCTAAAAAATAAAAATAAAAAATTTTACCTTTAATTTCCACAGCTTATGCCAAGTATTTCACTTTCATATGTATCTGTCCCCAGATACCGTCAGACTCACCGTGCACCCAAGACAAACCATGAGTGGGACCACGTTTTTTCTTAAATCCCCCCTGACATGTCAGCTGGTCACATGGTCTTCAGCTGAGAATGCCCTTCCTTTAGACTTGTCATATGGCACGGAGATTCTGCACCTTGATTCTCTCCCACCAAAGTGCTTTTGATGAGGGAGCTCAGAGTGTATTCTTGGATGAGAAGGTCTGCTTCCAATTGGGAGTGGAGAGCTTTGCCTCCTATCCGGTGCCTTCTCCTTCCTGGGTATGTAGAAAATGTCACATGATTCCAGTGCAAGGAACTGGAAGCTGATTTCCTCGGCTGCCCTCACTGACAAAAACCTAAGTGTCCGTTCAACACATTTCTGGGAGGTGTTTTCATTTTTTTGCTTTTTTCTTCTTCCATTTTTATTGTTGAGTTTCATCTGGTGCAAAGATTTCCACTAGAGAAGTGATTTGGAGTATTGCGGCATTTCCTTTCTTAATTAATCCCAACTGGGGCTTTGTCTACAGAAAGCATCTGAGGTTGATGGCTTCATCACTGTGCAGCGGGCTCTTCCTGCTGCATTTGTAAACACCAGCCGGGCCACAGTGCTCCGGCCCCGGTTCTGGTTTGAATTAAAGCCCCGGCTCAGGGAGCAACCCAGCTATGCTTTCCTGTAAGCTCTGTCAGTTTTCCAAAGCTTGTTAACACGCTCATATAAAAGGAAATAGGACGAACTTCAAGGAATTTACAACTGGTCTTAAACTTCAAAGACGAAAGCTACATCTATGCAACATGTGCACACAAAACCAGTATGTCCCTCCATCCCCTCTCTCCCCAGATACAACCTAACCAGCACAAAACAAAACAGAATCCAAACTCATAAAAGTTTGCTTAGCAAATCAGGGATGGCTCTGTGGGTTTGAAACCTTGTGTCACAGCCCCAGTTACAACACGAGGCTTTTGTGCATTGTGAAACACCAGGCAAAATTAGTAAGTCTGATGGAAGACATGATAAATAGTTCTCCAGCCCTTGAGAGAGTGATACTCACCAGCCCAGCCTAAAAGATCGGCTCCCTTGTTCTTCCCCAAAGCAAAGCTGGCCAGGTGGGTTCGTCTGGAAGGGAGGGCCCGACCATCCTCATCCTCCTCACCTGCCGCCTGCCCCCGCCCGCCCGGCCTGGGACAAGGCTGAGCATATCCACTGCCTGGTGCTGACACAGGGGCTTGTGATGAGCCCAGGAGGGAGAGGTCGGGGCACGTTCCTCAGCAGAGGGTGATTCATTTCAGAGCCGTCTCTTGGAGATGTCGACAACAAATAGAAAGGCACAACTTTTAAAATTCCCTTTGAATGTTCTCCTTTCTCCAGTGAGTATCAGCAGATCCGATTTATCTCAGCCTGCCTGGGTGTGGATGCCTAAGCCCAGTTCAAAGATTCTCGTTAGCTTCCTTTGAGCGTTTCCAAATTGAAACCCAAATAATTCAACTGAAGGCCCCATTCATGATGCGGCGGGGGTTTGCTCAGCGCCTCATGAATTGTTGCATGCACACAGCAAACGCAAGGCCACCGGCGTGGGGCTGCTTTGCCCGTTGCCTTTCTGTCTTCCATGCTAGAGCTATACATGGTGATCGTAGCACTTACGGGCAACAGTGACAACTGGAGCAGGAGAATTCTCTGCTGCGGGGGCCGCCCTGTGCAGAGCAGGATGTGTAGCAACGTCCTCAATGCCAGGGGCACCCTCCCCTCCCCAACTTGGGACAATAGAAAACGTTTCCAGATATTGCTGAATATCCCCCGCGAGTAGAGTTGAATGACGAAATACAGATGCTCAGTTACATTTGAATTTCAGATAAACAACAAATACTTTTCTTCTGTCTTGTATCTTACATACTTTGGAGCACACTTATAGTAAGACAGGATTTGGTGTTTATGTGAAATTCAAATTCAACTGGTCACCCTGTATTGTTATTTGCTAAATGTGGCAATTCTACTGCAAAAGACATAGGAGAGCCACTGACTTAGGAGAAACAACAAGTCTAGTTTCTGGTCCACCCCATTCTTGGCCGTTTAAATTCCTCAAGCTTTCTTTCTTCAGTGTAAAATGGGATCATGATGTCTGTCCCCTTTCATCAATAAAAGGATCCAATGAGAGTGAGCTGCCACTGTGCAGGTGAATGCCCGAGTCCGTCAGTCCCTGCCCTGTCCAAGCCCGAGCCTCTCGGGGGGTCGCTCGCTCCTTCCCATTTGGACTCCAGTGTGGGAGGTGGGTGGGGGCCGCACCCTTGGCTCTTGACCAATCAGAGAATCATATTTCTCTAGAGACAGGGATTGGCTGAGGGAGGCCATGTGACCTGAGCAGAGCCAATGAGAGACAATGTGGCTTTTGCTGGGACTTTAAGAGAGAGGCTCCTGTCCTGATCCCCGCAACTGAGCCTGGAAGCTGTAAGATCAGAGCGGCTGCCACCCAGCCAAGCACAGCTGAGACAGGGTTGATTTTTGATGGAGCTGTACCCAAAGCCATCTCCTCCTCTGGACTTTTCTGTGCCTAAACCAATGCATTCTCTCTTTACCCAAATCGGTTGGAGTTGGGGGTCTATGCCACACAAGGCACAAGCAGCCCAGCTGATTCACGTGTGAGATGGTTTCCCCACGCCTTGCCCACTCTAAGTGTTCAGTAAACGTTGAGTAGGATTGTAACATTCTGCTGCTGTTATTTCTTCAATGGAACTACAATGTCTTCAGGTTCAGAGGCCACATCTTCCCTCACATTGGTTTCCTCGTGGGTAAACCAGACGCCTGGGGAGCTGGAATCAGAACGACTAAATAAAGGGGTGGATGGGCGGCTATACAGAAGGAAAGACGCATGGGCAAATTGACAAAGGGCATTATGGGATGCAAAAAAAAACAAGCAAGACCCTCCTCCTTGAGAAGCTCTTCATGAACGATCACTGCAGTGATTCCCCCTTTTCTGCATCCAGCCACCTTTGCACGGTGACTAATTCCAAGCTGGGTACCCCCAAACCCAGCTCCCACCTCAGGGCGTTTACCCTTTCTGGAACACCCTCTCCAAGTTCTGCTTGTGGCTCGTTCCTTGCTATTCAGATCCACATTCCCATGCCACCTCTTCCAGGAGGCCCTCCCTCATCGTCCCAGCAGCTGCCCTTCCTATCATGCTCCCATGCTTTATTTCACTTGGGGCTACTATCACCATCCACAGTGACCTGCCCACTTGCTAACCCTGCCACCGTGTGAGCGCCATAGAGACAGGATCTTAATCCTCACTCACTGCCATGTCCTCAGCCCCTAGATTGAGCACATAGTAGATGCTCAATAAATATTTGTCGAATGAATGAGTTATTTACACATCTGGCTTCCGTCCCTGGAGGGCAGGCACCTTGTCTTACCTGTTTTGAACCCCCAGGTTTCTACTCAATGCAAATAAGGCATCAAATAAGACCTTAGTACATGAGTGTTGAATGAATGAATAATATTTAAGATGATGTTAGTTTCTGAAGAACCCAAAGCAACAGAAAGCTCAGTGTGGGGCTGCATCTCTCAGCCTCCTCAGGGCATCTGCCACTGCTGAAGTGACCTCCTGTCTCAGCAGCATCGGCGGCAGGATTACAGGGCAGGGTCGGAGCCTCAGGTCTGCTGTTGACATTGTGATTAAGGCGGGGAACACACCAGGGCCTCCCTCATAGGGCGGAATGAGCGTTAACTGGAGCAAAGCAGGTAACACGCTTAGAACTGTCCTATCATGCCTGCCACAGAGAGGCGTGATAGGTTTCCATTTCTCCACACATCCCTGCATCCATCCTCCTTTCGCTCCAGAGGAGGAAGCTTCCTCCACGAAGGAAGGTACCCGTCCAAGGTCACACAGCCAGTGAGAATTTTCTCAGCACATCCAAGAGGTGACCCGCCCCCCGCCCCTTGCCTGACACCTCCCTCCCCACCCCCACACCTTCCGGTTTCCACCCCGGGCTCATTTGTCTGCAGTTAAATCCTCAGGGACTTTTTTCTTTCCCCCAGGGTGGGCACATTTTATTTTAAACAGAAAAAAATGACAAAGTCGCTCATAAATCGAGCTGTTTTTCACACTGTCCTGTCTCTGACAGGCTGTTAGAAAAGTTGGGAGGAGAGGTGCTACTGTTATACTTTTGTTATTCGGTGCTAATTAGAAGAGAGCTGAGCGCTGGGATGGAGAACAGTTTCCAAAGAGGCACTTATTGTTCCCATTCGAATGAAAACGCCTTCAGATTAAAAAACCTCTCTCATTCCTGGGTGCTGCATTTCCAGCAAAATACTTTGTTTTGTTCTTAAAATTACCTGGTCGATAGAATACCATAGACATATTAAAATGTGTTAGAAAATAATCTTCTAAACATTCCTGTTAGAGTACTTAAAGGTATCTGACTGCTTCTTCTATAGCAATTGTAATGAAGATGCAGAGGGAACGTGTGTTTGATCTACGGAAAGACACATCTGTGTCCACAGACTGAGCAGAAGAGGTAGAGGGGAGTCTCCTCCTTTGTGTGGGGAGACAGGGTGCTAGGAGGAAAGAGCTTTAGCTGAGAAGCCTGAAAAGGGAAAGGGGGGTGCCGGGTGCCATGGCCCACACCTGTAATCCCAGCACTTTGGGAGGCCAAGGTGGGCAGATTATGACGTGAGGAGTTCGAGACCAGCCTGACCAACATGGCAAAACCCCATCTCTACTAAAGATACAAAATTAGCTGGGCGTGGTGGAGCACGGCTGTGATCCCAGCTACTTGGGAGGCTGAGGCAGGAGAATCGCTTGAAGTCGGGAGGTGGAGGTTGCAGTGAGCCAAGATCATGACACCGCACTCCAGTCTGAGCGACAAGAGTGAAACTCCATCTGAAAAAACAAAAAGGCGGGGGATGCAACGGACATTTTTTTCCTCCAAAGTCCACTGTGTGTGCCTGTTGCCCTGTCCAAGCTGCGTTCCAGCCCCAACACTGCTGCTGGATGTGGCAGTGTTTTACTGAATCCTCACATCTGCCCATGGGGTGCACGCTTATTGTCAGAGGCGTTTCAACCACAGCAACCCCATCTTGAATAGGAGCAGGTAAAAAGAGGCTGAGACCTACTGGGCTGCATTCCCAGATGGTTAAGGATTCTAAGTCACAGGATGAGATAGGAGGTCAGCACAAAATACAGGTCAAAAAGATCTTGCTGATAAAACAGTCCGCAGTAAAGAAGTCAGCCAAACCCCACCAAAACAGGATGACGATGAGAGACACTTCAGGTCGTCCTCACTGCTACACTCCCACCAGCACCATGACAGTTTACAAATGCCATGGCAGCATCAGGATGCTACCCTATATGGTCTAAAATGGAAAGGCATGAATAATTCCCCCCACCTTGTTTAACATATCATCAAGAAATAACCATTAAAAATGGGCAACCAGCAGCCCTTGGGATGCTCTGTCTATGGAGTAGCCATTCTTTTGTTCCTTTACTTTCCTAATAAACTTGCTTTCACTTTACTCTATAAACTCATCCTGAACTCTTTCTTGCACAAGATCCAAGAACCCTCTCTTGGGGTCTGGATCGGGACCCATCTCCTGTAACATTATGATTGTTCTGATTTCTATAAAGGAGAAAAGTAAGGCTTACAGAGGTTAAGTAATGTGCCTAAAGTCATACAGCAGGCAAATGGTGGTACCAGGATTTGATACCTTCCAGGCTCCGGTGTAGGACAGTGGAGGGTTGGATCCCAGCCAGTGCTCATGTTTTTGGCTTCGAACCTGGGCCCCCTTCCATGGTAGCATTATTATTGCCCAATTGTACAGGCGAGGACAGGGAGACTCAGAGCATCCCATCCCAGTTGGAGGCCATGCAGCAAGAAGGAGTGGAGCTGCTACAGGAAAGGGGTCCAGATCCAGACCTCAAGAGAGGATTCTTGGCTCTCACACAAGAAAGAATTCAGGAGGCATCCACAGAGTAAAGTGAAAGCAAGTTTATTAAGAAAGTAAAGGAGTAAGAGAAACTGAGGGCTGCTGATTGCCCATTTTGATGATTATTTTTTGATGATATGCTAAACAAGGGGTGGATTATTCATACCTCACCCCCCTTTTTTTCTTTTTGAGATAGAGTCTTGCTCTGTTGCCCAGTCTGGAGTGCAGTGGCTCAATCTCGGCTCACTGCAAGCTCCTCCTCCCGGTTTTACACCGTTCTCCTGCCTCAGCCTCCCGAGTAGCTGGGACTACAGGCGCCCGCCAGCACGCCTGGCTAATTCTTAGTATTTTTAGTAGAGACGGGGTTTCACCGTGTTAGCCAGGATGGTCTCGATCTCCTGACCTCGTGATCTGCCCGCCTCTGCCTCCCAAAGTGCTGGGATTACAGGCATGAGTCACCGTGTCCGGCTGCCTCCCCTTTTTAGACCATATAAGGTAACTTCCTGACGTTGCCATGGCATCTGTAAACTGTCATGGCGCTGGTGGGAGTGCAGCAGCGAGGACGACAGGATGTCACTCTCATCGCCATCTTGGTTTCGGTGGGTTTTGGCTGGCTTCTTTACTGCAACCTGTTGTATCAGCAAGTGTTTATGAGCTGTATCTTGTGCTGACCTCCAATCTCATCCCGTGACTTAGAATGCCTTAACTGTCTGGGAATGCAGCCCAGTAGGTCTCAGCCTCATTTTACCCATCTCCTATTCAACATGGAGTTGCTCTTATTTACATGCCTCTGACAGAACCTTCATACAGAATGGGCCCCCAGCTCCAGGAAGGAGGAGGCACAAAAATGCAGTGGAGAATAGGAGCCCCAGGGGGCTGGGCATCTCCAGTAAGTGAGGCTCCACATCCCAGCTGGACAACCTCAGGCAATGACTTAACCTCTCTGTGCCTCAGTTCATCACTACAAAATGAGGATAATAATAGTTCCTTCCTCACTGTGGGGTTATGAGGCTCCAGTGAGGTCACCTATGTCAAGCACTTCACAGTGGGCTGGTTCCCCAGTATTGCACACCCCGGGGAACTCCTGCTGTTACTATTTGCCTGATTCTAAAGCCACACCATCCTGTGCACCAGGATGCTGCCAGGAGCTCTCTGTTATCTAGACGGGTCCTCTTGAGTGGGCAGGCCACTTGCTCCAGGTGTTGGTTTCTCCCAGTGCAGAGCCAGTGCCTGGGAACAGATGACCTCAAAGGCCCTGGGTGGATCTCTCTGTGCTGCCACTGAATCTTTGATTCTAGATTTCATTCATTTGTTCAACAGTGCCAGAAACAGTGCAAGGCTCTGGAACAAACAACAGTGACCTTCGTTAAGTTGAGTCTTATGTGTGCAAGAATAGAGATTCACGAAGCAGATAGGAGTGATCAGCCCTCTGAAGCCACGTGCCTTCTGCCTGCCTCTCTCAGGAGGGAAGTGGTGTTTGTCAAAACATTTATTTTGCAAAGTGCTTTCACTTCTTCCCTCTAGGGCAGTCCTCATCATGCTCTTCTAAGCTACAAGGCAGGCTGGGCAACCCTCCTTTATCCCCATTTGACAGATAAGAAAACAAGTCCGTAGAAGTTGAAATGATTTGCCCAAGGCGAGGGAGCTAATAATCAGGTGCTTGCTCCCACAACATCTTCCCCGACCTTATCATGCCCTGTGAAGTGATCATTTTGGTCATGTGGTCATTGGCCGGGTCCTAGGAAGACGGGTTTCTATGCATGTAATGAGAAAAATGTGTTGGTAGCTCTTCAACTACAATTTATTTCAGTCTCCTTAAATTCTAGCCAGGCAAAAGGCTGTGATCCCCAACCCTGCTGCAAACCACTCAGTGAGTCAACCAATAAAGGCGGCATGAACTTTTTGTTTGTGCCTGGAAGGGCGATAAAACCCACTCACAACCTGTAGGCACTTATTCACACCTTCAGGGAGTGGCAGAACTATCAAAGTCAGTAACTTATTGAGCATCTACTGTTTTCCAGGAATTTACTGTTTGCCAGATTAGAGGGTCACGTCACTTACTTTTCACCAGATTAGGAATTCACTTACTTAATTTACATTTCTAGATCACGGAGAGGAAGCTTTGTGAGATCGCACACTCCTAGAGTTGCCAGATAAAATATAGGACAAATACAATTTATAAAATCATTATACTGCAAAATTATTTGTGTTCATCTGAAACTCACATTTAACTGGGCGTCTTGAGTTTTTGTTTGCTAAATCTGGTAACCCTACTGAGATCACACAGGGCACTTGGATGAGACTGAGATGATGGGACTCCTCAGTCTCCACTCTCCACCACAGCGAGGTCAGCCTCCCAGCTGCTTCGAGAAACTGATGGAAAAGGAGGGTCAAAGCCAAAGGCTCAGGTGGCCGTCCATCCCTGCTGGCTCAGGGCTCAGAGCTTTTCTGGGCTGTGGCTGGCCGTTCAGTTCTAAAGCCAGAAAAGTCCTGGGCAAACGTGGATGAGTTGGTCACCCTAGCAGGGGCTCCAGCTGGGCCTGTTGCGGGGGTGGGTAGCACTGAGCCAGGAGGTCGTAGAGAGCGTGATAATGATGGAACTGATCCTAAATCCTGCATGAGACAAACTCCTTCCCCTCCATAATCAGTCAAGAGCCATATTTCCCCACCTCTACCATCCACTTAGAATTTCAGGAATTTCTCGGTATCCTCATACAACCTAGTCTAATAATTGACTCACCTTTCTCAGATAAATGCATTTCTTTGAAAAGAACTACTCTATCACTACCATAGATGTAAAACCAGCATCAGTTCCCACAAATATAAGATAGCCATAAAAATAAATTTGAAAAATTGTTAAAACGAAAACAAGTTGTTAATCAGGGTACACCTAGAAATTAACTCATGTGCCCATTGGTGTGAATACCACCCTCTGTGCCAGATGAAGGTGTGCCTTGATCTAAGGAGACAGAGGACAATGAGGCTGCTCTTGAGAACACCAAGTGCTTCCGAATGGAAGTAGTTGCAGGGCTGTGAAAAAGGAAACATCATAGAGAAAGCCAGGAAGCCTTCCTGAAGGAGGCAGGGCTTAGGTGATCTTGGAGTCAGGGCAGAGTGTGGACAGGCAGAGAGAGGCAAGGCAAGCCTTCCTTGTCAGATTTTTTTCTGCGGGCTGGTCTTTTTCCACGGGCTCCTTTTGGGAAGGTCCTCGTTTTGTGAAGTTCCAATGTGCGCAGATGTCGGTCACAACGTTTTGGTCAAATAACTCCAGTTCTCCAACAACACGGTTCAATTTTAAGTTACCACAGTATGTTAACTGTGCATAATTGCATAAATTACAAACTTCCCTGCTAGCTTGACAGCCCACAAATTACTATGTAATAACAGGTGCACATCGCGATCCATGACCAATCATGTCACCACTTCAAAGTCTGTCAAAGACTGGTCACTGCCCATCTGTATTCAGTTCATACACAGACAGCAAAGCTTGAAGTTGCATTGCCTCCTTGTTTCCCCGTGATAAGCCCACATGCATTTTATAAAAGTGAGGAATCCAAAGAGAGAATCAGGGACAAAGATGAAAGTGCAGCTAAGAAATGAAAAGCAGTAATGCTAAAAATGACATTTGGATTGAACATAAATGGAGTTACTGAAGAAATAGCTGATGATGGAAATGGTGGCTCAGATCTAAGGGTGATGCAAAGTCTTAGGGCCTTTGAGTCCTGAATCAGAGACTGAAAAATCTAGATATGCCAAATTCACAGCATATGTTCTATTACTGCCGTGTAGGCACTTGTGGTAGACATCACTAATCAATTCTAGCACTCCACAGGGTGCAGAGGTTACAAAGGTTCTGCTCCAAAACCTGACTGCCTGGCTTTGAATCTAGGATCTTTCGCTTTCAAGCTATGTGTCCTAAGGCAGGTTATTTAACCTGGCTGAGCTTCCATTCCCTTATCTACAAAACAGACATACAAAATGCTATCTCACAGAGTTGTTGTGAGAGTAAAATGGAATATGTGTAAAGCACTTGATATTGTCTGGTATCTAGTACAACTCCATATGTGGTAGCTAGCAGCAATAGCAGCAGTGCTGCCAATCCAAGATTCAGCTACAGAAATCTTCTCAGCCCAGAGCAACAGACAGTCACTGTTGAATCCGAGCTGGAAGGGGAGGTGGAATCTGCTTGCCATTCCTGCTGTGATCCAACCATGCAGACTCTGCCAGCTGAAACAACAAGCCCATGGTCTCCCAGAGAGCTAGAAGCCTTGGGCTGTGTTCTGGATCACCCCTGTATCAACTGTGCCTCCCCAGCCCAGCTTACCTCCTTTCCAACCACGCTGAAAGGCTCTCAGCATGGGCTTAGGATGCTGAGGCCAGGAGGATCCCCAAGGGGATCTTTTGGTTTGAGGGCATTTTCATAAGTCTTGAATCTTCCCATTCAGGCAAGATCTCTGGTAGTAATGTTTAGCTTTTGATGTTAAGGGCTAATGGCACCAAAGTGCTTGTCTTCATTGGCCTCTGAGTTTGAGGTGGGCTGTGGGCAGTAGTGAGAGAAGTGAGAACCGGAAGCCTTTGTTCCACCCCGGGATGTCCCAGAGATGGACAGCTTCTGTCTTCTTTTGCAGAGGGTCGAGCATGGTCAGGGCTGGCAATGCCACCTGAACCAAGAACCCTGCCTTGCTGAGCAGGGCTCTTGCTCAGTGTTGCTTCCCAGGGATGAGTCTTTCCTTGTTGCTATCGGTAGTGAATTTCAGAGCTGGTGCCTGCAATTGTCACCCGGTTGAGCAGACCTGGGAGGCAGACCATGGGCAAAAGACATCCAGAGACAATCATATAAGGGGAGCAAATTGCCAGGAAGTGTGGAGAAGCTGGGTCTTTCCAAGCTGGGTACACATCTCACTTGTCAAACAGCCTCGGAGACCCCATGCCTTAGCCAGGCTCTCAGGTAAGCCCAAGTGTGAATACAGGTCTGGTGCATCTGTTGGGCAGCAACTTCTTTGCTTCACACCCAAGAACAAAGCCACCCAGAAGCATGGCAAATTCACTCCAGCTTCCAAGGCAGATGAAATAAGAAATCAGGAACTGGGCTGGGAAAAAGAGAGCTCCCAATAGAAATAGCAACAGAGACAATCATGACAAAGTTTGCTTCTTTGGGAGCTTTCTCAGCATATTTGCTGTTTATTGAGTGTTTAATATGTGCTGCACACTCCCTAATTATGTGTATTTTACTTTTTTAACCCGCGAGGTAGCACCATGAAATATATCATGGTGTCACTGTCTTAAAAATGAGAAAACTTATGCTCAGGTTTTTGACATGCCTAGATCACGCAGTCCTGGTAAAAACGAGACTCAAACCCAAGTCATGGTGCCTCAAAGTCTTTTCCATTCCCCCTGTGTGATCTCCTGGATGCTGGTCCTGTGTCCAGCGCCTCTTATAACCATACTTAAAGGATGCGTATAGGTCTTTAGTAGATAGAAGAGAGGAGAAGGTGTTTCAGGTGGAAGGAAAAGATTGAGAAAAGTCCAAGGAAGTAGAAATTGGCACAGTGTTTAGTCACTATCCAGGAATAGTCTGCTTTGATCAAATGGTAGAACTAAGGATATGCCAGAAATAATTGCCAATAGACAGGTTGTGTTTGAGGGTCACTGGTCTTGAAGGGTCTTGAAAGTTCAACAGGGGTGTTGCAGTTGGATGCAGTAGGTAACAGCAAGTCATAGTTGGTTCTTGAGCAGGAAAGTGGCATATAGAACAATAACCTTGGAAGACTGCTCTGACTGCCCCTTGCAGGATGGGAGACAGAAGGCAGGAAGGATTGCTTAGAACTGTGCCATTATCACAAACGATGACAAGAAGGAGATGGCTGAGGAAGTAAGGTGCATCTTTGGAAAACACTCAGAGAAACAGGTTAGGTCTTATGGCAGGTTTGCTGTGGTGGCCCTGTTGCCTCCTCCAAGGTGTGATGAAGGAAGTGCATCTGAACCATTTTTGCTATGAGTTGTGAGGGCCAGCCTGCAGAGGTCTACTCCTTCCCCTGAATGTGGTTGTCTAGAACTGAACCTGAAATGCCCATCTCATGACCACCCATGAAATGCCATCTCACGACCACCCAGAGGTCAGTGGCAAATTCACTCCAGCTTTCGAGGAACACTGCCCAAGGCAAAGCCAAGACCCCGAGGCTGGCAGAGCAGAGAAACAGAAAGAACCAGGGTCTGATGTCATCCCTGAGATGTTCCTTCTGCACCTGGAAACACCCTGTCTCTCAACTTCATGCCATGGAGATAATAACATTCCTTTATTTAAGTTAGGGGTTCCTGAAACTCGTGTCCAAAGGCCTCCTGACAGAGATACTGATTGTGGGAGTAAAAGAAAAAGCTTAGAAGCAGAGACAGTCCTTGCTGAGTGGGCATCAACTAGTCTGAATAATCCCACATTCCAACCTACCTGGTCAAGGGGTGAACACCTGACTTCGAGACCGCCTGTTCATAAGTCTGGCCAAGCCAATAAAATTTCCTGTCATGGAAACTTGAACTAAGAGACTCAGAGAAGAGATTCCATGTAGGGTAGACCCTTGTGCTGAAAGATTAGGTTGTTGTAAGTCTAGGAAGTCAAGGCTGGATCAAGCTGAAGATGCATATGTTGAGGAAGTTAGTTGGGAAAAGAGAGAATGAAGCAGGTAGGCAGAGATAAGGAGAGTAGAAAGAGAAACAGAGAGAGAGAGAGATGAAGAAGGATTCCAGGAGGGACAGAGTCAGAGTTGAGAGAACATGTTACTCCTAAGACACATATAGAGTAGGTTGGCTCCTGGCCCCCAGTCCCAGTTCCAGAGGGTGCAGTGTATTTCTTGCCTTCAGAATCTGTGCATTCCCCAACAATGTCCCTTTAGCTTGAGCTGGATTGAGTGGTCTTCTGCTCCTTCTTCAAAATCGGTGTGAGCAGAACACCTGGAACCAGCCCTTGTGTTGTTCATCACTGTGTCCCCAGCATCTAGGATGGTGCCTGGCACATAAGTATACAACGGATGGATAGATGAGTGGGTGGGTGAGATGGATGGTTGGATAGATGGGTAGGTGGGCAGATGGATGGATAGATGGATGAATGGATGGGTGGGTGAGATGGATAGATAGATGGGTGGGTAGATGAGTAAAACGGATGGATAGATGGATGGATGGGTGGGTGAGTGAGATGGATGGATAAATAAATGGATGGATGGATGAGATGAATGGATGGGTGAGATGTATGTATGGATGGATGTATGGATGGATGGGTAGATGAGTAAGATGGATGAATGGGTGGGTAGGGAGATGAGTAAGATGGATGGGTGGATGAATGGGTGGATGAATGGAAGGATAAAGATGAATCGGGGCTGGGTGAGATAGATAGATGAATAAATGGATGAATGGGTAGGTGAGATGGATGGGTGGATGAATGGATGGGTAAGATGGATGAATGGATGGTAAGTGGATGGGTGGATGCATGGGTGGGCTTTGGAGGGGATGTGGAAAGGCAGGGTCTGATGTGGGGTCAGATGCCCCCAACACCCACCACTGCAGATACTTCAGCTGCAACAATCTTAACTGAGACCCCCTTATCCCTGTTGGGGCCCTGACACTGTGCTGGAGCCATGGTCCTTAATCACCTGGGGACTGGTTAAAGCTTAGACTTCTGGGCCCACCCGCAGCATCTCTGATTCCTTGTTGGGGGTGGGGCTAAAATATTGCATTTCTGACAAGTTCCCAGATATTAGTGCTGCTGATCTGGGCACTCCACCCAGCAAACCACAGTGCTAGAGGAATACGACATCTGGTGATGCAGGGCAGGCAAGCCCCAGAGTTGGCGCTTAGCCTGGGAGGGTTCTTGGCTTTGCTCAGGAAAGAATTCAAGAGTGAGTCGGTGCTAGAAGAAAACAGTTTTATTGAGGCAACAGTGTTACAGCTCTGTGACTGCTCCCGCAGAGCAGGGCTACCCCCCAGGCAGTGTGTGGGGAGCTCAGGGACAGTTCTGCAGTTATAGTATACCCACTTTTAATTAAATGCAAATTAAGGGGCAGTTTATGCAGAAATTTCTAGAAAAAGGGTGGTAACTTCTGGGTTGTTGCCATCAAAAGAGGCGGTAACTTCCAGGTGTTGCTATAGCAATGGTAAACTGACATGGCACTGGTGGGCATGTCTTATGGAGAGGGGCTTTTGCCTTTTCCCTGTTTCAGCCAGTTTCCAATCTGGTCTGGAGTAAACTCCTGCCTCCTACCTCACTGGTGCTCTCCCACAGCCTTCACGGTCCAGCTGTGAAACACGTAAAGAATGGGAAGGTGGGGAGGAGAGCTCAGTTGGAATAAGGCAGGCCTGGGCTAGGTGCACCCCCAAAAACATGAGCCCTTGACCCCAGCCAGTCCCAGGTCTCAGGAGCACCCTCTCTGACAAATTTATTTCCTCATTCACTACTGACTGAGGGTCAGCTGGGCTCTGGAATGGAGAAGATAAAATGGTCTGATGTAAGCATGGAGCTCACAGCCTGCAATCTGCATGAGGTGAGGGCAAATACTCACTCATGAAATGTCCAGGTGGGAGGAAGCTGGAGGGGAGTGGTGCTCCACCTAGAACCCTGCAGATCCCTTTTACTGTTCCCACATGCTTCTGCTGAGGTAGGAGGCTGGACTGGACTCCAGAGACAGGGCTGGACACCAGAATGAATTGAGGACTAGCTAAAACAAAGACAGGGGTGGAAGGAGCTTTCTATGAGACACGCCCACCAGTGCACCACATCAGTTTACTTTTGCCATGGCAACACTCGGGAGTTACTGCCTCTTTTCATGGCAATGACCTGACAACCCAGAAGTTATTATCCATTTCCTAGAAATGTCTGCATAAACCACCCCTTAATCTGCATGCAATTAAAAGTAGGTATGAATCTGACTACAGAACTGCCCTGAGATGGTACTCTCTGTCTATGGAGTAGACTGCTCTACAGGAACAGGCACAGAGCGGTAACACTGCTGCTTCAATAAAGCTGTTTTCTTCTACTCTACCACTGGCTCACCACTGAGTACTTTTCTGGCTGAAGTCAAGAATCTTGGTGGGCTAAGCCTCAATTTAGGGCTCACCTGTCCTGCATCACTGCCTCTGCACTTCTCTTTCCAGTGACTAGTCTTCGGAGAACTAATTCAGGCTATCAGAACTACATGGGGCAGGTCCAGAGATCCAGAAGTACCTGGGAGTCTATACCCTCAGGGTGGTCCTTACCCAGAGAATAACTGGTAGGGCTTAGGAGAGCTTGACTCCTGGCGCCTGGTCAGGAAAGCTCCCTGGTGTGAATTATGGCCCAGAGTCCCTGAGGGGTCAGGCTGCAGCCACTCTTCCCGGGCTGCCTGGAGTCTCGCCTTTGCTTGGCTTCTTCTCATTCTTGGCCTGCTGCCCTCACTTCCCAGGGGTCTCCCCTGAGAGCATGTCCTTAATAGATCACTTGCCTGTGAGTCTTGGTGTCAGGGTCTGCTTCTGGGGAACCCAGCCTAGGACAAAAGCCATGTGCAGGAGTTCAGAGGCAGACACAATGGAATGAAGAGAAAAGCCAGGGACAGGCGTCTGGAGGAGGAGGCAGAGGCGTGCAGAGTCAGGATAGTGAGAGGTCCAGCTGAGCATGGGCTCTGAGAGTCATGGAGTCATTGGGGGTGAGTTACTACAAAGCGAGATCTCCATCCAGGCTTCTTCTTCCACAGAAAGCAAAATCCAGCCTCTGAGATGCAAAGGCAAGCCAGGCACATTTACAGAGGTTTCATAAAGTCCTGTATGGAGGAAAAGTGAGAGAGGTTTGGGCTTATAATTTATTTCAGAAACTTTTCATGGTTGCACTTGGTCCAGTAGAGACTACAAGAAAAATGCTAGAGTGAAGTTGTGAGCTCTTGCTGCTGCTTGAGCTGTTTCTGCAGAGAAGCTGGGCTAATGCCATCCTGTGTCTGGGAAAACTAGCGGGTCCTGTGCAGGGCAGGGCTGGCTTGAGTATTAGAGCTGATGACAGCCATGGCCTGTCTAGAGCAGTCACTGTGGGGATGCCAGCTGCAGCAAGGGAGGTGCAGCTGGGGCCGCATGCTCCACGGAGCCAACAGCAGCCGGGAACAGGTGGGAGCCCCACTCACTACCATGTTGGCGGTGTGGAAGCCCCACGTTCCCAGGCGCAATTGCAGCTGCCCAGCCATAGCTCCATAGCCAGGCATTCCTGTGCTCCTGGGGACCTCTGAAGCACCCTGCCATGCCCCTGCCTTCGCCCCTGCCCCCACAGGCTCGGAAGTGCCTGCTGTTACTCCCTGGTGTCTCCCTGCTCCTAGTGCCCACTCCAATTTCAGAGCAAAGTTGTAGCCGAGCCTGAGTGCTGTTACAACCCAGCTGGGTGGGCACACGCTTGGGGTGGTGCTGACATGCCAGCCCCTCATGCCACCTCGGCCCCCTCCAGACTTTGGGTGTTGATGAGCGCAGAAGGGAGGCTGGTGTGGGGCTGAGGGCAGCTCAGCATAGGCCTGCAGGCACCCCTCAGTGCAAACAGCCTGGGTGTTGTGGATGGCATGTTGATGGCAAGAGGCAGACAGGTTCCTGGGTGGAAAGGGGTGGGTCCCAGTGAAACCTCCAAGCCAGGGACTGCCTGAAGCCTGGGGGCCAAGCTGCCAGCTCCAGGTGGAGTCCGTGGTCTGGAGAGAAAACTTATGGTGCTTTTCTGGGCCTGTCCATGGCTACCTATGGACCAATCAACATGCACATCCTCCCCTCTGAGCCCATAAAAAACCCAGACTCAGCCGGACTCACAGAGACTTGGGGCTACCAGCTGCCGGAAGGAGCTACCCGCTCTGGGTTTCCTTGACCTGTCAGAACACCTGCCTGTGGAAAGGAGCTTCCCACTGTGGGTCTCCTCTCCGCTGAGAGCTGGACACACATCAGGACAACCTGCCTGAGGATAGGAGCTACCCACTTTGGGTCTCCTGAGAGCTGCTGTTCTGTCACTCAGTGAAGCTCCTCTCTGCTTTGCTCACTCTCCAGTTGTCCGCATACCTCATTCTCCCTGGGCATGGGATAAGCACTTGGGACCTGAGGAATGGCAGGACTGAAAAATCTGTAACACAAACAGGACTGAAACATGCCCCCCACTTGCCATGTTGCAGGCAATGAGAAAAAGAAAAGAGCTGTGGCTCTTTGGGGATCCCAGATGTAGGAACTACTCAAGCCAGGGCTGTGACACTGTCTTTGAGTCTGTATGGTTCCTGGCATCTCCAAGTTTCCAGGCACCACCATGTTTCCCAGTGCCCACAGTGGAAGCAGCTTGCAGTACGCCTGGTCCAGCTGCAGCCTCGCAGGGAGCTGGTGCCTGGAGCACCTGCCTTGCTGAAGCAAGCATGCCTGGCCAGACTCCATGCTCACTCACACACCCCTCACCACTCCATGCCTGGCCGGACTCCATGCTCACTCACACACCCCTCACCACTCATGCCTGGCTCACGTGGCATCTGGGCTAGTAGCATGAGCAGAGAGCAGTCTGCCAGTCTGAGTGGGTGGAACGAGCCCAGCAGGCCTGAGCAAAACTCAGGCAAAGGAGCCACGGGCCACAGAGATTTCAAGCTGGAAAAGCGACCCCTAAGGATCCTGTGACCCCTAAGCCAGCAGAGTTGTCATCAAAAGGACATCCTGGCTTCCACCCTGCCTTTCCCAGTGTCCATTTGACAACTGATAGAGACTCCACCCATTTGGTGCCTGGAAGGCTAATTGTAGGGGATGGGGAATATTCCAGAAATAAAGAAAAAGGGAAATATAGGCATTCCTTTGTGTTCCCAGCTATAATTATCTGTTCAGAGGTTGCCTCCCACCACCTGGGGGCAGAGCAGCGTGGAAGGAACTGGGGGAGGCCCTTGCCAGGACCATAAAGATGAGCTCAGCTTCCAGGAGGTTCCCTGTAGGAAGTCTTGCTTTGGCAAGGTCGTGTTCCTTTTATTCCTCTGTATCATTGACTGAATAACGTTCCTCTGAGGAAACTGTTCCCTTTTGGGGATAGACAGTAACGATAGCTACCATTTTCTCTATGGCTCATGTACTTTGTATTTTAGTTTCTTCACCTCAAACCACCCCATGATGATCTCATTTTACAGGTGAGAAAACTGAGGTTCAGCATGGTTAACTAACGACTGAGGGTCACACAGCTGACAAGTGGGGGAACCGAAAATTAGACCTTCAAGTTGGCAGGATGTGGCCACTTCCCTCTCCAAGCTCATCCCTCCCTGTCCTCTCCCTTACTAGTGTCAGCCACGGTTCCTTCCTGTGTCTTCAACTCAGAAATCCCTTTCCGGCCTCCAGGCCTCTGCCTGTGCCAGTCCCTCTGCTTGGAGCACTGTTCAGACTGACTCATGTTCTTCAATCTCTACTCACTCATTAGGTAGAAAAGAGTCTTACCTGTTCTCATCTAAGTGGGTGCCCTGATCCCCTGCTTCCTATACATACCTCTACATCTTTTCCTTTACAACCATTATTCTAGTTGCAATTACCTATATATTTACTTATTGATCTTTCATTGTCTGTCTCCCCAAGAAGGGTAAGAAGCATTGATTTTTTCACATCCCACTCTGTTTCCAGAGCTAAGCACCATGCTTGGCACATAGCAGATGTTCGAAAACCATTTGTTCAGGGAGGGAAGGAGACTGACGGTCTTGTACCCTGCTTTCCAGGTGCTTCGTGCTGAGTAACTGCTGTCTACCTGTCAGAGGCTGCACTTGCTCATGATGTTTATTTTTATACCAGCACAGAGCAATGCGTGTTCTCTATGGCCTGGCCTGTAGCCCCTTTGGTGAGGGCAGGAGAGGTGGCATCCCATCCTGTCACATCCATGGGCCTCCTCAGGATCAGCTTTTCCTTAGAAACTTCCTCCCACATGAATCCACCCAGTCCTCAAATCCTAACTGTATGTGTTAGGAATCGCATTCTGGGGTAACCAACTGTCCTGGTTTGCCAGGTGTTGAGGGGTTTTGGTGCTAAAACTGGGACAATCGCAGGCAAGCCAGGATAGTTGGTCACTTTACAGATTTGGCTGCTGTGAACAGAAGCCTGTAAAAGAGTGGCTTAAAGAAATGACGTAAAAGGAAAAGGCCAGGACTGGAAGGTGGCTTCTTAATACTATCAAGGACCTGAGCTCCTTGCTTTCTGTCCTGCTATCCTAGAGGCATAATACCCACACTCAAGGTCACCTCATCGTCCCAAGATGGCAGCAGCAGCTCCAGTCATCATACCCTCATTCTAGGTGAGAACACAAGGAAGTGGAAGGTCAAAGAGGAGAGGCACCTGCTGAATTATCCCCCTTTAAAGAGCTTCCTCAGAAGCTCCGTTTGGGACATCTACTCATATCTCTGGCCAGAACTGTATCACATGACCATTTCTAGCAGCAAGATAAGCTGGGAAATCCAGCTTTTTAGTAGGGTGCATTGTTGCCCTGATTAACATATGGTTTTGCTTGTTTCGAAAAAGGCCAGACTACATATTTGGTAAGTTGGGTGACAGATGCATTGTGGTTTACCCGGGAACTTCCCCAGTTTTAGTACTGAAAGTCCTGCATCCCAGGAAACTCCTTGGTTCCAGGCAGCTAGGATAGTTGGTGTGGTTGGTCATGCCACTGGTAAGTGATCTCTAGTCTCTAACACACCAACCCCCCTCAACTTGGCAATAGCAGCTGCCTTAGGGACGCTGTGTTAGATCTCTGTTTAGTGCCTTGACATCCAGGCATAAATCAAACATCAAACAGCTCAAGTGATGCATAAAAAATAATTTCACCATAGCCCAGGTGCTGAATTATAGCAGTTGAGCTATAATTATTTGATACATATCTGCGAAGCTGAGAAAATTCTGCCTCAATTAGGAATAAAGTTAAGCTTCCAAAATTTTCTCTGAACAGTTCTATCTTTCAGGGAGAAGTTTCCCTCCTTTGCCCACGTTCACTTAGTTCGGTTTTTTTACATCCTAAAACTCTAGTTGGCAATGTTCATGATAATAACATTGAGTTTTTGCAAAAGCTGCAGATTTGAAGGGAAGAGGTAGGAAGTGGGAAATGGAAAACATCCATCTTTAGAATAACATAAATGTCTTATAACCAATTGTGAATGCTACCAGGGGCCTCTTAGCCCAGGAAAGGGGTGGACAGAGAGAAACCTCAGCCAGCATGAACAATGACCAGCAATGATCAGCCGCCTCCTGTGTCAGACACTGGGCTGAGAGACATCTTCGGCTTGCTGCATCTTCATGACCACGCTATGCTCCATTTTACACCTGGGGGTACGTAAGCTTCCAGAGGCTAAATAATTTGCCAAGTCCACACCACTAGGAAGTCGATGGTGAAGCTTGGGTTTACACCCTCATCTGGCTGACTCCGGAGCCTGGTTACTATATCCTGCCTCCTGGAAAGATCTGGGTTTGGCCAAAGGAGAGGCACATATACAGCCCCCCAGCCCTGGCCAGATCCATCCCAGCTACATCCTCAGAGTGGAATGTGGAAGGCAGTTTGTAGCTTCTGGCAATGTATAGGTCTTCCCAACGCTCTGGAACCTGAAAAATGCCCCATGGTGTTAAACTAACAAATGTCATTGTGTTTTTTGTTGTTTCTATTTCTTTCTCTAGAGTGCTTGGTATCTGGTCTCTCTGCAACCATGGCCCTTCTCCAAGGCCAAATTCACAGACTCTAGAAGTTGCAATGTAAGGTTTAGCACCTTTTAAGGAGACCCCTGGTGATTTCCCAGGAGAGGCTCCTGAAATCCTCCTGGTCTAAGTTGCAGTGAAGATGCCTCCTGGAGGCCTGATGCCTGCTTCAGCACCCCTCTGCACTCTTCCTAGGTGCTCCTGGTCTTTGGGCGTTTGTTGAGGAGGTGCCTGGGGTTAGACTGGGTCCAGAGGATGCTCTGTTGATCATGCTTGTTGGGAACCCCACAGCTCCTGAGGCTAGTGACACACACAGTCTCCACTGACCCCTGAGTCCCAGCTGGAATGGGGGTTTCCAAGTGTGATGCTGAGCCTTGGTTCCTTCATCTAAGAATTAGGTGACAAGAGTGTCTGCCTCACAGGGCTGTTGGGAGGATTAACTGAGATGGTGCCAGTCAGGTATCAGGCACCGTCTTCTATATGACACAGTGCTTGTTATATGGAAGGCTCCATAAGTCTCAGCCTTCATAATGGTAATGGGGAAGAGGATGAGGAAGAGAAAGAGGAGGAGGAGGAGGAAGAGAATAAGGAAGAGGAGGAGGAAGAGAATAAGGAAGAGGAGGAAGAAAAGAAGGGGAAATGAGGGAGAGATAAAAATAAAGAGATCATCTGGTCGGGTGCAGTGGCTCACACCTGTAATCCCAGCACTTTGAGAGGCCAAGGTGGGAGGATTGCTTAAGGCCAGGAGTTCGAGACCAACCTGGGCAACCCAGGTCTCTACAAGAATTTTAAAAATTAGCTGGACATGTTGTTGCACACCAGTTGTCCCAGCTATTTGGGAGGCTGAGGCAGGAGGATTCCTTAACCCCAGGAGTCTGAGGCTGCAATGAGCCATGATCACACCATTGCACTCCAGCCTGGGTGATAGAGTGAGGCCCTGTCTCAACAAAACAAAACAAAACAAAACAAAGGACAACAAAAAGAGAGACGATCTGAGATCATTGCTCAATTTCTTTGACTATAAAGTGGGAATAAGGCTGAGTGCCGTAGCTCACACCTGTAATCCCAGAACTTTGGCAGGCTGAGACAGGTGGATCACTTGAGGCCAGAAGTTAGAGACCAGCCTGGCCAACATGGTGAAACCCCATCTCTACTAAAAATACAAAAATTATCCGGGCGTGGTGGTGCACGTCTGCAATCCCAGCTACTCAGGAGGCTGAGGCGTGAGAGTTGCTTGACCTCGGGAGGGGGAGGTTGCAGTGAGATGAGATGGCATCACTACACTCCAGCCTGGGTGACGGAGTGAGACTCTGCCTCAAAAAACAAAACAAAACAAAATAATAAGTAGAAAAAATAAAGTGGGAATAATAACAGATCATCTTTCAAAATGTTGTAGAAAAGATGAATTGACATGACGTCTGCTAAGTGCTTAATATTGTGCTCGGCACATACTAAGTGTTCAATAAATCTTAGTTATGACAACACTTTAAGCTTCAACAAAATCAGGATAATAAGTCACCTTCTTCATAGGTTGTGGTGAAAACTCAAGATCACGTATTTGAAGTGAACAGAAAGTGCCTGGTACCTGTCAGACCTCAGTACATTGTCACTATTATTCAAGCAGAGGTGAGGAACTGTCCTTCTGATTGAGCATGTGGCCTCAAGGGGGACAGGAGCTGGGCCTGGGAATCTTCTGGAGAGAATGGAACTGAATTATTGCCCGGAGCCGGTGGAGTCTTCCAGGCAGAAGCAGCTCTCAGGGGGCAATGTCTGGCTGCTCCTGGCCTGGCTCACGACGGGCTGCAGCCTTTGTGGCAGGCCTGTCCTGGTGGCACCATGTCTCCCTCTCCATCCTTTAGTTTTCTCGCCAAAGGCCGGGGAAGCCAGGGCCAGTGTGAGTGCTGCCTCTGGGTGGTCTCCACAGTGCGGGCGGTGACTCCACTGCCCCCAGCCCCTTGACATCTGCCTTCTGTAGAGCACAGGTTGTCACCAGTTGACACTTACACAAGCCAGAAGCAGGCCCGGCCCACACTCATTGCCATAATAAACACACGCGGTAGTTTCTGAGAGCTGAGCTGTCCCATCCATCAATCCAGCGTGACATGCAAAGGGCCCCCGTGGTGGGAGTCGTGACTTCAAAGGTCAGAGCCTGACATCCAGGTGTGTGCATCAGGGATGCTGTGTGTCCTGGGCTGCAGTGGACGGCGGAGGTGAGCCATGGGGTCTGCGTGGGTGTGAGAGTCTGCGTGCATGCATGTGTGTGTGCATATAGATATGTCTATACACATAGGTGTGTGCACATATGCATGTGTGTATGTATGTATGTGTATATTCGTTTGTGTGCATATGTATGTGTGTGCATATGTGTAGGTAGTGTTCACGTGTGTATGTGTATATGTGTGTACATGCATGTATGCATGTGTGCACATGTATATGTGTGTGTGCATGTGTGCAGGCGTATATATGTAGGTGTGTATGTGCATTTATGTGTCTATGCATGTATGCCTATGTGTGTATACATGTTGTTATATGTATACTCATGTGCATGTGTGCGCATGTGTATGTGTTTATATATTTATATGGTTGTGTGCATGTGTATATGTAATGTGTGCAAATGTGTGTGTGTGCAGGCAAGCACATTAGATCAGGAGATCTCAATTCAAACATGTTCAGCCGCCAGCAAGGTTGTATAAATGTGAAAATGGGATGGGATAGAGAGAAAGTGACTCTGGTCCTTCAAATATAGGGCACATATGGTATAGAGTGCCGAGGACTGTGGCAAACAGGAAGCCTGTATCCCTGAGTGCAGCAGATGCAACCTCGTTGCTGCTGCATGAGGAATGCGGATCCAGTGTTACCAGGAATCCTCATTTTTCAAGAGAAGCCAGAAAGCTGGATTTTTATGTGAAATGGCTTGATTTTTAAGAATCTATTGTCAGCCCATTGAAGGAGATTGTTAAATGTCTCCTGGGTCAAAGAAAACACATGTGAGGCTTGAATTTGGCCTGTGGACATCCAGTGAGCAGTCGATCGCCACTGTGGTCATTTCTTTCTGATGTAGAAGGGACTACCCTACCAAGCTGGGCTTTTCCCAGAAGATCCTGCACTGGCTTGGAGGAATGGATCCTAATGGGGTGGTTTTGCCCACAGGAGGCATTTGGCAATGCCTGGAGACAGTTTTGGTGATCAAAACTGGGTCGTTGTTGTTGGTGGTGGTGGTGGTGGTGGTGGTGGTGCGCTCAATACTGGCAGCTGGGGTAAAGCCAGGGATGCTGCTGAACATCCTACAGTGCCCGGGACAACCCCTAGCCTACCCCAAGTTAAAGAATAATCTGGCTTGGCCGGGCACGGTGGTTCACGCCCATTATACCAGCACTTTGGGAGGCTGAGGTGGGTGTATCATTTGAGGTCAGGAGTTCAAGACTAGTCTGGCCAACATGGCGAAACCACGCCTTTACTGAAAATATAAAAATTAGCCAGGCTTGGTGGCAGGCACCTGTAATCTCAGCTACACGGGAGGCTGAGACAGGAGAATTGCTTGAACCCGGGAGGCAGAGGTTGCAGTGAGCAAAGATCATGCCATTGAACTCTAGCCTGGGCAACAAGAGTGAGACTCTGTCTCAAAAAAAAAAAAAAAAAAAAAAAAAAAAAAGAATAATCTGGCTCTAAATGTTGACAGTGAAGTGAGGTAGCTGAGAAACCTTGAATTAGAATCATCCCGAGGGTGATTTGAGAAGGCCAGCTTCTGGTTGTGGAAATTCCTCACTTATGAGCAGTGGCCTTTAGGAGTCAGTTTACACCTGATTTAAAATGTCCTCCAAAGGTCATCTTTCCAGCCTAGTGGCCTGTCCAGTGCTTTCCTGACATGCCAGCCCCGTGATAGGTGTGTCACATGTCTGAAATCAGCAAACCTCTCAACTCCCAGGAGACAAACCACTTTTATCCCCATTTTACAGGTGAGAATACTGAGACAGAGAAAAACCGAGCAAGAGTCTGTGGTCACACACACACATACACACACACCACACAGGAAAGTTGGTAGAGCCTGGATGTACTTTGGACAGTCTGACTCCAAACCCACCCCCTTAATGACAGGTCTACACTGTGAGAAGACATGGACTGAAATTGTTTTGCATTCTCTTGCACATCTGAGAGTTTGCTTGACTGCTTTTTATGCCTGGAACATTCTTCTCTTGGAAAACACCTACTTAACTTTCAGGGCTCAGTTCTAAAAGCTCCTTCTCCCGAACGTTTCCCCCTGAGGAGGGACTAGGTCAGGCACCCAGTCTGGGGTTCCTTCACCAACAAGGTGTTTTCCCTAACAGAGATCATTTCTCATTTACTGTGATTGCTTCAGTTTCTGTCTTATTGTGGCATGAGCATCCATCACAGCCATGCTAATACCTGGCACATGCTAGGCACTGACTAACTGTTGAATGAGCGGATCAATGAATGGATGGGTGTTTCCTTGCTTCCCAATTAGCTTTATTTCTGAACTTTGCAGTTGAGTCTTTTTGATGAGCTAGGCGCTGTTCTAAGTACTTTACGTGTATTAACTTGCTGATCTTTGCAACAGTCTTATGAGGTAGGCATTATTACTATCCCTGTTTATTCTCATTTACTCAACTTCTTAGGCAAAGAGAAGTTAAGGAACTTGCCAAAGTCACACAGCTAGTAAGTGGCAAGGACTTCTTCAGTGGCTGCCGCAGTGACTTTCTGCAGGCCTGGGAACAGAGCTGAGCTTTGTTCTTGTCCTAACTCTCTGGATCTCCAGATAAGGGCTCAGTGAGCTTATATTATGTGACTCAGGACAGATTCACATACAAACAACTATTTTACCGAACATCTACAATGTGGTGGGCATTGAATTAATTGAAGTGGTTATATTTTCATGTACCTTTGTCATTTGTATCTCTTGTTTAAGTATTTGCTTGTTTACATCCTATTAGTATATTTGACTGTCTGTTATTGATTAGCAATTACTCTTTACATATTAAGGCTCTACACAATATGTTTGTCACCTTTTTCATATTTCCCCAATTTAGTTATTTTTCAACTTGCTTATACTTTTTTATTTGCTATTCAGAGTTTAATTTTTAGGTAATTAAAAATGTTTTTTATGGTTTTAGTCCTTAGTACCATGCTTTGAGACTCTTTTTATCCCCAAGATTATAAAATATTAATTCATAGTTATTTTTCTATTCCTTTTAGTTTCACTATTTACATTATTTGTTTGCTTGCTTATTTAACATTTTAATCTTTGGTCCACCAGGAATACATTTTGCCATATGAGGTGAGGCGAGAATCTCAGTTTGTTTATTCAATAGGTCTACTTTTACACTCCCAAGAAAAACTCATTGCTTTGACTAAAATAGGCAGCCAAAAATGTTACAACGTACAGTTGAGCAGATCAGCTCATAAACCTACTTGCCCTTCAGTGACTGAGAGATAGCATGCCGTGTGTCTTAACCATGTAACCGGCGGATGTGATCACGTTAGACTCTGGATTTTTGACAGATGATGCTTTTTTAGGCATTTACTTGGAGGAGATACAGATACTCCAGACAGGACGTTTGCCCATTACACAGCTGCCCCTGCACTAACTCCCCCCACCTCACCTTGCCACCTGTCAAATTACCCCTTTATTCACACGCCTGCTGGGGACCCCTTGGTACATTACCAGTTTTTAAAATGTGATATCAGTTTTGGTGATCTGATTGGCAAAGATGAACGAGGTCAATAACTCCTGCTGTGGCAGCTACGGAGGGAAAAGGGCCGTCTTGATCCTCACTGTTTTGAATGTGTAAAGTGGGGGTAAGGTGGAGGTAGGGGGCTCTCTGCAGAGCGACACCCAGGCTGGGCACTGGTCACTGTGTTGTGGGCCTTACATTCTTTCGCTAGGCCTCCAAACCACCGTTAAGAGGTAGGAACTATCTTTAAGTCCATTTCACAGACAAGACCACTAAGGCACAATGAAGTAACCTGCCCAAGGTCAAGTATCTGGTAACTACAAACCCAGGCTGCCTGGGGTCTACACTACAGCCTTGTTCGGTTTGCAGTGACAGCCTTCAAGTCCTGCTTACTCTCAACCCAACAATTGTCTCTATAGGATTGATCCTAGGGAAAGAGTTGTGGATGGGTAAGCAGATTTGGGATGAGGCTGTGTATCAGAGGGTTGTTTTTTGATTTTGTTTTTGAGACGAGGTCTCACTCTGCCACCCAGGCTGGAGTGCAATGGCATGATCACAGCTCACCCCAACCTCTGCCTCCCGGGCTCAAGCGATCCTCCCATCTCAGCCTCCGAGGGTAGCTGGAGCCAAGGCCTGTGCCACCATGCTCAGTTAAGTTTTTGTTTGTGTTTTTTTGTAGAGACAAGGTTTTGCCACGTTGTGCAGGCTGGTCTCAAACTTCTGGGCTCAAGCAATCCACCCTCCTTGGTCTCCCACAGTGCTGGGATTACGGGCATGAGCCACTGTGCCTGGCCAGGGTTTTTTTCAACAGTGAAAAATTGGAATTAACCTAAAAGCCCATCAATAGTAAATCAGTAAATTCTACTATATAGTATTGCATATCCTGGACTGTGATGCAGTTTTTAAAGAGTTATAAAATCGATATGCTTTTTTGATACATACAATTCCAATATATCATTGCAGTTTACAAATTATAATGTATGGCATGATGTCATTTTTGTTACTAAAAAATATACAGGCATAGAAAAAAAACGGGAGTTGGAGCTGGCCTTGCCGGCCTCAGCACTAGTGACATTTTGGGCTGGACGGCTTTTCGTTATAGGGGTGTGTCTTGTGTGGCATGTTTAGCAGTATCCCTGGACTCTATCCACTAGTTGCCAGCAACATTTCTCACTACTGGGGGCCCTAGTTGTGACAACAAAAAATGTCTCCAGTCATTGGCAAATGTCCCCTGGGGGGCAATGTCACCCAGTTGAAAACTACTGGGTTAGGGCCGGGCGTGGTGGCTCACGCCTGTAATTCCAGCACTTTGGGAAGCCGAGACCGGTGGATCACTTGAGGTCATGAGTTTGAGACCAGCCTGGTCAATATAGTGAAACCCCGTCTTTACTTTAAAAAAAAAAAAAAAAATTAGCTGGGCGTGGCAGCAGGCACCTGTAATCCCAGCTCCTTGGGAGGCTGAGGCAGGAGAATTGCTTGAACCTGGGAGGCGGAGGTTGCAGTGAGCCGAGATGGCGGCACTGCACTCCAGCCCAGGTGACAGAGCAAGACTCCATCTCAAAAAAAAGAAAAGAAAAGGAAACTACTGGGTTAGAACTTCCTCCTTGTCTCCTCCCTCCCTCCCTCCCTCCCTCTTTCTTTCTTTTCTTCCTTCCAGTTTCTGCTCAAATGTTATCTCCTAAGAGGCAATTCCTGGACCGCTGCTGAAACAGCGCCCTTCCTTCCCTGCCAGCACTCTCTGTCCCTTGTCCTCTGGGCCTTCCCTGATAGTGCACAGCACATGGCCCTATTTATTTTCTGTCTCCTGCACTGGATTGGAAGCTCCCCAAGGGCAAGGGCCTTGTCTTGTTCCCTTCTGTATATTTCCTGGCTGAGGACAGTGCTCCGTTCACTGTAGGTGCTCAGCAAGTGTGTGTTGAATGAGAAAATACCTCTGTGCCGAGCCAGCATTTTCAAGGCCCTGCTGTGCACCAGGCTCGCTTTAAGCGCTTTACACCCATGAACTCATGTAATTCCCCTGAAACTTCTGGGAAGTGGGTTCCATTATTACCCTGGTTTACAGATGAGGAAACTGAGACCAAAAAGGTTATGGTGTAGCTGGCCAAGGTGACATCTTTCTAGGTAGCTGAGCAGGATTTGTTCTTCAAACGCTGCTAAGATGAACATGCAGGATCCCACAGATCCTTGCACATTGGTGGGAGGAAAGACATTGGATACTTTCTGCATGTTGGGGGTGAAAGAGTCGTGCATTTTAAATTTTGAGTGCAGTGCTTAAGAGCTTTCCCTGAAGCCCTCCTCAATTTGCACTTCCTCCAACAGTGTCCTGAATTCATTTTAGTAGAAGAGACATGAGAACACCAACACACAATAACACGGTGTTCTTTATTTTTATTATCATTATTTGATACAGAGTCTCACTCTGTCACCCAGGCTGGAGTGCAGTGTCACAATTTCGGCCCACTGCAACCTCTGCCTCCTAGGTTCCAGCGATTCTCCTGCCTCGGCCTCTCGAGCAGCTGGGACCACAGACGTGCGCCACCATGCCAGGCTAATTTTTTGTATTTTTAAAAGAAACGTGGTTTCACTATGTTGGCCAGGCTGGTCTCAAACTCCTGGCCTCAAGTGATCCGCCCACCTTGGCCTCCCAAAGTGCTGGGACTACAGGTGTGAGCCACCGTGCCTGGCTGACATGATGTTCTTATTGAGAGTTTGTAGGTAGAGCACAGGGACTCTCTGAGCTCTGAGGGACAGGAGGGGGTTGTCGCCAGGCTAGGCTCCCCACTTAGGGATGCTTGTCCTGGTTTGCTCTTGGAACCCAAGCATCCCCCTACCCCAGGACAATGGCCACAATTCAGACTGATAGCACTCCGAGCTGCCTGGCTCATTGGTGGCCACAGCGTGCTCATCTGCCCACTGGTTTTCAGTGTCACAGTCAGAGCTGAGAGTGGCCACCTAAGGGCGGGGCTGCTGCTGCTGCTGTTTGTCCAGCCACTGAGCAAGGGAGGAGGGGGGACATCAGGATCACACCAGGCCTTCTGCCCAGAACGTCTCCCCCTGCCTTCCCAGGACCGACCCTTCTCACCCTCCAGGTCATGACTGGGCTGCTCCCTCCTCCAAGAAGCCCACTTTGAAACCATGCATCTGCAGTGGGTTGAAGGGTTCCCCCAAGAGACACGACCACCTGAAACCTCAGAATGTGAGCCCATTTGGAATAAGAATCTTTGCAAATGGCAAGGTTCTTGAGATGAGATCATCTTGGAGCGTGGTGGCCCTGAGTCCAGTGGCGAGTGTCTTTATAAGAGATGGAAAAGGAGAAGAAACAGAGAGGCATGAGGAAAAGGTCGTGGGGCCGCAGAGGCAGAGGCTGGAGCAATGCGTCTGTAAGTCAGGGAAGCCAGCAGCCAGCAGTGGCTCGGGGGAAACATAGATCAGACTCTCTCTCACCACCTCTGAAAGAAACCAGTCCTGTTGACATTTTGATTTCCAACTTCTGTCCTCCAGAACTGCGAGAAAACAATTTTTTTTTCAAGCCACCAGATTTGTTATGGCCACTCCAAGAAATAAATATAGTATGCCCACCTCCACATACCAGCTTTGGCAATTTGGGGCAATTTGGCTTGCACTTAGGCAGGTTACTTCTACCCCTCAGCCTCAGTCTTCCCATGTGAGAAATGGGACTTTAGCCACACCCGTGTGCTGTCGTGGTGAAGACTAAATGAGGTAGTAACTACACGGACTCATCTGGGAGCCTGCCACCTGGTAAGTGCTCCATGAATGTTAGCTACTTTTTTTTTTTTTTTGATCAATCTAGAATGTGTCCCCAGAGATCCTGAGTTAGAATCGAAACCAAGGTCAAAGCACATTCTCCATTTGGTTCTGTGCACAGTGAGGTTTTTGGGCCATCAGGTTCCAGCACAACAACAAAAACATGGAAACCACCCAATGCTCACCCCGAGGGGTGGGTCACTGACCTCATGGTGCAAGGGAATCACGTGCAGCCACTGAAGGGACATTTAGAAAACATTTTTGCCCAGCGTGGAGGCTCACGCCTGTAATCCCAGCACTTTGGGAGGCTGAGGCAGGCGGATCACTTGAGGTGAGGACTTTGAGACCAGCCTGGCCAACATGGTGAAACCCTGTCTCTACTAAAAATACAAAATTAGCCGAGTGTGGTGGCGTGCACCTGTAATCTCGGCTACTTGGGAGGCTGAGGCAGGAGAATTACTTGAACCTGGGAGGTAGAGTTTGCAGTGAGCCAAGATCGTGCCACTGCACTCCAGCTTGGGGAACAAGAGCAAAACTTCATCTCAAATAAAAGAAATTTTTTTTTGATAATACGGAAACATTCTTGGTAATAACATTAAGTGGCTAAAAGAGGTATAGAAAATTGTATGTGCAGAATGATTACAATTATGCAGAAATAAATACCACGTTTCTGTTGAGAGAAAGAAAACACACAAAAAAGTCACAGGGAAGCAATTTAAATCCATACATATGGGAAGGAGAAAGGAAGGAAAAAGGAAGGGAAAGGAGAAGGGAGCGGGAAGGAGGGAGGCCCACAAGAGACGCAGGAGTAGCCAGTACTCCTTACTGCTGCAGTAACATTAAGCCATCACAGGTGTGTATCGCAATTAAGCTCTTCCGAAATCTTTCCCATCCTTTATTCCAACCCATTTGGCAGTTTTAATAAACTCTCTGAGCTTCAGTTCCCTTATCTAAAATGCTACCTGCAAACCCAGCTGCACTCCACTTTGTGCTCATGGGCAATCTCCTTCATTTCTATTGGCCTCTGTTTTCCAATCTATAAAATGGGGATGTTAAAAGCACTCCCTCACTGAGTGGTTGACACCGTCTCAGACCTGGGCCTGGCACATAGTAGGTGCTCAATAATCTCGAGCTGCTGTTATTTCATATGGGACACGAGCCTGGTGGATCACTGCTGGCAAGGCCAACTCCTTAGGGCTGTCTTCTCGTCCTCTGGAGAGACCCAAGGGTTGAGAAGATCCCCTGGTACCCCACAGACCTCCATGGCCAGAGGGCAGATGAGAAGGTGGGAGAGGGCACCCATTCAGTGTTCCCACCGGGGACAGCCTCATTTCATCTTGGCACAAGACAACTTCCTGGTTCAAAGACCAAAGGCCTTGAAAAAGAAAGGAGAAAGGGTTCCTGGACATCAAATGTTTCTTACAAACACTGTTTTGATGGTTTAAATGTAAACAAATCTGAAACATATGGATTACATTTCTCCTGAAGGGCTTAAAAGTTAAAGGGGAAAAAAGGGAGTTGTCTCCAGCCAAATTCATGTTGATTTTTGCCAATCTCCAGGATCTTTGGGAAATAATTGGAGACATGTCCTCACACCCCAACTAGTGCTAAGCTGTAGCTTTTTTTTTAATTGCTGTTATGACTCACTGTTGAGTTGGTGATTATTTTTATCCAGTTAATGAAGGTAATCTATAAATTACCACTGACCCAGATTCAGATTCATTATTTAATAAGATTTAAATTACACACCCAAGTTCGCTCAGAAGCAGCGGGCTGGAGCTTCTTTCTGAACAGCATCTGTTTGTTCTCAAAAGTCCTGATGCTCAGATGTTCTGATCACCGCCTCCCTGCCCCCATTTGAGCGTGTGGCCTATATAGTGTGACATTTGGGGCCACCTGGCCAGTTTCCAGGCCCTGTTCCTGCACATGCTCTGTGAGTATTGGCCCTGGACCAATACGTGGGAATTCCCAAGGCTGCCACCCAGCTTCTGCCTCTGTCAAACACTTGCAGGGTGCCTTTGGGCGACCTCTGGTCCCTCCGTGGGCCTTGGTTTCTCCCTGTATGGCACGTTCTTTATGGGGGTTCTTAGTACCGTTACACCAAGTTAGGGTTTCCCAAGGCGTGTCCCGTGGGGCCCTGGTCCCACGGGTGCTGTCTAGAGGGGCTCCTTCCTTAAACACCCTTGAGCATGGCTACAGAATCCACAACTGTAGATTCACAAGGGCATACCATTAGGGTCAAAGTCACCATGTCAGACCCCCTGAAAAGGTCATAGATTCCAGAGAGCTCACCCTCTCCTGCCTGCTTTCTGCCTTCTTTTACCCATAAGGGTCCTTTTACCCAAAGGGCCTGGTCAGGACCTGACCCTGCCTTCTCAGTCCCTCTAAGGGCTCCCCTTGTCCTTAAAATGAAATCCACTTTCCTGAGCTTGCAGGGGTCTGCAGGGTCTGCACCCAGAGGCAGCTTCATGGACAAGCAACCTGGGCAGTTGCACAGAGGGACTCCATGCTTGATTTAATGCTATCTTGTCTCGTCTTGAAATTCTTTCTAAGTTTGCCTGAGAGGCTCTGCAAATCACGTAGCCAATCCTGCCAGAACCCTAGCACACCTTCAGCACTGACCTTTCCCTCTCTCTGTCCTTTTTGCTCTTCTGCCTCTGTGCTGACTGGACCCTAAGCCCTGAGTGAATGTCAGTGTTTGACCAAGAAACACTTTCTCTGTAGGGCTTCTCCCCTCTTCCTTCAGAGGGACCTGTTCATCCTTCAGGTCTCAGCTCAGACGTCACCCCTCAGAAAGGCCTTTCTGTCCTCCACCAGCGACTGCATTAAGCACGTAGCTCATCCCTGTGCAGCACTATTGGGAAACACCTGATTGGTTTCCTTGCTCACTCTTTATCCTCCCTCACCACGTGGTGAGCATGGGGAGGGCAAGGGCCTTCCTTCCTTGAGGACACAGCCCATGTGCCCCCCACACACGGAAGCTCCTGTCTTGGTCAAGAAACTGGCTCCATTTCCCCAGCCAAGCATGTCTCATATTCCTGTGTCTCCTGGGGGAGGTGGGGTGTTGAGCCCCAGCTCTGAGCTCCAGCGGGAGCAGGTGGTGAAGGAAGAGATACCCTGCTCTGGGGTGCACCCCCAATACCTGGACTTGTTCTGAGCTCCTGCGGGGAGTCCCAGCCACAGTGACTCCCAGGACCCTGGACCTTCTTCCCTCCCCTTTGCTCCTTCTTGCAGCTCCTCCTACCCCCATCCTCCCCGAACCCTTTTTCTGCCCTTCAAGCTTCATTGCCTCAGGACTCCCTTTTATCTCATCAGTTTCAAAGCTGCCTCCCAATGAGATGATCACGGTTTCCTTTGCCCCTTCTCTGGGCCCTGCCACTGGGGGCTGCTGGCATGGGAGCTTTCGCTAGTGTCCCTGGATGCTTATTTTTTCACCGAACAATTATCTCTTTTTTTAATGGGCAAGGCTAAGTTTATTAAAGTCGCAGAAGCGAGTAGATGTAAAAGGACCATATTAGGAAGTGAATGGCCTGGGCACAGGCTGAACCAGGACCACAGAGGCTGTTCTCAAGACAGCAGGAATTAGGAAACTCAGCTCACTCCCCCTCACCCACCCCAAGCTTCTCACACTGGAATTCCCCTCGGGGTGGGGGCGGGAGAGGGGGGGAACAGTGAAGGGAGGTGGGTGGGAACCGGTTTCAAGTCACCACTGTCTGGGAAAAGGGCTGCGGCCTTGAGCAAGGAAAATGACCAACTTGTCCCTGTTTGCCTGGGACTCCTCTGGATTCTACATCCCAAGTCCCAGGTTCTGGGAACCCCTCAGTCCCAGGCAAACCCTAAAAAGGGTTGGAACAGGCTCCACCTCACACTGCTGCTCCCTGGGGCACACCCGGAGAGGCCGGCTCTCTCCCAGCCCCTCCCCTCTCAGCCCCTCCCCGTCCCCCTCGCCTTCCCGTCCCCATCCCCCTCCTCGTGGGGAAAAGCTTCAGCCAGATTTCCACACCCACCTGCACAGGGCCCTCCTTTGCCCCCTGCAAATGTCAGTGTGTCCTCATTCCCCTTAGAGCAGGTCCACGGCCGGAGGCTGCCCAGAGGAGACTGGGGGTGTCTGTGCCTGTGCATGGCGGCGTCCACCCCAGAACCCCCAAATACATGCATATAAAGCTCTGAGGAGCACTGTGGCCCTTTGCTGACAGTCAAGGGTTTGCATCTGGTGGGGAAGTTTGTTTTGTTCTTTTTTTCTTCATTTTATTTGTATTTGTTGTGAAATACACAGAACATGAAATTGGCCATTAGCTACTTCTGAAGAGTACAGTTCCACCGTGAAGAGCTCATTCCCATTGTTGTGCAACCCATCTCCAGAACTGTTTTCATCTTGCAAAACTGAAACTGCAAACCCATTAAACACTAACTTCTCATCCTCCCTCCCGCTCCCCCTGGCAACCCCCATTCTCCAGTCTGTCTCTATGAATTCGACAACTCTAGGTAAGTGGAATCATACGGCATTTGTCCTTTTGTGCCGGGCTTATTCACTTAATATAATGTCCTCAAGGCTCATTCATGTTTAGCATGTGTCAGAATTCTCTTCCCTTCTAAGGCTTAAGTAATATTTCATTGTATTAGTGGGCGCATTTTGTTCTTCCATCTACCCTTCAATGGACCTTTGGGTTGCTTGCATGGGGAAGGTTTTTAATTTTTCCCCTCCCTGGGCACCAAAGCTGAGATAGACAAGGGCATCTAGATGCCCTAGGGGAGGGGCAGCTGGAGTCCCGGTTAAAAAGAGGCAAGGAGGAAGAGAATGTGCTGGAGGAAAGAAGAGTGGTGAGAGGAAATGAGGGGCCCAGAGGACCCCCTTTGAAACTGGCAGTGGATTCCCTGTAAGAGATTATCAGAATAATAATCATTATTAAAGCGGTTGTATTGCCTGGACACTTACTGTGAGCCAGGTCCTGTTGTAAAGGGTTGATGTGTGTTCATCTGCTGTGTTCTCACAGCAGTTCTCTAAGGCAGATGCTGTTATTGTTCTCATTTGACAGATGAGGAAACGGAGACATGGATATGTCACCAGCTTATGAAATCTGGGCTGAAAAGGAAAGACCTCGACATATTCCAGGGGTCCTCAGCTTTCAGCCACATCAGAGTCACCCACACAGCTCGTTGCTTTGATGTAGACTTCAGCCCACCCCGGGGCGTGCCATCCAGGGCATGCTCATGGGGCTGGGCTATGGGAGAAACTCTGGCTTGACAGAGCAGCCTCGTAGGAGGGGTGGAGATGGGGAACCCGTCATGGGCTGTCTCAGTGTTCAATATGTGGAGCATATTCAGAAAGGGCTCTTTTTCCTCAAAACCTATTGCTGAGATTTGTACATTGTGCCAGGCATTTGCAGAAACAGTTGGACCTTCAGCAAGAGACATCATTTCTGTCCTGAGCCTGATGCCTCTGGCTGTAAAGTGGAGTGCATGACTCCTGCTGTGCATGGTTTTAGGAAAGGCCCCAGGAACAGCTCAGTGAAGCAGCAGCGCCATGTCTGAGGCCTGTGAGTGACTGCTCCCTACACGTTGTTTCCACGATAACCAAACACCAGCAGAGCTCCCTGTAGCCTGTGGATTTTCTGTAGCTGGTCACCTGAATGGCTAAGCCCGTGTTACTGCCCGGTCTCTTCTGGCAGGATGAACTTGAATGTGCCAGCGCTAACCCTGTTGCCTACTGGAAGGAAATTAACCCTTCTGCTACCAGCCTGGGGCAATATTTTATGGAGTTTCCTTCTTTCTTGAGTTGGCTGGGAAATGGAAAGAGGGGTTTAGGCTGACGGTCTTTTCCTCTTTTTAGCAAAGCAGTACATGTTTGTGGTAGGCAGTTTAGGAAATGCAGATAATTAGAAAGGAGAAAATCCACACCCTCCATCGCCTACTGTCCAGACACGATGAGAGACTCTTGGAGTTTCCCCTGAACCGAGTTATAAGCTTATCCATGGGGTTCATCTGCAGCTCAGAGTTTCTTGTTGATTGCTGGGGTCTTACCTCAGAATTTTGACCCCCCACTTTGGGGTCCTGGTTTGGTTGGGCAAAGAAAGATGAGGTATGAAGAGAACAGAGGGCTTTTGATTGTTTGTCTTTTGAGAACTTGGATGAAGTTGAAGTTCTAATGAGATCAATGGACAGCGCTAGGACTGAGTCCCCAAAAGCATACTTTGACCCTCCCCCGAGACAAACCAGTTGTCATTTTTGATGTTTTTCAAGAGTACATGCTTTTGTCTTCCAGGAAATGAGCATGTTGGTAGTAAAATCATGATTTTAATGGGTTTTGTAATATTAATTGTCATTTGGTTTAACACAGGGTTTCTCAACTTGGGCATAATAATATTTGGGCTGGATCATACTTTGTGATGGGGATTTTTTTGTGCATTGTAGAAGCCGCAGCAGCCTCCCTGACCTCTACCCCCTGGATCCCAGCAGAAACCTCTCCTCCGCTGTCCCTGGCTCCCTTCTCCCCAAAAGATATCTCAGGACAAACGTCTCCTAGGGGACAAAATCAGCACCTGAGGAGAAACTACTGTCCCAGAAAGTCCCAGGGAGGGAGAAGGATCCCTACATCCCCTCAAGCATAAACAGAACTCAAACTATACTTTATGAGATTGGACACATAATGGTGTTTTTTTTTTTTTTTAAGAAAATAGCTAATCAAGCAAGAGGACTAGCAATAATAATACAACTAATGTTCTATTCCTTGTAGTTGGAGACTGCGTGTGTACTTACCTCTTAATATCCATTACACTTAATTAGAATTAGCATTGCATTACATTTAATACCATGTTGCCAATTGTATTTAACTAAAAAATGCTTTTGAAAAATTTAGGGTTTTTATTTTTTCATCCAATGATCAGTTTCCTGCTGAAGGATACTCTTTCATATCAGGTATAAAGAAAGCCCTTCCAACAGACCTGAAGAATGTTTGCTGATGAATCAAAAATAGCTCTCTAAGAAGAACTGTTCCAGAATAATCACGGAAAGAGACTGCTTTTAAGACAGTTCAAAAATAAGTATTTTATTCATTCAATGACCAACTGATTTTTACGAGTGCCTGCCATATGCGGAGAATTTATAGTAGGGAAATGTCTAATTCCTTATAAATGGAGAGGTGATCTCCTTTGAAGAAGTAGGAAATTTTTATGTTTGAACTTGTCAGGGAGAAGCCAGAAGTAAAAGGACATTTAATTCAATTTGACAATTAAGATTTGTCTTGCAGCATCTCACTTGGCCAAGCTCAAAAAATCATCTTGTGGAAAAGTCTCATCTAGTATCGTGCATGCGTGTGTGTGTGTGTGTGTGTGTGTGTGTGTTCACACACACTCATGCTAACGTGCAGAACAGAGGCATGGACCATTTTGTTTATTATTTCTCGCTTTGCTCCAAAAGCAAAATTAATTGAGGATTCGAAATATTTTTTATGATGTTGCCATAAGAATTAATCCACCCGTATTGAAAACGGAAGAAAAGAATGAATGCATTATTGCCATTTTCAACCAAATAACACATTCCATTATAAATATTTCATGTATCTTATAGAACATGTGGTAAATGCAGGAAAGAAAAAAAGTTAATATCATACCTAAATCTGTCACCCCACTGTAAAAAGGTTGGTACATTTTCTTCAAGTCTTTTATTTTTTATTTGTTGGGATATACATACACATTTTTGAGCAAATTAGGGTCATACTTTTTCAGAATTTTCAGTTCCATTTCAATTTCTGTTGTATCGGGGGCATGTTCCCCAGGAAATATGATTTTTAGAGAAAAATCACTGACAGTGACTGAAGCAAAAAAACAAGGCTGCCCTGGATGATTGTGCAGGTTGTGCACTCCACAAACCTAGGTGATAGTGTGAATGGTTCTACCTGAGAAAAGATCCTGCCGATTCTAGGTGCCTTTAAAATGTATCTACACACATTCACAGAGAACTTGGCTGAACAAGGCACTCCACGCTTCACCTTCTGAACACAAACCAGAGTGGCTGCTTCAGGCTGGAGTGGGAACAGCCACTGATGCAAAGAGGCTTGAAGGAACTTGACGGGGGTTGGGGGTGTTCTACATGGGACTGGAGAGGTGGCTGCACAACTGTCTGAATTGAAGCTCGGCCAGGTGCGGTGGCTCACACCTGTAATCCCAGCACTTTAGGAAGCCAAGGTGGAAGGACTGCTTGGGGCCAAGAGTTCAAGACCAGCCTGGACAACATAGCAAGATCCCATCTACAAAAACACATACACACACACGCACACAAACACACACACACAAACTGATGCTCATTGAACTACATACTTGAAATGGATGACTTTTATGATATCTTAATTATACCTCAATAAAGCTGTTTTTTTCTTAAAGGAAGGAAGGACAAAATCCACCCCCTAAAAAACAAGCAAACCCTGGGAGGTGGGCACCATGGTTATTATTCCATTTCACAGACCAGAGATCTAGACCCAGAGAGGGTCAGCCACTTCCCTAAGGTCACTGTCACAGGCAGTGGACTGGGGTCCTCAGCCTGGTACCTGGCTGGGGGACTTCCCTCTGAGTCCCTCCACATCCCTGCCTCTCCATCAGCCCCTGTTCTAAGCTCTGATATGCCATCAACCCAGGAGTGGGTTCTTTACAGTCGGAAACCTAAAGCCCTGGCATCTGGGGCTGTGTCCTCCCCACTTTCTGTATATTCTGAGCCTGGTCTGCAAACCAGCCTATTCCTGCCCTACTTCCCAGCTTGGGTGGCAAACACCCGAGCTCTCAAAATTGAGTTTAGCAAAATGGAAAAGCAGGGGGAGGCTGGACTGCCCTTGATCTGAAATGTGGTGATGAGAGCTGCTCAGCACCATCCCTGTTAGGCCAAGCTTCTCCCCAGTGTACATTTTGAATGAGTCTGATTTATTGGCCGCGTTTGAAGGGATCCTAAAACAATGCGGAGCTTCTGGCAGCCTGTCTGAGAACATGCTCACACACAGAGCCATCAAGCCCGACTCTGAATCACACTCCAGAGCCGAACAGGCATCTTCAAAGGCCGGTCTGCCGGGTTTCCAGCAGGACACGATTGTGGGCTGGGCACCAGCATGGAAAAATTGACTGGGTGTTATTGTCAAATGTGGCAATGGTTTCGAGGATAATTTCCTCCTGAAGAGCGGCTTCTGTGATTTTATTTCTCATTGTGTTGCCATTCCACGGGGTCTCATGTGAAGTCGGGCCTCCAGCATCCTCGGTCGGTCTGTGAGGATTTGCAGGCTGACTCCTATGGGTCCCTGGCTGCGCCCAGTAGTGATGGCTTTGGGGAATGGAGCTGTGTTGGGGGATGGGGACAGTGGCACAGAGGGCAAGAGCACAGCATGACATGGACTCATTCTGCTGCTCTGCAACCTGCCCTCTTCCTTCTCAGGAAGTGCGGATCCACAATCAGCCAATGGGTAGCGGACTGCCTACTTCTCACGCAGTTGCATGGGCTCTTTATAAAAAGACCCAATGGATGAACAAACTCTGGTACCATCTGACAAGGGAATATCCAGCACAAAGAAGCAATGAGCTATTGAGCCATGAGAAGACATAGAGGAAACTTACATGTATATGGCTAAGTGAGAGAATTCAGTCTGAAAAGGTTACATGCTATGGGAATCTAACTCTATGAGATTTTAGAAGAAGTAAAAGTATAGAGACAGAAGATCTGTGGTTGCCAGGGCTTGTGGAAATGGGGGGATGGGAGGGGGAATACGTTGACATCCAGGAGCTTTTTACAGCAGTGAATCTACTCTGTATGATACTATAATGGTGGACACATGTCATTATATGTTTATCCAAACCCGTAAGATGTACACCATAAAGTGAACTCTAATGCAAAGTAAGAATTTTGGCCAGGTGTGGTGGCTCATGCCTGTAATCCCAGCACTTTGGGAGGCTGAAGCAGGTGGAGTGCTTGAGACCAGGAGTTTGAGACTAGCCTGGACAACATGGCAAAATCCCATCTCTACAAAAAATATAAAAATTAGTCACGTGTGGTGGCATGCATCTGTGATCCTAGCTACTCAGGAGGCTGGGTCAGGAGGATTACTTGAGCCTGGGAAGTGGAGGTTGCAGTGAGCCAAGATCGCACCACTACAATTCACCCTGGGCAACAGAGAGAAATCTTGTCTCAAAAACAAAAACAAAAACGTATGGCCCGGGCGCAGTGGCTCATGCCTGTAATCCCAGCACTTTGGGAAGCTGAGGCAGGTGGATCACCTGAGTTCAGGAGTTCGAGCCCAATATGGTGAAACCTCATTTCTACTAAAAATACAAAAATTAGCTGGGTGTGATGGCATGAGCCTGTAGTCTCAGCTACTCGGGTGGCTGAGGCAGGAGAATTGTTTGAACCTGGGAGGCAGAGGTTGCAGTAAGCCGAGATCATGCCACTGCACTCCAGCCTGGGTGACAGAGCGAGGCTCCATCTCAAAAAAAAAAAAAAAGGTTTTATATCAAAAAACCCTCTCTAATCACCCCATCTAAAGATTTCTCCTGGAAATTTCCACTGAGCCTTTTTGCTTCCTCCATAATAGCTTTGGAAATCTGATCCTATTTTATTTAAGTGGTTGTTTGTTTTATTTGGTTACTTACTGTTTTCTCCATTCTCCCTCCATTCAAGGTAAACTCCACGAGGGTAGGAGGTTCTGTCTGGTTCAACGATGCATCCCCAGTGCCTTGAAGTATCTCTGGCACACACTAGGCACTCAATAAATGGCTGATAGACGGGATGAATGAGTGAATGCACATTTATTGACCCCTACTGCATTGGTTGGAGCTCAGTGTGGAAATAAAAACCATCTTAGTTCTTTTAAGCCAAAGGTGTTCTCATGCACACCATGTGGAACTAGGAAATTTGTGGAAGGGCCAATAATCAAAACAACAACCGGAGGCTAATTTCCATCATGCCAGCCCACCTTACCCCTGACTCCCACACCCTGCCCCAAGGACCCCAAAGAGACAGCCTCCCCCACAGTGCCTTGGCTGTCTCGGTGCCCCCTGTCTTCCGAATTAGTGGCCCCTGCACACACTCACCATGGTGGTTAAGCATCAGTACTGCAAGGCAGACAGGCTGGGGCTGGAGCTGGAGCTGGAGTGACAACCCTATTGTTTACTGGCTGTTTGACCAAGCTCAGATTTTTTTTTCTTAAACCTGTAAAACGGGGTAAACATGGGACTGACCCAGCAGGGTCTTGGAAGTATTAAATAAGACAATGCCTATCAAGTGCCTGAGCTGATGCCTGGCCAAAAAGAGCACCGGCTATATGCAGTGAACACCTATTATCTCCTTCTATGCCAGGCACGGTTCCCAGCAGTAAGCGGGAGAGATTAGGATCCTGCCCTCAGGGAGCTCCCACCCTGGTTGCAGCCAAACATGTTAATCTAATCAATAAAGCACAAGGGCAGAGGGGCGACCACCGTGGGAGGTGAAGCTACTTTAGCAAAGATGGTGAGAGAAGAATGTGCCATGTGAACTGAAGCTGAACCACACGGGAGGGAGGGAACAGTTGCAGATCCAAGGAGGCTGTTCCAGGCAGGGGAACAGCACATGCAAAGTCCCCGAAGCAGGGAAGCAGAGGGCTCAAGGAGAAAACAGTAACTACCAAAAGGAGCTCACTCTCGACAATCACTATTATTAGTAGTGATTGCAACAGAGCAAAACATCTGTTTCCTCACATTTTACCCCTCCTTCTCCACTCCTTTCTGTTGCCTCCTAACTACTAAGACTTATGAGTTATCAGATTTACATGTGATTCAGAAAAAGTCTCACCATTTAACTACTGAGTTTCCGATTTAGTTACCTATTGATGCATAAGAAATTACCCCAAAACTTACATACACCCCAAAACAACAATGAATGTTTATTATCTCACAGTTTTTCTGGGTCAGGAATTTGGTAGCAACTTAGCTGGGTGGTTCCAGCTCAGGGTGTCTCCTATGGCTGCAGTCACAGTGACAGCCAAGATTGCTGTCATCCAAGGGTTCGCCTGGGGCTAGAGGAACCATTTCTAAACGACCCACTTTCGTGGCTGCCAAGTTAGTGCTGGCTGTTGGCAGGAGGCCTCAGTACCTTTCTATGTGGGCATCTCCACAGAGACGCTTGAGTGTTCTCATAACATGGCTGCCACTTCTTCCAGAGCAAATGATCCCAGATAACAAAGCTGAAGATATGATGCCTTTTATAACTGAGTCTGGGAAGTCACACACTCTCACAGTATTCTACTGGTCACTAGGATGGGCATGATTCCGTGTGGGAAAGACTACAACAAGGTGAGAAGCCCAGGAGGCAAAGCTGCTTGGGAGCCACCTTGGAGGCTGGCTACCATGGGCTACGAAGCCCGTCAGATGGGCTGAGTTAATTTTCTCCCTGCTTGAGCCAGAATCAATCAATAATGCTGATCAGTAACAAAATCCTGAGCAGTATCCCCAGCCAGGAAAGTGGCGGCTTGTTTAGGATTTGATACTTTTGCCTTGTTTATCTCACTTCAAGCAGTTTTCCTTGCATCATGAGAAATTTGCTGTTCAAGTCTCGCCCTCTGTCTGAGCCAACCTGAGAGACCAATTCAAACGGATTCAGTCCCTGAGACAACAAGATAGAAATTCATAATTAAAGTGGGAAGTAAAGGAAATTAATCTGTCTGGCAAAAGGCTATAAAGTAACTCTACTGCCAGACACAGAATCTGCCATGGGAAAACAGATGGGAATAATAAGTAAATATAACCAATGCCAAGCAGAACCAGGAAGGGCAATTTATAGCTACTTAAATAATTTTCTCATTTCTTTTTTTAATTGAGGCTATTCAGAATGCCAGAACAAGTGGTGAGAGTGTGAACTTTTCGTCAGCCTCGACTGCATGTGCAGACCAGTCAAAAACAAGGCGTGACCACTGGAGATCGTGTTTGGGAATCAGTCACGGTTTCCCAATTGATGGGCATGGTTGGTAATTTCACGCAAGGACTTGGAATTCTCATGACCTGACGCTTCTTTGTGTGGTGTGATTCTGTGCACGAAGGTGACTGGGTTTCTGCCTTTGCTGTTTAAACACCTTTGCTGTGGCCCGCAGAGGAGAAGTAGTTTGGTGTTTATGACCAAAGATAAATGCAGTTTTAAAAGTAGCAGTGTCCAAGTTAGTTAGACCCTACTAGAGGCAAATATACCTGAGATCATGAGGACTGGGATCAACTTTGCAGGGTACAAAAAAATTTTCCTGGCCAGGCACAGTGGCTCACGCCTGGAATCCCAGTACTTTGGAAGGCCAAGGTGGGTGGATTACCTGAGGTCAGGAGTTTGAGACCAGCTTGGCCAACATGGTGAAACCCCAGTCTCTACTAAAAATACAAAAATTAGCCGGCAGTGGTGGCATGCGCCTGTAACACCAGTTACTCAGGAGGCTGAGGTGGGAGAATGGCTTGAACCCAGGAGGCAGAGGTTGCAGTGAGCCGAGACTGTGCCACTGCACTCTAGCCAGGGCAACAGAGTGAGACTCTGTCTCCAAATTTTTTTTTCCTTAGAAGACGTGGTTTAATCTTACCAGCACATCCGGCATACACTGCTGTGTGCAGTAGGCAGTGATTTTCATGACTAGATGAGCTGCACTGAGAATATTTATCATTTTGGCCTCCGTTATAAGGTATCCTCCTTTCGGCCCTGAAGGAGAAGATACAGGCAGTCAGAGTGCACTGGAGGGTAATTAACCTCGTCCAGAAAGGGTGGGAATGGGGAGGTCTCCGGTGGAACTGACATTTAAGCAAAAAAAATGAGTTAGGGTCAGTAGGGAAGGGAGACAAGACTTACCTTCCCCATTGCAGGGGTGAGGAATCAGTAGAACCTGCATCCCAGTTCTGCCCTTTGACATAGGATTCTAGTTTTCCCCAACAACAGTCAGCCATCAGCTCACAGTCCTCCCCACACCACCAAGTCACGCTTAGGTATTCACTATTCACACATGGCAGAGAACAAGTTTCCATTTGAAAGGCTAGTATGTGACATGCCCAGTACCTAGCACTTTCTCAGCACATAGTCCTAATAATAGTAATGCCCCCAGCCCCCACTACCATCACCCCAATAAGAAGAAGTAGCTGACATCCAAGTCCTGACTCTGCCAATCTCCGGATCTCAGTGTCTAGGTGACTAACTCACTGAATCCGCACCACCACCCCACGCAGGTGGTACCACTTCCCCATTTTACAGATGAGGACATTGAGGCCTAGAAAGGTTAGATAACTTACCCAAAGATGCATCTGCATTAAGGGGCAGGACTGAGACAGTCCCTTTGGGAAGTGGGTTCACCGCAGTGACACACAGCCCCATTTCAGGACTTCCTACGCTGTGTCCTCCAGAGACATAGCTATCTTGACTGTCCAAATGAAGCTGCTTTAAAAAGGCACCTGCAGGGCCGGGCGCGGTGGCTCACGCCTGTAATCCCAGCACTTTGGGAGGTCAAGGTGGGCAGATCACGAGGTCAGGAGATCGAGACCATCCTGGCTAATACAGCGAAACCCTGTCTCTACTAAAAATACAAAATACAAAAAAAAAAAATTAGCTGGGCATGGTGGTGGGTGCCTGTAGTCCCAGCTATTCGGGAGGCTGAGGCAGGAGAATGGTGTGAACCCAGGAGGCGGAGCTTGGAGTGAGCCGAGATCGCGCCACTGCCCTCCAGCCTAGGGAACAAGAGCGAAACTTCATCTCGGAAAAAAAAAAAAAAAAGGCACCTGCAGGAGATGGTTAGAGCATTCGATAGGCTACATCTTTGGTGGGTCACTTGGAACGTCTGTCTCTGTATCTACAGATCTCTGTGGGCACCTGGTAAGTACCTTCCCCCAGACCCAGCAATAGCACTTTCTGGAAAGCGCCCTTCAGATGTCCTTGGACACAGGTGTGACAATGATACACGTGCATGGTTATTTGTTGCAGCAGGACTTTGAAAAGCGAGGGTGTGAAAACACCCCAAATGGCCATCAATATGCTTAAATTAGGTCAATATGCTTAAATTAGATTATGGAACACCTGCATAGTATGATACTATAATATTCTGAAAAACAACAAGGACATCCTCTAGGTACTGATTCAAAAAGACTGCGGAGATATATCAGGTACAACAGTCAGATGCCGTATAGAGCGTATACCACATGATAATTTGTGCTTTGGAAAAACAGAAAAGAAACACGCGTGTCTGTAAGAAGCATGGGTGATCTTGTGGGGGCACCTCAGAACTTAGCAACAGGGGCTTATTTGTCTCTGGGAAAGCGAGCAGAGAAACCTGGGGACTCAGGGGCTGGAGAAAGCTTACATTTCCTCGTATAACCTTTTGCATCATATTTGAGGTTTTATCAGATACAGGTGCCAGCATATATATATACATATATATATATTTTTTTTTTTTTTGAAAAAAGATAAAACACAGCAACAGCTGGAGGGGCTAAGAGAGATGTGTCTGGAAACAAAGGTGGTGAGGGAGGGAAAATTCCTTCTGAGAGCACACCTCAAACGCAGGTGTGGGCTTTTGATGCCCCATTTCCCAAGAGGCGACCGCCTTCCTTTTGATCACCCATGTCCTGTGATTCCCCTCAGGAATTCCCTCCACGGGCAGGTCCTGGCCTACATTGAGATGACACGGGTGTCCTCAGAGGCTGCTGGCTCGGCCGTGCTTGTCTACCAGAGCCCTCTGTTGCCCCGAGGCCCCTGGGAAGGGTCAGTGCTCACTATGATTATAGTTCCTGTCTGCGCTGGTGTCCATAGCCATTAAAAAACACATCCCCAGCGGCTGCCACCCTTGCAGCCGCCCACACTCTGTCCAGGGGGCACACAGGGCTCTGTAACCCCGCATGACACCTCAATTTGGGACAAAGTCTCAACATTCCCCCCAGCCAGCCCCCGTCTGGCTGCAGATGTCCTTTGCAGCTGACCTTCCTCTCCGCCCACATCGCTGCTCTCCAGGGAGGGGCACATGCTTTTTCAAAATGAGATGTTGGGATAGAAGTGCAAGAACATCATTTCCAGGAAAGACGAGTCTCTACCAGGTGTGCCCAGACAGACAGGTCCTCATAGGCACGCAGAGCTAGGAAAGGAACAATTGCCCTCCATGAGTGGGCCTGGCCGCTGAGACACCAGGCCATTGACCCCTCCCATGCTGGACTCAGCTCCAGCTTCTGTGGCCACATTCCTCCCATTGTGTTATCTTTTGGGACTTGGTGATCCCTACAAAGGCTGGCCAATGTGCTGAGGGCTTTCCAGACATTCTATCTATGTACACATGAAATAACCATAAGAGGTAGTAGTGTTGAACCAATGTTTCCACAGTTGGGAACCAAAGTGCAAAGAAAAGCAGAGAACTTGACCAAAGTCACAGAGATGTGGGTTGAGGGAGTGGAGTCACGGTTTGAATTTAGGTCTGGTGGCCACCACCCCAGCCTTGTGATCACAGAACACCCAAGAGCTCCTTCCTACTTGGTCCAGATGCACTGTCCAAGCTCAGTACAGGGCCCCAGGCAGCCACCACTGAGCAATAGGACCGTCATCTCCAAGAGGGAGGGACATGATCTGGCCTAGGGCAACAGCACCTCCCACAGTGTGTGGCACTGAATGGGAATTCAGTAAATACTTATGGAGGGAAGGGAGGAAGGAAAACAGGGAGGGAAGAGGAAGAAGGAAGGAAGGAAGGAAAGAAAGAAAGAGAGAGAGTGAGAGAGGGAGGGAGAGAGAGAAAGAAGGAAGGAAAGAAAGAGAAAGAAAGAGGGAAGTAGAGAGAGAGAGAAAGAGAGAAAGAAAAAGAAAGAAGGAAAGAAAGAAAGAAAGAAAAGGAAAGAAAGGAAAAGAGGGAGGGAGGGAAGGAAGAGAGAAAGAAAAAGGAAAGAAATAGAGAAAGAAAAAGAAAGAGAGAGAGGGAGGGAAGGGAAGAGAAGAGAAGGGAAGGGAAGGGAGGAAGGAAGAAAAGGAGGAAGGGAAGGAAGGTGAGGAATATATCCCCCAGTGAAATGAACACGATGGCGAAGTGCCACTTTGGGCGCAGGGTTGGGCGAGTGGAGTGCCTCTTCCATACCCTCCCCTTCTGCGAACTGGATTCTAGAAGAATTCATAGCCACACGATGGAGCCTGGGACCCTGAGTCCCTGCCTCAGGAACATCTACCGAGGCTGTTACATGGCCACGAAATGAACCGCATTGGGTTGGAGCCATCATACATTGGGGTCTATTTGTGACAGCAGGGCAGCCCACCCTGACTCATGGAACAGGAGCGGGAGAAGCTCCCTGCCCTCTGGGGCCCTAGGTGCCGCTCAGCAGCTCCGGGCTCTGAGCCAGTGAGCCGGTGTACCACGCAGACGGCTTGATTTTTCTTCCCACCCGAGCACGGGACGGACAGTCTGCACTGGGCGGGCAAGAGCATGGCTGAGTTAATGGGTTCTTGGGTGAAACTTTCAGAGGGACACAGGCCACTGTTGAACTCAAGTTCTTTTTGTAAGCTCTAGCCCAGCGGTCCCCAACCTTTGTGGCCCAGCGGTCCCCAACCTTTGTGGCACCAGGGACAGGTTTTGTGGAAGACAATTTTTCCACGGCCCAGGGCGGAGGGTGAGGTTTTGGGATGAAGCATCAGTCAGTCGTTAGAGTCTCGGAAGGAGCGCACAACTAGATCCGTCGCGTGCGCAGTTCACAGTAAGGGTTCGCGCTCCCGTGAGGATCTAAGGCCGCCACTGATCTGGCTGGAGGTGAAGCTCAGGCGGTGATGCTCGCCCGCCCGCCGCTCACCTCCTGCTGTGCGGCCGGTTCCTAGGAGGCCACAGAGCAGTCGGTCGCAGCCCAGGGGTTGGGGACCCGCTCTAGCCCCATCTGACCTGTAATATTGTTCCGGCTCGCCTTTCCGTGCATTGCAGTTTCCCTTTGAAATTCACCATTTGCCAAGGGACAAGGGCCCCTCTTTAAAGGCAGAAACATATCAGGAGCTATTTTAGATCAGGTTCCCTAGGAACAGGGCAAGCGGCTTGTTGGGGTGCTCTCAGGAGAAGAACAACCTCTAAGGGAGAGAAGGAAGCAGGAGAGGGAGAGGAAGAGGCCAAGCACAGCTCCGGCTCAGCTGGAATCTACAGCCAGCCTGACCCACGGGGAGCTCTGGGGCATGAATGGCCACACGTGGTGTCTTCCTACCTTGAGGCAAAGGAGCGGGCTTTTGTATCCCCATCGGGTCATGGGTGCTCAGGGGAGAAAGCTCAGGGGAGAAAGCATGTCTCTCTACCCCGGCATCTCCAGGCAAACGGCGTCAATCCCTGAAGGACAATTGTCTTAGGAAGATTGCATGTGAAGCTCTTATCCACAGCCCTAGAGCTGCGGGGGATGCATGTGCCGTCTACAGAGGGACGTCTGGGCAGGGAACTTAGAGCATATGCTCTAAGAGTATTGGTGAGCGCCCTGGGGACGGGGATGAAGAGAATGCAGAGAGAGAGCCGGTGCATGCTGGCCAGACACTTGCTGGGTACTCCATGCTATTTCATTTGACCTTCACGACAGTTCAAAGGAAGCTTCTATCATTGTTATTGTTCCATTCTACAGATGTGGATATTGAGTCTTAGAAAGATAAAAGGATTTTTCTAAGGTCCCTTTCTAGAGGTTGAAAGAAGCAGAGCAGGAATTTGAACTCAGGCCGATCTGACTCTGGATCTGTTACCACTGCAGAGCTCTGCCTCCCCGATGCCAGAGAGCAGCGTGGCGGGTCTGCGCTGGGTCAGAGCAGAGCAAGGCAAGGTCTCTTAGCCCCTTGACGCTTCCATACCAGAGTTGGCCTGGCCTTTGTCTCCAGGCTCGGCACCAACCAGGAAAGCTGCTAGCAGAGCCGCTGGTCTGGCCAGAGACTCCACCCAGTTGTTGCAGACAGGGTGGGGTGTGTGGTCCAGTAGCCCAGTTCCTCTCACTGGGGATCCTCAGCTGCAGCTGCCTTACAGGTTGTGCAGTCACTTCTGACTCAGAGGCTGCCCAGCCTCCCGGTTTGCTGATTCTGCAAAATAAACAGTCCTGAGCTGCTGCTTGCTTCATTTGGAATGCCTGGTCTTCCTGGGAGTGGTAGAGGACAAGAGTACGTTTAGGACGCTGTGAGAAATTCACTGACGGAACTGGTCTCCCCCAAACTGCAAAATATGGTGCTGAGGGTGTGCTCCCAGGGAAGCTACACTAGGCAGACTCTCAAGCTAGACTGCCTGGGCTCAAATCCCAGGCCCATCTCTCAGCAGCCACATGGCCCAGGGCAAGTCACTGAGCCTCCCTGAGCCTGTGGATAATCAAAGGCACTTTCCTTGAGGAGTTTTTGCAAGAGTTAATTGAGATAATTCATGGAAGGTGCTTAGTGCTTATTAATTTTTATAATCATGATTTTAAAAAGCAATTCTCCTTGCATTTAATTCAACAAGGTTTCTGGAAGACCTTATTTTAAAGGATCTCCCAGCCTTGTGAGAGAGACAGGTCACTGGAAAATCTATGAAATTTGGCTAAGGCCAAAAGGACACCCCCTCCTTTATCAAAGTACTTTAGAGATGTTATTTCATTATGTCCTGGCCTCCATGGGTTCTGAAGAGAAGTTAGAAGTAATTAGCATGTAACGGGCTGTTTTTCCTCTGGCTGATTTTAGGATCTTCTCTTCATGTTTGACTATAGTGTGCCTAATTATTGTTGTTGTTTTCGTCCTTCTTGGGGTTCACTGATCTTCTTGAATCTGTAAATGTATGTCTTTCATCAGATTTGCAACATTTCAGATATCGTTTATGATTTTTTTTTTTTTTTTTTTTTGAGATGGAGTCTGGCTCTGTCACCCAGGCTGGAGTGAAGTGGTGTGATCTCGGCTCACTGCAACCTTTGCCTCCTGGGTTCATGCCATTCTCCTGCCTCAGCCTCCCGTGTAGCTGGAAATACAGGCGCCCGCCACCATGCCTGGCTAATTTTTTGTATTTTTTAGTAGAGACCGGGTTTCACCGTGTTAGCCAGGATGGTCTTGATCTCCTGACCTCGTGATCCGCCCACCTCGGCCTCCCAAAGTGCTGGGATTACAGAAGTGAGTCATCGCACCAGGCCATGATTTTTTTTTTTACCCTATTTTCTATGTCATCTCCTTCTAGGTCTAGAAGAGTCAGTGTTAGACCTTTCAATGTTGTCCCATAGGTTGCAGAGGCTCTAGTTCAAATTTTTCAAATCCTCTTCCCCTGTTTTCAGATTGGATAATTTCTATTTATTTATCATCAAAACAAGTGACTCTTCTGCCATTGCCAATCTTGTTGTTAAGCTCCTCCAGTGAATTTAAAAATTCAGATTTTTTTATTTCTAGAATTTCTATTTAGTTCCTTTTTTATAGTTTTTGTTTTTCTGCTGAGATTTCTTACTTGTTTATTACATGCTTACTGTCATTTATAATCCTTGAGCATACGACTGGCATAAAATCCTTGTCTGGTCTGGGCACGGTGGCTCATGCCTGTAATCCCAGCACTTTGGGAGGCCAAGGCAGGTGGATCACCTGGTCAGGAGTTCAAGACCAGCCTGGCCAACATGGTAAAACTCTATCTCTATTAAAAATACCAAAATTAGCCAGGCATGTTGGTGGGCACCTGTAATCCCAGCTACTTGGGAGGCTGAGGCAGGAGAATTGCTTGAACCCAGGAAGCAGAGGTTGCAGCAAGCTGAGGATTGCGTCATTGCACTCCAGCCTGGGCAACAGAGTGAGACTCCATCTCAAAAAAAAAAAAAAAAATCTTTGTCTGGTCATTTCAGTTCTAGGTTATTAAGAGGTTGTTTTCCATCAATTGCCTTTTTTCTTAAGCATGGGTCACATTTACCTATTTTTTTTTGAAGGCTTACTAATTTTTAGTTGCATTCTAAATATTATGAATTGTATATGTAGAGATTCCAGATGCTGTTGTGTTTCTCTGAAGAATATTTATTTATTATTTATTTTCTAAAGCATACAGTTAACTTGGCTAGACTCAAACTATAAAATTGATCCCTTCTGCAGTGGTCCATGGCTAAAATATCTGTTAAGTTCTTTTACCTTGCTGGACTTCTTGGATTCTGACTTTCAGTCTTTTCAGGGATTAGCTAGAGACCAGGTCAAATTTTAAACAAATAAGTTAGGGCTCCTTCTCTCTGCTTCTCTCTGTTTTGGAATTCCTCCTTCCTTTGAAGTAATTTGAGAATGTGATTGTCCCAAACTCCAGCCTATGGTTCTTCAACTCAGTGAAACTGTGGCTTTTTTGTCATAGCTTTAACCCTCTTGTTCTAGAAGTGGGTCTTGGGCTATGATCTATATCAAAGGCAAAAAACTACACAATGAGAAAGTCACCCTGGTTATTCCAAGTGTCAGCTGCCTTCCAGTTTCTGCCTAGTTTTGCTCACTGCCCAGTGCTCTCAGGGAATCGTTACTCATGCTTTGTCCAGCATCTGTGGTTGTCACCAGAAGCCAGAAGTCCACACCATCTCATTTCACCTCTGCATGGGATGAGCATATGGACACTCAGAGAGGTGAAGCAAAGCACCCAGTGCTTCCCAGCTGTGATGAGCTTCTTAGAAATATTTGCTGAGTGTCTACATCCTGCCAGGCACTGTGCTGGGTCCTGGCAACACAGCCATGAGCTACTTCGACAAAGTCCTTCCACCCAGGGTACTTACATACTGGTAGCAAAATTGGATGATAAGCTAGTAAACCCTCTAATAAATAGGATAACCATGGAGGATGGTAAGTAGGCCAGGATACGACTGTGAGGGAGAGGAGACAGCTTTGGTTTGGTGGTCAGGCAGGTGACATTTTAGATGAAATAAGAATGAAGTGAAGGGATGAACCTGTGGATTTCTAGGGAAAAGCTTTCCGTGCAGAACACCATCCAGAGCAAGGCTATACGAGGGACAAGTTTGGATTGCTGCATTCAAGGAAGAAGGAGGAGGTCTGTGTGGCTGCAGCCGTGTGAGCCAGGGCGAGAGGAAGGACATGGAGCAGGCAGGGACAGACGCTTTCCTCTCTGATATGGTTTGGCTGTGTCCCCACCCAAATCTCATTTTGAATTGTAGTTCCCATAATCTTCACATGTCGTGGGAGGGACCCAGTGGGAGGTAATTGAATCATGGGGGCAGGTTTTTCCTGTGCTGTTCTCGTGATAGTGAATAAGTCTCATGAGATCTGATGGTTTTATCAAGGGCAGTTCCCCTGCACACGCTCTGTTGCCTGCCACCATGTGGGACATGTCTTTGTTCCTCCTTCACCTTCCACCATGATTGTGAGGCCTCCCCAGCTATGTGGAACTGTGAATCCATTAAACCTCTTTTTCTTTGTAAATTGCTCAGTCTTGGGTGTGTCTTTATTAGCAATGTGAGAACAGGCTAAAACAACCTCCTTCCTCTACAGCTTCTCTGTGCTCCCACTCCTAGAACTTATCGCCTTCCCAGCTGCACCCAACCCCAAGGACCACTTTTGCAGCAACCAAGTGAAGATTTAGGAGCCTGGAGAATCTGATGGCTTGAATCTTTGAGCTCCTCCTCTCTTTCTAAGCCCATAGAGAAGGTTGAGAGAATTGAATGAGACAACACACGTCAGGCACTAAGAACGTATGTGTTTAAAAAGTCAGTACAACAATAGATGCTGGAGAAGATGTGGAGAAATAGGAATGCTTTTACACTGCTGGTGGGAGTGTAAATTAATTCAACCATTGTGGAAGACAGTGTGGTGATTCCTCAAGGATCTAGAACCAGAAATACCATTTGACTCAGCAATCCCACTATGGGTATATACCCAAAGGATTATAAATCATTCTACTATAAAGACACATGCACATGTATGTTTATTGCAGCACTGTTCACAATAGCAAAGAGTTGGAACCAATCCAAATGCCCATCAATGATAGACTGGATAAAGAAAATGTGGCACATATACACCATGGAATACTATGCAGCCTTAAAAAAGGATGAGTTCATGTCCTTCGCAGGGACATGGTTGAAACTGAGAAACCATCGTTCTCAGCAACCTAAAACAAGAACAGAAAACCAAACACCACATGTTCTCACTCACAAGTGGGAGTTGAACAATGAGAACACATGGACACAGGGAGGGGAACATCACACACCAGGGCCTATCAGGGAGTAGGGGGCTAGGGTTGATGGGTACAGCAAACCACCATGGCACGTGTATACCTATGTAACAAACCTGCACATTCTGCACATGTATCCAAGAACTTAGAGTATAATAATAATAATAATAATAATAAAAGAATGTATGTGCTGAATATTCCTTGGTGCACTTTACATTTGCAAGCTAATATAATCCTAGCAATAACCCTCTGGAGTGGGCATTATTATTACTGTTGTTTCATTAGCTTATTTCACAAATAAGGAAACCAAGACTCAGAGAGGCTAGGTGGCTTGTCCAGGGCCACAAAGCTAGAAAAGAACTGGGGGCCGGGCACAGTGGCTCATGCCTGTAATCCCAGGACAGTGGGAGGCCAAGGCGGGTGGATCGCTTGAGGCCTGGAGTTTGAAACCAGCCTGGTCAACGTGGCAAAACTCTGTCTCTACAAAAAATACAAAAATTAGTCAGGTATAGTGGTGCTCGTCTATAGTCCCAGCTACTCTGGAGGCTGAGGTGGGAGGATTGCTTAAGCCTGAGAGGTCCAGGCTGCAGTGAGCCGTGATTGCGCCACTGCACTCCAGGCTGGGTGACAGAGTGAGACCCTGTCTCAAACAAACAAACAAACAAACAAACAAAGATTGGGATTTGAACTCAGGCTAATTTTACCACTGTACTTTATTGGCTCTTCAATCAAGACCCAGCATATCATAAGCTAATAAGTATATTAATTCTAAGTCTGAGCTAATGTGTTTATTGCCTTAAAAATTGACATGATAGGAAGACATTCTCCTGCACTATGAAACAAAAGAGAAGGAAAAAATTTAACATGACATTTCCATTCAACTCAACACTGTGTTTATGCTGTGACTTCAAACCCCTTAAGGCATACACCCAACCCCCAGGCCCTTAGAACAGGGGGTTCAAACTAGAACCCATGAACCCAATCCGGCCTTCCTCCTGCTTTTATAAATCAGCTTTTACAGAATATGGCTATGCCTGTTTGTTTCTGGATTGCCTGTGGCCTCTGGTTGCTGCCACAATGACAGAATTGAGCAGTTGCATGGGACATATCTATACTAAAAAAATTATTTATGGCTTATCTGACATTCAGATCTAACTGGCTTCCCGTATTTTCTTTGACAACACTGCCAAGGTGTGAATTCCCAGGCAGAGAGAGGAAGAGTCCTGCAGGGACTTATGACAGCCAGACTTTTTCACGAGGGTGGGTCAGGGGACCACAGCCCAAAGAGAAGGCTTCAAATGCCCCAGATGACTTTATGGCAGGATATGCTCCCAGCACCTGAACAAAGGTGAGTCTCTATTTTCTAAGGGAGCACCCTAGAGTCTAATCTTGGAATCTAGGGTCTGCAGTTGTAACGCAGCTGGGAAATATATATACATTTTTAATTTTTTGATTGTTGTCATTTTGTTGTGTTTGTGTGGCTCACAAGCTGAAGAGGTCTGGTTTTCCCATCCAAGATCTTTTTGCAGTTGTTTTCTTCTCGAGGTCTTCCTGCCTCACCCTCTCTGGCTCTTGCTGTCTTTCTCCTTTACATTGCGTGCTCAGGGAATGGTTCAAGAGATCCAATGCCTTCTGACAGGTGACAAGACAGAGTGAACAGTGCAGTGGGTTTGGGGCCATAATCCAGGTGGCAGAAGGAGGAGCCACGAGGCTTAGAAGGAAACAAAACAGAGTCTGCTGCCGAAGAGGCCCCAAACCAAGGGAGGCCCTGGAAGGCTCAAAACTAGGAGAGGCCCAGGGAGGCCCCAAACCAGGGGAAGCCCTGGGAGGCCAAGGGAGGCCCAAAACCAGGGGTTGCAGCTCTCTTTAGATTTTTAAAATAATTATTAGGGGGCATTATTCTCAGATATGGGGCTGCATGGCTGAGTGGAACCGACACCAGCTTCTTTTTTTTTTTTTTTTTTTTTTTTTTGAGGCAGAGTCTCGCTCTGTGGCCCAGGCTGGAGTGCAGTGGCACGATCTCGGCTCACTGCAAGCTCCGCCTCCCTGGGTTCTCACCATTCTCCTGCCTCAGCCTCCCGACTAGCTGGGACTACAGGTGCCCGCCACCATGCCCGGCTAATTTTTTTGTATTTTTTGTAGAGACGGGGTTTCACCGTGTTAGCCAGGATGGTCTTGATCTCCTGATCTCGTGATCTGCCCTCCTCGGCCTCCCAAAGTGCTGGGATAACAGGCATGAGCCACCGTGCCCGGCAGACACCAGCTTCTAAATGTGCCTGAACAGGCAGGATCCAGCTCTGCCACCCACTGCTTTGGGAGCCTGGGTTTTGTCATCTGCTCCCAGGAATAATGGGCTTACCTGCCCCGGGGTTGCTGTAAGGACTCAAAGAAGTGCCTGGCTTGGAGACAGCTGGCTCAGAACTTATCATGCAGAACCCGAGGCTCAGAGGCCAGGTGACTTTCTTGAGGTCACACAGCTGATACAAAGCAGAGCTGGGACGGGGACCCAGGTGGGGCATGCACCCCAACCCCCTTGCTCACTATTCTGTTCTCATAGAAGTCTTGCTTATTTATTTAATTATTTATTTTGGCCAGGTGTGGTGGCTCACGCCTGCAATCCCAGCACTTTGGGAGGCTGAAGGAGGCGGATCACCTGAGGTCAGGAGTTTGAGACCAGCCTGGCCAACATGGTGAAACCCCATCTCTACTAAAAATATAAAAATTATCCAGGTGTGGTGGTGGACGTCTATAATCCCAGCTTCTCGGGCATGAGAATGGCTTGAACCCGGGAGGCGGAGGTTGCAGTGAGCCGAGATCGTACCACTGTACTCCAGCCTGGGTGACAGAGCGAGACTCTGTCTCAAAAAAAAAGAAAAAAGAAAAAAAAGAAATCTTGCTTATTTTTAACCTTTTAGGCTCTCCATCTGCTCTGAAATCTTCTGATCAAATCTCAGGAATCAGCACACAATTCTGTGTTTCTGCTGTTACACTGGATCTGGCTTTGGGAGGGGCTAGTTTACGGTACTTTGTCATAGGTACGGAGAGATGCACAGAGGTGCTGCGTGTAAAAGGCTGAGCACAGCCCCTTACATACAGAGGAGCCCAGAGGCTCTTAGCTGGAGTTGGGAGCACAGTGTGTCACTCTTAGCCCAGGTCTGCTTGGCACTGACCAATCTGTAATGCTCAGCTATCCTCACCACTATGTAAAGCAGTCAGCACCAGGAATGGAAACTACCTAGCAGCTCTCAGTAAATGGTAGCTTAAACATGTCCAAGATCCGAGGTCTCCCCTCTTTGTATCTGCTGCCACTTGTAAGGGGCAGGGGTGGGGCTGCTGATGCAGTACCTTCTGCCTCCCAAAAAACACAGGCACACATAACTCGGAGAAGTTCCCAGGGCCTCTTCCACCTCCTCGGCTCTCCAGGGCCTTCCCCAGAACCGGACAGCCCCTTATTTTGCAACTCAGAATAAAAGACTTTTATGAAATAAATGAGAAGGAAAGGGGATTGTTTCTTGGGTATCCCCCAGCACCCTGGAGTTGATTTTGAGCCCCATTTTTCTCCTCCAATTCTCTTCCAAACAATTTCTCTAATTCTTTTTTTTTTTTCAGATGGAGCATTGCTTTTGTTGCCCAAGGTGGAGTGCAATGGTGCAATCTCGGCTCACTGCAACTTCCGCCTCCCAGGTTCAAGCGATTCTCCTGCCTCAGACTCCCGAGTAGCTGGGATTACAGGCATGCATCACCATGCCCAGCTAATTTTTTGTATTTTTAGTAGAAACAGGTTTCACTATGTTGCCAGGCTGGTCTTGAACTCCTGACCTCAGGTGATCCGCCGCCTGGGCCTCCCAAACTGCTGGGATTAAGGCGTGAGCCACCGTGCCCGGCCAATCTCTGTAATTCTTATCTGGAGGAAAGGGGTTTGATATTCTTTGGCTGTGTCCCCACCCAAATCTTATCTTGAATTGTAGCTCCCATAATTCCCACATGTTGTGGAAAGGACCCAGTGGGAGACAATTGAATCATGGGGGCAGTTCCTCCCATTCCCCCCATACTGTCCTTGTGGTAGTGGATATGTCTCATGAGATCTGACGGTTTGATAAGGGGTTTCCCCTTTCACTTGGCTCTCATTCTCTCTTGCCTGCTGCCATGTAAGACGTGTCTTTCACCTTCCACCATGATTGTGAGGCCTACCCAGCCACATGGAACTATGAGTCCATTAAACCTCTTTTTCTTTATAAATTACCCAGTATCGAGTATGTCTATCAGCAGCGTGAAAATCGACCAATACAGGGCTCCAGGAAAACTTCTGGGGTAAAAAGCAGCAAGTTGGGATGGAAAGAGCACTTTTTTACAGGGATCTCTCCCATCAGCAGAACCCCAATGCTGTTCTGAAGTGCAGAGCCTTCTGGGTGCAAAGCTCTAGGTACTGGGACTCCACCCTTTTCAGGATCTTTTTCCCCGATGCTGCACACAGTCAGAAGTGCAAGGCAGGGACCAGGAACTTATTCAAGGTGTGACCCTCTCCCAACTTAAACACAGTTTATAAGACCCCTTGTTGGCTTCTCAGTGCTCTTCGAAGTCTTATTCTTCATCTCCTCAACACTCTGCAGCCACACTTGTTAGAGGAAAGGGGTCCCGATCCAGACCTCCAGAGAAGGTTCTTGAATCTCACGCAAGAAAGAATTCAGGGTGAGTCCATAGAGTGAAGTGAAAGCAAGTTTATTAGGGAAGTGAAGGAATAAAAGAATGGCTACTCCATAGACAGAGCAGCCCCAAAGGTCGCTAGTTGCCCATTTTTATGGTTATTTCTTGATGATATGCTAAACAAGGGGTGGGTTATTCATGCCTCCCCTTTTGAGACCATATAGGGTAACTTCCTGACATTGCCATGGCATTTGTAAACTGTCATGGTGCTGGTGGGAGTGTGGTAGTGAGGATGACCAGAGGTCACTCTTGTCACCATCTTGGTTTTGGTGGGATTTGGCCGGCTTCTTTAGTGCAGCTTGTTTTTTGTTTTTTGTTTTTGTTTTTGTTTTGTTTTTTTGAGACGGAGTCGCTCTATCGCCCAGGCTGGAGTGCAGTGGCGTGATCTCGGCTCACTGTAACCTCCACCTCCCAGGTTCAAGTGATTCTCCTGCCTCAGTCTCTCAAGTAGCTGGGATGATAGGCGTCCACCACCACGGCCGGCTAATTTTTGTATTTTCACTAGAGACAGGGTTTCACCATACTGGCGAGGCTGGTCTAGAACTCCTGACCTCATGTGATCTGCCTGCCTCGTCCTCCCAAAGTGTTGGGATTACAGGTGTGAGCCATCACACCCAGCCTGCAGCCTGTTTTGTCAGCAAGGTCTTCATGACCTGTATCTTGTGCCAACCTCCTATCTCATCCTGTGACTTAGAATGCCTTAACAGTCTGGGAATGCAGCCCAGTAGGTCTCAGCCTCATTTTACCCAGCTCCTGTTCAACACGGAGTTGTTCGGGTTCCCGCGCCTCTGACACACTGGTCCCCTTTATGAGCCACCACATCTCCCATTCTTGCTGCAGGATCTTTGCACACGCTGTCCCTGCCTGTGTGCTGACCGCAGGGAAACTCCCCTGGGACCCCTGGTCTAGCTCAGTTGCCAAAGCTCACCCTTCCTGGGCCCATGTGCCCTTCTTTTTCAGGCCATTTCTCTCAGTTTGAGGTTCAACACCTTCCTCTCTGAGATGGTTTGCTAGTGTCCACAGCTGCTCCCAACTGGGAGCTCCCTGAGGGCAGGGACTGAAGTCATGCTGCATCCCCGGGCCCAGGCCTGTGGGCAGAATGCTTCCTGGTTCAGAGCCCAAGTCAGGAATCTCACTGAGCAATTCTGCTCTAACCCCAGTGACCATTCACACGGCAAACCACACAACCACCCTGGGCTTCCATTTCCTTGACTATAAAATGGAGCTATGGCTGGGCTTGGTGGCTCACGCCTGTAATTCCAACACTTTGGGAGTGGATAACCTGAGGTCAGGAGTTCGAGACCGGACTGACTAGCATGGTGAAACCCCATCTCTACTAAAAATACAAAAATTAGCGGGTCGTGGTTGTGGGCACCTGTAATCCCAGCTACTTGGGAGGCTGAGGCAGGAGAATCCCTTGAACGTGGGAGGTGGAGGTTGCAGTGAGTCGATATTGCGCCACTGCACTACAGCCTAGGCGACAAGAGCAAAACTCCGTCTCAAAAAAATAAATAAATAAAATAAAATGGAGCTGTAACTGCACCTCTCCCAGAGGGCTCTTTTAAGGGTGAAATGAATGAGTGTGTGTCATTTCCTTAGCACGGCATCTGCCATTCATTCAACAAGCACTCAGGAGCTCCTCCTGTATACCAGGCTCTGCACCTGCGGAACTACAGCTGAAAATGAAACTGACAAAGTCCCCTCCTGGTCGCGGAAGGCAGCCCACAGATGGACCTAGAAGAGAACGTCGAACGTCGGGAAGGACGTTGTGTTGGGTGGTTCACAGCACAGACGCTGCGGCCAAACGCCAGGTGGTGGAGGGCCCTTCTCAAACTGTCTGACCTCTCCGGGCCTCAATTTTCTCAGCTATAATATGGGCTGACAAGAGTAAACGACAAGAGCAAATGAGTTAATATGTGTTGCCCCTGATGTTACAGTGGATAACGATGAGCTACTATTAGGAAAAGCCAGTCAGGGAACTACAGTTGAGAAGAATGGCAGGGTGTCGTGTATGCGATTTCAGGTGGAGAGGTCACAGCATGCTCCTTTGGGGGTGGAGGGTGATAAGGGGGAAGGAGGGAACCATGTGGGTATTTGGGAGGAAATGGTACAGCCACAGAGCAGATCAGGGTTGTCAGGTTCAAGGCTGGAGGCTGGTGCTGGGGTAGGAGGTGAGGCTGGAGAAGGTGCTGATGTGGCAAGGCAGGGACATGCAGTTTGTTCCCTGAGGGGTGGGAAGCTGCTGGAGGTTGTGACAGGTGCCTGGTGGGATCTGCCCAGCTTAGAGAGATTTGCCAATGTTGCTGTACAAGGGAGGCATGTGGGAAGAAGGACGGGCCCCAGGAGAACCAGCAAGAGGCTCTGGGGTCCAGGTGAGAAGTGATGGTAGCTTCGAGAGGGGCAGCGATGATGGAGGGAATGAGAGGCACAAATTCTGCATGCATTTTGAAGAAGTGACCAACAGAAAGTACTGGCAAATGGGCTGAAGCCTATGGGGCCTGGCACAGTGGCTCATGCCTGTAATCCCAGCATTTTGGGAGGTTGAGGTGGGCAGATCGCTTGAGCCCAGGAGTTCGAGACCAGCCTGGACAACATGGCAAGACTCCGTTTCTACAAAAAATACAAAACATTGTCTGGGCATGGAGGCACGTGCCTGTATTACCAGCTATCCAGGAGGCTGAGGTGGAAGGATCACCTTGTCAGAGGCATGTGAACCAGAACTCCATGTTGAATAGGAGCTGGGTAAAATGAGGCTGAGACCTACTGGGCTGTGTTCCCAGACGGTTAAGGGATTCTAAGTCACGGGATGAGGTAGGAGGTCAGCACAAAATACAGGTCATTAAGACCTGCTGATGGGCCGGTCGCGGTGGCTCACACCTGTAATCCCAGCACGTTGGGAGGCCGAGGTGAGCGGATCACGAGGTCAGGAGACCGAGACCATCCTGGCTAACACGGTGAAACCCCGTCTCTATTAAAAATACAAAAAAATTAGCCAAGTGTGGTGGCACGAGCCTGTAATCCCAGCTAATCGGGAGGCTGAGGCAGGAGAATTGCTTAATCCCAGAAGGCGTAGGTTGCAGTGAGCTGAGATCGTGTCACTGCACTCCAGACTGGGTGATAGAGCAAGACTCTGTCTCAAAAAATGAAATAAAATAAAATAAAATAAAATAAAAAAATAAAATAAAGACCTTGCTGATAAAACAGGCCACAGTAAAGAAGTCGGCCAAAACCCATCAAAACCAAAATGGCCACGAGAGTGACCTCCAGTCTTTCTCACTGCTACACTCCCACCTGCGCCATGACAGTTTACAAATGCCGTGGCAATGTCAGGAAGTTATCCTATATGATCTAAAAAGGGGAAGCATGAATAACCCACCCCTTGTTTAGCATATCATCAAGAAATAACCATAAAAATGTGCAACCAGCAGCCCTCAGGGCTGCTCTGTCTACGGAGTAGCCATTCTTTTATTCCTTTACTTTCCTAATAAACTTGCTTTCACTTTACTCTATGGACTTACCCTGAATTCTTTCTTGCGTAAGATCTAAGAACCCTTTCTGGGGGTCTGGATCGGGACCCCCTTCCTGTAACAACCTGAGCCCAGGAGGTCGAGGCTGCAGTGAGCCAGCCGCTGTACTCCAGCCTGAGTGACAGAGCAAGACCCTGTCTAAAAAATAAAAAATAAAAAATAAAATAAAAAATAAAAGCCTATAGAAAAGAGAAATCAATGGCCACACCAAGAATTTGGTCTAACTGGGTATAAATGGAGCCATTTACCTAAACATGAGTGAAGTGCAGGGTGAGTGTGCCGTCGGTGGAACTTATTGAATTATTTTATTATAAGGATTGTGGCAGAACAGTAAAGATGTTGGCCACGCTCCTTCAAGTCTCAAGCTCACTGGATAGGCTAAGTAAAAAAAAAAAAAAAAAAATCAAGCAAGAATAAGCAAAAGTCTGTCCCACATACAGAAGGAAGCCACTTTCTGTCCACACCTGAGGAAAACTGAGCTTTCTTGGCAGGCATCGAGAACTGATGGCTGTCCGAGACCAGCATCCCCGTGACTTCTGACTTTTCATTTTAAAACTTATTTTCACATTTGCTCAAGTTGTGCCTATTCTAGGGCACTTTGAAAAGCGGCTCTTTCTCCAACCCCATCCTCGCCTCATTCCAAGGACAGACTTGAAATGGGGTGGGTCACCTGGCGTCTGCAATTTTCCTATAAATGTCCCCCTCCCTGGATAGAGCTAGTCAAAAGTGGGATGTGTTTAGAAGATATAGAGGGATGCGGAGGTGTGTGTAAAGCTATCAGAATATTTTACTGTATCCTCTCCATGCCCAGGTGGGTGGAACTGGTTTCATTGGTAAACGCTTCCTAAACCAGAGAACAATGAGAGGCAATTGATCATCAAAAAAACCCAACAACAACAAAAACAAAACACACACACACACTGACAAGCTCCTCTTCCCCTCAAACTGACAACAACAGAAAAAAAAAAGAAAAGCTTTTAAAAAGAAAGAGAGATCTTTGTGAATGTACATTGTAAGTTGAGGCCTGGAGAGAGAGCAGGATTGGAGAGGGGAGGTCTCTGCCTCAAGGGGGCTTCACTTATTTATGTCTCTAGTTAATAAAATAGATTATACTTTCATGAGATTCCCCCAAATTGTAAACATTTCTCTTAAAGCCATTAATAGTGATAATATATGATAGACATGAGTGACTGATACTTCATAGATGCCATAGCATCATCACCATCACCTTTGCTGACCATTTCCTGCCTGCCAAGGCTCTACACCCCTGGTCTGTGTTGGCCTCAAGGCCCCCAGCAGCCCTGCAAGGAAGGTGCTTTTATGTTCACCAGCTTAGGCACGCAGCAGGGCGAGAATCTTGCCTCCCCTGCTGTGTGCATTCCCCCCAAAATCCACTCTAAGTGCCCCAGCCTGTTTGGTGGCACAGAAAGCCTCTTCCCAGAACCTTCACGTCACGTCTTCAAGTTCAAAACTCATCTCCCATCATTTATAACCATTTGGCAAATTTCATTTAAAAAGAAAATCCATTTAATGAAATATTTCCGTTTAAATACCAGCACATTAGATTTACAAAAATGTGCCCATCTTGAATACATTTAAGCAAAAATCAATCGAGGTTAATAGCATATTGCTAGAGCATCGTGGCGACAGAAAGTCAAATAATTCCTTTTGTAATTGAATAGTACCACTGGAGTGTGAGGAGGAATCAACAACGGCGTTTCTACCATAGCTTTTCAAATGGTGTGTGAAATTCAACCATTGGGCTGTGATAGCCACAGAAGATTCAAATTTGACTAATTAGGTGAATTGTGCAATTTTCCATTTTTTAATAGGAAAGGAGGATGGCGAGGCAATTTTGAGAGGGTTGGGCTGAGAGCGGTGGGGGGGAATATCCTGTGAAGATAACAAAGTCCTTAACAACAATGTAATTTAAGAAAAAGGATTTAATTGGGACCTATTACCAGACAAGCCCGCTGGTTTGAAGGACAAGATTAAAAATATTTCATTATTGCACACGTGACTTTGGGAATAGATGCTCAAAGAATTTATCATTTTCCTGAATCACTTACTGCCCAGCACTTTCTCCAAAGGAAAGGGGATTTGTAATAAAGTATCAGGCCAAAGAAACTGCAGTTCTTTCTGGCCACCCCTTTTTTAAAAAAAATTTTTATTTTTATTTATTTATTTATTATTTTTGAGGCTGTGTCTTGCTCTATCACCCAGGCTGGAGTGCAGTGGCATGATCTTGGCTCACTGCAACCTCCACCTCCCAGGTTCAAGCGATTCTCCTGCCTCAGCCTCTCGATTAGCTGGGATTACAGGCACGCACCACCATGCCTGGCTAATTTTTATATTTTTTAGTAGAGATGGGGTTTCACCATGTTGACCAGGCTGGTCTCGAACTCCTGACCTCAAGTGATCTGCCCGCCTTGGCCTCCCAAAGTGCTGGGATTATAGGCGTGAGCCACCGCGCCCGGCCTCTGGCCACTCTTATTTAATTATTCCCCCATGGTAATGGATATTTGTCCTTACTGCTGAACACCAATCTACACCAATCTCCCCTCTTCCTTATCAGCACCTTGAGCGCTCTTGGGTAAACTGGTAGGCTTAGCCCTGTAGTTTGAGTCCAAACGTGTCATCTGGCCTGCCTCAGGGCAGACTCTGATTGTCTAACCAGCCTGCATGTTCCCTCGACTCAGAGGCTGGCTCAGTGAATAGGCGTATCTCAAATCCACATCAAAAAGACACGAAAAACAAATAATGTCTCCTTGCTCCCTTAACTGAGAGGGTCTAGAAGCAACGTCACCTTGATATCAACAAGTACACCTAGGCCAGCGCAGTGGCTCACGCCTGTAATCCCAGCACTTTGGGAGGCCAAGGCACGCGGATTGCTTGAGCTCAAGAGTTCAAGATCAGCCTGGGCAACATGGCAAAACCCTGTCACTACCAAAATATAAAAAATTAGCCGGGCATGGCGGTGCCCACCTGTGGTCCCAGCCACTTGGGAGGCTGAGGCAGAAGAATCTCTTGAGCCCGGGAAACAGAGGTTGCAGTGAGCCGAGATGGCACCTCTGCACTCCAGCCTGGGCGACAGGGTGAGACCCAATCTCACAACAAAACAAGTACATCTAGAGCCCAGAACTTACAATAAAAGGAACCGGGGCTCCTTGGAGAAATGGCAGATCCCAGGACTGGGGCAGAAAATATACAACATAAGCCTGAAGCATCTTCTAGTTCAGAAAGTAAGAAATGCTAAAGCAAACAAACAAATAACCCCAAATCATGGGGTCATGGCCAAAGGCCACAGGAGCCACCCGAAAGAGCTCCCTGTGGTCAAAGCGAGAGCAATTTGAGCAGGAAAGTAAAGGAGTGTTAGCTTATAAATAAAAATAAATCAATAAATATTTATTCAGAGTTCAAAATAAATATATATGCTCCATACTGATATAAGTAAATTATTAAATAAATAGGGAGAAGTAGACAAATCTCTCATGCAGAAATGTTCCAAATAATGTATGGAGATGCTTCACTCTCAATGGGGAAGCATAGCTCCCACTCCTGAAGTGTGGCCTGCACATAGGGACTTCCTTCCAAAGAGTCCAGGGGGAAAGAGTAACTTCACAGTGGAGAAACCTGACAAGCCTCACCCCAGCCAGCTGATCAAGGTTAATATCAACAGCGATAAGTTGTGTTCAGAGTATATATGCTTACGTAATGGGATGAGAAGGGCACTCTACCTCTGGGATCTTCCTCCCAGATACCTATAACCCCATCTATTCATGAGAAAACATCAGACAAATCCTAACTGAGGGACAGTCTGCAAATACCTGACAGGTCCTCCTCTGAACGGTGCAGGTCACTAGAGACAAGGAGAATCCGAGCAACAGTTACAGCCAAGTGGAGCCTGAGGTGATACGATGACTAGATGTCATGCAGGATCCTGGGCAGAAAAAGGACATTAGGTAAAAGCTAAGGAAATTTGAATAAATGTGGACTTTAGTTGATAATATTGTATCAATGTCAGCTCATGACAAATGTACCATGGTCACCTAAGATGTTAATGGAAGAAACTGGGTGTGAGTTCATGGGAACTCTGTACTTTCTTTGGAATTTTCCTGTAAATCTAAAATTGTTCTAAAATTTTAAAAATATTATTTTAAAAACCCGATATGAACAGCTATTTACGGGGACTTCTGGGAAAATAAAGCCCCTTGCATGGGATCATGTGTAGGGCATAAGAATATGAAATTTGCAAGTAACTGTGACATTTTGCCACCAAAAGGGGAAGACTTGATCTGCTAGCAGTTCCTAGGTATAGTTTATGATTAAGCTCACACTGAAGAGTGAAGAAAGAGGCCAGGCACTGTGGCTCACGCCTGTAATCCCAGCACTTTGGGAGGCCGAGGCAAGTGGGTCACCTGAGGTCAGGAGTTCGAGACCAGCCTGGCCAACATGGCTATGCCCCGTCTCTACTAAAAATGCAAAAATTAGTCGAGTGTGGTGGTACATGCTTGTAATTCCAGCTACTCGGGAAGCTGAGGCAGGAGAATCGCTGGAACCCAGGAGGCAGAGATTGCAATGAGCCGAGATTCTGCCATTGCACTCCAGCCTGGGTGACAGAGCGAGACTCCATCTCAAAAAAAAAGAAAATAAAAGAAAAAAGGGAGAAAGAATAGATATAGAGAAATAAAGTTCTTCATGATATGACCATGAGTGGCTGGATCCAGCCTTGCCTGAGATTAATTTAATCCTTGACTTTTCTGATTCTGAACAAGTAATTCCTTTATTATTTGAGTGGGTTTTCTGTCATTTGCAACATAATGATTAATTATGCGTTGTTGGGAATCATTCTCATCTCCTCTGAACCGCTCAGTAATCCCAAATTCTGAACTCACACACTCTGTGATGTTTGAGGTGCAAATTAATCCCTGAAAAGCCTGAGCTGTGCATGCTTTGGGGATACTTCTCTGCCGTCTCCAAGTCAGAGTCAGGTGCATGGGTAGAGGGCTACAGGGACCTCTGGGCTAATGGGGTTTTTGGAGTTGGACTTCATTTCCCACCAAATAAATCTCCCTCCCCTGTTAGAGGATAATTTCTGGGACATCTTCTGACTAAGTTGAGGCTTGAGCCCCTTGCTTCTCAGTTTTCTCAGTCTGTGGTTATTTGTTGTTTTATTTAGGGATGGCTGGGGACGTGCTGTGATTATGGTTCGGGTTTTCATGTCTGCTGTAGATTTCACTGGGAGATCACCCCCTTCATGTCCCACCCCACTGGTAATAGTTATGTTCCTACTTGTTACTTTTAAAAAGCCTTTTATGGAAGGCCATTTGTGTAAACAAACAATCAAACATTTCTTTTTTTTTTTTTTTTGAGATGGAGTCTGGCTCTGTCGCCCAGGCTGGAGTGCAGTGGCACAATCGCAGCTCACTACAACCTCTGCCTCCCAGGGTTCAAGCGAGTCTTCTGCCTCAGCCTCCTGAGTAGCTGGCATGACAGGCACCCGCCACCGCACCCGGCTAATTTTTTTGTATTTTTACTAGAGACGGGGTTTCACCATATTGTCCAGGCTGGTCTCCATCTCCTGACCTCATGATCTGCCCGCCTTGGCCTCCCAAAGTGCCGGGATTACAGGCGTGAGCCATTGCACCCGGCCACAATCAAACATTTCTAAATTGCCCCTGCTTCCACAGGGCAAGGACTATCTCTTAATCATCTTTATTTTTCTAGTACACAAGTCCTCGGTTCAGCACAGCAAGTCAGTAAATGAGCGATCCTGTAACTCCCCGCCCACAGGGGAGGAGCCTGAGATGCAGACAGGCCGGATGCGTGTTGTGGGCCGGATGCCACCCAAGTCTGTTTGGCTCCAGAGCTTCCTGCTTCTCTGTCCCCACCTCCCCACCTGCCACAGCCTTCCTGTGAGCTCTTAGAGGAAGGGACAGTCTTCTTGCCAGAGTGGCTAATGACACCTCAGATCCATGCTAAATCTTTGAGCACAAGCTCTTAGGACGAGTGGCTAAAGGCCATTGAAACGCCAGCCCCACTGATACCCAGGATAGGAGGCACAGTGCTTTGAACAGAGCCCTCTAATCTCCTCCTTAGCTTCAAAAGGAATGAAGGGTTTCTCCTAAGGCTGTCAGTCAAACCATTACAGCCTTTGTGAAAGGTGTGACCTTGGACTGCAGTCACACACCTGCCCTTTCAGCAGCTCTTTCATGTTCTTTAATTCAACTGCACAGGGTTCCAAAGGCCACCTTCATTCACCTTCATCCCCCCCAACTCCTGATGCATAAAATCCTGCACTCTGCAGTTTTTCTCTCCCTTTCATTTGTTCTAAAGGTCACCTTAGCTCCTACTTTGAAGGAATTCATTCATTCATTCAACAAATTTTTGTTAAGGGCCTACTCTGCGTCAGGCACTGTTCCAGCACTGGGAACATGGTTACAAGGCAGGCAGCGTCTGCGTGGAGCCAGGGGTTGCCCTGTTCATGACCCAGCTCTGCAAAATGTCTCGCTAATATGCAAAGACAGTGGGTCTATTTCAATTCAAATACTTATCAGAAAAAAATTTCCCCCTGTTTTGTAGTTGGATGGGCTACAAAAGGTTTAGGAGAGAGCCTTCATTTTTGGGGCTAGGCCACATAAACCCAGGCAGGTATAGGCAGTTGTAGGACATCATGCAATGCTAGGATAAGATGATAAGGTTGACAAGAAAAGCAAGCATCTCCTATGGCAAAAGATAGCCTTAAAAATTCCTTAAATAGTCTTAGAGTCCTTGGTTTGAGCAAGCAATCTCGTGTGGTAATATATGTATACAAATGTAGAATGTTGTCTTAGTTCATTTTGTGCTGCTGTAAAAAAATATCTGACATTGAGTAATTTATAGAGAAAAGACATTTATTTTTCATCGTTTTGAAGGCTGAGAAGTCCAGGATCAAGGTGCAAACATCTGGCAAGTGTCTTCTTGCTGCACCATCCCGGGGGGAAGGTGGAAGGCAGAAGGGCAGAGAGGGTGAGAGAGAGAAAAGGAGACTAAACTTGCCCCTTTCTTCCTTCCTTCCTTCTTTCCTTCCTTCCTTCCTTGCTTCCTTCCTTCCTTCCTTCCTTCCTTCCTTCCTTCCTTCCTTCCTTCCTTCCTTCCTTTCCCTTTCTCTCTCTCTCTCTTTCTTCCTTTCTTTCTTTCATTCTTTTACTTTAAGTTCTGGGATACATGAGCTGAACATGCAGGTTTGTTACATAGGAATACATGTGCCATGGTGGTTTGCTGCACCTATTAACCCATCATCTAGGTTTTTTTTTGTTGTTGTTGTTTGTTTGTTTGTTTGAGACGGAGTCTCGCTCTGTCACCCAGACTGGAGTGCAATGGCGCGATCTTGGCTCACTGCAGTCTCTGCCTCTCAAGTTCAAGAGATTCTCCTGCCTCAGCCTCCTGAGATTACAGGCATGTGCCACCAAGCCTGGCTAATTTTTTTGTATTTTTAGTAGAGACGGGGTTTCGCCGTGTTGGCCAGGCTGGTCTCGAACTCCTGACCTCAGGTGATCTGTCTGCCTTGGCCTCCCAAAGTGCTGGGGTTACAGGCATGAGCCACCGTGCCCAGCCTCATCTAGGTTTTAAGCCCAGCACGCATTAGGTATTTGTCCTAATGCTTTCCCTCCTCTTTCCCCCAACCCCCGACAGGCCCTAGAGTGTGATGTTCCCCTCGCCATGTCCATGTGTTCTAATTTGAACTCGCCCTTTTCTAATGAACTTACTCCCTGGATAATAGCTCTTAATCCATTACTAAGAGCAGAGCCCTTGTGAACTAAAGAGGTGATTAACCTCTTAAAGTTTCCACCTCTTACAATGCCAATCAAATTTCAACCTAAGTCTTAGAAGGAACAAATCTTCAAATCATAGCAAAAGTATATAGACATAGGTCATGTATTGCAAAGAATAAATGTTACAGAATTTATTTTACAGTGTTTTCTTTTATACAGAAAGGTGGGTAGAGAGTGTTACAGTTACGGAACTGCCTTTACCAAGCTCCCTGCCGCGCCCCCTTAGATTCTGAATTTGGCAGTCTGAGGAGTCCTGTTAAACCAAGTTGGATCTGATCGCTGCCCCAGTGGCTCCCTTCACATGGGGTAAGACCAAGGCCCTTGAAGTATGCCCAGGGCCCTATGATTTGTCCCCATCTCCCACTGACCCCATCTCCTGCCACTGCCCTCTGCCCACCTGTGTAGCTACACTGGCCTCCTGGTGTTTCTGGAGCCCATCCGCCCTGCTCTCTCTCTCAGATGCACTTGCTCTTCCCTCTGCCTGCACATCCCAGGCAGACACATCCTCTCCTCTTCTCCTCTGCAGGTCTCCTTCAAATTGCTACCAAAACACCAGGGGTTTCCCCCAACTCCCAGCATCCCTTAGCCCCCTCCCCTGCCTTATTTTTATCTTACCACTATCAGACATACCCTATGTTTGATTTTTTTATTTTTAAAATTTTCTTAGAGTCTTGCTCTGTCACCCATGGTGGAGTGCAGTGTTGTGATCATAGCTCACTGCAACTCAAACTCCTGGGCTCCAGCCATCCTCCCGCCGCAGCATCCCTAGTAGCTGGGACTGCAGGCATGCACCACCACACCCAGCTAATTCTTCTTGAACTTCTTTTTTAGAAACAGGGTCCCATTATACTGTCCAGGCCGGTCTCAAACTCCTGGCCTCAAGTGATCCTCGCACCTTGGCCTCCCAAAGTGCTGGGATTACAAGTGTGAGCTAAAATCCCAGTAGTGTACAGTGCCCAGCCTAGTTTTTGTTTTTTTTTTGGTAATCCTTGTTTGTTGTTGTTGTTGTTGTTGTTTTAAATTCCTAACTCCCCAAATTTGTTACTGTTTTATTTTTAAATGTTGTTTAACTGTAAACTCCATGAGGACAAGTTTTCTTGCCTTTTTTCTTCCCTGATGTGCGCTCGGCTCCTAGAAATGGGCTTGGCACTTGGTAGGAGCTTAATCAATCTTTGCCAGATGAAGGAATGAATGAATGAATGGATGGATGGATGAATGAATGAATGAATGGATGAATGAATGAATGAATGGATGAATGAATGAATGAATGAATGGAGTGAGTAGCGCCTGTGCGCAACAGCTTATGGATCATGTCAGTCGGGATTCCTGGATGCGGTACTTCAATCAACGCTTTACAAAAATGCTGCAGGGGAGAGTGTCACTCTCTTATTAGAACAGAGAATAAAGGGATTTGTGTTCTTATGGAATGATTAATTATTCTGGTTTATTTTTTCTTTACCCCACCTTGGGAACAAGCACCCCATTACCACAAGGTGAGAAATCTGTATATTAACCATGTTTCACTCTGAGCTCAGAGTCCCCTTCTTCAACCATGGTCTCATCTGTAAAACTTGTGTGTTTGGGAAGGAATGAGAACCCCACCGGAGAATGTTCCCCAAATCAGAGTAGCGACATGTGTCTTAGCCAAGGAGTTCTTCCAGGTTCTTATCCGTGGGGTGTACACTGTGGCCTGCTCATGCTCAGTATTTTCATACCCTAGATGTAAGTTGTAAGTTTTCGTGTTTTATTATTTCACATTTAATTTTTTTCTCCAAAACAAGGCTCTGCCAGATGTAACCTGGCTGCTTATATAATACCATTCCAATTTGTTAAATATCAATGATAATAGATATTCTTGCAGTATCTAAGAACAGCAAAGACAGCTTGTGGAGAGTATTATAAGCGGTGCCATGAAAGGTACGGGATAAATGAGAAGTGTGCCTGGGTGGCTATTCATGAGTACCTGCAGAGGGGTGCTGTGCATGGGGCAGTTACATCAGAGCCCACCTCTGCCCCAAACTGGTAGTCTTTGGGAAGCTGGTGTCGGCCTCTGGGTAAGTCTTAGTTTCACCACCTGGAAAATGGGGACTACATTAGCACTTTCTTCAAAGGGCCATTGTCTGCATGGAATGAAATCCCAGATGGACGGCGGCTCTCCCAGGGCTCTGAGCACTTGTTCAGTCATCAGCCGCCAGCTCCTGCTGTTATTCCTATTAGTTTAGCCTCTGGGAAGATGTGAGCTGCAGAGACTGTAATGCCCAAGCACGGACATTGCTGTTGCCTCAGAGATGTCACTCTGGCTTGGCTCTTGTCCCCAACGGGCTCTGAGGAGGACTTGCTGCTGGGCAGGGCCCCAAGTGTGTGCTGGGCTTTCCCAGGTCAGCCTCCCTCCAGCAGGCAGCTGGCATAGGTGGCCCAGGGAGAAGGTGTTCCTCCCTCAAGCCCTTCAGGAAGGCCGGGCTGTCCAGCAGATGGGGTAGAGACAGGCTGGGAGCACAGGGGGCTTCCCAAGGTCCCCCCTGGGCCATTTCTGAGTTAAGTCAGGCCCCCACAGGGAATCCCAGCCTCTCCTGCAGGTTTCACAGGAGAGTCCAGAAATGTCCAGGACTCTCCCTGCCTCGAGGCTCTTTCTGGTGATGGTGGAGGGGATTTAGTTATTTTAATAATATCTGGAGTTTATTCTGAATGATCAGTTATGCATAACCATTACGTAGCATTATTTATGAAATTGGGAGGCATGCCTCATGGTTACGGAAACTCTAATGAGGGGGGCCCTGATTTATGCCATAAACAGGACATTATCCAGTATTCTCTTGACCTCACCTCTCTGGCCACACCACACCCCCAAGGTTGATTTACATTTGAAAGATGCCCTGTGCCTCTTGAGACATTTCTCTCTCTCTCTTTTTTTTTTTTTTTTTCTTTTGGTGCAATGGCTTGATCTCAGATCACTGCAACCTTCACCTCCGGAATTCAAGTGATCCTCCTGCCTCAGCCTCCCAAGTAGCTGGGATTCCCAGCTAATTTCTGTATTTTTAGTAGAGACGGGATTTCACCATGTTGGTCATGCTGGTCTCAAACTCCTGACTTCGTGATCTTCCCACCTCAGCCTCCCAAAGTGCTGAGATTACAGACCATCACGCCCCGTCCTGCTGGTCATTTTCAGTGCCTGCAAAGAGAAGCGATTTTTTTTTCCCTTAGACGTGAACACAGAATTGTTTCCTCCTGGTAGCTGTGATTCCTTGGTTATTCTTTTTACAGTTGGAAAAAAAAAAACCATCCTCTATGAAGCCTGGTGTCACCTTTTCAGGAAAGCCTGAGGACGAATGGGCAGGTACCCAAAACATTTTTCCCTATTGTGATCACAATTAGATAGTCATAATACTGATCGTTATTATTTTGTGGAATGTTTACTCTGCAGGCACTGGGCTAAGCTCTTTGTATACTTTCTATTATTTAGTCCATGTAACAATTCTGAGAAAGGAAGGCTTAGAGGGGCAAAAGGCTTATTTATAGTCTTCTGATCAGGAAGTTGTCCCATTCCACAGAGAGCACAGAACTGTCTACTCTTTCTTCTCCCTCCCATGAGTGGCCACCGGGAGGGGAAAATGTGCTGTGGGTGCCTCAAGGAAAAGAGAAGGTACTTGAATGTCAACTTCTCCTGGGTGACTTATTGACCACGGACAGATATTTGTTGAATGATGGAAAAGGAAAATGGAGCCACCATCTTCCCTTGGGACATTCCCTTGTGACACAGTGTAGACCAAAGCATTGGTGGGAAGGCAAGAAGGAAGAAGATATGCAGAGGGAAGCAGAGGCAAGACCAGATCCTCCTGATTTCTGGTTTGATGGCACCATCAAGGCAGGGCAGCATCTCTGCCCTTACCAATGCAGAAATCAGCTAACAGCAACAACAGCAATAATTGGCATTTATTGAGGATTCATTCTGTTCCTGACTGCCCATTAGTTATACAGCAAAATTGCAGTCTTTTAGTTTTAAATAAGACAATAGCTCAGAAGTAAATGGTAACTGTATTAGTCTGTTCTCACACTGCTATAAAGATAGTACCAGAGACTGGGTAATTTATACAGGAAAGAGGTTTAATTGACTCACAGTTCCACATGGCTGGGGAGGTCTCAGGAAACTTACAATCATGGAGGAAGGAGAAGAGGAAGCAAGGCACATCTTCCCATGGCAGCAGGAGAGAGAGAGAGAGCAGGGAAAACTGCCACTTATAAAAATATCAGATTTCGTGAGAAGTCACGCCCTATCACGAGAACAGCATGAGGAAACTGCCCCCATGATCCAGTCACCTCCCATCATGTCCCGCCCTAGTGGGGATTACAATTCGAGATGAGATCTGGGTGGGGACACAGAGCCAAACCATATCAGTGAGTAAATGTAAGTAGGTGCAGGAGAAGAAACACTGCCTTACCCTCCACTGGAAGAGGCTGTCAGATGTTAGGACATTGGAGTGAGTGAACTGTTAAGAGCTTTATGGGCTGGAGTAAGCAGCCTCCAGTTCAAATCCTGGTTCCTCTACTCACTAGTTATGAGGCCCTGGGTAAATCACACCACCATTTATCCATTGAACCATTCATTCGTTCATTCGTTCTATCTCTTCAACAAACGTTAGTTGAATACCTACTATACCCTAGGTAGGCATTTGAGAACTGAAGCCAACAGAACTCCCTGCATCTGTGTTAGACAACACAGAAGACCAAGCAAAACTAACAGACTTGTTCGCTGCAGGAGATATGTGCTTCTGGGAGATAAGACTGTCAACTAGCTAAATTGCTTCCTCACCAAGACCTGCTGCAAGACCCTCATGTAGGTGTGCCCGCCATTTCAATTCCAAACCATTTTTCCTCAGGCGAGACCTGCCTTAACGCCACCGGGCTCAGTCCCTAAAACTATGATCAATAGGTTTTCTTGAGGATCTTGGGTGCAGAAGTCTTCAACACGCTTTTCCAGCTACTCAGAATACAAAGGTGAACGGAACAGACCAATCGCTGTCCTTACAGAACATTCTAGTGCAGGCAGGGAAACTAAACAAATGAATCAGCACATTTGCACAATATTTCAGATGGTGGAAGAGCCAGGGGGAAAAGCAGAACAGGTTAAGGAGCTAGGGAGAGGGAGACAGATACTGTTTTTGTTTGTTTGTTTGTTTTTGTTTTGTTTTTTGAGATGGAGTCTCGCTCTGTCCCCCAGGCTGAAGTGCAGTGGTGCAATCTCGGCTCATTGCAACCTCTACCTCCGGGGTTCAAGTGATTCTCCTGCCTCAGCCTCCCGAGTAGCTGGGATTATAGGCGCCCACACCATGCCCGGCTAATTTTTGTATTTTTAGTAGAGATGGGGTTTCACCACATTGGCCAGCCTGGTCTTGAACTCCTGACCTCAGGTGATCTGCCCACCTTGGCCTCCCAAGGTGCTGGGGTTACAGGTGTGAACCACCACGCCTGGCCGAGATACTATTTTATAGAGGGTCACCAGAGAAGGCTTATCTGATAAGAGAACATTTGGGAAGACATCTGATGGAAAGGAAAGAGTTAGCCAAGGAGTTAACTGGAGGAGAAATACTCCAGGCTGAGCCGACAGCATGTGCAAAGGGCCTAGGGTGGGCTTGTGCTCAGCATACAGAGAGACAGAGCAAAGAGGTCTGTGTGACTGAGGGAGATTAAGCAAGAAGGAGAGAAAGAGAAAAATAGGGCAGGGAGGTGTGTGGGCATAGCGGGCCAGGTTGACAAGAGTCTTGCATGGCATGTGGCTTTACTCTGAATAAGAAGGGAGCCCTCGGAGGGCTTGGAGCAGAGGGAGAATTGTTCTGATTAACTTTTTAAAAGAATCCCTCTGGATCTCAGTCTCCTGACCTAGGGGCTGGCAAACATCCTGGAAAAGGCCTGTGAGTGGCAGGTCAATAACCCTCCAGTGTCTATGTCCTGCTCCCTGGAACCTGTACATACATTTTGTTATGTGACCAAAGAGACTGCAGATGTGATTAAATTAAGAATCTTGAGATGAGGAGATTAACTCGGATTATCCAGGTGGGCCCGATGTCATCTCAAGGATCCTTTTAAAAGAAAGAGGGAGGCAGGAGGAGCAGTGTTAGAGTGGTGCAATGTGAGAAAGACTCTATCAACCACTGCTGGCTTCAAAGATGAAGGAAGAGGCCACAAGCCAAGGACTGCAGGCAATGTCTAGAAGCTGGGAAAGGCAAATACGTGGATTCTTCCTCAGGGCCTCCAGAAAGGAGCACAGCCCTGCTCACACTGGGAATTTAACCTGGGAAGACCCACGTCCATCCTCCGTCCTCTAGGACTGTACGATAATAGGTTTGTTGCTTTAAGCCACCAAGTGTGTGGTGATTTGTTACAGCAGCAACAGGAAAGTACTAGAGTCAGATAGTAAATATTTTCAGCTTTGTGAGTCACGCAGTGTTTTCCACAACTTGCAACTCTGCCATTGTGGGAAATGGATGAGTGTGGCTGGATTTGGCCCACAGGCCGTATTTGTTGACCCTTGTCCTAACATGTTAAATAAGAACTAGAAATAGTAGTAACTGCAGAATGCTGTTTGTGAGCATTAAATGAAATAATGCATACAGGGGCCAAGCGCGCTGATTCACGCCTGCAATCCCAGCACTTTGGGAGGCCAAGGCGGACAGATCACTTGAGACCAGGAGTTCGAGACCAGCCTGGCCAACATGGTGAAACCTCAACTCTACTAAAAATACAAAAATTAGCCAGGCATGGTGGCAGTGGTCTGTAATCCAAGCTACTGGGGAGACTAAGGCACAAGAATTGATTGAACCTGGGAGGCGGAGGTTGCAGTGAACCGAGATCATGCCACTGCACTCCGGCCCAGGTGACAGAGGAAGAGTTTGTCTCAAAAAAAAAGAAAAAAAAAAAGAAAGAAAAAAAAGAAAGAATGTATAAGGAGCTGTTCGAGCCTGAGAAATAGCACGCACCTGATCAATGTGCATTATGATGATGATGATGTTATTATTATTACCATCAATATTATTGCAGTGGTTATAGGAGGAATAGTCTTGATTTTTTCCCAGTAGTCTTCCCATCAGAACACCATAACAGTAGGCGAGAATGATCCATTTGTCAGGTATTTCTGATGAGCCAGCTTATAGACACCACATCAGGGAGAAGAGCAGCTAGGGAGGAAGAATAAAAAGAGAACAATTTTCTTTACTGAAAATGACAACCTAGAAGAGAAATGGTGAAAAACAAATATCTCCAAGTCGCAGGATCATCCTGGCTTTGAATGGCACAGGGCTGTCCTGTTACCATTTCCCCATTCCAGCATTGACATATTTTATTGTTAATTGCTTTTTCAAACCTCATCAATGATCTTTTGCACTTTCCGCAAAGAAATGTTGAAAGCTTTTAATGAAGAAATTAATTATGTATAGTCTTGAATGCAAATTAGACTAATTAATTGTAGCATTGATACCCTCTCCTAGCACAAAATATGAGAACTGGCGTTATACATATTTATAAGGCACAGTACATTTTGACAGATGCCTGCAGACTGTGATGAAAAGGTGGTCAAGGTGTCTGAAAGGGATGCCTTTTCTCTGACAGATAAATAAGGTTGCATTTCGTGAGAAGTTTAGTTTAGTTGTCAACAATAGTGACTTTGGAATGTTGAGATGTGAAAACTTTTGTCATAAAATGGATTTTACCCCAAATGGAAAAACTTCTGTAGAGTCGAGGTGATTGGGTGTGGAATTGAACGTATCCTGGGAAAATGCATTGGGGTGTTCTTGGTTCTTACCAGGCAATTAGTAAAGGAGGTCACATGTCTGCAGCAGCCATGTCTATCAGGGCTGGATGAAGGAGTAGTTGGGGCACACTTCTTTTTAATTGTGTTTTATTCCATTCAAGAGAATGGAGAGTGGGCACCTTGTAAATTTCACTTAGTCCCCAGGAACCAATGTTCTGCCCCGAAGAAAAGAACTCACTGGGGGTAAAAATGGCCACAATGTTAACAGCTTCTCCCATCCAGAGGTAGAGTTTGTCGACCCTTTGGATCTTGGCTTGGTCATGTGACTTGCTTTGGGTGGCCAATGGGACTTCAGCAAACCTAATACAAGCAAAGGATTGAAAAATGCTTCTGCATTAAAGTTTGCCTTCTCCTGCTGCTGCTGGAAACCCTTCTACCACCATGAGAGCAAGCACATGGAGATAGGCCTGGCTATCCCAGAGATGGCCCCAGGCAGGTGAGTGAGGCAATTCTAGACCAGCCAGCCCCTGCCAAGCCAGTCTACACAAGAAGATTATCCAAGCAACCAATCAAATTATGAGAAATTTAAAAACGCATGTTTGCTATTTCATGCCACTGAGTTTGGGATAATGTGTTAGGCAGCAAAGGCTAACTGACACCACCAAAATTTCAGAGCCCTTTCTTCCTGTATTTGAGGGAGGTAGATATTAAGACCTTATTTGTAAGTGACAGGTACTGTGTCCTAGAAGGTCTGCTATGGATAAAGACCAGTCATGAAAAAGACAGACAATAAACAGGTAAATGCATCAATGCCTCGTTACAAATGGAAGGAATTGAGTTGGACAAAGAGGGAGGGAAGACACTTGCTCTGAGCAAGGGCAGCAGGCACTACTGTGACCTTCCAATGGCTACCTTCTACCTCCATCTTCTTCCTGCCTTGTCAAACCTGTAGAGGTTGTGACAGAGGCTGAAGGTACAGGCACTCTCTTTCCCATCTTCCTTGGCAGCTGGGTATGTCCACGTGACCCAATTCTGTCCAGGGGACCCAGGGAAATCTGCTGGGATATCCTTGGAAAGGTTTCCTCCCTGGTAAAAAGAGACACATCTCCAATGGCGTGGCTATGTCCTGCCGTGCTAGGCAGAATGCCAAATGTCCCTTCTGAGATTTCCTGTCCTAATCATCAGGGCTGTGGACATGCTGAGCTATCATACTCAGGATGGTTTTCATTACATGGCAAGAGGGATTTCGTGATGCAATTAAGGCTACTCATCGGGCCCATGCTAATCACATGAACCCCTTAAAAACAGAGCGCTTTGGCTGGGCATGGTGGCTCATGCCTGTAATCCCAGCACTTTGGGAGGCCAAGGCGGGTGGATCACGAGGTCAGGAGATTGAGACCATCCTGGCTAACATGGTGAAACCCCGTCTCTACTAAAAATACAAAAAATTAGCTGGGTGCGGTGGTGGGCACCTGTAGTCCCAGTGACTTGGGAGGCTGAGGCAGGAGAATGGCATGAACCCAGGAGGTGGAGGTTGCAGTGAGCCGAGATCGCGCCACTGCACTCCAGCCTGGGCGACAGAGTGAGACTCCGTCTCAAAAACAAACAAACAGACAAAAACTAGAGTGCTTTCTCCAGTTGGTAGCAGGAAAATTCAGATATTCAAAGTATGAGAAGGGTTCAAAACAAGAGAGCTCTTTAGTTGCTGGCCTTGAGGATTGGTGGCTGGTGGGGGTGGAGGGGGTGGGGCTCATGAAAAAGGCCTGAGAGTGGCTTCTGGGAGCTGAGCGTGGTGTGGCTGACAGTCAGCAAAATGAGGGTCTCAGTCCCTAATTTATTGTGGGGGGTGGGGGCTGTCTATTTTCTTTAAGGACATAATCTCACCAGGCAACAAGTAGCTACAAGAGGGGCTGGGCAGTTGTCTGCAAGAGCAGCAGAGAAACAGGATCACAGCCTTCGCACAGCCATGGGGAGAAAAACAAACAGGAGGTGGAGACTGAGCGGGAAAAAGAGTTGGGATTCTACATCCCTGTCCCAGTCCCTTCCCCAGCCCTGGCTACACCCTACCCACTCATTTCTCCCGGGTGTGGCCCCCTCATTGGGATCTGTTGCTTAAGCTAGCCCAGTTTGCTGTAGGCTTCTTGAGAAAAAAGGTGTTCTGTCCAATACAACATCCTTCAGGATGAAGAGGCAAAGCTATGGATGGTTCACTTCATCACAGCCTTTAGCTTGGCCCAACTTCCACAAATCTGTATCTTTCAATTCCAACCAGTTTCACTTATGGGCGAGCAAATGCCCTTCACCAGGGCTACCTGAAGTGTGGTTTGCAGTTCCAGTGACTGCCCATACACTGCTGGCTGTTGGTTTTTAAGGAAATGGAGAATAAGTGCTGTGAAGCTTTTACAGAAATTGGACATTTATACCACATCCAAGTGCGCAATCTCTTGCTGATGACAATATATGCTCTTAGAGTACGGACAGTTTTGGTGTGGTCAGGCTTGTGTGGTGGGTCTCATGTGGCGAGTCAGTAAGGTACATGCTATGTACTTGCCATGCACAGTAGGACCATTTATTGGTCTGTGATGTATTGACAATAAAAATAAATTAATTAATTTAAAAAACCCGTGATTCTTCCCCACTGGTAGCTTGTGAAGCACCAACCCAGACTTAGGCACGTCAAGATTTTCCTGGCAAATGTCATAGTTTGGGGCAATCTTTTGAGTTGGAGCCATAGCTTTTCTTCCTGGAATAAATGCAGGTGTGCTCGCCGATTCCTTCATTTCCTGTTGGGGACTCCTCAGACTCCTGTCTTCCTTAGGTGATCTCCTTCCTTCACCCCCAGGCCAGGTGGAGAAGGCTCAAGTGCAGCCAATTCTGCCTAGCTTTCCTTGGAAGATGATAGGTTCAGAGTGTTAGGAGTAGGAGGTTTTCCAGCCCAGTGCTTCCCAGTGGTGTTCAGGGCCCCCAGGTGCTTCTCGAAAAGGTCCCATTAACTTAAGAGACGCTGCTTAGTGTCTCTCTCCTGGAAAGTGGGGATGGGACTGAAGATAAAAACTGGAGGTGGAAAGGACCCATGAAATTACAAAAATGCTCCATTTTTGTAGCAGAGGAAACTGAAATCAGAGAGGTCAATCAAAGGACTTGCATGAGGTCACATTTCGATAAGGACCCAGATTCTTAGAGAGAGCCTCTGGCACTAACTCACCTTGTTAGGGTACTGCTATGGCTGCTGGAACAAAGATCAAGATAACAGTGGCTAAGACCAGATGGAAGTCTGTTTCCCTTTTTTAAAATTATTTATTTATTTATTTATTTGTTTGTTTGTTTGTTTATTTATTTTTGAGATGGAGTTTTGCTCTTGTTGCCCAGGCTGGAGTGCAATGGTGTGATCTTGGCTCACCGCAACCTCCACCTCCTGGGTTCAAGCGATTCTCTTGCTTCAGCCTCCCGAGTAGCTGGGATTACAGGCATGTACCACCATGCCTGGCTAATTTTGTATTTTTAGTAGAGATGGCATTTCTCCATGTTGGTCAGGCTGGTCTTGAACTCCTGACCTCAAGTGATCCACCCACCTCGGCCTCCCCAAGTGCTGGGATTACAGGCGTGAGCCACTGCGCCCGGTCCTTTTTCCCTTTTATATCTCAGTGTAAGTAGGCTGATGGCATCAGGAACTCAAGCCCCTTCTCTTTTTTCTGTTCTGTCTTCAGCAGGAGGAATCTGTTTTGTAGTCTAAAATGGCTGCTTCAGCTCCTGCCACTGTGTCTGCATTCCAGCCAGAGGAATGAAGGGAAAAGACAAGGGGAGGACATGCTCTTTTATTTCTGAAGGTGTGTTAGGGATTTATTCCTACTTAATAAAAATCCACAGACCCTTAGGAGTAAACACAATAGGTTTGTATTGGACTTTTGTTCAAGCATCTTGGGTAGTTGCCTGGGCAGCTCTTCCAACCTGGGCTGGGCTCACTCACACTCTGGGAATCAGCTGGCTGTCAGTGCACCCAGGCTGTCCTCAACTGGGACAACTAGACCAAGTTGACTGGGCCCCCCAGGACTCTCACCCTCCAACAGGCTAGCCCGGGTGTATTCTCACTGCCACGATGGCAGAGGCATGACAGCACAAACCCAGCGCACAAGCCCACTTCTGGCCTCTGCATTCATCTTATCTGCTAACGTCCCAGGGCCAAAGCGAGTCACCTGACTGAGCTCAGAATCCAGGGTTTGGCTAGCCCAGGATAGCTTGGATAGGGAAGGAGCTGCCTTGTATGGGGCAAAAAAGCAAGGATACAGAGAGGAGGGAAGAACTGGATACAGTTTCACAATCTCTTACTCTCAGTACTTTGGTCATATCCGATGAGGTAGGACCTAGTCACTGGGCCACACTGAGCTGCAAGGGACTCTGGGAAGTGCAGTCTCACCAGAGGCAGGCTCTCAGCTGTACCATTGACTAGGATAAAGGAGGAGAGGGCGGATCGAAGGAAAAGAAAGGAGAACTCTTGGCCACACTTGACCTGTAATCTTGGGCAAGCCCCAGGCTGCTCCACTGACTCTCCCCATCTTTTCAGAACTTTCCCTGATCCACCAGTCAAAATGAATTCCCACCTCCTTTTCCTCTGAACTCCCCAGGAAGTACAGTTGGCTCCCTCCTAAAGTCTGTGTTACTTTCCACCTTGAGTTTTTTGTTTTTCGAGACTGAGTCTTGCTCTGTCATTCAGGCTGGAGTGTAGTGGTGCGATCTCAGTTCACTGCAACCTCCACCTCCCGGATTCAAGCAATTCTCCTGCCTCAGCCTCCTGAGTAGCTGCGGTTACAGGCATGCACTACCACGCCTGGCTAATTTTTGTATTTTTAGTAGAGACGGTGTTTCACCATGTTGGTCAGGCTGGTCTCGAACTCCTGACCTCATGATTCACCCACCTCGGCCTCCCAAAGTGCTGGGATTACAGGTGTGTGCAATGGCACAGTCTTGGCTCACTGCAACCTCTGCCTCCTGGGTTCAAGAGATTCTCCTGCCTCAGCCTCCCGAGTAGCTGGGATTACAGGCATGTACCACCACACCTAGCTAATTTTTGTATTTTTAGTAGAGATGGGGTTTCACCATGTTGGTCAGGCTGGTCTTGAACTCCTGACCTCAGGTGATCCACCTACCTCGGTCTCCCAAAGTGCTGGGGTTACAGGCACGAGCCACTGTGCCCGGCCTCCACCTTGAGTTAAGCCTTTCTGTTTCTAGGTTTCTCTCCCCTGGTGACTATAAACTCCATCAATTGTCCATTTGTGGAGCCCCACCTGTTAGCCAGGCCTGGAGACCCAGAGAGGGAAGATACAATCCCAGCAGAGGTTGAAAAGAGGTGGCCTGCACACCAGAACAGACAGGCAGACTGCTGTGCCTGGACCATGTCACACAGTGTATACAAATTTAGTAGCTGCCAACATTTAAAAATTGGGAATCACCCTTCCAGAAACAGATTTCTGGCTTCACTGGAAAAATGAGCAGATCTAGCAATACTGGGCCCATATTTCCATAATTAGAATGCTTGTTTAATATTATGTATCACATAATTTACATATGTGATCTATAAACACGTAAGTGTATTTGCATTTTAGCTGTTACCATTCCCTAAAATGTGGGCTCCACAAGATGCTGAGATATTGCTTTGCTCACTGCTCTATTCTGGTGCCTCACACAGTGCCTGGCATCAGGTCAGAAGTTACTTGTGAGTAATGAATTAGATGAAGCAACAATGGGTTGGAGCAGCAGATCGCTGTCCCCTCCAAATGAGTCCCACTCAGTAATCTGTATTCTCTGCCTGGATCTTGGAGTTCAATACACTCTGAAAGGAGAGGGCACTGTCAACAATGAGTGTGCAATGTCACAGGTACCATGAGAAAGGTGAGCCCCAGGAAAACCCAGGGAGGAGCCAGGAAGGCTTCCTGAATGCATTTGCCAGACTGGGAAGTGAACGGTAATTTTTAGGAGAGGGAAGAGCATGCCTGGAAGCCCAGAGGCCCATGCTATTGTTTCAGTTTGGCTAAATGTACATCTCTGGGGCAGAGGAGACACTGGGACAAGTGGACAAGGAGCAGATGGGGAAGATCCCTGTCTACTGGTCTAAGAAGCTTGATCTCTATCCTGGGGGATGAAGGTTTTGAGCCAAGGAGTAACAGGATCAGATGTGAGTTATAAAAAGAACTCCCGCCTGTAGTGTGAGGAATGGGTGGGCATGCACGGGGGCTGGCCGGGGCTCCTTTTAGGGTAGGGTCCTATGGGGGGCACATAATAATGAAAATCAATGAAGGGACCCATGTAAGATGACAAAAGTCAACTCACACTTGGCTGCACTGTCTGGGAAACAGTAGGGAGTAGTGGGGACTGTGGCGAACTGGTGCAGGCTCACCTGTCTACAGAAGGGCTTCCCAATCTTAGCACTATTGACATGGGGGGCTGGAAATTCTCTGTTCCATGAGGCTGACTGTGCAATGTACACCATCTAGCAACATCCCTGGCCTCTGTTCGCTGGATGCCAGTTATGACCACTGAACATGTCCCCAGATGTTGCCAGATGTCTCCTGGAGGGTGAAATCTTCCCCTGGCTAAGAGAGACTGGTCTGCAGGGAGCCACCACTCAGCACCAGCTAATGCTGCCCTGTGGGAATGGAGACCCACTGCTCCTGAGTCTTCCCATTCTTCAATCTTTTCATATTTACTGTTGGCAAATAATGTTTTTTGGGTTGTTTTTGAGAAGTGGCAGCCAAAACCATGTGTGACAGACAAAAGCACACCTGGGCCTCAGCTTGCAACCTTTAAGTCAGCAGTCTCTCACAATCACCAAGGTGAGAAATGGTCTTTGGGATTTACGGTGGATTTATTCTTACATTTCCCAAAGGGCCTGCTTTCTGGGACCTTCCACTCGATAGTAACTTGTTCCAGTATTTATCAAGTGAGCAAACAAAGAAGTTGGCAGTTTATTATACTAACGCTCTGGGCCCCTCCCTCTCTGCCCCCTCATTTGTATTTGATATGCAAACCGCAGGTCTCGGAGATCACCCAAGCCTATTTCTGTCCCCTTCCCCACACTCCCCACTTCTGTAAGAGTTTAAGAGTTCAAAAAATCATCTGAAATCACAAACCCAATCCCACGTGACTGCCAGCCTATGCCAGCACCTACATCGGAAACCAGCCTTTCCAGAACCAGACAGAGGAGCCACCCACGAGCATGTCCCCTCCCCCTCTTGGCCATGTGTGGGAAAATGCCATCTGCTTTGTGGTGGTCAGGACGATGAGTTTATGCTGAAAATGTTCCGCTCTGGATAAAAGTAAATTTTAAAAAAACCTTGTTCCTTAGAATTAACATCAATATTTATTTTTTGCACCGCCGACATTTCGGACTTCCCCCAGCCTGCCTTCCCCATGTCTGGTAGGAAAGACTCCTGGTAGGGACCACGTGCAATGGTTCTCATTTGCACACTGGCTCCACTACCGTCTCCTCACAGTTGGGTGTTTTTGACAGGCTCTGCCTCTTGTTTAGAGATTTAGTGAAATTTTGCAGATTCAAGGATTCTGATCTCCACAGTCCATTTCTGGTGGGCGTCCCACATCTCCTGGCTGGGAATGCGAGTTGACGGAGGGCTCCAGGATCTGTAGGCTATTCCAGAGCCAGGGCACACAGGAGGCAAGGCCTACAACAGAAATAATGATACAGATGGGAGCTCCCTTTATCTGGGGCTTCCTCAGAGCCTGCACAGGGCTGACCCTTGGTGGACACCATCTCGTTTCACCCTGCCTGCACCCTGAGAGGCAGGTGGCATCTTCTCCCATCCTCTGTTCCAGAGCCCATCCCGGCTGGAGCCTGCCTGTCTTCACACCTCACTCCTGCCACCCTTTACCTTGACCTCTCTGTTCCCACCATCCTGGACTGCCTTCAGTGGTTCCCTGGCAGGGAGTGGCAGTTTTTTCTTCAAAAGGACAGGTAGCAAATGTTTTAGGCTTTGTGGTTTGCTAGGAAGCCACCTGGTTTTAGCATGAGGGTTCTGTGTCCCCAGAAACCCCATCTGTGCTAGGCAAACCAGGGCAGTTGGTGACCCTACTTTGCTGCCAGCTGCTTTCTTTTTTTTTTTTTTTTTTTTTTTGAGACAGAGTCTCGCTCTGTCGCCCAGGCTGGAGTGTAGTGGCGCAATCTTGGCTCACTGCAAGCGCCGCCTCCCGGGTTCACGCCATTCTCCTGCCTCAGCTTCCCAAGTAGCTGGGACTACGGGCACCCGCCACCGCGCCCGGCTAACTTTTTGTATTTTAAGTAGAGACGGGTTTTCACCGTGTTGGCCAGGATGGTCTCGATCTCCTGACCTCGTGATCCGCCCACCTCGGCCTCCCAAAGTGCTGGGATTACAGGCGTGAGCCACCGCGCCCGGCCAGCCAGCTGCTTTCTATAGCGACTACTCAACTCTGTCATTGTAGCACTATAGCAGCCATAGAAAATATGTAAATAAGTGGGCATGGCTGTGTGCCAATAAAACTTTATTTTATTTATTTATTTTTTGGCACGGAGTCTCGCTCTGTCACCCAGGCTGGAGTGCAATGGCACGATCTTGGCTCACTGCAACCTCCGCCTCCCGGGTTCAAGTGATTCTCCTGCCTCAGCCTCCGGAGTAACTGGGACTACAGGCACCCGCCACCACGCCCGGCTAATTTTTTGTATTTTTAGTAGAGATGGGGTTTCACCAGGTTAGCCAGGATGGTCTCGATCTCCTGACCTTGTAATCCGCCAGCCTCGGCCTTCCAAAGTGCTGGGATTACAGGCGTGAGCCACCGCGCCCGGCCAATAAAACTTTATTTATAAAAACTAAGCGGTCAGCCAGATTTGGCTGCTAGAGCTAGAGGTAGTTTGCTGGCTTCTGCTTCAGGCGCCAAGCTCACTTCCTCCTCCGGGCCTTGGCTTTTCCCTGGGACATTCCTTTACAACATCCACTCTGCGCTCCCGGTTGCTTCCGCAGAGGCCGCCGCTGACTGCAGGGCTCCCGCACCCGGCCGCTTGCTGAATGTTGGCTGCTCAGGACCCACAGCCACTTCTTTCTCTGGAGAGTTGGTCTCAACCAAAGACGTCTGCACCGCCTCCCCAACGAACACAGCTCCAGTTCCGCAGGGGCTGGCACTGGGCAACAGGGGGGGGACTCCCGCTCCAGAGCTTCTCATGGGTGCCTCAGCTGAGACCACGTCCTTGCTGCCCTCGTGCCGTCTGCCCCTGCTGCCCTCACAGCCCTGTTCCTGGGAGCCCCGTTTTGACAAACCCAGCAGCTCAGGCTCTGCTTCCAGAGGGCCCCATCCACATCTCCCCCTTGCATCTCCTTCATCACTCGCCATCCATGACGTTGTTCTGTTTTCCCTGCAGCATTGCACCCTACCCAAAGTGCTCCTGGTTGCCTATTTGTCTCTCCTCTATTGTCTGTCTGCCACCAGAATGTGAACACCCTGAGACCAGGAGCTTCGTCTGCCCTGCTCTGCCTTCCCTGCCAGATGAGAACAGTGCCAGGCATTAGGAGATTTTCCACCTGAATTTGTGGTACGAATGAACATGATGACCACTATTGCCCCCATCTCACAGAGGAGGGCACAAGCGCTCAGAAAGCTGACCATGTTTGCAGGTGGGCTCCACGGGTGATGATCCATGAGCTCTGCTCCGTCACCAGCATCATGACTGGGGCAAGTCCATTGCCCTCTCTGGGCATGGGTCCCCAGTCACAGAGGCACGCTGTCTGCATGCCACATGAGATGCCCAGACAGCTTTACCTGAGGCATTGTGCAAATGAGTTGAATTGTTTGAAAAGATACCTCCTGGATTCTCACGCTTTGGTTCCATCCCCTATAAGGAGCCCAGATGGCCACAGCCTCCCTGCCTCCTTGGAAGACCCAGAGCTGGGAATGAGTATTTCTATCTCCCCCTCTTTATGGATTATTCTTTATCTCTGGCTTCATGGGGGCGTAAGCCAGGTAGTCATGCTTGGTTTAATGGTCTGCTCTTAATGTCTTGAAATTCTTGACAGTTTTAAAAAACATTCTTAATAGTTTTTGAACAAGGGTTCAGATTTTCACTTTGCCCTGGGCCCTGCAGATTCCGTGGTCAGTCTGTGGGTGTTGTATGCCTGACCAATCCATGCCTGACCAATCCCAAGGGCTCTGCAGGCACCATCGTGTGTAGTCCTCCCAATGAAACATGAAGTGGTACCATGATTATCCCCATTCTACAAACAAACAAACCGAGGTCCATGAAGACTGGGTGATCATGGGTCACTGGATTACATAACAAGGACATGGTGGGATGGGAATTTGAGCCAGGTCAGTAGCTCTCAGAGCCACTACTGCCTCAAGTGTCTTGCATACAACATTCAACCTGTTTCTGCTGAGGGTATAAGAGCATCCCCATCATCAGCCATGAATGAATTGATTAACTGATTTCATATCACCCTGGGAAGGGAGGCCATCTCTTCATCTGACTGCCTCCTTTTCATCTTCCTCCTCTGCCTTAAAAACCTTCTCCCTCTAGGGAGGCCCCCAATCATCCCAGCCCTCCCCTACTCCTCAAAGCTGGGTACACAGCTCCCCCACACTTCACCCACCTGTAGAGTTCCTAAGGCCACCTGCTCTTGGACAGGTGTACCTAGGTGGCACCTCACCTCCTGGGAGCAGGAATAAAATCTGATTCATCAAACTGACCTCCGCTGTCCCAGAACCAAGCTTGGAAATTTGTGTGGTTGGGCATCAATTTAGTGAGCACCTGCTGGGTTAAAAAAAAATTAACAATTTATTTTTACCTTTCCTTTTAAGAGAATTTAAAGACACTTGAAGAATACATAAAATAAAAGAAAGAAACCTAAATTAGAAGTTGGGGGAAAAAAGAAAATAGAGAAACATATAAAATATAAAAGAAAATAAATAAAAATATAAGATAAAGCCGGGAAGAAGGCTACATAAACATGCTGCGGTAGGCAGAATAGTGGCCCTCAGAAGATTCCATGTCCTAATCCTTGGAACCTGTGAATATGTCACCTTACATGGCAAAAGGACTTTGCAGATGTAATTAAATTAAGTCTTGAGATGAGGAGATTATCCTGGATTATCTGCATGGACTCTATGTAATTACAAGGGCCTCCTTTTTTTTTTTTTTCTTTAGACAGAGTCTCACTCTGTTGCCCAGGCTGGAGTGCAATAGCACAATCTTGGCTCACTGCAACCTCTGCCTCCCAGGTTCAAGCAATGCTCATGCCTCAGCTTCCCAAGTAGCTGGAATTACAGGCACGCACCCCCACACCTGGCTAGTTTTTTGTATTTATGGTAGAGACAGGTTTTGCCATGTTGGCCAAGCTGGTCTTGAACTCCTGACATCAACTGATTCCCCCCACCTTGGCCTCCCAAAGTGCAGGGATTACAGGCGTGAGCCACCACACTTGGCTCATAAGGGTCTCTATACAAGAGAGACAGAAGTGTCAGTGAAAGAGAAAGACTGAAGGAGACTAATCTACAAGCTTTTTCTGTAAAGGGCCAGATAGACCACATGTGACATTAGCCGTGGTCAGTGCATCATGAATGGGCTAGCTGTGTGCCAATAAAACTTTATTTACAAAAGCAGACAGCTGGCAGGATTTGGCCCCGGGACTGTGGTTTGCCAAACACTGCTTTCTACAATGTGTTTCTGAAACACACTTGATGACAGAAGAGTCGGTGAGAGGGACAGAGGGAGACTGGAGGATGCTACGCTGCTGGCTTTGAAGATGGAGGAGCAGGCTGTAAGAAAAAAACTTTTAAAAACCTGCAAAAGAGCAGGTGCCTCCAGAAGCTAGAAAAGATGAGGAAACGAATTCTCTAGAGCCTCCAGAAGGGATGCAGTCCTGCCAACACCTTGATTTTAGCTCCCCAAGACTTATTTTGGACTTCTGACTTCTAAGACTGTGGGATAATAAATTTGTGGTTTTCTAAGCCACTGTGTTTGTGGTAACTTGTTACAGTCATTGGAAACTAATGCCCATACGCTAGATGGTCTTGGAGACCAATACTGAACAAATTCAGCTCTCAGTAGCCATCCACTCAGAGTGAAGCCCCACTAGTTTTGTGACCCACAAAGTACAACAGATGAAAGAGCAACATAATTTAGGCCCCAAAAGAAATTTTCACTAAGCGTTCTCACAGCAACAGCATCATTCCTGGTGAGCATTCAGATGGTGGGAGCAGAGGCCCCAACTGTTCTGAAGAAGGCCCTCAAGGGTGAGGGGTCTTCCACAGCCGCCTTCGCCTTTGGCTGCCCACCTGGACCACCCAGATGAGGAAAGATGATTTATTAACCAATTATGGAAATGAAGCCAACTCAAATGAAAATGTTTTCCCTTGAATCCTTTTTTGTTTTCCTAATGAAAAACTAACATCTACAAAAAATATTCGAACAGTAGAGAGGTATAAGAGCAGGGGATATGAGGCTTTATCTGTAAAGGGCCAGACAGACCACACGTGACAGCAGCCATGGTCAATGCATCACCAATGGGCTGGCTGTGTGCCAATAAAACTTTATTTGCAAAAGCAGACAGGTGGCAGGATTCGGCCCAGGACTTCGATTTGCCGACTCCTGCTTTACACAATGTATTTCGGAAGCACACTTGATTACTCAAGATTACTCAAGAGTTCTCAATTATCTGGATAATTTTGCCAACCCCTGATGTGGAGCAAAAATATAATTCTCTTCTTTCCTCTGGGTCAACCACTGGGACCACTCCTTGAGCATCATTCAGAAGATTCTAGGCATATAGAAGCAGCTGCAGTCCCCCGCCCTGCCTTCTCTTATTACACCGATGGAAGCACATAGCACTTAAAAAATGCCACAGGGGGCCAGGTGCAGTGGCTCATTCCTGTAATCCCAGCACTTGGGAGGCCAAGGTGGGTGGATCACTTGAGGTCAGAAGTTCAAGATCAGCCTGGCCAACATGGTGAAACCCTGTCTCTACTAAAAATACAAAAATTAGCTGGGTGTGGGGGCGCAAACTGTAACCCCGGCTTCTAGGGAGGCTGAGGCAGGAGAATTGCTTGAACCCAGGAGGCAGAGTTTGCAGTGAGCTGAGATCACGCAACTGCACTCCAGCCTGGGTGACAGAGTGAGACTCCATCTCAAAAAAAAAAAAAAAAAAAAAAAAGAGTGCCACATGCTCTTTTTCCCATGATGAGATTTCTCCACACTTTTCCCGTCATGAGATTTCTGCACACTCACCTGTCCAAATGGCTCCTGGACGTCTAATAACCACTCACTGTGCAAAGCCATGGGGTCAAGGCATCCTCCACCCCCACCGTGCTTTGGCCACCTTTCCCTGGAGAGCCAGCGAGGCGGGACAAAAAGAGAGCTGGGATCCAGTGAGGGTTCTGCCACATAGTGGGTAACGGTTCCAAGAACTGACTTGGAGACACACTTGCTGTGTGACCTTGGTCACGTTGACCAAACGCCCCGTTTGTCATCATGAAGAAACGTCTCGTTTCTTCATCTATTACATGGCAGCAATGATACCCAAAATGAGTTTGCAGAAGACTGTTTGAAAAGTGCCTAGCAAACGTGCGTGACCCAGGGAAGGTGCCCGGTGACACAGTGGTTGGGAATGTACTCTTGTGTTCTCCTGACATCAGGCAACTGGGGCTCCTTAAAGGAGTTGACCGTGGTGAAAAAGCCACACTAGCCACTGACTTGCTGTGTGGCTTTGGGTAAGTAACTTAACTTCTCTGAGGCTGAGTCTATATCTGGAAATGGGGTGATCATTTTAGCTATCACTTGTTGTAAGGGCTCAGTACAAAGTTGCCAGATAAAATACAGGACACCAATTAAATCTGAATTTCAGATAAGCGATGATTTTTTTTTTAAATTCATAAGTCCCAACTTTTCATTTGCTCCACCTGGCAGCCGTATTTCAGTAAGAAGATTCATGTGGAGCGTCTGGCTCAGTGCCTGGTCTGTCATGGGAACTTAAAAGGTAGTCCTTTTACATTCTGATTTTGCATGTTATCAGCAAATGGGGTTATGTCTCTCACTCCTTACCTACCCTGATCGTTGTGAGAATTGGACCAAGTAAGGTCCCGAAACCAAGGCCCTGTAGTCCAGCTTCCTGCTCCCTGACAGCCATTCTTATTCTTATTTTTATTATTCCTTGTTCTCCCCATCCTTGAATGCCATTGGCGCACAACTGAATAAAGCCAGTTTCCCAGGCTCCAGCCCTCCCTCTCTCTTTCTGTTGAAGGCTCCCTCCTGCTTCTGAAAGGGGGTTTCCGGCAGAGGAGCACCCCTCAGGCTGAGTAGGAGGGGCAGCCCCCTCTCAACTCTGCCTGCTTTGGAGGGTCTGGCTTCAAAGACCTGGAGATGGCACTAAAGGTAAGAGAGTTTTGAAAATACTTGTTCCCATAGATTCTGTTTTATCTGAGAAAATCCTCCCTCCTCCACCCTCGTATTCCCGGGACCGTCCTCTTCCCACAATCTGCCTCTTCTTGGGATCCGTCTTCCTTCTCCCACTCCAGCACCAGCCACCTGTAGCCTGCAAAGCAGCAGAGATTCTACTTCATTTTCCATTCTTTCATATTGGTTTATTTTATTTCACTTAATTTTTTTGGTTACCTTTTCATTTAATTCATGTATCTTTTAAACAAAAAAACACAGGCACACAATTTTAAAAGTCAAAAATACTCAAAATTTATAACAACAGGACCAACAGAACATTTTCCTGTTTCTGCCCTCCCCAGTCCCAATTCCCATTCCCTAGAACCAACTAAGGTGGACTCCCTTTGCCGTTTCCTGTGGATGGTCACTTTCTAACATAACCTATACTGCTATTTTATGCTCTCTCGGGTTTAAACATTGTCTTCTGATTTCCTTTAATGAAAGATGAGGACTTTGTTCTCATAGTCCCACCCCTCCTCAACATACCTTCCCTCGCCACATCCTTCCAATAATAGCTTGAAGCTCTCTGGGCTAAAGACGGATCCAGTTTTTACTGACTCCCTAAGTACTGGCCAATCACTGCAGTCACACACCTGTGCACAACTGTTTGCTGTAACTTTGGATTCTGGGTTGTGTTGGTGGGCCTTGTATGAGCTTCAGGGGGCTGAGCCAGTACAGTACAGGCCTTCAGCACAGGGCTGGACCTTCTTGGAAGGCCTCGGATATGAACATTGACTGTTACTTCCTGTGATGTTGTGCACAGAGCCTGAGAACCTACCTAATGGGAATGTCAAGGAGACAAACTTTCCAGTCATCCCGTCTCTTACCTCATGTCCCAGACCACTCTGCCCATAGGGTACCATAAAACATTATTTTTTAATAGATCCCACAGCTATCCCAGGAATAACACAATTATATAGCATTATGATTGTGTGTGTTAAAAGAATTGCTTTGTTAAATGTATAGGGGAGGAATGGCTTTTCTTCTACCCTCTTGGGTTCTGTGGCCAGGCCTGATAATTAACTGACAAAAGACAAAGTAACAGGAAGAAAGCATACGCATTATATTTGGTATTAGTATTACTATGTGTACATGGACGCTTTCATATATAAGAAATGAAGACCCAGAGAAGCAGGTGGGCCTGAGGGTTTATATATAACTTTAAAAAAGAACAATTAATAGTGGAGATATATCAAGACAAAGAGAAAAGATGTTTGGGCTAGGGGCAGTGAATTGTGGGTAAGTGACTAGAAAATACTTGGGGGAGGTAGGGTGTGGTGGCTCATGCCTGTAATCCCAGCATTTTGGGAGGCCGAGGCGGGTGGATCACCTGAGGTCAGGAGTTCGACACCAGTCTGACCAACATGGTGAAACCCCCGTCTCTACTAAAAATACAAAAATTAGCCAGGCGTGGTAGTGAGCACCTGTATTCCCAGCTACTAGGGAGGCTGAGGGAGAATTGCTTGAACCCAGGAGGGAGAGGTTGCAGTGAGCCGAGATCACGCCACTGCACTCCAGCCTGGGCGACACAGCAAGACTCTGTCACAAAAAAAAAAAAAGAAAAAAAGAAAGAAAGAAAAAAAATAAAATATTTGGGGGAACTAATGGAAGATAAAGATTATTTTAGCAGACTTGTTGGTACTGATTCGTAGTATTGATGCCCCTTCTCCAGTGATAAGAATGTTCTCCTCTTCCTGATACAGGGAGAGCAGCTTTCTCATGAAAATGTATGCCCCACTTTTAGATATAAAGAAGGAGGTCAAAGAGCCCTTTCTGCATCTGCCTTTTCTCAGTCACCTTGAACTCAAAATAATCAGTATGCCAAAGGTACATATTTTGGGATGGCGTGATCTGATCCTCTTCAAATGCAAACATTAAAAATATGCCAGACTGGTGCGGTGGCTCAGGCCTGTAATCCCAGCACTTTGGAAGGCGGATCATCTGAGGTCAGGAGTTCGAGATCAGCCTGGCCATCATAGTGAAACCCCATCTCTACTAAAAATACAAAAACAGCCAGGTGTGGTGGCAGGCACTTGTAATCCCAGCTCCTTGGGAGGCTGAGGCAGAATTGCTTGAACCCGGGAGGTGAAGGTTGCAGTGAGCCGAGATCAAGCCACTGCACTCCAGCCTGGGCGACAGAGTGAGACTCCACCTAAATTAAAAAAAAAAAAAGAAAAAAAAAAAGAGGCACAGCTTTGTTTTGTTTTGAGATGGAGTCTCGCTCTTTCACCCAGGCTGGAGTGAGTGCAATTGTGTGATCTCAGCTCACTGCAACCTCTGCCTCCCAGGTTCAAGCAATTCTCCTGCCTCAGCCTCCTGAGTAGCTGGGACTACAGGCATGCGCCACCACACCTAGCTAATTTTTCTGTATTTTTAGTAGAGACAGGGTTTCACCAGCATGAGCCACCGCCCTCTTGTTGCCCAGGCTGGAGTGCAATGGTGCGATCTCGGCTCACTGCAACCTCCACCTCCCAGGCTCAAGCAATCCTCTTGCCTCAGCTTCTTGAGTAGCTGGGATTACAGGCATGTGCCATCATGCCTGGCTAATTTTGTATCTTTAGTAGAGACAAGGTTTCTCCATGTTGGTCAGGCTGGTTTCGAATTCCTGACCTCAGGTGATCTGCTTGCCTCGGCCTCCCAAAGTGCTGGGATTACAGGCAGGAGCTACCACGCCCAGCCCACATTTTTTTTTTAAGCATATTTCTTAATATGCTGGAAGTTCCAGAAAAATGAATGAGATCTTGCCCATCTCAACCTCCAAACAGTCTACTGCAACTTCTGGAATGGTAGAAAAAAGTGCCATGGATATGCACGTCTAGGGGAGAGGGCTTGGCATTTGTTAGATTCTCTTAAGTTCCTCAAGTCAACTTCCCCTTTGTTAAACTGAGGAAATTTTGGCTCAAAGAAACGTATCCACTTGCCCAAGGTCACAGAGCTGCCAGTGGTGGGGTCAGGTCTGAGTCCAGGTAGTCTGATCCCAGATTCTGTACAGTCAAGCACTGAATCATCTGGAGAAGGGGTGAGGGAGGGGGACGAGTTTCCTAGGGCTGCTGTCACAAATTACCACAACCTCGGAAATTTAAAACAACAGGCATTTATTCTCTCACATTTCTGGAGGTCAGAAGTCCAAGATGAATCCCACTGGACTGAAATCATGATGTCAGCAGGGCTGTACTCCCTAGAGGTTCTAGAGAGAACCCATTTCCTTGTCTTTTTTTAACTTCTGGAGGCTGCATTTCCTGGCTTATGGCCCTGTCCTCTGTCTTCGAAGCTAGCATTGTAGCATCTTGTTCATGTCACATGGGCTTCTTCTAGGTAGTCTTCCCTTTGCCTCTGTCTAATAAGGACACTTGTGATAGCATTTAGAGCTCATGGGGCTAATCCAGGATAATGTGCCCATATTAAGATCCTTAACTTGGCCGGGTGCTGCAGCTCATGTCTATAATCCCAGCACTTTGGGAGGCTGAGGTTGGCGGATCACCTGAGGGCCTGGCCAACATGGTGAAACTTTGTCTCTACTGAAGATACAAAAGTTAGCCGGGTGTGGTGGCGCACGCCTGTAATCCCAGCTACTCGGAGGCTGAGACAGGAGAATCGCTTGAATCCAGGAAGCGGAGGTTTTGGTGAGCTGAGATCACACCACTGCACTCCAGCCTGGGTGAGAGACCGCGACTCCATCTCAAAAAAAAAAAAAAATCCTGAATTTAATCGCATCCGCAAAAGTCCTTTCTGCTGTGCAAAGTAACATTCACAGGTTCCAGAGATTTGGACCTGGATGTCTTTGAGGTCATTAATCAGCAGCCCTCAAAGATGGGTCTCCCACAGGCTCAGTCCTTACTGTATAGATTTCATGGTGGCCTGGGAAAGGGTAACTACAGCCATGGGGCTCACTCTTCTCCCGTAGGAGGCAGAGAATTTGTCACCCAGACCAAACAAAGAGCACTCAGGCAAGCCTGGCCCCAGTCAGGCTTACAGGTTTTAAGGCTCCAGGGGAAAGGATGATTCTTGCCCCAGCAGTCCCCTTCTCCGTCAGCCCAGGGGTACTTAGGAGAGACAAGCAAAGGGATACGTTTCCATCCCGTACCTCTGCTAAGATGCTGGGGAAGACAAGAGAGCTCTGGTAGAGTGTGGAGGTGAAACCTTTGGTCTCTGGATATAGCAGGAGCAGTATTTGAACTCATTGAGTCCAGCTGTCGGGTGGGTGGTCTCATCTCTCTAAGCCTCAGTTATTTCACCTGCAAAATGGGAGCAAGCAGAGTCCCTGTCTCAGACAACTGCTGCAAGATGTATAACCCAGGTAGAAAAACATTGAGCAGAGTCCCTGGTACATGGTGAACTCATGACAAACTTGTCCATTTCAACTAACCAGTAACTGTGACCCAGTGGTTCTGGCTGTAGTCTTTGCCACACCCTTGGCACCTCTCTTGTTTCTATGCCACATTGAATCTATCAGCATATTTTCTTGGCTCTACCTTCAATGTATGCCCTCCATGGATACTACCCTTGCCCAAACCATCATCATCTCTCTCCTGGATTATTGAAAAAGACCCTTCACTGCCTTGCTGACTCCTCAGCCCTCTTACCATCTCTCACTTGCTACACATCAGGATGCTGTCCAATATGGCAGCCATTAGCCCCGTGTGGCTCTGAAGCATTTGTGATGTGGCTGGTCCTAATTCAGACGTGCTGCAAGTGTAAAACACACACCAGATTTCAAGCACGTAGTACCTAAAAAAGAATGTAAAAGATCTCATTAATAAGTTTTTACATTGGTGACATGATGAAATGATAATATTTTGGATAAATTGGCTTCAATAAAATACATTATTCAAATTAATTTCACCTGGCTCTTTTTTTTTTTTTTTTTTGCTTTTTAAAATGTGGCTTATTAGAACATGTAAGACTCCACGTATGGCTCGCATTTGTGGTTCACATTATGTTTCTATTGGATGGTGCTGCTCTTTAGCATCTTCTAAGCTTGAACTTGAGTGTCTTTTGCCTGGGAGTGAGCAGGTAAGCCGTTCAAGGGACTCTGCTCTGCTCCAGGGAACCACAGCAAAAACCTGTTCTCTGAAGATCCTGCCGAGGGATTTGGGTGGATAAATATTTACAGTTCTGAGGTTGCATTTCGAACAGCTCCAACATGTTTGCAGAGTTTGTATAAACCTAATCATCGCAAGGCACACGGTTTTCATTTCAACTGCCTTTAATCCTGCGGCCCCTGAGAAAGGAGATGTGATGACATCTCTTCAAAGTGCGAGGCCAAGTCTGCTGGGAAATGGCCACAGGTATCCGCAAAAGGGCAGGGCCTGATTTGGGATGTTCGCTGGTGGTTGCATTTTTGGAAGTAATAGTGGTGTTTTTAATGGCCAAACTCAATTACCCTCCTAATCTGTTGTAGAATAAAAAGTTAGGAATTCTAAGAGCCTAAGGCTATACGTAAAACACCACTGCTCACCACTCCAAGGGGACTTGGCAAAAGATTTTAAGTTGCTGCTAATGAAAATTTAAGTTGGGTGTTGGGAACAAGAAAGCATAATTTGTTGTGGTTGTGTGTGTGTGTGTGTGTGTGTGTGTGTGTGTGTTAAAGCTATCTGATTTCATTAAATTGGGCTGTGGCCACTATTTTCTGTTTTACTAAGCCCCCAAAGAGATGTTTTATCGGCTGAGTGTGGTGGCTCACACCTGTAATCCCAACACTTTGGGAGGCCAAAGCGGGTGATCCCAAGGTCAGGAGTTTGAGACCAGCCTGGCCAACATGGTGAAACCCCGTCTCTACTAAAAATACAAAAAAAAAAAAAAAAATGCTGGGCGTGGTGGCTTGAGCCTGTAATCTCAGCTACTCGGGAGGCTGAGGCAGGAGAATCGCTTGAACCTGGGAGGCTGAGGTTGCCGTGAGCCAAGATTGCACCACTGCACTCCAGCCTGGGCGACAGAGCAAGACTCCATCTTGGGGTGGATGGGGTGAGAAGAGATGTCTTCTCATGGTGACATTCTGCATTCCTATATGAAGTGAAAGGAAATGGAAACTCAGGCCATAAGAAAGAAAACTGAGGAAAAATCAGGAGTGCTTAAAGACGGGCTGAGAAGTAATTGATTTTAAGCCATATGCAGAGTGCCAGATTGCAAAATTTCAGGTTGCACAAAGGCAAAGTTTTTGAAAAAAATGTGTGGGACTTAAACCAAGTCCTAAATAGAAGGTAAAACAATTTACGTGGCTACAAAAGAAAAAAGATTATTCTTTATATTAGAACCCAAGTATCTTGGTAATGCAGACATCATCTGGTTTTTTGAAACTTTGAATGGGGGTGGGGGAAATTATAATGAATAAAGTGTTTCCTATTCTTTTACTTTTCACTTCCTGCAGTTACTGGTGGAGAATTTCACCAATTGAAAATTATTAGGCAAGATTTTTCTTTTTAGAATGCACTCTATGTATCATTCTGACTGAGTCATCTTCCTAATTAATTTTCGCACAAGGATAAGAGTATTTTGGCACCTGGGGAATACCACTGGAGTCACGATATTATTTTCTATGAAGGTTAAGGTTTTGCAATCATAGATAACCCATAACCTTTGAAAACAGAAATTAGTTTTGTTAATTTCAAATTCCAGCACCCTACTTGCAATGAAACGATGCCACTTTCTTTAAGTTCTGGCCCCTCGGCAAATGGTTATTTTAACTGACACTCAAGTCAAAAGCTCGTTTGTAATGTCCTTTCATTTCAGCTTTATGGCAAATTAAATTATGGTTTGGTTAAACAAAATTACATTAAAAACCATATGTGCTGAAGAAGTTTTAAGGAGAGTATCACGTTTATACTTTAAAAAGCCCAACTGCTCTGTTTAAAGTGGATCTTTCATAAACTTGCAGTCAGGAGCAACAATGACGTCCTTCAGGGAGTCAAACACTTTGGAAAGAAACGCGAACTGAAAATGCTATTGGAGGACGCAAGAAAACCGAAAACGCTCGGTCGAGTTTTTCTGTCAAGCCACGTTTGAAATTAAGGAATTCGTGTAAATTGCCATCTTTCGCATCCGAAGCAAGAAACGTACACAGTTTCCCTGCTATACGGAGTTGTTGTGACATAAGAAAACAGAATCTTTTTAAACCTCGAGTTTAATTAATTCTTTTTTAAAAAAGAATTTAGCAGCAGCATGTTAAAAGGGAAAGGGGGGGGAACCCGATTAGTTCCAAATAAGCGTCTCTTAATCACCCTTATGAAGGCGTAATTTGCAAAACACTCCTAGGAAGTAACATCTTTTTCATTTCAGGGGAAAAAAAAAGTGCATTGATAAAAAATAAGTAGAACATTTTAATTAAAACTCATAAAGTTGTGGACATCTGGTTGGGATTGTTCGCCGCGGCGGTGATTAGCGGATCCGTGCACCTAGATAATGAAGCCTGGTCGCGGTTATTGGCAGAAGGGCCCGGGCGCGCTGTGAGAACGCTGCAGGCTCACTTTGTAGTGCGGGGCCTACGCCTATTAGATTCCAATCAGTTTCGCCTAAAAAGGGGAGGAGGGCGGAGTGGGAGGGGGGCCCAGAGTTAAACACAGGAAACAAGCGTTGAGTGTGTGCCAATAAAAATGGTCACAAATCAGGGCTGCTGATGTCATAACCCTGGGGGTCGGGGGTCAGGGGGAGTGAATGCGCCTGAAAGGGACCGCCTGTCTGCGGCCGGAGCGGCGGCGGGCGCGGGGGGCGACGGCGCGCACAATGGGCCCGGAGCGCCTCATTAGAGACGCGTTTGATGCGCTCCCGTGCCCCACGGGGGCCCTGGGCGATGTCAATGGGATAATTACGATGATCTAATGGCCGGCTCTTTTGCATGCAGGCCCGCCTGAATGGGGCGCCTGGAGGCTGCATTGAGGCCGGGCTGTGTAAACTGTAGGGTGCCTCGCCGACTCGGAGCCGCAGAGACTGGCGGCGGGTCAACTTGGACCACTTTGCATTCACGCTTTGAATAGGCGGAGCGGGAGGCGTCCTTTCCCGCGGCCGCCTTTCAGCCGAGAGAGTGACAGATTGGAGGTCAGCGGCTGGCGGGACGGAAGCCCTCGCCGGGCAGATGGACCCGCTCCGGGCCGCGCCGGGGACCCCCGCCCCGCGCACAGGCGTGTCTACGCGGACGGGCTCCGAGCGCACCCGCGTGTGCGAGGCGATGGGCAGCCGCCCGTCTCCCGATGCAGCCAAGAGAACGGTGGTTTTGCATTTTTTCCAAACCTCTTCTTGTCTTAATGACAAGAGTCAAACCGTCTCGCGCTTGGCTCCCCTCCCGGCACCTGTGCGTTTCCCCAGAAGCCGACTTGGCCCCGGCCAAGGGCACCCGCAGAGCAGCCCCTACCCTCCAATATTTTGCAGGAGGGGAGAAGAGGAAAAAGAGAACTGGATATTTGATATGTCGAAAGAATGATCGATGATGAGGCTGCACCGTAGGAGCTTGCCGGTCTCCGACCGCTGCTGGCCTGCGAAGCCGGCACGTTTACAAGGCTCAGCCCTGGGCTGTCATACTTCCACCAGAACAGCAGCAAATGCGTTCATGGCGAATTATTTTGCAGACGTGAGAACTCTGATTTTTTTTTCAGCTTCTAGGACTTACACACAGTTAGCCTGGGTCTTTTTTAGCACATTGTACATGGTACTAGAATTCAATAAGTATTTGTTGAATGAATTAATCGGTAAAAAATGAATATAGAAGTGTGTACAGACAATTAGGTCTCCTGTTCTTTGCCCTTCCCCCACTGGTGGAATATCTTTTCCTTTCTCTTGTGGATAAAAAAATCACTCTCTTTCTGAAGCAAATAGTGGGCATTCTAGAAAAATTATACTAACAGAGTAAAAGGAAGGTAATACTCTTTCATCCTTGCATTCTAGAAAACTTAAATTATACTAACAGAGTAAGGAGAGAGTAATCATTCTTCATCATCAGTTAGGACGTGTGTATGTTCCCTTTATAAGATTATATACTATACATCACATGTCACCTATCACATTACATGGCTTTGCTTTTATGAGAGGGATCAAATGATACATGACATTTGAAAGTTGATTTAACCTACACTCACTGACATTATTCTGTATCAGTAAAGATCTATGTATATTCTCCCATGAATGCCTGCTTAGTGTTCTGCAGCATGGATTTGTCCTTATTTAATTAAGCAATCCCCCACTGATGGACATTTAGGTTGTTTCCAGCTTTTCCCCCTTTAAAACAATATTGCTAAGAATATGTTTGTACATATATTACAAATATATACTCTTCGTACACTTTTCCAATGATCTCCTTAAGATGAATAATTAATATTTCAAGGGTAAAGGATGCCATTTCTCTTATATATCCTATATTTAGGGCTGGAATCCAACCTAGTCAATAATCTAGCCCTGATCACATATGCATATTCATAAAAATGCACCTAGCTGCCAATTCTCTCCTCCTTCTTGCGATTTAAACTCATCCTTTCCAATTAAGAAACTTCCTTCTTTTTGCAGAAATTGGGGTCACTGTAGGGAAAGGGGGGTGTCTCTGATTTTATTTTATCCACTCTTTTCTTCATTCGGTGAAGTCTCTTCTTCATAGCTCCCAATTACAAATAGCTTCATCTTGATTGCTTCCCTGGAGTCATAACCCTCTCACAGATCCACACACACATTTGCACACAGGTTGAGCACTAGGTTACCTGGAGGTCCCAAAGCCACATTTGGAAACACTACTCGGCACAGCAAATGACATCGCAAAGTCGATGAAATGAAATTGTCAAGCGTAAGAAAATGCAAGCCGTGCTTCAGAACGCGCTGCTGCCCATGTGATGTGCAAGTGGCATCGAGTCTGCAGGATAAATTCATCTTCAGACAGAAAACAAAAGTGGAATTGAGTGGTATTTAAGCATCTAAAAATTCTACTCAGTTTTAATAAAACAATATAGGTATATAGTAGACATTTTTTTCCCAAACAAAAACAGTGAAAAGTTTCTCCCCTACCTCATCCCCGCTCCCACTTCAAGATTCTTCTTCCCAGAGGCAACCATTTCTACCATTTTCTTACATCTCCCCCCGTAAAAGTTCTTTGCACACATCAACAAGCTGTACATATGTAGGCATCTCTCTCTTTACCCAGTAAGCTACATGCTGGACACATTGTCCTGCATTTAGCCCTTTTCACTTAAAATATCTGAATCAGTATTCCTTTGTGCGAATGAACCACAGTTTAACCCCTTGCTAATAAAACGGTTGGGCTCGGTCTTTTGCTCCTACAATGGTCTTCTCCCCCAGGTAAACCAGGTCTGTTGTTAAATCACTACCACAGAAACTGGGCTGAAAGTGCATTCAGTCTTGGTCACTGTTGCCAAACTGCCTTCCAAAGAAACCCTTCCAATTTGCACTCCCCCAAATCGGGTTTCAGAGTGCCTGTTTCCCCACACACTTGCCCCTTCAATGTCTTGTCAACTTTTTCATTCCTCAACCAGATCTGGGGAAATGGTCTCAAGACATTTCTGATTGCTAAACAGCCTATATGAGTTTTGCTGGAAACTAAGCTCCAAGGGAGAGTGGAATGATTGGGCTCCAAACCCCCACTGAGCCAGGAGTTAGAAATTCTAAGGGAGGCCGGCCCCATGGAATGTCTTCCCCATGAGAAGGAAGGGCAGGTAGGTTGTGTTTACCCTGCAGGAATGAGGGAGGGCCTGTGCCCTGGTGGGGATGGGGGAGGGTGGGGGGGCCCTTCCTTTGCCTGGCGTCACCCTGCCGCCGACAGTCACTTTACCCCAAGGGCCAAGGGTCCCCTGGGGACCCAGCAGCAGGGACACCACCTGGCTGCTTTGAGAGGTCAAACCCCGGACAGGACCTGTCCACTCCGAACGATGCACCTGCTTAAGCATATTTAACTACAGAAGGCAGCAAGATCCCCACATTCCCAGATGTCATCCAAAGCCTCCTTGAAATTCCCATGCCTTCCCCACCTCCCACCTCAATCCTGCCCAAGTAATAAACAGGGCTGATTGCATTGGAAATGAATGAAATTACATATTTGAATGGTTTATTTTGTTGTTGTTGTTGGTGTTTGAGATAGAGTCCCGCTCTGTCCCCAGGCTAGAGTGCAGTGGCACGATCTCGGCTCACTTCAACCTCTGCCTCCCGGGTTCAAGTGATTGTTGTGCCTCAGCTTCCCGAGTAGCTGGGATGACAGGTGCCTGCCACCATGCCCGGCTAATTTTTTTGTATTTTTAGTAGAGACGGGCTTTCGCCATGTTTGCCAGGCTGGTCTCGAACTCCTGACCTCGGGTGATCCATCCACCTGGGCCTCCCAAAGGCCTGGGATTACAGGCGTGAGCCACCATGCCCTGCTATTTGAATGATATTTGAGCAAAACTTTTGCATACACGACAGTCCTTCAATTCTTTGTCTTTTTCCACAGCTGCTTGTAAAGCCCGCGAAAAGGGTCTGGTATAAAAGATTTTCTTTCAGCTGTGATTTCCTGCAAGACTAAGGGACATTGGGCATTTCAGCTGCTAACCTGCTAAAAAGACTACTCAATCTTTTGTATTTTGGGGGGGCCTCTCTGCATTTTGCTTCCTTTTAAATTCACATCCAAGGAGGAATTTGGAGCACTTAATTTCTCACTTTTCCAAGTTACTCTCTACACGATTTTGTCAGCCTGGCCCAACCAGCAGCACTTTCTGTGAATACACGATTCTCACTCATTTCCTTCTCAGAGTAAGCAGCTTTTTTCACCCCAAGGAAAATGATTCTTGGTCATCATTTTGGATATTGACACGAATCTGGAACATTATTCTGCATTTGAACATTTGTAAAGACTTTAGTGACATGAAAATGTATTTCTGCTACAACAAGATTTTAATCTAACTTCATTGACTGTTGTTTCAGAAAAATAACATTTGCATTGGTTTAAGAAAATTTTTACCTTACAATTTTCATCTCCTCTTCCTTGTTGCCTATAAATATTTTTAAGAAACTGGAAATAAATGACCTGCAAACAGCCAAAGGGGGACAAAAGTGTTCTGGTGTTCAAGGCTGGGAGGTCTTTTTTTCCCCCTAACTCTTGAAAGGAAACTGTCCATTAGCTCTTAGATGAAGTTCTCAGGTGTTTGTGCCTTCAGCAAGCTGTGGTGAGTCTGAGCAAAATGAAGCTGCGATGCATCAGAGAGTTAAATGTAAATAGCTCCTCCTTGCAGGACGCTTGGCTCCCGCTGTACGTAGGTGGAGTTTGGAATCTGGGGTCCCACAAACCCCTTGCATTTTTGGTTGATTGTCTTTAATTACTTTTGAGTGCTGAGCAAGGTTGCTCATGCCTCCAGGCGTCCATGACAGACAAGGAATGTTTTTTAATGCCATGTATAAGGAGCACGTCATTAAGCATCAAACAGAGCAAAAATGACAAGAATAGCGAGTGTATCATTATGGCCTTCATTTAAGTAGAAAATACAGTAAACAGAAAGAAAAACCAACTACACGGGGTAATGGGGAGCGGATTTATTTGTTTCGATTGCCGACTATTCAGAAAGGCATTTATACTCGGATTCTCACCGCACTCACCGAAGCTTTAATTTCTCAGGTTGAAGGATGAAGGGACAAAGGGGGAGGAGGGTGAAGCGAGCAAAGGGGTTCTCATCTACCCTCAAGAAAACAAGTTAAATGCCACTTTAGTGTCTAAAGGGAAAAAGTTATCACTAATTATTTTTTATAATTTCTTTCTGGGGAGAAGAGTAAAATATGGAGATGTTCCCATGTTGCCAGAGTTAAGCCCATCACATTTAGCAAATCAAACTACGGGACACTCAATTAAATGTTAATTTTAGATAAACGATAATTTTTTTAAGGATAAGTCTTTCTCACGCAATATTTGGGACATACTTATACTAAAAAAAAGAGTATTCATTGTTTATCTAAAATGAACATTTAACGGGGTCTCCTGTGTTTAATTTGGCAACCCTTTTAGAGGTAGGAATCCAAATGCTGGCTCCTTATAATTCCATCATCTGTGCATCTGGATCACAGGAAAATTAAGTGCCACTCCACTCCATAAACAGAGAGATTAAATAGGGGGCACGTATGATAGTCAAAAGGATAAATAATATTATCAGTGAGTTATACTTTATACCCAACAGCATACGTTTGTATTAGCAACAATGGGCACATGTGGAATTGCAATGGTGGACCCCGTGAATCTGCACTGTGGAAGTAGAGAGGTGGACACTTGTGTTACCGGAAAGGGGTCCCGATCCAGACCCCAAGAAAGGGTTCTTGGATCTCACACAAGAAAGAATTTGAGGTAAATCCTTAGAGTAACATGAAAGCAAGTTTATTAAGAAAATAAAGGAATCAAAGAGCGGCTACTCCATAGGCAGAGCAGCCCTGAGGGCTGCTGGTTGCCCATTTTTATGTTTTTTTTAAATTATATGTTAAACAAGGGGTGGATTATTCATGAGTTTTCCCAGGAAAGGCATGGGCAGTTTCGGAGCTGCGGGCTCCTCCCCTTTTTAGACCGTATAGGGTAGCTTCCAGACGTTGCCATGACATCTGTAAACTGACATGGTGCTGGTGGGAGTGTCTTCTAGCATGCTAATGCATTATAATTAGCAGGTTATGAGCAGCGAGGACACCAAGAGGTCACTCCTGTTGCCATCTTGGTTTTGGTGGGTTATGGCTGGCTTCTTTACTACAACCTGTTTTATTGGGCAGGTCTTTATGACCTGGATCTTGTGCTGACCTCCTATTTCATCCTGTGATTAGAATGCCCAACCAATGGGAAATGCAGCCCAGCAGGTTTCAGGCTTATTTTACCCAGTCCCTATTCAGGATGGAGTTGCTCTGGTTCAAACGCCTCTGACACTTGAACCGAGGATCGTGGCGGAAAGGGCTGGACATGGAGATTCAAGGAATGGCCTCTGGCCACTTCCTGGTGGTGTGGCCCTGAGAAAGCTGCTTAAACTCCTACACCCTGGGTTTCCTCATCTGTAAAACACAAATAACTGTACGTGTCTCCAGAACTTGTACTCTCCGAGATAACACAAGTAAAGC